>NC_000011.10:18810000-19435000 GCF_000001405.40 Homo sapiens | reverse complement strand
CCCCGTAAATATATATAATTATTTATCAATTATAAAGGAAAGAAAAGATTTCAAAGAACTGGATATCAGTGTGAGAAGTTGAGACATATTTTGAGAAAATAAAGGCTGTTTTTATCTTTGCTGAAAAGAGCTTGGCAAAAAAAAAAAAAAAGCCACAACCTTTTGCTTCTTTCCTGTGCTTCTTTTGACCATAAAAATATGAGAGATTCACGTGACAATTGATATTTCCATGTATAATGTTAACGAACATCTTTGTGATATTTGAAGTCTCATTTATAACAAAGCCAAGGTGTTGACTCCACCTCCCAGTTCAGAGTAATTTGATTTTGCAAAAGAGGAAAATGCCTTAGGAGCTGTTAAAATACTTATTTTCTAAAGGAGCTAAAAAAGAAATGTGCCCCAAAGCTGGGGATAAATCACTGTGTATTCATTCTTGGTAGCTTCATGTCCAGTCTGGCTCTGGATTCCATGCTTCTGGTGGCAACTCAGCTCCTTTCTTCTTCTCAAGGATACACTGAAAAACTCCTCACTTCCTTTCTTGCTCTCCAACTTCTTCATTCTCCTTTTTCTAATTATCAATAATAAAACATTGGCCATTCTGACATATGAATTCTGCTTTTAAAAATGCTTCAGTTCTCCATCACCTAATCACACAGAAATGAACCCCAGTGCCACTTTCTCCCTCCAGGGACCAAGATGCCTTAATATCTTTAATATGTACCTCATCAGCCACTGAGCATCTACTGTGTGTAAAATCTGATGCCTTGGTCCAATTTCATGGATAAATTTGTAGTATCCATCTCTTGAGACACATGGAAAACCACATCTTCTGTTTCTTATAACAGACTGCTGGTGTTCACCAATATCCATGTTCTCCTCTTTTTTTTTTTTGGCTCATTTTCCACTCTCCTTTCATCCAACAGAGGCCATGTGATTTGTTTGCACCAATGGAGTGTGTGCAAAATAGTCATTACTTCCAAGCCTGGCACCTACACTTCCTGCATGATACTTCTTGCTCTCTCTTCCTTTGCCTATTGGCCAGATGCTGAAGTGTTAAGCCATTGCGATTTTGAGGCTCATCTCTTACAGCAGCCAGCATTATTTACTCTAATACATTTCTATTTTTTGAGACTTTTCTCTAATACAGATTTTATTTGTGCATATAATACTTTAAACATTCAATTGGATGTGAGATCTTTTGAAAAGCAATGATCTGCCTTTGAATTGGGGGAAATACAATTTGCCAACAGTGGTCACAACTGCAAGAAGTTAATATAAAGGCCCCAGTTAGCTTCAGGGGCCTAATCAGAGACTCCCCATGGAGCTAACATTCTTCAACAAGCAAGCCTGTTGCTGGCTCACAAAATGCTTGGTCCATACCACCGCCTTTCAGTTGAGCAGATGGGGGTTTTGATGTAAATTGTGCTGGCATTTGCTGCTCTGAAAATAGATTTGTTTTTGCCTCCTTCCAAATTCAGTCCTAAAAAGCAATAGTCAACAAGTTTCATTTCCTCCTTTTAGGCAGGTCAGCAGGACCAGATATCTGTTTGCTATTAAAAGGCACAAAATAAAGCCAAGGATCTCATGCTTGCGGGGCACCTTGGGCTTTACCTTGTTGGTGCCCCATCAAATGCAGAAATTTCCTCTAGAGAATTCCAGGTAGAGCATCCTGTTCTGCTTGCCCTCTTTGATGGGGAGCTCACCACTTAATGAAGTAACACATTCTAGTGTTAAAGAGTACTTCCAGTTAGAAAGCTGAAACTGACCTCCACAAACATTCCATTTTTCAGTCCTGTATCTGCCCTTTAGAGGCATCCTCTCAAAATATAGTGCCATCTCTACATATTGACCCTTCAGGCATTTGAAGACAGAATTGAAGTCTGAACTCTTATCTTTTCCTTGTCTCTGCCCCAAAGTCCTCTATACAGCATAACTCCCAGGACTCTTCCTCAGAACATACTCCAGCTTGTCAATGTCCAGTGAAAACTGAAGTGACAGGAGCTGGCCACAGTTTGAGCAATATGGAAAGGAATGGGGTTAACATCAGTGCCTTCAGGACACTGTGGTTCTGGGTGAGCTGGACTCTTGTGTTTGGGTTTGAGGCATTTTGAAAAGTAAGAATTGCCTCAGAGGACAGCAGCAGCTCTCCTCAGCTGCGGTAAGAGTTATTGGGGAGATTCAAATGAGGGTAAAGAACACAAGAACCTGGGCCTCACAGAAACCCTGGAATGGATTAGTACTGGAACATGCTTTGAAACCTGCAGGGAAATCTAGAATTCAGTGCAGTCTCCACTACAGGGACACCCTAGCTGTACCTTGGGGGCCCCAGCTCCTTCCTGGTTGACTTCTGCTGCTCTCCATACCACCCACTCCCCCACTGCCTCGCTCTCCATGCTCCATGTCTTCTCAGTGGCTGCTTCATCCTGGCTTTCACCTCCTCACTGTCCATGACGCCTTTTGGCTTCTGCCTGCCTTCTTGTGAGTGTGCCATTTGTGGTTTTTTTCCCAACATACTCTCTATGACTTAAATTCAACACTTCCACAGGGAGAGAATATGATCTTTTCCCTTAATCACCACCAACTCAGTCATGAAATGTTTTAGCTGCAGTTTGTCCTAGCAGCTGCTGATCAGCCTATGGGTTAGTTCAAATGCTCTCCCCTAATCAATAAACATCAATTAACAATGATGACAGGGGTGGGCCACAGGAGAGGAAAGTGGCAATTTCTACAGAAGGATTCTGGGTTTTCATCACATTCACAGAATGTGAATTCAAGCTTATCAATGCTTTTTTTTTTTTTTTTTGGTCGGAGTTTTGCTCTTGTTGCCCAGGCTGGAGTGCAGTGGTGCAATCTCAGCTCACTGCAACATCCACTTCCCGGGTTCAAGTGATTCTCTTGCCTCAGCTTCCCAAGTAGCTGGGATTACAGGCCTGTGCCACCACACACAGCTAATTTTTGTATTTTTAATACAGACAGGGTTTCATCCTGTTGGCCAGGCTGGTCTCGAACTCCTGACCTCAGGTGATCGGCCAGCCTTGGCCTCCCAAAGTGCTGGGATTACAGGCATGAGCCACCGCACCCAGTCTTATCAATACTTTCGACAACCAGATCACACTATGATGTATGTTGGAAAATGTGATGTGTGTTATGGCAAAATCCAAAAGCTGTGTTTTTCCTAGCTGCTGCTAAGCCAGCACTCTCTACCTTGCACCTATATGTGCAAATCTTGGCTTACTATATTTCATCTTGATAGACTCTACAGAAGGTCCCAGTCCTGCAAATTTGCTCTTAATCTAAATTCTATCTTCCGACACCAGGCATTTGTTTGTTTGTTTGTTACTCTCTGCTCTGTAAATTCCAAAGGTTCCTTACAGCCCTATCAGAACCACAAGGAGAGGAAGGAGACCAAGAAGGATGGGGTCAGCACCCAGCCCCAACCTCACTTTGGCCAGAAAAACTGTTCTAGTGCAACAGAATTCCAGGTAAGAGTTTCTTGGAACAATATTTTCTGAAACAGAAATAAAATTTGAAAACCATGGAGGCAGGGTCTTTTTGTGGCTTCTGTGCTCAGTGGTTGGTCTCATTTCTCAGCATAGCATGCTTGCCCACCCCCAGGACCTCCTCCTGCGGCACACTAAGATGGGTACACTGCAGTGCCCTGTCACACTTCCAGCTTCAGCAGTCGTTAAACGCAGCAAAGAACTAGAAGAATGACTGCTTACCTTCGCTTACCTTCTTGCTCCAGGAAGCAACAGCCTGCTGTGCCGATTCCCACTTCGGGCTTTAACCAGCAGCAACTCAGCACAGCTTGAAGGGATGCACTCTTTATCCCTGGTACCATCAGACCAGGGCTGAGGGACAGCAGTGGAAACTAGCTGTGGGCAGCTTCCAGGCAGGGATGAGATGCCCCTCCACCTGCCTGTCTATTTTGCCTTTAACAAAGCTAAAATAAGGCAGATTTACATTATAAAGGTTTAGCAGGCCATGAAGGGAGTTTTTTTCTATTGTGTCTGAATCTTGGCTAAAGCCTCAGGCTAAAGATAATTGGTGGCAAGTAGCCCATGTTCTAGAGGGCTGCTTGACACACTTGCAGCACTTACTGGAAGATGGCAAAGCTAGCCTGGAAACACCCTCCCTGGGTAAGAGGCTGTGTCAGAGGAGGCTGGAGCTTCTCTGAGGAGCGGACCTTTCCACGGACATCTGTAGATGAATTGGAGGGGACAAAGAAAAGTGATGCTCTCTACCCTCAACTGTCAACTGATCCACACGGCAGGGGAGACTGGCATCATATCTTCTTAACTGGATGTGTGCAGAGCTCCAGAAACTTGCAAAAACAACTCCCTGGTGTTAGTGAAGCAGGCCAAAGTGAGAAAGTTCTTGAGAACTTGCTCTGTCTCCAGGTGTTTGAAAGTGTGTGTAAAATAAACATTGCTGCCCATGAGCTGAAGCTGCCGTGATAGCCAGGTGAGGGGATGGCGTCAGCAGCTAGGCTTGCTGCTCACTCCCCTCCTCGCAGGGCAAGGGTGCACTGTACTTATGGGACAGGGAATGCCAGTGAGGGTCGCTGGGTTTGAACTGTCTCAAGAGGACCCAGCCTGAGGAGGCTATGCGAGAGGGGACTGAAGAAGGGGAGAAGACACCAAACGGGTCAGCTTTAGGGGCAGAGACCACATGCCGAGGCTCTCAGAAAGCCTGCCACATACTCCATGGAAGAGCTGACTCTAGGAAACTGCCCCAGCAAAGGTGATTGGATGGCCAAGCGAAAAGTGCAAAGAGCATCAGCTGCATGAAGAGGCCTCTGCCCCATTCCTTCCTTCCCTTGCTCTGCCCTAGGGAGCCAGAACTGAGAGGGGTGGGGGTAAGGGGACAGGTGGGTAAGAAGTGGAACTGAAGAGTGAAAGGACAGCCAGGGTCTCCTCATGCCCACCATTGCTCCCTGAACTCTAGACCAGGTTTGAGCTGATGAGAGGGATAAAGTTTGTAAACTGAATGTGAAATTGAAGTTTCCATTTATATTGGGCTAGACTTTCTAATTACTCAAGATGAGGCTGCTGCCACTTTTTTTCTAATAGCTAAAAGGGACTGGAAATGATGTTTCTCCAAGTGACAGGGAAGTGAGTTTGGAGGCCCTGGTGGGAAAAGACAATGTGTTTTCCTGATGAAATCCTGCTGACTTCAGGCCACTCAGCAAACTGGTTGCACGGTCTCAGGACTTAATCTTCCCAAACCTTAGATTCTTCATCATCTGTCAAATGGAGAGCAAAATGCCCACCTCCTAGAAGTGTTTTGAGAACTAAAATGAAAATGTTATGTCAATCTTTAAAGTGTCCAGCACTTGGGAGTGCCCAGCCAACAGTGCTCCCTTCTTCCTCTATTTGCCATCACTGAGCAGAGGCCCCTCCCTGCAACCTTAAACCAACAGACTTGAAGAACAGCAGAGATGAAGAGACTGTGGAGAGATGTGGTCTAACTTCCTCCTATTAGAGAAGATGAAACTGAGGTTCAGAGAGACTGGAGTCCTACTGCCGAAGGTCACTCACTGGGTAACTGGCAGAATCAACATTGAGACCAAAATCTCCTGACCCCCAGGCCAGTCTTTTTTCTTCTATGAAGTGTATGGACACTCCCGTAATAGCCCAGTGAGGCTTTATTGATTGGTTAACTGAAAAGTGACTGGAGACCTTTAGACTTGGTCCTGGCCCCCTTGGCCGTGCCAAGAAGTGCCCAGTAAATAAATGCATTGGCACAAGTTTTCAATTCACAGAGTACCAGCCCTGCTCCAGGAACTATGATTAGAGCTGGATACACACCTGGAAACCACCACCTCTGGACTCACTGAGCTCCCAATCTGGCAAGAGAAGCAGAAGACTCTGAGTGCACCTGGGGGATTCTAGAAAGGCTTCACAGAGGGCTTAATCAGCTTGTGCAATCGGGTAGAAAAGGATGGAGGTCCATTTAGGGTCTTCCCCATTCCCCTTCTCCCCAGGTGACCTCTCTGTTTTAGAGGTACCCAGTTTTGAATTCCTTGGCTGTGTAGTGGAGCTAGCAGGAAGGCGTTTCTAACCTTACCTTTGCCTCCAAGTACATTATCATAATGCACACACGTCAAGGTTCTTAGGCAACAGCTTTCCTGATATGGATGAAGAAAGAATCACATGGGAAAGAAGTTTCCCACAATCAGCTTGTACACCTCTGCTCATTTCACAAGTTAACAGTCAGTCCTACTGATCAGCCCTTCTCTTCCCACCCTGATTCTCTGCTTAGAAATTTTTATGACAGGAAGATGACTAGGTGGCATAGAGGAAAGATGACTGCTAAGGTACTTCCCCAAAGAGAGCAAAACAAATAGAGCTCAAGGTTTAATTCCTGCTCAAGGTATTAAATTTCGCATTCAAGTATCACCATTGACCAGTGATCTCAAAAGACTTAGAAGGAAGAACACAAGCTGCATTTATCCTAACTCGGGTAATCCAAATCTGAATTCAGTGTAAGTAATAGCAGGGATAAGCACTTACCTCTTTGGATGCGAAACCAATTAAATGCAGCCAAGAAGGTACACTAGCTTGAATGCGTCAAGGAGCTAATTCTCAGTGAGGCCCCACATTAATTGGTTCAGCCCCACTTTGCAGCTGGCAAAATTTCCAGTGTCTCTCAAAGCCCAGTACTGAGATAAGCCACTAGGCTACCCCTTCCAAGCCACAGACACTGACAGACAAAGGGCAGAGGCTTTTAAACAAATTGGGAAATGGTATGCGTGTATGTGTGTTTTAAATTCGTTGCCAATATTAAAAATTGGGATATTTAACAACAGCAACAAAAAAAACCCTGACTTCTGGGTTTTCTTAAAAACATGAAAGATCTCAAAGATTTAAACGTATTTGTAAAACCCATTATAATAGCAGAAGAAATCATTGGAGAATCCTTTTACAACCTCAGGGTAAAGAAGTTCTTTCTAATTTGGACCCAGAATCCGGAAGTTCTAAAGGGAATGATTGATTTGGCTACATTAAAAAAAATACCCCAAACACAATCAAAAACACAAAAAACAAACTAGCGGGGGGATGCAGATTCAAACTCATATCAGAAAGGGATTAGCTCTCCAATATATAAAAAGTTTAAGAAATCAATAAGTACATGATCAACAACCCAATAAGAAACAACTGTAGGCAATGAACTGACAGATCACAGACAGTGAAATACAAGTGGCTTTTGAGTACGGAAGATATTCGGCTTCACTCATAATTTAAAAAATAAAAAGTAAAATCACATCAAAATGCCATTTTTCACATGTTAGAATGGTAAATACCCTAAATCTTCATAATACACTGTTGGCATGGCTGTGGGAGATTGCAATTCCGCCCCGCCTTGACCCCCATCCCAGAAATTAAAAACAACAACAACAACTATTTGTGCCACAGCCAGGAAGCCATTTGACTTCAAGTCATGTGTCCCAAAGGCTGGATTCCCTTGGGAGTTTTCTACCTGGATTCTGAAGATGAAAGTGAGAATTTTTTCTGGGTTCTATTTGACACTTAACATGCTGCCCTCCTATAACTAGGCAAAGGTTCAGGTTAAAAATAACAGGTGTCTCCTCAGTAATCCTAGCTGCATGTGCTCTTCTATTTCTTATTAAAAGAAAGAAAGGGAAGCAGAAGGAAGAAGGACCAGCACAATTGCAAGCCTGCTGTGCGCCAGGAGCTGCATAGAGCTTTATATGCATTATCTCATTTATAGCCCACGTCAAGTGTGAGAGTATTGCCATCCTCTTTCTGCAGGGGAGGAAAGAGACTCAGAGTAGCCACATGACTTGATTTCTTTGACAGATGTGTGCAGAGGGGACTGAACAAAGGAGCCACAGCTTGGGTTCCCTTGGAGGAAAAGCTTATTTTGATATGGGTCGTTTTTCATTGATTGAGTCAAAGGAAATCTGGAGGCTAAGAGTGTCCCGGTCAGCTGCTAAGAAGTCTCAGTCACACTGTAGCAGGGTGCCATGCCAGGGATTTAATTTGTGTTTTTCTTTAATACTCTTCTCCAGTGAGAGAGGTGCCAAGACCAGTCTTAAATGGATGCTCTGTGTGAAGCAAATAGCAGCACTGAACTCATCAAATGCCATTGCTCCCTCTGATGAGAGGAGAAAGTATGAAGATTCTTCACACTGCATAAATCATTAGGTTCCTGGGTAGTGTGGTAGGGCTGAGAGTCAGATAGGTCCTCAAGAGAGACATAAATTTTCCTGCCAAAACAGCAGTTGTGGGAGGAGTCAATAAATTGATGACAACCCCGCCCCCCAACTAAAAAAAAAAAATTGATGGGACTGTTTACTCTAAGCCTGAAAAGAGGTTCTCAATGGCTATGGCCTATTTGGTTTCCCTCTCCCTGAACCCCAAAACATATTCCTCTCTTGGCAAGTTTCCTATGAGAGACTAGGATTCCTGCTGACCAGTCCCTCCTTGTTAGTAGAACCACTGTGGGTAGATGTTGTTGTGCTTGGCAAGGGAATATCTTTGTAAATTAGGGACTAGAGCAAAAAGGCGAATATTTTTTTTCTGTAACCAAGGAGCATCCCTGGTTTATTTCTTCATGGAGTCCTTCAAGGAGTATCAGGTTGTGATGGCAGAAATTTTCAGAGAAGAGGGATGAGGAAGAAAGCCATTAAATGCCCTGGGGAAGCTGGATTCCTCTGGAGACTGCCAGCCGCACTTCCCCATCCTGGAAACTCCCTGGGACCCATCTGACCCCTTCTTTGGGGAAGAAACAACACTTTACATCTAGAGCTGTGAGGCAAGCTGGTTTCTTGAGACGCTAGGAGCACTGGAGAGGCCAGGCAGGAAGCTGTCAAATTTTGCTGAGACCCACATTCCCAGAATCTCTCCAATCCCAAACTCATGTCTCCTTTCACCACAACTCAGAATCACTGAGCTAGAGTTGTCCAAATGGTGCATTTCTCTGAAACAGCGCAACTTCAGGAAATATCCCATAATATCTTGCTAAATCAGAACTCTCAGTAACTCAAATACCATCTACTTCCCTCTTTCTCTGTGTCATTGAAACAAGGCAAAAGATAAGAAAACAATCTCACCTCAGGGCTTTGGATGATAACTTTTAGTAGATATATGGGTCTTGACATCAATAATAAAGAGCCTTGGGAATTGATGTTCAGAATTACAGGCCTGGGATCCTTTAACATCCTCAATAACCAAAAAGGGATTTAATATGAGTCTTATATTCTACCTATTCACGTGTGAAAAAGAGATCAGAACTAAGAAGGGTTAAAACCATAATGGTTTTCTGGATAATCCTCCATTATCCAGAATCATCCCTGTCCCCAAATTTAGTATTTAATGGAAGTTGCACTGAACCTTTCCATTGTATAATGTTTCTTGGCCACTATTCTGTGACATAATGGGGCAGGACCACGTAAAATAAACAGAGAATATGGTTCTAGTCCAGACTGTAACCACTGGCTACATGCCCCTCTAATTCTCTAGGTCTCAGTTCCCACGCATGTAAGACAAGCCAGTTGAATTAGTGCAGGCTGTCTCTGGATGGAATGAAAGAGAGACTAGCAGGGCACAGAGTACCTATCCAGCTGGAAGAAGGAAAAGGCATTCATGAAGAAGGGAAGAGCATGATCAATGTCCATGGTAAAGCATGTTTGTCATTGTCCTTGGATTTGGTGACTCTATCTACACTCTTCTTAGATATGGATTGGCTCTGCTCTTCTCCAAGAATAACATTTCTTTCCTTCTGCATGAGACTCAATTCTATTCATCCTTAAAGGTCCAGTTCAAAAGTCACTTTCTTAACCTTTTTCTATAAACAATCTCTTCACTGAACTATTCCAGCATTAATTTGCACCTCTATAATGAGCCTTGCCACTTTGCCTTATTATTCCATAATAGCCCGTAGTCTTATAAACACAAGGTTGTATTCCACAAATGTGTACTAAATAATGCTTAGTAAAATGCCTCAAGCATAGTATATGCCCAGGTTACCATAGAATGACTGACTGAATGGAAGAATAAATGAATTCCCATAATATCAACATATTATGGGGACATAGCAAAATTACTCCAATTTAACCTAAATACTTTAAATATTTTTATTTTTAAATTCTTGCTTAGATCTTCTTATAAAAACACCAAACTAAGGCCGGGCACGGTGGCTTATGCCTGTAATCCTAGCGCTTTGGGAGGCTGAGGTGGGCGGATCACTTGAGGTCAGGAGTTAGAAACCAGCCTGGCCAACATGGCGAAACCCTATCTCTGCTAAAAATACAAAAAAAAATAGCCAGACGTGTGGCAGGCACCTATAATCCCAGATACTCAGGAGGCTGAGGCAGGAGAATCACTTGAACCCAGGAGGTGGAGGTTGCAGTGAGCTGAGATTGCGCCACTGCATTCCAGCCTAGAAGACAGCAAGACTCCGTCTCGAAACAAACAAACAAACAAAAAAACACTGAACTAATCCTATTCCAAATTCTATGGCTTATTTGCTATAGATCCCTAATTTGACCGCTTCTTAGAATGTGGAGGAACCTTTAATTTCGACAGTCAAATCTTTGATGAATGCCACACATAGTGCTCTTCTCTTGGCCCTCAAAGAAATATCTCTGACAGCATTTCAGCCCAACCTTCTGGAAATATTTAATTCCTCTCTTACAGCCTCCCCATGCCTCTAGGAAGCAGCAAATAATACTTAGAGAACTAGTAATCTTTATTCAACACAAATAAAGGGGAAAACAATACCCATGGCTCCTTAAAGCTGTATATTAGCCACCGTGCAGAAAGTATCTCATTGATATTAATGTGCTTACAGCTTATTACACAAAAATTAATTAAAAATTGAATAAGGCCAGAGCTCAAAATTCCGCATATCTAATTTCCCTGCCAAAGCAGCTCATACAAAGAATAGCTAAAATTCTAAGAGCATTAGTTTATCACAGTGCAGCATACAACTCCATTTCAGTTCACTCCCTTTCAAAGGAAATGGGGACCCTGTGGTTTTCTGGGATCCTTCATTAACATGTCATCTTTGGGGAGTGGGCTTGGATCTAAAGAGATTTCATACTATTATTCTACGATTCTCAGCTCATGCCTCAGCTCCTAGAGAACTTCCTAGTTATTTCTCAATCACAGATGGCCCGTCCCAAGCAAAAAGGCTAAACCTGTCAGAAGTCTCCCCTGGCCCCAAATATCTCTACCAACTCATGGGTGACTCAGTGAGAAGAAACTCCTGACAGTCAGATCAATCTGATTTCTACCTCTCTGCTCCCTGAAGTAGCTGTGTAGAGTAAAAGATAATGAAACCCAGTTAGATAGACATTGGCAAGCCACTTTCAATCTCTGAGCCACTGTTTCCTCACATCGTACTTGCCTTAGAGGAATGTCAAGAGCTCAATGAAATAACATGTGTGTTGTACATGGTACAGAGTAGATGCTCAATAAATGCTCTCCCCACTTAAGATGCTAAGTTTCAGTCCAGCAGTTTGGAAGCTTCACTGCTTTCCCCATAACAGAATATTCTCAAGCCTCTTACCTCTGAACCCTACAGGACAGTAAATTTTTGAAGGTGAGAGCTTTTTGACCCATCTCTCTACTCCCAGCACCTCACACATGGCCTAGCACACGGTTCTTAGTCCATGACCATCTGTAGAATGAATGAATGAACAAAAATAGCCACCAGTGGTTGGGTGCTTACCAGTAGCACTTTACACATATTAGCTCATTTAATCTATACAACAGCTCTATAAGGTAGACACTGTCACTGTATAAAGGTTAAAGATACAAAAGCTCAAAGAGATTTGGTATGGCAGCTTTGCTGAAGCTACCAAAATAATGGATAAACCATATGAAGTTGCCTATATCCCATCTTTTAAAAAATACAAATGAGTATTTACTGTGTGTCAGGCACTGAGGTAAATATCCTGCATATATTATAATTTAAATATTATAACCTTGTGAAACAGTTGAAATCACAGATAGGAAAACTGAGGCTCACAAGGGTTAAGTAACTTGACCACAGTTTTTGACTCTTTTAGATTTACAACAATGGCCAAGAGAGAGGAAGTCTCATCCACCTGATATTAAAAGGAGAAGACAAGCTCACACTCAGGCCTGTCTGCCTCAAGCCCCTGATGTGCCACATGCCTCTTGAATCAATGGATCAATGAATGGCAGAAGGGGAGAGGGATGGAGAGAAAGAGCAGGCATAGGAAGAAAGAGTGATGGAGAGAACAGGAATGAAAGGGAAGACTTTCACAGGCACTGTAACTATCTGGGTAATTCCTACAAGGCCAGACGATTCCAATGTAATCTTCTGTGTAATTGTTGCCATGCAGAACAGGCTGGACTCCAGACCTAGCAGTTTCTGGCCAGTGCGCAGAACAACAGAGAGAGAGAGGCCTCTCCTGTATGCTCAGCCGCAGAAGGGCCTTATGGGCGGCTTCCTGTTGGGACAGGAATCAGGCTCTCCAGCTCCTACCCAACCCACAATCCTGTGCAGACCAGCCACGCTCTGCTGGGTTTGGCGTCACAGAGGCATTCCTTCCCTTTCTTTCAGCCCCTAATTGCTCTTCAGGGCCGTGGGGGTCTCCCTACTGGCTGGCAGCCTATGAGGCTGGCCAGACTGAACTCACTGTTCCATGGGATCACGCATGAAGGCCTCTTAAAAGCACTGGTTCTCTCACCATCAGCAGCTGGATCAGCCCAGCAGAGATGAGAGTAAACCACCACGTACCAAGGCGTGATTTCCACCCGCTCCCCGCCCCCCAGACTGGCACTGTGTCACTGGAACAAGGACTCACAGAGCAGCATGAGGGATGGCTCCTCAGAGAAAGAGCATGGGCTAGGAGCAGTGAGTCTTGAGTTGCAGGCCTGGATCTGCCTCTGTGTGTGACCTTATGCAAGTCCCCTCCTCTCTCTAGGGTAGGAGACTGACAGGCTCTTGGGCTTGAACATCTCTTCTAAGCCTTATAACAACCCCATGATGCAGGTATAAAGCTTTTCGTTACAGGTAAGAAACCTGTTGCTCAGAGACACTAGGTGACTTGTACAGTGTCACACAGCAAGAAAATGAGGAGTCAGGATGTGATTCCAGGCTGGCCTGGCTTTGAAGCCCTGTATTCTCACCACTGCCCCTCAGGGGCTCTGCTCCTTCATTTGTAATAAGGGTTAATGGTCATGGTCATTATCTTAACTTCTCATGCTTGGGCAAAAAAAAAAAAAAAAAAAAAAAGCCTCTCTCTTAAGGCACTTCATGGGCTCTCAAGTCATCAGTGTTAGGAATTAGAATCATTATGTTGTTTCTCCCACCATTTCCAGCCTCAGTTTTCCAAATTTCCACCTCCATGATTTTTGCCATATCCTCATATCACATATGCTAATACTTAATGTTTGTCTTTAGATCAAATTTAAATCAACTAATTTTTAAAAAGTTAATATCCTCCTAAGCAATAATATACATAATATCAAGGGTTTAGTGCACTGATTATATTCCTTCCTTATATGCAACAAAATAAATTGATAACAATTAAATTATAAACTGTTCATCCAAGTGACACCTTGGAGCATGTGAGCCTTCTGTTAGGAAATGCTCTGTGAGTCTCGGCCCTTCCCCCAGCATGGACACATGTGAGCATGCACGCCTTAGAGCCAGGTCATCTTCCAGCTGCGCACTCTGGTCCTCTGTGATGGATGCTGGGCTAGTACAGAGGCAGCTGTGTGATGGGAACCTGGACTGCAGCAGGTGGGCAAAGGAGGCAGAGTTGAGCTCTGAGGACCCAGGGAAGCATGGCTTCCATTTGGGATGCAGCTGAGAGGGCTGGAGGGCTTGGGGCAGGTGAACATGAAGAGATGGAGAGAAGGGAAAGGCAGGTCCATCGACTATGACCCCTCCACCAGCAGCCACAGCATCAAAGCCAAGGCCAGGCGTCCCACAGTACAAGGCTAGAGAGAGCAGCTGCTTAACACCTTCAGAGGCAGCAACATCCTCAGAGATCTAGTTATGGCAGGCTGTGGGGAGGAGGGCAGGCCCACCTAGCACCCTGCCATGCACCGTGGAGGTCACCCTTGAGTTCTGTTTTGTTTTCCTTGTTAGCTTAGCTTTTAATTGAAGCATAACAGAAGACAGGACAATGCATAATTCATAAGTGTACAGCTCAATGAATTTTCAAATACTGAACTGCACCCAGAAAAAGAAATAAAACATCAACTTCATCCTAGAAGCCCCCTCATGCTCCATTCTATTATGGTCACGCTCTTGCTCCAAGGGTAAACATTATCTTAATACCTAATACCTGATATTGGTTTTGCCTATTTGGAACTTTATAGAAGTGAAATCGTACGTATGGAGTCTTGTGTCTGGCTTCTTTTGTTCAACATTATGTCTGCAAGATTGATCCATACTGTTGCATGTAGCTTAGTTTGTTCTCATTGATGTGTAGTAGTCCACTGTATAAACAGACTTCATTCTATCTTTAATGAGTATATGAATACTACTCAGATTTTGGCTAAGTAATGTTGCTATGAACATTCTAGCAGATTACTTTTGCCTTCATTTCTTTTGGGTGTGTACCTAGGAATGGAATAACTCAGTCATAGTATACAGACATGTTTAGGTTAGTGGATACTGACAGTTTTTCATATCAGTCACACCAATTTTCACTCCCACCAACAGTGTGTGCAACTTTCAGTTGTTCCATATCCTTGCCAACACCTGGCATTTTTTTATCTTTTTAATTAGCCATTCTAGTGTGCATATAAGTCACCCATATTTTGTTTTTTTCCAAACTGCACAACAGCCCATAGGCTAACGTCACTACTAAAGACAGTGACATGGGAGAAACACAACAGTCCATAGGTCAACATCACTTCTAAAGACAGTGACATGGGAAAAACACAACCGCCCATAGGTCAATGTAACTTTTAAAGACAGTAACGTGGGCGTAGTAGACTGACTCAGAGGACCTCACCTTACTGCTTGCTCTCCAGCTACTGATGCAATGCCATTAGGAAAGAACTGCCACTGCTATTTACAAAGCCCTGACCCAGGGCTTTGCTCATTCGTTCATCTCACCCTCACAGCAAACTGCCAAAGGCAGGCAAGGAAGGAATTATTCTCAAGAGCTTACATAACTTTCCAAGTATGTACCCGACGCAAACTTCAGGCCTACCTTCTTCTGATTCCAGTTCAGTTTCCTTTCACTGAGTTTAAACTGACTCTTAATTCACTTCTTCTCCATTTCTCAGAAGCATCTGTTGAACTGCAGGATCTCTGATGTTCCTTCCAGTTTCATTATGGTGGACTGGTTTGTTTCTAAGCGTGTGAGTGGTTTACTCACTCACCAAGTGTGTAAACAAATGGAAGATCCTTGCTCAATCCTGTCTACAAGGAAATGAAAAGAATTTGGAATATGCATTTCTATCATTCCCCACGTCTTCACATCAGACTGAGAAGCGGGTCTCGAAGCCCCACCTGCCACGGTTCCTTTCTCATGCCAAGCAAAGCGCAGAAAGGGAGGAGCAGTCGATTGCTGCAGCAACCTCCTCCTCAGCTGTCCTGAGGTATGCACGCTGCTGGAAAAAAGTTCTGCCTGCATTGCCAGGAGAATCATATTCATGAGATTCCTCCATATCAGACATGTTTCCTAAGTTTTCTAATTGGCTCATGATGGATTTCTGCAAGTGCTTTTGATGAGGCTCACCTGCAGTGCCTCTCCTCTAAAGATAGTAAGAAAGTCACATGTTTTTGAAAGAGCAAATAATTGTGAAACAGCATTTCAACAACAAAGATGAGCAAAATACAGTTCATAGAAGGTGAGCTACTTGCAGGCAGGGGCCATGAAAGAAAGGGAAGGCACCCAAACTCCAGCACAGTGCCAGCCCCCCAGTGCCACTGACCCTTGAATCTCCAGGGCTCAGCTCCCAGACTCAAGGCATACATCTCATCACATATATACAGGTCTGTATACCCTCCTTGAGTCCCTATTACTGCACTCACTACTGTTATCCTTGCCTCCTCCCTTACCTCCCAAATACCCTTAACTAAGCCTACAGGTCATCTATGTCTGGAATCCATGCCCTGCTATCACTCCTTACTGCCACTACCAGAGATGAGCCCATCATCCTCCTACCTGGACTCCCACTATAGCCTAACCGGTCTCCCTGACTCCACTCTGGCCACCCAGCTATATAGCAGATGCAACTCTGATCACAACACCCCACCACCACAAGCCCTTCAATGGCTTTGGACGACCCTTAGAAAAATGCCCCAAGCCATTTTGATCATCTGCCAAACCTTCTATGATCTGGCTGCTGCCTCTTTTTCCAACCCCGTCTCAATCCATTCTCCCCTTGGCTTATTTTGCTTCAGATCCACAGGTCTTTCAGTTCCTTAAATGTGCCCCTACGCTCTCCTACCATCATATGCTGGTAAGATGTGATTACACATGCTGATCGCTCTGTCTGGAATGCCTTTTCCCTGTCCTTCATCTCCCAAATTCTGTTCATCCTTGAATAAGAGTTTCAGCTTAGAAAACATGTTTTCAGTGAACACTCATCCAAGCCCAAGGTGAGAAGGCATCTCTGGGCTGTAAGCCTCACACCACCTGCATGTTCCCCTCTGGAAATGCTCATCCCATTTAGTAATTCTTCTCTCAGTGTCTAGCCTCCCTCCTAGACTGTAGGTTTCCTGAAAGCAGATGCAATGTAGAACTTGTTCATAGCTCACTCTCAGCCCCTATCATTCAGCCTGTCAAATAGGAGGCTCTCAATGAACACTGACAGATTGAGAGGTTGATTGAGTGATAGACTGTTTGCTTGTACTATCTTGATGCCAGAAAGTCAGAAAGTCATAGAGAAGACACCCTTTTGTTTTGTTGTTTTTCATAATTTGAGTTCTGAGATACATGTGCAGAACATGCAGGTTTGTTACATAGGTATACACATGCCATGATGGTTTGCTGGACCCATCAACCCATCATCTACATTAGGTATTTCTGTTAATGCTATCCCTCCCCTAGACGCCCATCCCCTGACAGGCCCCAGTGTGTGATATTCCCCTCCCCAGGTCCATGTGTTCTCGTTTTTCGACTCCCACTATAAGTGAGAACATGTGGTGTTTGGTTTTTTGCTCCTGTGTTAGTTTACCAAGAATGATGGTTTCCAGCTTCATCCATGTCCCTGAAAAGGACATGAACTCATCCTTTTTTATGGCTGCATAGTGTTCCATTATTTACCCAGTATTCCATGGTGTATATGTGTCACGTTGTCTTTATCCAGTCGGCATTTGGGTTGGTTCCAAGTCTTTGCTATTTCCAAGTCTTTGCTATTGTGAATAGTGCTGCAATAAACATGCGTGTGCATGTGTCTTTATAGTAGAATGATTTACAATCCTTTGGGTATATACCCAGTAATGGGATTGTTGGATCAGATGGTATTTCTTGTTCTAGATCCTTGAGGAATCACCGCACTGCCTTCCATAATGATTGAACTAATTTACAATCCCACCAACAGTGTAAAAGTGTTCCTATTTCTCCACATCCTCTCCAGCATCTGTTGTTTCCTGACTCTTTAATGATCACAATTCCAATTGGCATGGGATGGTATCTCATTGTGATTTTGATTTGCATTTCTCTAATTATCAGTGATGATGAGCTTTTTTCCATGTGTTTTTTGGCCACATAAATGTCTTCTTTTGAGAAGTGTCTGTTCATATCCTTTGCCCACTTTTTGATGGGGTTGTGTTTTTTTCTGGTAAATTTGTTGAAGTTCCTTATAGATTCTGGACACTAGCCCTTTGTCAGACGGATAGATCGCAAAAATTTTCTCCCATTCTGTAGGTTGCCTGTTCATTCTGATGATAGTTCCTTTTGCTGTGCAGAAGCTCTTTAGTTTAATTAGATCCCATTGGTCAATTGTGGCTTTTCTTGCCATTGCTTTTGCTGTTTTAGTCATGAAGTCTTTGCCCACGCCTACATCCTGAATGGTATTGCCTAGGTTTTCTTCCAGAGTTTTTATGGTTTTAGATCTTACGTTTAAGTCTTTAATCCACCTTGAGTTAATGTTTGTATAAGGTGTAAGGAAGCGGTACAGTTTCAGTTTTCTGCATATGGCTAGCCAGTTTTCCCAACACCATTTATTAAATAGGGAATCCTTTCCCCATTGCTTGTTTTTGTCAGGTTTGTCAAAGATCAGGTGGTTGTAGATGTGTGGCACTATTTCTGAGGCCTCTGTTCTGTTCCATTGGTCTATATATCTGTTTGGTCCCAGTACCTTGCTGTTTCGGTTATTGTAGCCTTGTAATATAGTTTGAAGTCAGGTAATGTGATGCCTCCAGCTTTGTTCTTTTTGCTTAGGATTGTCTTGGCTGTACGGGCTCTTTTTTGGTTCCTTATGAAATTTAAAGTAGTTTTTTTCTAATTCTGTGAAGAAAGTCAATGGTAGCTTGATGGGGATAGCATAAAGTCTATAAATTACTTTGGGCAGTATGGCCATTTTAACAATATTGATTCTTCCTATCCATGAGCATGGAATGTTTTTCCATTTGGTTGTGTCCTCTCTTATTTCCTTGAGCAGTGCTTTGTAGTTCTCCTTGAAGAGGTCCTTCACATACCTTGTAAGTTTTATTCCTAGGTATTTTATTCACTTTGTAGCAATTGTGAATGGGAGTTCACTCATGATTTGGCTCTCTGTTTGTCTATTATTGGTGTATAGGAATGCTTGTGATTTTTGCACATTGATTTTGTATCCTGAGACTTTGCTGAAGTTGCTTATCAGCTTAAGGAGATTTTGGGCTGAGACAATGGGGTTTTCTAAATATACAATCATGTCATCTGAAAAGAGAGACAATTTGGTTTCCTCTCTTTCTATTTGAATACCCTTTATTTCTTTCTCTTGCCTGATTACCCTGGCCAGAACTTCCAATAATATGTTGAATAGGAGTCGTGAGAGAGGGCATACTTGTCTTGTGTGGGTTTTCGAAGGGAATGCTCCCAGCTTTTGCCCATTTAGTATGATGTTGGTTGTGGTTTTGTCATAAATAGCTCTTTTGATTTTGAGCTATGTTCCATCAATACTTGGTTTATTGAGAGTTTTTAGCATGAAGGGGTGTTGAATTTTATCGAAGGCCTTTTCTGCATCTACTGAGATAATCATGTGGTTTTTGTCATTGGTTCTGTTTATGTAATGGAATATGTTTATTGATTTGTGTATGTTGAACCAGGCTTGTATCCCAGGGATGAAGCCAACTCGATCATGGTGGATTAGCTTTTCGATGTGCTGCTGGATTCAATTTGCCAGTATTTTATTGAGGATTTTTGCATCGATGTTCATCAGGGATATTGGCCTGAAATTTTCTTTTTTTGTTGTGTCTCTGCCAGGTTTTGGTATCAGGATGATGCTGGTCTCATAAAAAGAGTTAGGGAGGATTCCCTCTTTTTCTACTGTTTGGAATAGTTTCAGAAACAATGGTACCAACTCCTCTTTGTACCTCTGGTAGAATTTGTCTGTGAATCCGTTGGGTCCTGGGCTTTTTTTAGTTGGTAGGCTATTAATTACTGCCTCAATTTCAGAACTTGTTATTGATCTATTCAGGGATTCGACTTCTTCCTGCTTTACCCTGGAAGGGTGTATGTGTTCAGGAATTTATCTATTTCTTCTAGATTTTCCAGTTTATTTGCGTAGAGGTGTTTATAGTATTCTCTGATGGTAGTTTGTATTTCTGTAAGATCAGTAGTGATATCCCCTTTACCATTTTTTATTGTGTCTATTTGACTCTTCTCTCTTTTCTTTTTTATTAGTCTGGCTAGCAGTCTATCTCTTTGTTAATCTTCTCAAAAAACCAGCTTCTGGATTCATTGATTTTTTGAAGGGTTTTTCGTGTCTCTATCTCCTTCATTTCTGCTCTGATCTTAGTTATTTCTTGTCTTCTGCTAGTTTTTGAATTTTTTTGCTCTTGTTTCACTAGTACTTTTAATTATGATGTTAGGGTGTCAATTTTAGATCCTTCCTGCTTTCTCCTGTGGGCATTTAGTACTATAAATTTCCCTCTAAACACTGCTTTAGCTGTATCCCAGAGATTCTAGTACACTGTGTCTTTGTTCTCACTGGTTTCAAATAACTTATTTATTTCTGCCTTAACTTCATTATTTACCCAGTAGTCATTCAGGAGCAGGTTGTTCAGTTTCCATGTAGTTGTGCAGTTTTGATTGAGTTTCTTAATCCTGAGTTCTAATTTGATCGCACTGTCATCTGAGAGACTGTCTTTTATGATTTCCATTCTTTTGCATTTGCTGAGGAGTGTTTTACTTTCAATTATGTGGTCAGTTTTAGAATAAGTGAGATGTGGTGCTGAGAAGATGGTATATTCTGTTGATTTGGGGTGGAGAGTTCTGTCAATGTCTATTAGGTCTGCTTGGTCCAGAGCTGAGTTCAAGTCCTGCATATCCTTGTTAATTTTCTGTCTCATTGATCTGTCTAATATTGACAGTGGGGTGTTAAAATCTCCCACTATTATTGTGTAGAAGTCTAAGTCTCTTTGTAGGTCTCTAAGATCTTGCTTTATAAATCTGGGTGATCCTGTATTTGGTGCATATATATTTAGGATAGTTAGCTCTTCTTGTTGCATTGATCCCTTTACCATTATGTAATGCCCTTCTTTCTCTTTTTTGATCTTTGTTGGTTTAAAGTCTGTTTTATCAGAGAACTAGGATTGCAACCCGTTTTGTTTGTTTGGTTGGTTGTTTGGTTTTTGTTTTTGCTTTCCATTTGCTTGGTAAATATTCCTCCATCCCTTTATTTTGAGCCTATGTGTTTCTTTGTATGTGAGATGGGTCTCCTGAATACAGCACATAGATGGGTCTTCACTCTATCCAATTTGCTAGTCTGTGTCTTTTAAATGGGGCATTTAGCCCATTTACATTTAAGGTTAATCTTGTTATGTGTGAATTTGATCCTGTCATTATGATGCTAGCTGGTTATTTTGCCTGTTAGTTGATGCAGTTTCTTCATAGTGTCAATGGTCTTTACAATTTGGTATGTTTTTGCAGGGACTGGTATTGGTTTTTCCTTTCCATATTTAGTGCTTCCTTCAGAATCTTATAAAGCAGGCCTGGTGGTGGTAAAATCAGCATTTGCTTGTCTCTAATGGATTTTATTTCTCCTTCGCTTGTGAGGCTTAGTTTGGCTGGATATGAAATTCTGGGCTGAAAATTCTTTTCTTTAAAAATATTGAATATTGGCCCCCACTCTCTTCTGGCTTGTAGGGTTTCTACAGAGAGATCTGCAGTTAGTCTGATGGGCTTCCCTTTATGGGTAACCAGACCTTTCTCTCTGGCTGCCCTTAACATTTTTTCCTTCATTTCAACCTTAGTGGATTTGATGATTATGTGTTTTGGGGTTGCTCTTCTCGAGGAGTATCTTTGTGGTGTTCTCTGTATTTCCTGAATTTGAACGTTGGCCTGTTTTGATAGGATGTGGAAGTTCTTCTGGATAATATCCTGAAGAGTGTTTACCAACTTGGTTTCATTCTCCCCATCACTTTCAGGTACACCAATCAAACGTAGGTTTGGTCTTTTCACATAGTCCCATATTTCTTGGAGGATTTGTTCATTCCTTTTCATTCTTTTTTCTCTAATCTTGTCTTCATGCTTTATTTCATTAAGTTGATCCTCAATCTCTGATATCCTTTCTTCCACTTGATTGATTTGGGTATTGATACTTGTTTATGCTTCACGAAGTTCTCGTACTGTGTTTTTCAGCTCCATCAGGTCATTTATGCTTTCTAAACTGGTTATTCTCGTTACCAATTCCTCTAACCTTTTTTCAAGGTTCTTAGCTTCCTTGCATTGGGTTAGAACATGCTCCCTTAGCTGGAAGGAGTTTGTTATTACCCACCTTCTGAGGCCTACTTCTGTCAATTTTTCAAACTCATTCTCCGTCCAGTTTTGTTCCCTTGCTGGTGAGGAGTTGTGATCCTTTGTAGGGGAAGAGGTCATCTGGTTTTTGGAATTTTCAGCCTTTTTGTGCTGGTTTTTCCTCATCTTCATGGATTTATCCACCTTTGGTCTTTGATGTTGGTGACCTTCAGATGGGGTTTTTGTGTGGACATCCTTTTTGTTAATGTTGATGCTATTCCTTTCTGTTTGTTAGTTTGCCTTCTAACGGTCAGGCCCCTCTGCTGCAGGTCTGCTGGAGTTTGCTGGAGGTCCACTCCAGACCCTCTTTGCCAGGGTATCACCAGCAGAGGCTGCAGAACAGCAAAGATTGCTGCCTGTTTCTTCCTTTGGAAGCTTCATCAGAGAGGGGCACTCGCCAGATGCCAGCTGGTGCTCTCTTGTATGAGGTGTCTGTAAACCCCTGCTGGGAGGTGTCTCCCAGTCAGGAGGCACAGGGGTCAGCGACCCACTTGAGAAGGCAGTCTGTCTCTTAGCAGAGCTCGATTGCTGTGCTGGGAGATCCACTGCTCTCTTCAGAGAGACGTTTCAGCAGACGTTTAAGTCTGCTGAAACTGTGCCCACAGCCGCCCCTTCCCCCAGGTGCTCTGTCCCAGGGAGATGGGAGTTTTATCTATAAGCCCCTGACTGGGGTTGCTGCCTTTCTTTCAGAGATGCCCTGCCCAGAGAGGAGGAATCTAGAGAGGCAGTCTGGCTACAGCAGCTTTTTGAGCTGTGGTGGGCTCCACCCAGTTCGAACTTCCCGGGGCTTTATTTACACTGTGAGGGGAAAACCGCCTACTCAAACCTCAGTAATGGCAGATGCCCCTCCCCCCACCAAGCTTGAGCATCCCAGGTCAACTTCAGACTGCTATGCTGACAGCAAGAATTTCAAGCCAGTGGATTTTAGCTTGCTGGGCTCTGTGGGGGTGGGAGCTGCTGAGCTAGACCACTTGTCTCCCTGGCTTCAGCTCCCTTTCCAGGGGAGTGAATGGTTCTGTCTCTCTGGTGTGCCAGTGCCACTGGGATATGAAAAAAACACCTGCAGCTAGCTCGAAAGACCCCTGGTTTTCTTTCCAAGCTCTACTCTATAGCATGAGCTGTGTGACCTTGGGCAGATGACTTCACCACTTTGAGCCTCAATTTCTTCATCTTTACAATCTTGATAGCAAATGCATGCCCTTTCTGCTTCATAGATGCACCTGAGTAATGGGGACATTTACTCCCCAGTGCAGCCAGTGTTTCCAGGGGTCATGGGGATGTACCAAAACGAGATGCCAGTTGTGAAGATGCTTCACAAATTGAAGCTCTCTCTTCTCCTTCCATCTCTTGGATTTAGATAGCCCTTGGCTATCTAAATGAAGATGCACCAAGTAGGGCAGATCCAACAGCTGGCTATGCTCTTGGTTAAGTCACATCTCTGGCCCTCTCCTCACCCAGGTGGAAAGGAAATCTCCACATACCCTCTCCCCAATCCCTATCCCTTAGAACATTCTCAGGGCACCTTGAGATTGAGATAGCAGCCTCTTGATAAATAATAAATGGGACACAACCAGATGAAGGAAAGCTAGAAGAGATTTACAGGAGGTGGAAGAAAGATACTCCAGCCACAATAAATAAATGACTCCAGGTCCTCTGTGTCTCCAGGGTCTTGTAATAACGGAGAAAGCACCTAAACGCATGTGAGAAGGGGAAGGAAATGCTATTGGTGGCATGGGTGTAGAGAACATAGTCTGTGTACTTAGAAGATCATTTAAACTCCCCACAACCCAGTGGCTTTCAATGGCTTCAGGAGGTCAAATTAGCTGACAAGGTGGTCCAGAACTGAAGTACCTCCTGCTGCTAATGCAGTGGTAGTCCCCAGAGCAGCAGCATCACCTGGGACCTTGTTGCGGCAGATTCTCAGGACTCACCTAGCTGCAATGAATCAGAAACTCTGGGGGTGGGGTCAAGCAACCTGGGTTTAAAAAAGGCCTCCAGGTGACTGGCATGCCCGTGTGTGCCAATTGCTGTGCCAATGCCCTGGAGGAATGCAAAAGAAAAGGGAGATAGGGGAGCCTTTCCCATGCAACAGAGGTGTCCCAGGGTCCCTCTAGCCCCAACAACATGGGTTCCCTGTATTTCAGACTAGCTAAAGAAAGATTTGATGTCAAGCTGCTCTCTGTGCACACATCCATGATTCTCTTCATTGGCAAACAAACAAACAAACAAAAAATAAACAATTGATCCTGGAACCCAAGCTGAGCCTTGAGAATAGGGGCTCAAAACTGCAAACAAGTATATACACCAGCCTGCCCTTCTTCTTCCCCATGATCCCTGGAAACACTGGCTGCAGGGATGAATGTCATGAAGGACACACAGAGTCCCTACCTCCTATGGCATGTCATTCTATCTATTATACCTTCATTAGTTATGTTTTACATGCTTTTCTTTCTAACACAAAGAAAAAAATGAGAATATCCTATAACAGGAGTCATCAGAAGCATCAGCACAATGTAGTGGCCAGGAGTACAGATGCTAGAGCCAAATCCCCTGGGTTCAAATCCCAGCTTAGCCAGATAATGACTGCGTGACCCTGGATAAGGTAGTTAGCCTCTCCATGCCTTGGTTTCCTTATTTGTAAAATAGAGATAATAACTGCTACTTAGTAGAGTTGGTATGGAGATTAAATGAATTCATATTTGTAAAGTGCTTAGAATAGTGCAGGGCACACTTAACATTATTTAAGCGTGTGTTGAATATATAATCAGGCAGGGCTTAGATGGAAACCAGCAGAGTCAGAATGAAATTCCATATGAAAGGGAAGATGAAAGGGAGGAAAGGGCCCAGAGGAGGAAGCGAAACAAAAAGTTTGCCACCTTTATAACGCAGTTAAGGCTGCCTCTGCATGTTCTATAGCTCTCAGAAAGGTCCCCATTACTCAGGGAGGACCACCTCTGTCTGCCCCCCTGAAGCAGGGCAGGAAATGGGTAGGGTGGAAAAGCAGCTCCACAAAGGATTGGCAGGGAGAAGCTGTGGACATCCTGGGGCCTCACCTAGTGGGGTCCTGTCTCCTGTTTACAGTAGACCAGGAGAGCGTCCCAGAGAAGTTCCTAGCCCCGAGTTGGGCCAGGGCTCCCACTTCTTCCCACTGAATCCTGAGCCGCCTGTCTCAGCCCAGAGTGCTCAGTCATTTCTCTCCAACTCTGGGTAGATTAAAAAATCTCAAACTTTGGTGTCAAACAAGACCTGGGTTCAAATACCAGCTCTACAACAGAAGATTCGTGTGACCTGAAGTGAGTAACCACCCTCTGTGAGTCTCAGTTTCTTCATCTTTAGAATGGAGACAGGGCCATAAGTCCACCTCCAAGAGTTTTGGAGAGAACTAAATTAAATAGTGAAGGTGAATCCTGGGGCATGGTGCCTGCAGCATCACGGGAGCTCTGTGGATATTTGCCAAAGGAATGAACGGCCGCTCAGACCAGACAGTCTTGGAGTCCTTCTGCTGACAGCCTTCACCATTCCACTTAGAAAGGACAGGCCTCTAGTGCTGCATTCCTTCTTTCCCTCTCAACCTTGCCAAGGCCCCTCCAAGCAGCCAAGAGCTATCTAAATCCAAGAGATGGAAGGAGAAGAGAGAGCTTCAGGACTCCACCCACCACCCAAGAGCAAGGCTGAGTGCTTAGAGAGTGACTGGGAGTGATGAGAAGGTTCAAAAAGAAATCAAGTTCTGTTAATGAAAGACCAGAAAAACAATGCTTAAATTAGTCTCCATGCTTTGTTAAATCTGAAAATCACATAAAACACCAGTGATTGAGGAAAGCATTCTTTTCTTTCTTACTTTCTCTTTTTTAAACCCTCAAGCATCATTTAGACTTTTGCATTTTCAGAATAAATCCACCATCTTTCTAGTTTCCCAAAGGCTTGGCTGACATGGGGTGGGCCAATGATTTGCTCACCAAGGGAAGCTGATGTTCCCAAAGGGGAAAAAAAAGACATGTGATTTACATGGCTTAACATACTCATTAAGGACGTAATTGGAGTCACTTTGCCACTGATCCTCCAAGAGCCCCCCTCTCCCCACCCCCCATTTAATTAACAGGGTAACCTTTAGCTTCACAGCTCATGAAGAAAGCCAAGTATGAAAGAGGGAACTCTATCCACTTCTCCATCCTGATCCTACCATGCAGCTTAAAACCCCAGTGGGACTCCCGAGTTCTCGGGGGCAGGAGGGCTGTCTTCAGTTTGGAGTATTAACATCCCCCCACCCCGCCAGAAAAAAGAGGCTGTAAAGTTTGCATCAGCCAGGCCCAGGCTCGAATTCTGGCTCTGCCGTTCACTGGCAGTGACCTTGGGCAGAATTCTTAATCTCTTTCAGCCTCAGTTTTCTCATCTGTAAAATAGGGATAATAATTCAACAGACAATTCACAAGGTTGTTGCGAGGTTCAAGTGAGTGCAACATTTACTGTGATCTCAGCACAGAACCTGGCAGGCGTAAGTATATTGCAGTTTGCTTTTGTCACTAAAGTTGTGAGGATGGAGGGTAATGAGTTTTGAGGTAGCAGGACCTGAACTGCCAAGGGGATTCCCAAACAATGATACATTTTCATTTTGCCTTGATGCAGACACAAAACAGTTTATGGGAAACCACATACAATATTTCTAGCAAAAATTATCTGGAGTGACTGCACACAATTACTCAGATGTAACCAAGGTTCAGAATATTTTAGCTCCTTTCCATGATCTCAATGGGTCTGCTGTTCCCCTCCCAGCCTCCCCTTTCCTGCCCTTTCCCTGCCTGCTTGCAACATGGAATATAAATAATTAATGCTCTCCAATTACCTAAGCCAAAAATAAATAAAGCTTCAATGTGTATTGGATGTCCACACAAATCCACCATTAGAAAGAGGATGCATCCCCACGTGCAGGTGTCTGCATCTCGAAAGCCATTTGTGATGAGGCCGCTCAGTGGGTACCAGGGTTAGTTAAAGCTCGCTTCATTACAGTGGCATTGGGGCAGATGGGAACTGACGGCACTGGGCTGTTTTCATAGGGAAATGTGCACAAAGTCCCAGGTCAGCACGGTGATAAATGGGCTTGCCGACAATTTGCTGGGAGTACGCATCTTGGGGGGCTCCTGAGGTCATGAAATGTCTGCTGTTAAGCTACACAATTTTCTTTACTTATCAGTCCCAACCACATCGCAGACACATATTTGAACAATGAAACAAAGGACAACACGCATTATCATGCCCCAGCCGGAGAACGGGAGCACCGCTAAGCCAGACAGTGCTGATTGGACAAAGCCCGGGACACACAAAATGCCGAGTGTGGAAGGGAAAGAAGGCTGGCGATTGCTTTTTAAGGTAGCAAGTTGGAAGGGGGGCATGCGGGGGCTATGGGTGGGTGGGGAATTCTCTAAAGAATACAAGTCCCAAAGGCTGAAGTCACCTGTGACCACAGGGCCTCAGTGGCTGGCTCCAGTCTCTACACAGCAGCCACAGAGATATCTCCAAAATGCAAATCCCATTGTCCACTGGTGAACGTCAAACTCTTCCGCATGCTTACAAACCCTCCCATGTTCTCGCACCTGCTTACACCACCTAACTCTGCTCCCACCTGTATTCCACCCTCGGGCTATATCTGTAGGCCTTTGCACATGCCATCCTCTTTGCACATGTCATCCTTTGTGTCTCAGCTGAGATCGGCTTCCTCCAGGAAGTCTTTTCTGACCACCATTAAGTTGGCATTCGGTGCTGCTTGTCAGCCTCTCTCAGCACGGCTCTGTTTAGCTGTGTTGCTGATGCCTTGGTCCCTGCCTCTAGATTCTAACTCCATAGAGGCAGGGGCTGCCTTGTTTGTGGTCTTTCCAGTACCCTGCAAAATGCCTGAAACGGAGTAGATGCTCAAAACTATTTATGAAATGAATGAGTAAATATGCAGAGAAAGAATCTTTGCACTGGCAGGAGGCAGCTGTCCTAAGTGGGCCACACACACATCCTGCCAAGTAGGGTCAGGACCTCCATCTCCTCCCTGCCTCCATCCAAATGAGCCTCCATCTGGCACCAGGAAGGAGAGATTAAATGAGTTAACAAAGTTAAAAGCCATACAGGTCCCAAACACAATTCCTGAAAGGGAGTTTGGAAGTTACCCCAAAATAGGGGAGTAGAAGTGGGCATGGCATTTGGTGTGTGGCCCAGAAGTTTGGAGTCAGAGAGGTGAGAGAGAATCAGGAGCAGTCAGGAGAAGAGGTGATATTAAGGAATTTCCTTAAACTATCATGAATATATGCTGCTGCATTCATGGGTGAGTTTCAAGGGCCGGGAACTAAGCAGACCCTGTTGGCTATAGGGAGATGGGGCAGGGAAGCCCAGATCCTCTATAAGCCAGTGGTGACGACAGAGATTCCAAGAGAACAAAAAGCTTAGTTAATTGAGAAAAAAGAAGGCTGGATGAGGGGAAAGAGGAAGAGCCTCCCGGGGACATGAGCCCATCTCAAGGGAATGTATAACTTCATTGGCGGGGCAGGGATACCAGAGAAGTATCAGCAAGCTTCTGAGAAGCCCAGCCTGGAGGAGAGACAGCCATGGCCTCGGCTCTGTCTACCCCATGACTTTAGGCCAAGTCACCCGCTGTTTCTATGTTCCCTTTTCCTCTTCTGGAAAACGCTCTCCTCCACAGTTTGCTTAGCATCTTGCCGTTCTGCGCGGTGCTTCCCCATTCGTATTGTTTAGTCTTCCCACGTCCTATTAGACAGGACCCTCATTTAGCAGATGAGGAAACTGTGGGTCAGAAAAAATAGAGCCACCTGTCCAAGCTTACCTAGCCAGTAGGTGGCCATGCACAGATTTAAACTCAGGATGAGTCCACAGTGTGTGCTCCCACAAGCTTAGCAGGCTACCAGGTGGCACAAGTTTCCCGCCAGCTGTAACCTGGGGGGAGAATACAAAAGCCAAGCCAGCCTGGGCTGACCACAGAAGTAGACAATACGTTTCACCTCTCCCTACCTACCAGGCACCTCATAGCTCTTTTTTGGTATTTATTTCTTTGTATCCAGCATCAAATTACATTATCCCTCCCTTCCCCACCGACCAATGCCATGCTTCTGCTACTCTGTCCCAGTGACCCTGTCTTGTTTATCAAATTAGCAATCCAAACCAAGATAATTATGGGCGATGACTATGACATCCCTCCTAGATAACACTTTGGCATTTTTACAGGGCTCTTTTTGGAGACCCAGTGCTTTTACTCAAAGGCCTAATAAGAAGAGAGAAAATGAGAACAATCATGTTCCCTGATCCCACTCTGTGCTGGGCACATGCACAGATATTACAAAGCAAGTACTGTCAATCCCATTTTACAGATGGGACTGAGACCTGGAAAGATTTAATAACTCAATCCAATGTAAAAGTCAGGAAGTGACAATACTGCTTTCAATCTAGGCCTGTCTGAATCTCACTGTGTCAAACTGTCTTTCAACAGAGTGGTGTTTTCAAGCACCTCATGAGTATGCAAGGGAGACGGATGGTTTTCTAACAGTATACAGAAGGAGGAATTCTCAGGACACACACACCTTTCAGCAGCCTCATGTTACTCCTTCGTATTCAGATAAATACAGCCCTGACTGCGGAAAGAACTCAGTGGAGAACAGAAGCAACTGCTACAGAAAGGAAGGGATCATTTATCATGAAGGGGAAGACGAGAGACCCAGGTGGGAAAGGAGAAGGGGAGGGAGCCAGTCCAATGTCAGAATTTGGGTGAAAAACAATCAATATCTGGCAGGCACCTCCCAAACATCTGCTTCCCTATTTGTTTGGGGGAAATAATGATCTTGTTCCTTTCCATGATCTCCCCATCCATGAAGAGAGCCCACTCACTTGGCAGAGCATATGCCTGGTGGGGTCTAAGACCAGCAGCCTTCGTGTACTTGTGAATGAGTTTTCCTTTTCTTATTCATGAACGCTCAGGGGCATCAGGATTCTGGGCTTTTCTAGGACAGTTAATACTAATTCCTGTCTTCCACGGACCAGGGACAAAATATTTATGAAAGTTAGCTGCCTTTTGCCTCTGTCCTTGGTCCACAGTCCTTGTACACTGCCTCGTATAACTGGAACTCCAGACAGAGAGCACAGAGAGAGGAGGGAAGGCAACCAGCCACTTGGCAGTGGGGCTTTGAAGACCAGACAGACAGGCCTTCCAGATTAACACTTAAAAAAAGAAAAAAAAGTTGTTTTACCCTCCGTTCTATGATTCCCTGCTGAATAGGAGTGTGCGTTTAAAATTTAATCATGAATTCATTGGAAGGAAATAAATCAGAGTAAATGTTTAAAGTGCAAAATTGCTGAGCTCTTGGGTTGTGATCACTCGATTTAGCATAAAAATTAAGAGTTAGTGTTTTCTGAGAGCAGGCACAGAGGCGCATTTACAATTTTTTAAAATGACAGATGCCATTAATTTTTTAAAAAATAATCTGATTTGCAATGCAGTATACCATACTCAAAAAAAAAGACTCACTATTCAGAACCTAGGGTTAAAGCTGCAGAAACTATATCTATAAAAGCATCCACAGAAAGCTGAAGGTTGATTTCTCACTATTGGCCTCATAGGCCAATGAATTCTGATCTTTCCCACCCACAACTCAATTCAGGAGGAGATGCTTATTCGCAGTGAGGCACTGCTGAGGTGCTGGAGAGAGGAGAACTCACCAGTAGGCAAGAAGCCTGACGTGCATTCAGCTCTGCTCCCTTGCCAAGTTCAGGCCTTCCTCCTCTCTCATCTGAGTGACCCAGGTGCACCTCACTTGACTCCAGTGAACTCCAAGAAACTCTCAACCTCAAATACAATGTGATCACATCGTTCACAATTAAAATCTTTCCATGATCTCCCCCTCCATGAAGAAAGCCCACTCCCTTGGCAAAGATTATGCCAGGGCCCCGAGCAATTGGGCTCCCAACCTCTCTGTCTCGCACCCTGTACTCAAGGCCTCCACCTTATCTTCACAAGGCCAACAGAATCTGCCCCCACCTTTGCCTGACCTTCTCCCACTGTCCCCTCACTCACTCCTCAGACTCACCTCTTCACCATTTCCCAGTCTGCTACTACCTCGTGGCCTTTGCAGACGACTGTTTCTCTATATGGACCATGGTCCCCGTAAGAGCCACGTACGCAAGGAGTCTTCACTTCCCTTGGGCTCTGCCAAATGTCACTTATCAGAGAGTCCTGATTTTAGATGGCCACCCCATCTAAAATAACACCCCTTCCCCTAACCCCACACTCGATATCCCTTCCTCTGTTTTATTTTTCCCCATAGCACATACTTGTAGCCACCTGGCACCTGACATCCATGCCTGTTTATTTACTGCCTTCCCACACTAGAACAGAGGCTTCATGACACCAAGGACTTTGCCCGTTTTGTTCTCTGCACTATCTCTGTGCACATAACAGTGCCTACCATACACATTGTTGCCTCTCAATGAACATTGATAGAATGAATTAAATGAACAAATGGCATCCCATTCTGTCTGCTGATCCCCACATCGTGTGCCGCTACATGCCTCCCTATCTTTGAACAAGTTGTTCCTTTTACATGGAATGCTCTTCCTCCCATTCCTCTTGCTAGGCTAACCTGCAGCTTTTGTTCAAAGCCCCCTTCTCTGGGAAATTCCACGTGTCTTCCTACCTTGAACCCAGACCTGGCAAGAGTGCCGGTTCTATGCCCCTTGCCATCTCCTGTTATTGCACTAGAGTATCATTGTTGGTATGCTTTGCTATCTCCCCTGGGGCATGCTGACCTCCACTCCAGAAAAGTGTATTGGTTTTCCTATGTATCTGAAGCACCCAGCAAGGGCCTGGCACACGGTAGATACTTCATAAGTGGCTGCTGGTTTAACAAATAAATGATTATTATATTTGACATCTGTTGGGTGCTTCCTATTTGCCTGTCACTGTTCTAAGCACTTGGCAGAGATTAACTCATCACCTTTTAACAACCCATATTTCAGATGTAGAAACAGAATCACAGAGAGGTTAAATAAGTTGCCCCAAATTCACACAACATAAGTGGCTGAGCTGGAGTTTGCGCCCAGCTCTAGAGTCTGGGCTCTTCACCGCCACTCCCGATTGCATTAGTAATGAATGGATGAGGGATGAATGTTGAACCTTAAGTAATATTCTTTTTTCTCCTCCTTTTCCCTCTTATCTCTATGTTCTTTCTGTTATTCTTACTCTCTCCTGCTCCTTACTCATACATTCAGTTCACAAATATTTGTTGAGAACCCACAATGTGCCATGCGCTGTGCTGAGAGACAGAGGTAACTACAGTGAGCAATGCTCACATGGAGACAGATGCTACTTAATCACAAGAGTATACATGGACAGATCATAATAAGGACTATTCATTCCTGCATTCATTCTGTTATCCAATAAATGTCTATTGATTGCCTGCTATGTGCGAGGGGTTGTTCCAGGTACTGGGGATAAAGCAGTATCTATTTACACTCAAATAAATAAAAAATAAGCAAACAAATAAATGAAAAAATTTCAAAAGCTATATAAATTACACTATAAGTGCAATGAAGGGGTAAAAATACAGACTGTGAAGGAAATATACAAAAAGAGCTACAAAAGCATATAGCAGGGGACCTTGCTCTAGACACATAGTGATAGAAACTAATACTTACAAAGTGTTCGCTGTTTCAAAGCACTGAGCTCTGCATGTATCAGCCCATTTATAATCACCACGACTCTATGTAGTGGGTGCTATTGTTATCCTTATTTTACACATGAGGAAATTTAGGCACAGAAACATAAGTAACTTGTTCAAAGTCAAGCCACTAGTAAGTAGCAAACCTAGATTTGAACCAGGTGGTCTTGCTCCAGAGTCCATGCTCCTCAGCACATTGCTAAGAGAACACCTTCTCCTACCATCTAGAGAGGTGGCCTTAGGATGATGTGTCAGGAGCTGTGTGACCCTGGGTGGGCCACTACCCCTTTGGACTTCAGCATTCTTGAGTTAAAAATAAGACTACTGGACTAGATCAGAGTCCAATGTCTTATGTAGGGAATGAGGGACCCTTAGAAATCACATGAAGAAATTTGTGTGCATGCATGTCTACGACCATACCACCCTGAATGCGCCCGATCTCGTCTGATCTCAGAAGCTAAGCAGGGTCGGGCCTGGTTAGTACTTGGATGGGAGAAATTTGTGTGCACGTGAATGTGACATGTTTCTTAAGTGTGGCACTGCAATTTAAATTAAATTTTCAGAGTGGTCTGTGGCCCCAAAGGAGTGCAGGAAATTATTCCTTCTAGAATTTAGTGTTCCATGAAATATACCGAGAAACATATCTTGTGTGCTTTTGTATGGAATATGCCACATGCTCACGCTCAGAAGAATGCAAATGTATACATAGTGCTCCCTGCAGAGTGGGTGAATCCTGAGTCCATCTTAAATAATTTTCCCTGCATCTTCTGGATTACCCTTTCTTCCTTTGATTTGCGATCATTCCTCCTTCAACTGCATCGTTCTGTACATTGAAGATCCAGACATATCCCTGTCTCGCTCTAATGTCTAAGGCCAAATAAAGCTTGGCTGCACAGTTGTGATTTCATAAATGTGCCCAGTAAATCCAACAGTGAAACATTTTATTAGGTGGGAAATGCCAAATGCCATACATAAGTTATTTATTTACCTATCAACACCAATAAGACAATTTCATTTTACAGGGGTACAGTTGGATTCCAAGGCTGGCAATTCGTGGCTGCTGGCGCAGTCAGTGGTATTTGGTTTTGTCTTTATATTTTACATGAATATCCCAAAGAAAAAGAAATTTGGTCATTCAATGCTTTTGTCTTAAGTCACTTAATATTATAAGTATCTTTCAATAATGCATTAACATATAAAATATATTCTTAAAGACAAATAGAAAGAATTAATATTTTATGGGCTACAACCCACAAACGTCTCTAGAAGCACTGAGAGCATTGATTGTTTCCTAAATCCATTAGGCTCTATTTTGATCTCCAATGGCTGGAGACAATCTGCTCTGTGGTAGGAGTTATTCTGGCAGCACAATAATTTAGAGGGAGCCAATGTTTTGACGACCTTCAGCTTTTGACACCAAATGCTAAAAAGCTCCAATAAGAAGACAAGACTCCCGGCTCACCCCTACCAGTTGCCACAATTACATACTAGCTGGTCAGATTAGAACTGCCCTTCTGTGATGAAATCTGAATTAATCAGGCTGGTCCAACTAACCCACCAAAAGGTCAAGTTGGAGCCATTTTCCATCAAGATGATGATAATGATTATAATAGCAGCAGCTATCATTTATGCAATAGATAATGAGCATCCTACATGGCCCTAGGGGTCACTGTTCACATCATGGGCTAGAAGATGACAGTAGTGTCTTGAAGAAGGGTACCTTTTTCTAATTCTAATTCTTACCTTCTAATGACATGCGAGTTAAGAGTCATTATCCCTATTCTACATTTAAGGAAGGAGACTTAGGCAGGTGAATGACCTACTCACCGCCATACAATTAGCCAGAGTTGATGCTAAGACTCAAACTCAGTCCACCTGGCTTCAGTTCCTGTGTTGTTTTCCTAGCACTATGGTGGACAGCACACAAGCTGGCTGCTAAGAGGGACCGATGTGACTCCAGGAGATTGAAGGAAGGTACCAGCTGGAACAGATGGGAAAGCCAGGGTAATGCCTCCTTATCACACGGTTAGGACCTTCGGAATTGGCAAAGCCCACCACCAGAGGTTCTACCTGGAACATAGCAGGGAGATGGAGCCTCACTCCATTGATGAAGATAATGTATCTTCCTCTTCCTTGTGACTCCTTATGTCTCACACCACGTCGGATTTTCCAAAGCTCTTACTGAATTGATCCCTAGCTTATAAGGTTTGTCTCTGCTGTAAGGAAGCATTCAGTCTTTTTCCTGCCTACCCCTTATTCACACTTTCCTACACATTCCCAGTCCCCACAACTCCCCGAAAGACTTACAGCTTCCCAAATGTACTCTGCTCTTTATAGTAACTGCTGTTACCTCTTCATTCTTTCCCATATTCTCATAGTCTCCTCCCACCTGCCTTTAACTGTGAATAACTCCTGCTCAGTCTTTCAGACCTAACTGAAGCGTCATCACTTCCAACAATCTATTCCTGAAGCCCATCTGACCCCAGGCTGGGTAAGGGGCTTCTCTTCCGTACTCCTAGAGCCATCCCATCAGAGAACCCACCAACGATCTGGGTGCCAGAAGGGGCAGCACCCTATATGTGGTAAAGGGCTAGCTAACTTCAGAGTCAGGCAGACCTACCCAGTTTCAATCTCAGCTTCACCACTGGCCCTGGGCATTTTAATCTCTCTAAGCCTCAGTTTTCTCATCATAAATGAAGCTGATCATAGCAATTACAGTTGAGGATCAATGACATAATACACATTAAGTACTTAGCACAGGGTCTGCCATCTTAACCCTGCAGTACTGAGGGCATGAGGGGGCTCTGACCCCCATCTGTCCACTGCTCCCACACTGTAGGCTTGTGGGCTCTGAGGGCAGGATCCTTCTCCAGTTTCTCTGTGTCCCCTGTCCACCTACACTGGGCCTGTACAGAGAAAACTGATCAATAAGGATTTGCTGAGCTGCACAGAATTGCAAAATATGACAGCTAAGGAGTACATCCAATCTCTGACTTGTGGGAGAGAAGGAAGGCGCCTGCATTACTGCCCAGGGAGATTAGCATACTGGTAGTGTCAGAGCTGAAATAAAGAGCTGCTGACTCTCCAGGTTAGAATCTGACTTCTGAAGGTGGCAGGGAGTGCAGCGTGGGTAGAGGGAGTTCTGATTTTTTTCTTGCAAAATTCATCACGGACACTCAGCCTAAGACACAGGGGAACACAGAACTGTGTTTTGACTTCTAATTTATCTTCTTAATATCCACTTTCTCGTGCCGTGGAACAGGGCCAACAAGTCTCAAAGATCACATTTCACCAGAGACCTTGAAAGTGTGATTCAACATCTCTTTTTGCAGTAATAAGATCTTTTAACCGAAAGTGACCATTTTATGAGGCTGATGCATTACAAAAGAGCCAATAGGCAAACTGAAGCTCAGGATTATTAAAGCCCTGGGAAAAATCAATGTGCTCTGAAGCCAGCCTCCAGCTGCGACTTAAGCAACAGTGACCCTGAGTTCAGGAAAAGTGTTTGCTAGGAGCTGAGGCTGCGTCCAAAAATGTTGTGCACCCACTAGCTGTGAGTGTGTCTGTGGGGGGAAGGAGGGGCCCGGATCCCCAGCAGGGCAGGCTGCTGCTTGGGAGCAGGAGATTAACAGAATGCTTTTTAATCCCAAATGATGGGTCAAGTCATAATTAAGGGGCTGAGCAAGAACTGAGAGTCAGAAGGGAAACTGAGCTTCAGGAAATTAGGGAAGGACACCCAGAAGGTTGGAGAATGAAGGCAGGGGTCAGAAGTTCATGAGAGCAGAGGGTGAATGGAACATAGCAGGGGCTTGGCGGACCAACAAGCCAGAGTGTAAGCGGGGCTGATACCACAGGTTCTCTGTGGTGGCTGAAGCATGGTACGTGGGAAAGCCAGCTATGTTTAAAGGGACAGAGACAGGCCAATGCAGGGTGATGTCATGCAGATCTGTGTCCCTGCCCAAATCTCATGTTGAAATGTAATCCCCAGTATTGGAGGTGGGGCCTGGTGGGAGGTGATTGGATCAAGGGGGTTGATTGCTCATGAATGCATTCGCACCATCCTCTCATTGCTCTCCTAGCAATAGTGAGTACGTTCTCCAACATCTGGATGTTTAAAACTGTGTGGCACCTTGCTCTCTCTCTCTTGCTCCTGCTTTCCCCATGTGACATTCAGGCTCCCAATTTGCCTTCCGCCATGATTTTCAGTTTCCAGAGGCCTCCCCAGAAGCAGATGCCAGTTATGCTTTCTACACAGCCTGCAGTATTGAGTCAATTAAACCTCTTTTCTTATAAATTACCCAGTCTCAGGCATTTCTTTATAGCAATGCAAGAATGATCTAATACGCGGGGGAAGCCAGCAGTGCCATTTCCCCAGTCTGTTTCTCCAAAGGCCATCCCTCTTGGCATCAAGGCTTCTGGAATACAGCAATGCCAGCTACTATCCCTATTCCCATCACACAGAGGCACTGCTGCTGCCCTTTCTCCTTTTCTCTTTTCCCCTCCCCTACTGCAGCCCAGCCAGTCTCAGAGCTGTATGGGCTTATGCTTAGCATATATAGTCCAGTCCTCCCGGTTTACAGATGGGAAAACTCAGACCCAGAGGGGAGACGTACCTCACCCAGCCATGTGGCAAGAGAGCAGCTAAGCTGAAGCTTGTCTCCAGGTCTCTTAAGAGCTGATCTTTTCTCTGTGACATATAATTTAGAGGCCATTTTTATTCAAGGTGCAATTTTAACCTATATTTCATTATAAAACCAATACTTGTTTGTTGTGACAAATTCAAATTAAATATACATGCAAAAATAATAATAAAATGTAAAGATGATGTACCTCCTCCCCTACCCAGCTTATCCATAAACACATGTACCAGAGGTAACCACTGTGACAGTTTGATAAGCTACAGGAGGTGTTTACAGCCCCTTTCAGGAGGCAGACACAAGAACAGTATTCCCTACACACACATGCGCGCACACACACACACACACACACACTCCCCAGAGAATCCAATTCTCTACACAGTAGCTCTGCTAAGTGGTCACCCAGTCCTGACTCGTGTCCCTCCAAAACCGAAAGAGATCATTACCTCTGGAAGCATCCTGTCCACTTTTAGATAGTTCTAATGATCAGAGAAACCCTCTTATAATTGAAGGAAAATGCCTACCCATAGCCCTAGTTTAATCCTTTTGACAGCCCTAAACACATCAGTTCCCTCTTTTTATGGGGACCTCTAAGCAGCTAAGAATAGTCCCCATAGCCCTCTGGGTTTTCTCCCGGCCATGCCAACCACCCCTGGTTCTATCAATGATATCTGAAGAACAGACTCAAGACCACGTGTCCCTTACAAGCTTCATCCAGGGCAGAGCCACAGGGAACTGCAAGGGAGAGATACATTCATTACACCCTCACTCCTCAGTGGTCCCCATAAAAAGAGGAAGAGGCTTCCGGTGAATACACATGAGCCTCACTTTAAGGGAATCCACCATATCTAAGTCCAAATGTAGCAGTCATGAAGGATGCCTTGCCTGGTAGCATGTATTTTTGGATTCTTTTGGAAAGTGAAAATTCTACATTACTAGAGATCTCTGTGGGAGTTTAAATAAGCATCAAATTCCACAGTATCCACTGCCACACAAATATCTGGATCCCACTCCAAATACGAACTGGAGGCCCCACGGACCACTCCATCAATGTTCACCAAGTCCTCTTTATCAGTGAACACCTAAGAAGGGATGCACTGGCAGAGAGCAGGGCCCGAGAACCAGCGTACTGTTGAGACCTCCCCACCCAGTGAGGTGCCAGGGGACAGAAAGAGCACATGCTCCTTCTGGAGATGCAACAGACTTCATGGATCTCATAGTGTGGCCGCCATAGGGGAGCCCCAGACAAGAGCAGAAGGACACAGATAGGGCGTTCTAAATAATGTGGTACCTCTTCACAGAAAATGCACACTGTGTAGACACCCTCATGGGTTGTATGTTAGTCACACTTTAAACGCCAACCTAAGGCAGACACCACTGGGCTGAGTCCTGGTCTCACACATCATGTTGGGCCCCTGCTTGGGTTTGAATCCTGCCTCCGTACTTCCTCACCATGCGATCTTGGATAATAGTATAGACAGCTACTGGCTACAAAGTGCTCAAATGCTAGCCAGTGGTAGTACTAGGTGTGCTTACTAAATGCCAGTTGTTCTGCTGATTTAAAGACATCCTCTCTCCTCTGTATTTTCATAGCTGCTGAGACTGGTTATTCACAACAACCATCATCATTTATTAGGGATTTATTGGGACATGCTGAGCAGGGCTCTAGGTACTTCATATGCATTATCCCAGTGAATGCTCACAAAATCCCAGGAGGTAGGCATTATCACCCATTGTAAAGATGAGCAAATTCCCAAGTCCTGCCTGAGGCCAACTCAAAACTCTCCTAGATTATACTCCATAAGGAAGTGCAAGGCTGGGACAGAGACTCAGTTCTGCTACAGGAATAGCATCCTGTCTACTTTTTGATAGCTCTGGTAATCAGAGAGAACCTCTTATAATTGAAGGAACATGTCTACACATAGCCCTAGTAAAGGGGCTCAGCATGTAAAGGGGCAGAGGAGAGGGGGAAAGAGGATCAGAGACCATGAGGAAGGGAGGCGGGAAGAGGCCCAGTGGCAAGGACAGAGGCTGAAATCAATCCCAGAGCCATCAGTGTGCTTGGTTTGCTCCCAAGAGACATCCAGAAACCGGTAGCAAGTTTAGTGGCTCAGCCGCTGTCCACTCCGAGGGCTTCCTCTGTCCTGAGGACAGTAGTGGGAAGGTCTGTCAGCCGCCTGCATGGTTCAGACTCCTGCAAAGATGATGTCTCCTTGGTCAGGACCTGGGCAGATGCACCTGCTTCTGAGCAAAGACAAGCTACAGGTACTGCCCTGTACAATGGTGGCCTCAACCATGTCTGGCCATTCTCCACAGACTAGGCTCTGACTGGGGCAGTTTTGTCAGAAACAAGAGTCCTCTCTACATCCCAAGCACTCTGCACAAAGGAGGCCTTCAAAATGCACACTGAACAAATGTAGGGGCAAAGAGGAACAAGTGCTATCCAAGGTAGCAGATGTGTGGGCCCAATGAGGGGCTTTCTCTCCCTGACAAATATCTGCATGACAATGAACAGGAATGTGAATGCACTAACACGCACAGCATGCGCCCACTCAGGTGTAGCCATGGCCTCACACGTGCACATGGGCACATGCTCACAGGTATGTCCATGGGAACACAGTCTCACTCTTCCTCATTGGTCCCAAAGCACAGCACCAGAAGATTTCAAGATACTGTGTGAACCCAAAGCTGTCCCCACCTGGAAGGTCATTGGCACTGCTAATGTTCCCATTTCACAGACTGAAAAAGGCCTGCCTCTGACAAGCGAGGCTTAGCAGCTCAGTGACTTCCTGCATTTTGGGCTTTACGGGATTATGTACTGGTTAACCACACACACTGCAGGTTACATTCAGCCATTCCTTGGTTGGTTTTCAGATAAGGACATCCTTCCTGAACATGCGCTGCAGCCCTGTGTGGTGTGATGAGGCCTCAATCCCCGCCACATTTGAACCTCTTTCAGGCCCTCATGCCACCACTCCCCACCTCACTGGGGTTTTACCCACACTGTTTCCTCTGCCTGAGATACTCTTCTCTCCTGTTTCACTCATCAACTTCACTCTGCCTGCAGATTTCAGCTCGGGGAAGTTTTATCTCACCTTCTTGCCTGGGACTTTCCTTCCCCACTAGACATGTCATCATATCCCTGTTTGAATGTGCCATGTCTGTGAGGCCCTATCATTACTGCTGTCACTCCCACAAGACTCTAAGCTCTGAGAAGACAAGAGCCATCGCTCCTCACATTGACCATTGTGTGCCAGAGTCTTGGCTCCTTACATTGACCACTATGCGCCCAGAGTCTAGCATGGGTATGCCTGGAATATAGTAAGTGTCCAGAAAATATTGGCTAAAGAAACAAATGAGTGAATGAATGCCCAACAACCCTGGAAACAGTCTCTTTTGGAGTTGTGGTTTTCCTTTTTAAATCAAAGCATTTTTTCCCCATTATAAAAGTACTGTCTATACCTAAAAGAGAAATAGAAAGAAACTGGGAAATACCCTCTTTCCCAGGACCCAAAGTTATCCCTAAACAGTAAAATCATGAGACACCATTGGGCCAAAAGCATCCAGGATGTTAAGGAGACTCAGTGACTTTCCTGGCTATGATGCAATCCATGGGAATGAAACCATGCTGAATGGCTCAGAGTTTAGCTTCCAGAAGAGACCTATGATGTTTCCTTTGACTTCTCACTTCACTGCCTCCCCCAAGTAAAGCAGGTCTTCAACACTGCTGCCTCTGAAAACGTTCCAGGTTTACAGTTTCCAAATGGAAAGAGAAGTTTCTGATACAACAGTCTACATGAGTTTCACACTTTTAGAAGTGAGATTTGACCTAAAAAAAAAAAAAGAAAAAAAAAACCCTTAAGTTATAAAATCTCTTTTTAGAACAGAAGTAATAATATGGAGCCAAAAGGCTCTGCAGCCAGTACATTTCAAATTTAAGGCGAGCAAATTGCTACTAGGAAAGAAAAATAACCAGGCACAGAGGAGAGAGAAAAAAGAAGAAAATCCAAATTAAAAAGCCTAGAGGTATGTCCAATTACATTGTCTTTTTCCTTAGATTTTTGTCTACAAAAGGTACTTTTCATTTCAAGGAGGAAAAATAAATTTTAATTTGACAGCTGATACGATTTCCGTTGCAAAATTAAAACACATTTTGTCAAGGTTTGTTTGTTTCCAAAAACTATATATTTTATTGTCACACATATAATTTCATAGTACAGATATAGCTCATATTTTATAAGCCTTTTACAACAGACAAAGGGATCCGCAGCTTCCCCTCTAAATCAATGGAGCACAGCAAGTAGAATGGGATGGAAGTATTTTAAAGCTACAGATCAGACCAATTTACTTAACAGCTGAAGTAGAGGACAGAAGCTTCCAGAGCAAGCCAGCATATTTTAGAAGCCTCCCAGCAGGCACTGGGCTCAATGGCATATAGGCCTGTCTGGCACCTTTATCAGAGGCCTTCTGGTCAACAGCATGAGAAGAATGAAACTGGTGGTCTTACTGTGTCATTCCCATGGCAGGATGGGCAGTGCAAAGCAAAATATTACAGTCCCCAGGTAATCAACCCATAAGCCCTCTTTCAAAGAGAAAAGAGGGATGGACAGTCTGGGAAAGGGGGAAGTATGACTTTAGGCTGCAGGGGTTAGATCATCCAATTCACAGATCTCTGCCTGTGACCAGTGGCATAGCATATTTCACCAGGGAACAACGCACCAACAATGCTGAGTGACATCAGTACTGTTTGCTAGCCTCTGGAAGACCCATAGGGAGGCCATAAGCAAGTTCAAATCCCTGCTCTGGCACTCACTGGGAATCTGAGCAAGTCACGTATCACCTCAGAGTCTCAGTCACTTCAATTGTAAATAAGAAAGATAACATACTTCCTAAGGCTGCTCTTGTAACTGTGTGCCCAGCACTATGCCTGGATTTACTGCAAGATCACACTTGAACCTCACTACAGCTCTGACCAGGTAGGAACTATGTGGCAGTTTTAAGCATGGCTGCAAATTATTTACCACCCTTCCCATCAAGAGTCTAATATCCCTCCCCGTTATATGGGCCAGCCTTCCAGACTCACTCCCAATGAACAGAATGCTGGAGAAGTGATGCTGAGTGACTTCTGAGGCTAGGTCACAAAAGGCAGTACATTTTCTGCCTGGCTTGCTCGTGCTCTCAGGATGCTCCCTCCTGGATCCAGCAACCACATTGTAAGGAAAGCCAGGCCACACGGACAGGCCACATGTAGCCCAGCTGACTGCCAGCATCAACCACCAAGTATGTTAGTGAGAGAACCTTCAGATGATTCCAGCTTCAAGTCACCTCAGCTGATGCTGAATGGAGCAAAAAGCAGAAAAAAAAAAATCACCCTGCTGAGCCCTGCTCAAATTGTATATTCCTGAACAAAATATATGTAACTGAGTTAAGTCATTGTGTTGGAGTGGTTTGTTATATAGCAATAAATGCCTGAAATAAACTGTTGTTCTATCCATTTTACAGATGAGAAAATCAAGGCTTGGATTGATTAATTCATGCCTCAAATAGTTTGCAATGAGCACAATCAGGACTTGAACGCAGCTGGCAAAGTGTATGCCCATACCCACTATTCCATACTACTTTTCAAGTCTGATTCTCCATCATCAAAGTAAAAGGAGAGTCTGATTAATCCTTGGTTCCTAGAAACCACTAATCCAAACTCTCCATTCTCTAGGCCTTCTAGTCAGGAGTTTAATGTATTCCTTCCTTTACTATGATTTGTAACCATTATTTATTTTTTAGCTTCATTTAAGTATAATTTTCTCAGTGATGGTCACATTAAAATAAACACATATACAGGAGAGCTGGTTAATCCCTGCGAGTTGAGCTGATGGGTGGAGACACAGCAGGGGAACGAATATTAGCATCTTCTATGTGCATGGTACTGTCCTAAGTATTTGTCAGTCAGTATTCTAGACACACTGGAGAAGAACAAACTCAAAAAGAAAAGTCACACTTGAGATTTAACTCCAGTGTTTGTTACAACACACAGTATGAAATCCATCCCCCCCAGTTCCTGCCCCTCCCCCACTGCCCCACACCAGACTAACAGGCATTAAAAGAACTATAACTTTCCTACAGCAGTGCCACTAGCAACACCCAAATTTAAAATCATACCCCACTGTTCCTGCTACTTACAGGGACACATTAACAGTGAACGTCTTGCCCACTTCAACATCCTCCTCCAATGTAAGGGGACATTATTCTCAGTGTCATTGATAAGGTTTAAAATACTTGATCTCCTTTGAAACTGAGAGCATCAGAACTCACTGGGGGTTTAACTCGAGGGTGATGATGAAGTCATATGTAAGGACAATTCTTCTGGAAAAGGTGTGTGGACAGGGTGGTAGAAACCAGGCTGTGGGCTTTGGGAACAGGTGAAACAGCAGCTGGGAAGGAACAGAGGTGAGACACTAACACAGAACTGAATGGAAGCTAAGGGTGAAGCAGGGGGACAGGCCAGAGGCAGGTCAGAGGGGCTCTGACAGGGAAGGGGTGCCCCTTGGAGGTGAGTGGTAGTGAAGGCCAGAGGTGAGGTTTAATCAGAATGAGAGACCGGGGCAGCAGGAGGCAGTGTGAGCAATGATCACTAGAGAACGAAAGCTTTGGGGTACGGTGACTCCCATGAAATGCTGGGCCCCTCATTTACTTGGCCTGGGATACCTATGGGCAAATTATTTATCTTTTCTGCCTCTCAGCTTCTTCATTCTTAAGACAGGAATGAATTAGAGTAGCTCCTACCTCTTGAGTAATTGGAAGGGATAGTGTTATCACTGAGCTCATAGGATCAATTAGATACTGCATTTAAGAACTAGGCACACTGCCTGGCAAGTAGTTATTGAACAATAAATGGCAGCCTTTCCTAACACTGACCAAGCCCACTCCCATCTCAGGGCCTCCTGGTACATTTGGCTTCTTCTTCCCCTGATCTTCCAGCTCTTTCTCAGCATATAGGGTCTGCTTAGAGGTCATGTCCCAAGAGAAGCCTTCCTGACCATTTCCCTCCCCTCCCCTTCACCACTTACCCTACTATACTTTCCTCATAGCAGGCAAACCAGAGGGGTCATCAGTTATGAGACAATCCATCAACCCAATCACTCTATTCCCTGACCATTTGGTTTGATGTTTCATTCCCCCCAACTGAAACTTTATGATTTATTTATTTATCTTACTTGTTTATTGCTTCTGTCCAGGAGTTTTGCCTATATTGTTCACCCTGAATTTCCCTGAATCCCAAGGGCTAGCACATAATAGGAACTCAATGAATGTTTGCAAAAGGACCAGATTCATATTTGTTATTATTTTTCTGGCAGGGAAGCAGGATTAGGCTTTCAGGGCAGATCTGGGAGTCATCCACTGGGATTCAAAAGCTGAGGCAAGGATATGGTGATCTCTGCTTGAAAAGACTTGAGAAACAGAAAACTGTGGGCCCAGGACTATCCATCATGAAAGGCCACAGAGAGGGTATAGAAAACAAGTCCAAGGAGACCAGAACAGAATCATCACAGCATCAGTCCACCAGCACCCACACAGCTGGGCCCAAAATAAAGCAATGACCATGGTGAGGATCCTGGAATGGACACTGCGCCCCAGGAGATTATCATGCAATCAGGCTTCACATGTAAACCATCCACAAATTTATGAGCCTACACAAACAATTCCTTCCTGGAATGTTTGCACAAATGGGGCAGATTACAAAACTCTAGCCAAAGAACAAAAATATCACATGGCTAGGGTCACAGAGCAGCCTGGGCCATGAATAGAGGGCAGAGGGATTCTGCCTCCGAACTGAGGCCACAGTTTTCCTGGTCTGACCAGCTGACAGCTGAGAAGCAATGTAGGAACCTGGCCAGTCCTTCACCATGAAGAGCTTAGCAATGTGGGCTGGGCGAGAGAATTTCAGGGAAGTTCAAGAGGCCTAGGCCAGCCACAGGAACACACATGAGATGTCTGGGAACAGCAAGGTTTAAAATAGTAAAGCACCAAAGACTCACAGTTCCATAAACATTTTAAAAGTACCTACTGTGTGCCATACATACACTGCACCGACCATTCACACAAATTATGGCATGTAACCCTTATGAGGCACAACACAGTGAGGCACAACTCCTTGTGAGTTGTTGTGTGATGACTGTCCTTGATCTTCATGGTCCAGATGAGGATCCTGAGACTCAAAGAAGGAAAAGGATCTGTTCAGCATCACAAATCTGGTGAGTGGGAGAATAAGATTCAAAGCCAGGCATTTTGTGTCCAAATTATGTGCCCTTTCTGATATATTGCAGCAGCCTCTGAAATATAAGACACGTTGGGAAAGAACATCGTGCTTCCAATATGCAACTTAGCATGTGCAGGTAAGTGGTAAATGTATTTATTTGCTTGTCTCCATAAGACTGAAGTCTCTATCTTAAAGGCTTCTACCTCCCTGTGGCCTAGAGCCCTGTCTTGTGCATAGTAGCTATTTATCCAATGTTGGTGAATTGACAACCTGGTGGATTGACTGCTAGCAGACAGGATGGACAGCAAGCCAGTCACTGCTCACCCTCCAGTGGATCACAGAGAGACAAGTTTATGAGTTTTGCTTCCATCAGTGGAGGCATCAGGGAAATGAGTATTGATATGGGGACAGCTGTGAGCTAGATTACAAAGCATAGCCGGAGAGAGGAGGCTGGTAAAAAACCAGAATGTTATGCCAAAAATGAGCTTGGCTCATAGTGAACTATTGAAGACTGAGTAGGGAGATCATTAACTCTGAAGTTAAAAGAGTCTGGATTCAAATTCCGGCATCACAGCTAGTGCTGTGGCCTGGGATAGGTACTTAACCTTTCTGAACCTCAGCCTCCTCATCTGTAAATGGGGAGAACACCACCTGTTTGATGGGATTGTTGTAGGGATTATAGACAATGTATCCAAAGTCCATGGTGCATAGTAGGTGTTCAATAAACTATGGCTATCGTGAATTTTAGGGGTGATACCTACAACAGAATAAGATTTCACAGATATTATCTTGCCCAGCGTACCTACACTGCTAACGTTTATTTCGTAAGTCTCTAGGAAAGCAGCATTCGGGGTCAAGCACCTTCTCCAAACCCACCAAAATCCGCCATCACACCCACTCCCTCTCAGACTTCCTCCCAGCCAAAATCCCCATTCATCTTATAGTTCAATCTTTCTGTGAAGATTACAGTACAGGAAGTTCAGAAAAACAGATTCTCAGATGGAATATGTATTACATGGGTGTTTTTAATTCCTAGCAATTAAAATCTTTAGAATAAGAAAGAGAATCAGCAGGCAAATTTTAAACATCTCCAATGAAGCTCCACTGTGAGGAAGCAGGACTCAAGACATCTGAGATAAAGCTGCTTTTTCTGGGACTGGGAACAGCTGGGACAGTCGGGTTCTTGCAAAGTCTTTTCAGAGATGAGCGATGGGTTTGCAAGGACAGTCATAAATGTCCATTATCCTGAGGAACTCCAATGTGCACTGTATAATCCACGGTTTCACAAAGTATTCTAAAACATACAAAGATTCGCACATTGTTTCTAAAATCCCTTGACCCCGTTCCTTCCATCCCAAAGTCTGACGTTTCTTTCTTGGAGTTTTCAAGGTTTCATCTCCTAGGAAATTAGTTATACTTCTATGATTATCATAGCATGTGCATTCAGATCACCTGAGGATCTTGTTAACATGCACATTCCAATTCTGGAGGTCTTGGGGAAGATCCTGGGACTCTACATTTCTCACAAGCTCACAGGCAATGTCATTGCTGGAGGTTGGCTCACTGAGAGAGGAGATGCATAAGAGAACAAGTGGGTGAATCAGGTCAAAGATTCATAGAAGGGAACCACACATTTGCAAGTTTTTCCTCTCCATTATGCTTTTTTTTCTGTAAATGCTACTTTTAAATTAGGCTGAAAATCAAAGAACTCTATTTAAATCAAATTAGAGCAAAGAGGAAGACTTAAAGAAAACAAATGACTACAGAGTTGTTCCTCTGAACCAGTTTTAACCATCTTCACTGGCATTAAAATGGCTCCAGTCCTCTATTTCCAGTCTCTGGGACTCTCTGGGTCAAGTCCCCAGTGCTGCCTGCGACCTGGCAACCTCACTCAATACCCACCAACTACTCAATCCCTTCCTGTCTCTTTGCTTGAGGAAGAATATACTTTTCCGTTCCACTTGGCTAGCAAAACTGGGAAGGGGAAGAAAATGTCCCCTGGAGGAAATGGGTGGTGAGACTCAGCATCTTCTCTCGTGCACCACCCACCTCCCAGCCCATGCTCCAGCAGCCTGAACTACAAGCAGTGTCTGAAACTTCCATGCTTCCAGTCTTTATGCAGCCCTTTCTCGGAATGCCATTGCATCCTAACTACCTCCTTTTCTTTAGAGCTGTCATCCTCTAATCTCAGAGACAGAAAGCTCTGGGATGTCCTTCCACTGCTACTCCTCCTCCCGCCACCATGCTCCCTGAGCACCTAGCTGATTGGGATCACAGAGGCTTAAAACCTACCCAGCAGGATATGGAAAATTTTAAACGATTAACGTGAACCAATCAACTGTCTCGTGTATGTGTATACAGAGAGTGTGTGTGAGTGCGAGTGTGTGTGTGAGCACACTTAGCAAATGAGAGACCAAGAAAATGAAATTATCAAAGAAAATTTTGAAATGGAACAAAAAAAGGATACTTGGAGGATGAAATGTGAGTTCTTGTCCTGGATCAGGCAGTAACCACCTGTGTAGCCTTGATAAGCAGCTCCCAGCACCCATCCCATGCCTTTGCCTATACTTTACCCCAAAGAAAGACCCCACTGTCCTTCCATTGAGTGGGTGTCACCTCCCCCTATTTTTACCCTGAGCCCCTCCCATGCTTGATTGTTTTCCAGGAAATTATTTCTGAATATCATGTCCGTGCTCCCACTTGTTTTACCCTTTACCCATTGCCTTTTCGAGTCACAGAGATAAGGGGCTTGTTTGGGAGCTTGCTTCAAAAACTCACTTTAGTTATGCCAACTCACATTTTCTCTCTACCAAACCAAGGTCAAAGTTATTGACACATTTCCTGATGTTATACTATGGCTCAGTGGAAGCTGCTGAAAAATCCTTGGGTAGAAGTTACACTAAAAGCTGTACCAGTCCAAACGTGAACTTGATAATATAGGCTCCCCACTGTCTCCCGCTGTCTCTGAGAATCTGTTGGAGTGCATCTTATGCCTCCACTGAGATTCAGATTCAACAGGCATTCACTGAGCACCTATTACATGCCAGGATGTTTATACCTGATCCATTTAAATCAACCATATGAGATGGGTAGTATCATACCCATTCCATCCAGGAAAAAACAGAGTCTTAGAAAATTAAAGGGATGTGCCCAAGATCACATAAGACATCACACAGCAATAGAGCAACCCAGTTCTCTGACTTCAAAACCAGAACCCCTCTCATTATAAAATGATATCAGTTTTTCACTTCAGAGCTGTTCCTTCTGTGTTTGATTCAATGCTGGGCACCCAAACGATTGTTAAATGCATTTATCTTTGCTTGCATTCATGCTTTGGGGCAAGTAAACAAAGCCATGTCAAAGTACAATTTAAGACTGCATTAATTTAAGATAATTGTTTTTACATTGAGGGGTCAAAAATGGAGCTATATTGGGCTGGGTGTGGTGGCTCACGCCTGTAATCCCAGCACTTTGGGAGGCCAGGGCGGGTGGATCATGAGGTCAGGAGATCAAGACCATCCTGGCTAAGACGGTGAAACCCCGTCTCTACTAAAAAAATACAAAAAAATTAGCCAGGCATGGTGGCGGGCGCCTGTAGTCCCAGCTACTCGGGAGGCTGAGGCAGGAGACTGGCGTGAACCCAGGAGGCGGAGCTTGCAGTGAGCCGAGATCGTGCCAATGCACTCCAGCCTGGGCGACAGAGCGAGACTCTGTCTCAAAAAAAAAAAAAAAAAAAAAAAAAAGGAGCTATATTGAAAAAGCAGTTGAGAAATAAACAGTTTACAGATAGAATGAGATAATTATTACCATGTGCATTAATATGCATTTCTTTTCAAAGAACTTAAATGCAGAGGCAAAGGCAAGAGGTTAAAAATCATCTCTTTCCTGATGAACAAAGGTCTAAGTTGTGAAGAAAATGACAGAAAAACACAGGTGCCTCAAGACTTCAATCTTTGGTGCAAAAACATTTTTTGCAGTTGTCAGGTGTATTTTGAAATTTGTTGTAAGATAATACATATATCTGAGGATCAAGAAAATATGATAAATAGCACTAGCTATATGGTGGCTAACTTAACAAGGCTTCCTTTTGCGAACTGTCTTTATGGTTCTTGAAGGCTTTAACTTTGTTTTATTCACCATGAACTCTAAATATATAACTGTTGGATAAGTGCATGAATGAATAAACATATTTATCCAAAACTATTTTATCACATCAAATCATTTTGAACAGAGTTTAACATAAACCAGAATTTAAACTGGTTTTACAATAGCACTGAACTGAGATCCCATTTGCTCCATATCCTTACCAATCATGGGAATTGTTAGACTCTCGTATTTTAGCCATTCTAGTGAGTATAAAATGGTATCTTACAGTGGTTTAAAATTGCATTTTACCTATTATCAAGGCTGTGGAACTTCTTTTTGTGTGTTTAATAGTCATTCTCATATCTCTTGTGAAGTGCTTGTTCAAGTCTTTTGCCATTTTTTTGAGTTGTCTTTTTATTGCGCATTTCTAGGAAATCTTTATATATTCTGGATGTGAAACCTTTGTCAGGTGTATGCATTGTAAATATATTCTTTCAGTCTGTGATTCACTCATTCTTGCAAAAGCACATTTTTTACAAGTTGGAGACAAACTCATGCACATCCATTAGGGTCCCAGCTCAGGGATAGCAAGGTCCATGGCGAGTGTATCAGCCAGAGAAGCCCGCACTGAACGCTTCCATACCAGATGCCTTGTTGTATGAAGGCTGCGAGTTTCCAGTTTTCATCTTGTGGTCTTCAGTCAGTTCAGAGAAGCTCATATTCACTGGGCACCTGGAGAGTGTACAGGATACATGGTCCTATCCATGACAGGATTCACACTAGAAGCAGCACTTTTGCAAGGAAGGTGAGGGGTGGAGAGATGAGTGGTGCACATGAGTCCATGCAAATAACACCCATAATACTAAAAATCCAACAACCAGCACCCAATTAAGCCACAAATGACAGCAATCCAACCCTATCCTAGATAGTTCCACAGATATCCTGAGTCAACTCACATTTGTCTTTGTTTCTCACACTGTCCAAGTCAACATCTGCACAATGATAAAGATGATAAAGGATGTTCAAGGTCACAGCTAATGCAGGCAAGGCCAAAAAATAACTTTTTATAACTCATTTTACTCTCTTTACCAAAGTAATATCTGTTTACCATGGAAAATGTGAAACTACATATAACCAAAGAAGAAAAATACACAAATACCACTCCATAGAGATAAACATTTTATATTTTAAGATGTATCCTTTTAGTCTCTTCTTTCTGCATATATACGTTTTTGTCTCTATTTTTAAAAATGTGTTCATGGAACATACACTGTTATGTAATTTGCTTCTTCTACTTTGAATATTCTACTCTGAATATTTTTTCATGTTTTGCACAGTCTTCTATTACATAATATTTAATGGCTGAATAGTTCTCAATTAAATAGATGCACCATGGTTTATTTAGCCAATTTCTTATTGCTGAAAATTTACCTTGTTTCCAACTTTTCACTTATATGCAACATGAGGATAAACATTTTAAGAGCTAAATCTTTGAGCATCCAAGATTATTTTCTTAGACTAAATTCCTGGAAGTGGAATTGCTGGGTTAACAGGAATACAAACATTTAGGTTTTGACGCATATTGTCTAACTACTCTCTCATTGAAAGGAAAAAGCTTTAACGCTTATTGAGCAAGTATACAGCAGGCACTGTCCTAGGGGCTTTGGCTGAATTACTTCTGATGCGTTGCAATACCAGCAAGGGTAGTGTTACCTTGATTTCACGTAGGAGGCCCATGGAGTTCAGAGAGATTGAGGCACACAGTCATGAAATGGTAACCTGGGACCAGAACTCAGTTGTGTGTGACGCCGAAGTCTGTGCTGTTTCAAAACTTGATTCTCTCAGCTTCTCTTTACTGTGGTAGAGACGCAGACTAAGGCATTTCTCAAGGGCTTTTTAAAAAGGGTCTATATTGTTGGGAGCAGGGGTGGGAGAAACTGACTGCTATAACAATGTAAATAACTTATTGACTTAACCCAATAAAAGATGATCTCTTGCTTACATCATAGTTTAATGCTGGGGGCAAATTGAGGGGCTTTGCTCCATGTAGCTATTCAAGTACTCAGGCTACTGCCACCTTATGGCTCTCCTTTAAGTCCTCTGGTATCATGAGGTTATTTGGGAGGAGGGGCCAAGCCTGGAAGTGGTGGACAGCTCTTCTGCTCATATTTTGTTGGCTAGAATTCATTGACATGGCCACAGTTAACTGTAAAGGAAGCAGGGGTGTGTGGTGGGGCTGTGAGCCAGGACAGAGAGAATAGAGATGCTAGTGCACTATAGCAGTGTCTGTCACAGGATTGAAGGCAAATGGGATTTCTTCCTAAGCCTCAGTTAACAAGAAAAATCCACAAATCCCTCAATCAGCCTAATGTAGAAATTCAATGTAGATACCCTGGAGTCAGACATCCCGTATCCAATCCCAGCTCTGGCCTCACAAGCTATATGCCTTTGGAGGTAATAAGAGTAATAGCAGCTAACAGTTATTGAGTGCTGTCTATATACAAAGTGTATAGTAAATGATCAAGCACTCAAACTTTGGAGTCAGACTCCCTAGGTTCAAGTTCTGCCTCTGTCATGTACTAGCTATGCAATCTTGGGCAAGCCACTTAATCTCTCTGTACCTCAGCATCCTCATCTATAAAATGGGTGGAATAATGGAAGCTATATGAGGTGGTTATATGGATGAAATGGGTTCTACCTATAGAAGCACTTAGAACAATGTCTGACACAGAGCAAACCTTATATAAGTTTCAGCTACTATTGTTGGGATGATGTGCCAGGCATTGTGATTTTCAGTCATTAGACTTCGGGCCGCAGTTTCCTCCTCTGCAATGTGGGGGAGACAATTACTTCCCACAGAGCTGTTGTTGCCGTGAAGCAAAGTCATGTGTGGAAAGCACAGCCTATAAGTGGGCTGCCGGAGCATCTGGCTGGAGCGAGCTGCTGCATGAACGGCAGACGCTGCTTGACTCCCCGACAAGTTCCAATTCATCAAGGTTTGCCAGTCGGCACAATTGTCTCACCCCGTGCTGCTGTCGAAGGTCACTGGCAACAATTCCAGGCTCTCATTCAGCATGGCAACAATTCCAGGCTCTCATTCAGCATGGGCCGAAAGAAAAAGAATTCTATAGCCAAAGCTGTCTCCCACGCTCACCTCCTGTCCCATTGTACACTGGGAACATGGTGTTGCAGCACATTATTCCACTCCCGAGGACACTGCGCCCTTCCCCCTCAGGCGCCATTCAGCTTAGATTAAAAAGGCACTGCCTTTCCCAGCTGCCTTTCTGAAATATTCATCCTGCAGACAGAGATTCCAGCACATAAGGCAGCCCCCTGGAAGCCCAGGAGTCTTCTCTTTCCAGCAGCATTCCCACCTGGGGGTCAGGTGGTGATGGCCCCAGTGAGCAGCCTGCAGACTAGCTCTGGCCACGACCCAGCAGATTGGCATAGGACACACTGCCCAGAGCTGCTTTGATTTTCCCAGGTCCTGTCTGGTGGCTTCACAGCCCCTCTTGTCCTCAGAAACCCAGAAACGGCCCCTCTAAAAGGAACCTAATTAGTTCTGGTTGCCTTCCTGTATCTCCCATCTCTCTTTCTCTGGCTCCAGCCTCCATTTGTGAAGGCATCTTAGTTAAGAATATCTCTTTGGCACCAAAAAACCAAATGGCCACATTTGCCCTGACGTTATTTCTCTTTGGTCCACTTATACCCAGTGCTGACCTGTTCCTCTCCCAATCCCAACTCCCAGGACACCAGCTCGCTTCAGAGCCCTATCCTGCCACCACCTTCATCAAATATCCCCACCTCACTATCCATGCCCTCTTCCCTGGGCAGCAAGCTTGGTGGCCCTGAGCTACCACACTTCCTTTCTCATCTCTGGAAAGAGTCAGGGTCTCCGTATGTTTCATAAACTACTCCGCATGCTTGCAGATAGAACACAGGCACCCAGATTTTGAAAGATCCCCAGCACCTGGACTATATTTTACCATTTATGACTTCATTCATTCACTCATTCACTTCAATATTTATGTAATTAAATAAATCCTTAAATTAAGTGTTTAATGAACATTTATGTCCAGTGACTGTGCTAGGGTCCAGGAATACCAAATCTAATAAATCATAGTCCTGCCTTCACAAAGCTCCAAGTCCAGTGAGTAGAGAGACAAGGAAATTGACAGAGAAGGTATAGAGTGATAACTGTGATAGTAGGGGAGCAGAGGAGAGAATCTCCCTCAACTTTGGTGGGTCAGTGAAGGCTTCCTAGATGAGGTGATGCCTGGCTGAATGTCAAAGGATGAGGAGAATCAGTTAGGCAAGGATAGGGAAGCCAGGGAAGGCTTCTAGGAAGCAGAGAGAACACAGGTATAGGCAAAGAGGCAAGAAACACTGGAAACCACTACAACCCATTTAGAACCACTAGTGCTTACTATTCAGTGTGTGGAAGGAGGTGGGGCTGCAGTGGGGTAGTTGAGGACCTAGGTCATAGTCATAGGGTGGAAAGCTCAGCCTGGTTTGCCCAGATTTTCCTGGTTTTAGCACTGAGAGTCCCATGTCCCAGGAAAACCCTAAATCCCAGGCAAAGCAGGACAGTTGGCCACTTTACACAAGTGGTTCTTTGTTCTGCTCAAGAGCTTGGGCATTTTGCAAAGGTGGCAAGGAGTTAGTGGAAGACCATAGCAGAGAAGCAGCATGATTGGCTTTGTATTTATAATTTATGCAGAAAATCTACTCCACTGATTCCACCATCCAGACAGAGGGTGTACCTTCCTCCACGTCACACCATGGGATGATTCATAATGCCTCAGAGCACACTGACCTCCAATGCTTTGTCATGAAGGTTCTGCCACTTCCTGTTGGCCTGCTGTCATGGAGAATGTCATGGAAGATCCCCGGAGATGGGAGCTCTTCCCTCCTGCACACCCACATGCCTCATGGTAACCTACTCAGAAGCACTCCACTTCCTGAGCAGCCCTTTAGATCACAGGACATGGAAATTCCAGAGACAGTTCAAGCATGCCATGATTTTCCCAGACCAGCACAATTTCTAGCTAGTGTCTTCCAGACTTTTAGAACCACAGGGATGAAATATCTAATGCAAGGGAACAGCAGTGGCCTAAGGAAATTCAATATGGAGAGAATCCCACTGTAACAAGCTTGATGGGTATCAACATCACTGTGTTGTATTCAAATCTCATTAAGACTGACTAGACTGTTGCCAGAGTAGAGAGAAGATATACGCTATTAGTTTTATTTCTTTGCATAAAAAGATTCCACTTACATGGTTAACTGCAAGTAACATGGCAACAATAAGGGGATGAAGAAGATTAGGTAAAAGGGATGTGTTATGCAGGAGCCTGGAAGGTAAAAACCATCATGGCCGTATTTATCCCTTTTGCAACTATAATAAATTATATTAATTATATAATTTTATTATATATGTCTATAACTATAGATACTAAAGCTAACCAAGATGTTAATTAAATCTGTTTTTGGAATGGTGTTTGGTGATTTGGAAGAGCCTGTTAAATTATTGGTGCTGGCGGGAGTAGAAATGCTTCCTGGGAAGACACTGTTGGCAGGTGAGAAGAGAATTACGTGGCTGGATTGCCTGCAGACAGCAAAACAGAAAAAAAGGAGAATGCGAGGAAGTCTCAGAGGAATGCCAAGGAAAGCAGGCAGTCTGACGTGAAATAGAGAAAGACCTGGAAGAAGTCCATGTGAAGCTCTGGTCAGCTCACCAGAGCCACAACAGGACCGGGAAGATGCCGGAGGAGGGAAGAGTCAGGGCAGCGGATGTGGCCAAGCCCAGCAGGTGTCAGTAATCTAAGGAGGCTGTCACTTTCTCTCCTCCCATTTCTCTGCCCTTTCCTCCACAACGGCCACTCAGGTATCTGCTTCAGAACATAACTAGGAAATGGACAGAAGAAGGACATTTTCCAGTGAAGCAAGTATGATGTACAGATGTGAATGTCTTCTGAATTTCACTTGAAATTTTCCCTACTTCTGTCATTGCTTCACAGCATCCCTTCTCAACCACCCCCTTGCTCCCAAGTAATAGGCCTTGCTCTTATTCTCTAAATATTAATAGTTCTCTCTCTGACCCCTCTGACTTTTCCACCTTATTACTTCCCTTAGTGACCCCACGCCCAGTCACCAGGGCCTCAGTGTCCTTGCCCCTGCTCACGCCCCATCCAGTCTGTCTGACCCTGAGCCACACTGCAAGTTTCCAATCTCCTCACCACCAGCCCCGTGGATCTATGGAGCCAACTTCACTGGCCCACAAAAGTCCTCCAGACAGTCCTCCTCCTCCTCCTTCAAGACTCAGCTTTGGCAGCAGCCTTTCCAGGAAACTTCTCTGCCCTGCCCCTGCACACACTGGGGAAGAGATTCAAGAGAGGTTGAGTAATTTGCCCAAAACCACACAGGGAGTGAGGGACGAAGCCAGGGCTTGAACTCAGGCCATGGGCCTCTGCTGACACACTTAATTTCTCCACATGCCCAGCACCGAGCCTGGGGTGGGACAACTGGAAGAAAACAACAAAGCCCCTGCCCTCAGGGAGCTCAGAGCGGGGTGCCAGTGCATGACCTGCCTTGTGGACCCAACGGATCCTCAGAAGCTGCTGCACGCCCTTAGCAGCACTAAGGTGTGTGTGCTGATCAGCTATTCTTTCAGAGGAGACAATCAAAGAAGGCGCCAAACCTGTCCTCAGCTTGACACCTAGAGCACTGGCAGACACGAAGTCAGTTTCATGACAGGGAGCATCTCCTCCGTGAGCGACTCCCTACCCCACCCCCACCCAGCCCTCCATCTGCCATTTCAAAAGCCAATCTGAAGGAGATGCTGTTATCACGACCGGCCCTATCACCACAAATAGTGAGGCGCCGCTCTTTATTAAGGGTGCGCGCTGATTCCGTGCATGGCATCTATCAGCGATTCAGTGCGTGCACCCCGCACCACCTCCCCACGTCTGCCAAGGAGCAGATAAGGTGTCTCTCATCAGGAGGATGCACCATAGGCCCCACCGAGCCAGGGGCATGTTGCCAAGGAATAAACTCAGGGCAGGGGGGTAATAAAGAAAACTAAAGGAATACCCCAAGGTGGTGACGACTGGACGTGAAAATGAAGCGGGCACCCCCAAAAGCTCACTCCTTGTTTTCTGCTTGCCTGAAAGTCCATTGCAACTTGGAAGCCAGAAGACAAATGACATGTGTAGGGGGGCTGGGGCTGTGACAGCAGAAGCGGATGGGAGAAATGTGTTTGCGGTACGCATCACTTCACTGCACATGGAGCTTGTCTCATACATACGCTCTGAGAAGCCCTGCTCCTGTCTCTCTGGAGAGGAGCTGTTTGTTCAGACCCCAGACAGCTCTGCCTTGTCAAATGCTGTCTCCTCTGATCTTCCACCTGCCTCCTCCCAGCCTCACCTCCTTAATCTATTCAAAAGGCTGTAACCCAAATGAACCTTCCCACACTTCATATCACTCCCAGAGTCAAGTTGAGCTGTTACACCCCACTCCCATCTCCTTCAGCTTACTCCAACAAAAAGGCCCCTCTGTTTTGCTAAAGGAATGAAATGAAATTGGATTCCTGGGAATTTTCATGGAATGGCAGAACCTTTGCCCTGGGAAGCAGGAGACCTGGGTTATCCTTCCCAATACATATTCTAACCTCCCAGGGCCTTGAGAGTCTTGTCTGTAAAATGGGCATGAACGTATTTGATTCTGAATACCCATTCAGGTTGGAAATCTCCTTCAACCTGAAGACCTATAATCAAGCCAAGTCCACAATTCCCCCTCATATATTCACATATGTGTCATGCTCAGCACAGTGCTGCATACTGGGAATATGGAAATAAGAATTGCAGTCTCTCCCCCAAGGAGCCTATGGCCAAGTGGAGAGAGAGGCATGCAAATATCCAAACACAGCGAGGGGGATAAACATGCTGTAGCCCCGGGGCTCTGCAGGAGCTGAGAAGGACCCCTGAATCTGCCTGGGAACAGGAACAGAGCAGGGTAGGAGTTAGAGGCTAGCAGATGGACAAGATGGTCAAAGGCTTTCCAGGCAGAAGAAAGAGCTAGTGCAAAGGTTATAAGAAGGCATGGCCAGCCCCCATAGCAAGTACTCAGGTGTGAAACTACAAGAAGACATAGATAGCACCCTTCCATGCTCCCTGACAACATTCCTATTTGCCCTATTCTTGCTGCTTCCTTGGGGCAATGCAATCCACCCTTCTAACTTTTTAAAGATCTAATCCTTTCATATTGCTGTTGAGAAAACAAGGCCTAGAAAAAGGACAGAGATTGCTGGGAGCCAGAACCAGGTCTCCTGATGCTTGTCTGGGGCACTTTCCCCACGCCATGTTTTACAGCCTTCTCTGGGTCACCTTACCACTCAAAGTTCCTTCACTGGGAATGCCTTTCCCTTTTTAGCTAGCTCTGCCCTACTACTTTCTTGACAACTGAGCTCAACTAAAAGTGACATAGAAGTGGCCAATAAGTGGTGCCTAGGAAACTGGGACAACCCAGGGAAATACATGCTTGTTAAATACCATACACATCCAGACTTGGCTCCAGCACTGCTTCCTCCAGGAAGCCTTCCCTTACTCTGAGCTTCCCCTCCACCTCAGGCTAAGTGTCCATTCTTTGTTTTTCCAGAGCCCCAGTGCTAATGTCTGAGCACTTGTTACAGTTTACTATTATCATCCCTTCACTTGCTGTCTTCCCTACCAAGCTGAGGGTTCTAGACAGTATCTGGTATATAGTAGATCTTTCATAAACGTTTTGGATGGATAGCTATAGACAGACAGTTGATTGAATGAATGAACAAGGCTGTTTCTTTGGGAAACAATGTGTGATTATAGAAAGACCTTGAAACAGAAATAAGAGAAGTTGGGTTCGAGTCCAGGCTCTGCTGCTCACTAGCAGTATAACAGCAGGTGAGTCCCTCGTCCCCTCTGTGCCCTCGTCTCCTCCTCTGCAGTAGGGGTTTCTAAGTGTACCTGTCTCAAGGTTGTCATGAGATTTAAATGTGATTATCATTATAAAGGTGCTTTGTAAACTCCCAAATGTCATGTACCTATTATCTGTATTTACCAATTAGGATGCTTCACCAGCAATTGTTTTTTTGTTTGTTTGTTTGTTTTTTAAATCCACTTTAATGTTGCCGTAACAAGATCCAGATTATATAACCAGAAATGCACAAATGAGAAAAAGTTTTGAGCAGGAAGTAACTACAGAAAATAGAAAACAAGACTTTCTAAACACCAGATTTTTCTTAACATCATCTCCATAAACTTGCCTTTTCCCTGCGACATATCTGGCTTTTAAGGTCTCAGCTGTTACTTCCCATTGGAAAGATAATTAATGAAGGCTACCTTTAAGAAAAAAGTTCATGGCTATATTGTGAGCATTTATTTTAGCAACAGTTTAAACCTATAGATATTTAATCCTTTTGCCTAGTCTCTTTCAAAATCTCTTCTCTACCTCTCTACCAAGATATTTATAATGATATTTGTGTTTTTAATAAAAAACGAATCTTGTGTGGAAAGGCTAATAAAATGATCGTAAACACACACCCCCCACCATCGCCACCAGAAGATAAAAAATAAAGAGCTGTAGGAATGCCAAGTGATAATAACATGGGATTATTTTGCTGAGACCTTCCAGGGCAGTTCAGTGTTTTATTAGGTAGTGTGACGGGACCTGAACACCTGCACAAGTGAAAACAAGAGGGTTTCATGTAATTCTGTAGATAAATTTAGGTCCATCCGAGCCACAGCATCCAGTGATTTAGGCACAGGGACTGTAAACTGTACCCTCAAGCAGCACTGGCTTGATGGATTTCTCTAATATCTAATTTAATAGGAAGGAGAGGCTGGGAGACCAGTAAATTTAGACTGATGTAGAGCAAGAGCTGAGTTTGTGGGGGAGGAGGTAGATATTGAAATTCAAGCACTAGGGAAAGAATAGGACCCCAAAGAATTTTGCTAGATTGTAGGAGAAGGGAGTACCAACACGGTGCCTGCTCTCACTGACTGGTCTCTTGTTTCCCGGCCTGTGCCCAGCCATCTTCTGGGATAAATTTAAACACACCTGCTTATGAGTGTCTGCAGCAGGGAAACAGTGCTTCTGCAGAGGTCTTCCACCATAACCTCATGGAAGAAAGGGTTTTTACCCAGATTTATGGGACTGTAACTACTCAAAGCTAAAGGGATCATGGAAAGAACAATTGGCTGCCACAAACCAATAAGTTGGACAAATGAGTATTTACTAATTTTAATTAGTCTTGGGCTACATTTTGGAAGGAACACAGAAGTATAAGATCATTATTGTCGAGAAGGAGCTTCCAATGTGCCTAGAGAGAAGGACATCAGAGTCCATGTCTTGACTGGGAAGCTGGGTGAGCCAAGTGGGAACATCTTGTTGTCAGAGGCAGTATCCGATCAGAAGGGATAGCTACAATCAAAGTCAGTTTCTGTGCACCTAAAAGACTGAGAATCAGGAAGGGGATGGGGCAAGGCCTTGATAGGGAAAGACAGAGACAGGCTCCAATCCAAAGAGAAGAAAAACCTAGGAGAGGCATTGAGTAATACAATGGGAGTCAAATTGCCAGGTGGGCCAAACAGTTGGAGAACAAAGCGGGAGAACGTTATATGCCCTGAATGTCCACATCCTGATCTCTCCTGAATTCATGATATTTCCAGTAAAGGCTTCTTAGAATCAAAAGGACAGATGATTTCTTAACACAACAAAAAAGAAGAGTTGATCTAGCTCATTAAGTCATGGTTGAGTTCTCTTGGTGTTTCTTCCTATTGTGCAGATTTTTAAAAGGATATGTAAAATATACTTGCATAATTGCAACATAAAGTATCAAAACAATTAGTTTCTGCTAAAGTATGTGAGTGACTGAGGATGTCTCAACTATGTGTCATATGTGTTGCCAGAGAATACACTATGGTGCCATGTGACCATCCAGTCAACTCACTGATAGCTCACCCTGCAACCAAGTGCCAGGCACTATCACAAATCATCCTTCAGTGAGGACAGTTACATGGTGAGTCATTTAATAGCTGATTTTAAAAAAAAAAAAAAAAAAAAAAAACCTTTTCGGAAAAATTCTCTTTGGATGTGTCAAGTATTCAGATTCCTAGATAAATTGTCATCTGCTGGAGCTGACAAAGAAGTATGGGTGCCAAGTTCATTGATACATAGTGAAAAACAAGAAAGCAAGATTATGTGTGAAGTCAGAAAAGCATGTGTTTTCGAGAAAGAGAAAACAAGACTGGTGATACGTGTGGTAAATTATGGTCATGATAACATTATTATAATTGCTATAAAATGTACATACTGAGTTTTGTTATCTGGACAATTAAGAAAGATCTACTGTTATTTTTAAGTTATAAATTATTATAAAAATAACTCAATGCCTTGTTTTCATACAGGTTATCTTGACTAAAACTATTTCCCCCTTTTCTGAGGGGGGAAAAAAGCAGGTGATATGGGGTGTATTATGTCTTTCAGCCTCCACTGACTCATTTATAAAACTAGAGGTGACACCTACCTGTCATATTTTCTTTCATTCAACATGTAACAAATATTCACTGGCCCCAGGCCACATGCAGCCACATTCTAGGTTCAGGGCTATAGCGACAATCATGAAGATAATGCTTTTGCCTTTGTGAATTTTATGTCTAAGGAGAGAGACAGTCAATGAACAGGTATATAATAAGCATGCAATATCATTTTAGGTAGGACAAGTGCTATGACAAAAAAACAAACAAACAAAAAACAGGGAGGGTAAGAGGCTACAGAGTGGAAGATGGGGTCCTGCAGGAGGGACTAGTTTGGATGATGTGATCAGAGGAGGTCTTTCAGAGGAGGTGACCTGAAGGAAGAGTGATACAGCCATGAGAATATTGGGGGAACTCTTTTCCAGCCAGAGAGAAAAGCAGGTGCAAAGACCTTGAGGTGGGAATTGTTGGCAGATTCAAGGAGCAGCAAGAAGGTCATTGTGGCCAAAGGGAGAGTGAAAGAGAAGAGAGGGGAGAGGCAGGCAGAGGCCAGACCTTGGAGTGCCTCTCAGACTTCCAGGTGGGGGACATGAGGCTGGAGCACAGGTGAATAGCTGGATCTGGAGTCATAAATTGGGGAGTTATCAGCCTAGAGGTGAAAGGTAAGGCCAAAAGCCTAAATAAGATCACCTACAAAATCCCAGAGAACAGAAGAAAGGACTAAGTTCTGAGCCCCAGGGCACTTAACATTCAGAGGAGGAGCCAGAAGAGAAGACCTTATTAACATGGGAGAAAAAGAAAGAGAATGTGAACATCACATGGAAAGATGATCTGTGTCTGTGGGAATGGTATGGGATAATGCCTGTAAAAGTGTCCAACAACAAGTCGACTCCCAAAAATGTTCGTTGTCCCTCATAGGTTTCAAAGAGAATAAAGTTCTGCAGGATTTAAAAACGAGAAATCAGTGAAGACTGGAGAAAGAAACAATATTCTCCCATCTGGATAAAAAGAAATACAATAATACTGGTTAAGGTTAAAATGAATCTTTCCTAGAAACTCCAACAGCCCAATTGGCCAAATGCTGTGAGATAATTAGAGCGTAGTGCTGATGGGGCCAGGAGGTCCTGAAACCTCGTTTCCACAGCTGTTTCTCAGCTTTACTTATTACTAATATCTCTCAGGCCCGCTCTTTCCACAGTCACATAGAAATAAGGTAGGATTTTGGAGCGGAGGTCAGCCTTTCTGTTTGGGGCCAATGTTTTCTAGGTGCTATCCTTCAAGCACAAAGGGATGGGGACTCAGTGTTAGAGACCCCACTGCTCCCCTCTGCAAGCACCCCCAGACATCTGGAGGGAGGACTACCAGCCCAGCTCTGTTGCTCCTCTGCGCCAGTTAGAAAAGTGGTCTTACTGACAGCTATTTAATACCCAGGCCAAGCTCCATCTGAAGAAAATACAAGCCCAGCTGTCATCTATTCACAACAAATGCAGACCATCCAGTACTGAGCCCAGTGGATGGGGCAGCAGAGAAAGCTCCCAGATTTCAAAGGATAAAGGGACCTGATTGAAGGAGTCAGAAGAATCTCTATTCAGCACTTTTCAGCTAGGGAATCAAGTGCATATTCAGTGTCTCACAAGATGCTATGGTATAAAAGGATGACACCCCTCTTCTACAAATGAGGAAACTGAGGCATTCAGAGGGGGAAGTGACTTGCCCCAAGAGAAACATGATGCCTTTAGTAGCAAAGCTAGAATTATATCCAGGTTTTCCAATTCCTTACCAACAGGGTTAGTATGAGGATTAACTGTGATACAGAAAAATAGGCCAGGTGCAGTGGCTCATGCCTGTAATCCCAGCGCTTCAGGAGGCCAAGGAGGGTGGATCACCTGAGATCAGGAGTTCCAGACCAGCCTGGCCAACATGGTAAAACCCTGTCTCTACTAAAAAATACAAAAATTAGCCAGATGTGGTTCTGGGTGCCTGTAATCCCAGCTACTCAGGAGGCTGAGGCAGGAGAATCACTTGAAACCAGGAGGAGGAGGTTGCAGTAAGCCGAGATTGCACCACTGTACTCCAGCTCCAGCCTGAGCAACAGAGTGAGACTCCATCTCAAAAAAAAAAAAAAAAAAAAAACCTGATACAGAAAAAGGTAGGCATAGTTGCATAGTTGATTCCAAGATGCTGGCCTGGCAGAGCAGAATTAGGGAAGTCAAATTTTGGAGTTGGATGGCTTCCTCTTGAATCTTGACTTAATAACTATAAAATATGGCATAAGTTATTCTTAAGCTCCCTAGCCATCAGTTACTTCAGCTAGTACTACCTACATTCTTCTAGAATTATGGTAACAAACAAGTGAATGAAAAGCACACAGCACAATCCCTGGTAAGCACTCAGTAAGTACTCAATAAACGTTAACTACTTTCAGTCACCATAACAATATTTTCCAGTATTTGAAGGGTCTCGGGCAAGTTGCTTCCCTTTTTTGGGTTAGAGTTAACCTGTAAAATGAGGGAGGGTTAAACTAGAATCAGATGGAAACAGGAAGAACATGGTGATTCAGAATGCAGACTCTGGCCTCCAATGGTAAGGATTTGAGTGCTGGCTCCTCCACACTTATTCTCTCCAAACGGCATTGCCCCGTGGAAAAAAATCAAGATAATAAACAGTATCTACCTTCCAGAATTTTCCTGAAGATTAAATGAAATAATGCATGTAAAATTCTTAACATGGGGTCTGGCACAGAGTAAATTCTCAATAAAGCTTGGTTATTTTGGCTGTTTCACTTTTCTGCAATCCTTTTCCAGCGACAGCAATGATTACAGAGGCTAACCTGCTGCTGTGTGACATTAAGTCTCTTGCCATCTGAGACCCTAGCTTCTCTGTCTGAAAAATGGGAATTGGACTAAAAGGTCTTAAAAGAACCTCCATCTCTGACCTTCTACATATGAGGCTACAGGCAGCTCAGGAGCAAACAATCAAGAAAACGCCCTCTTCCCATGAAGCCATGGAATCGTCCCAAAATTCAGAATTGGAGAGCCCAGCTGGCTGCTGTTACACAAGGTTGGAAGCCATGTCTCCTGGTGCATGTCCCCTTAGCATTAGCTGTCAACAAAGCTGGCCCTCAAAGCAACTGCAAATGATGTATCTGTGCACGGTGGGGAGTCTGCAAGCACAGGCGCCATGTTATCCTCTGACTGTTACACAATCCAGGCTGGCCAGTCCTTCTCTGACTGAGCACATTCCTAGGCCATTTTAGGACACAAAGTATCACAGGAAAGGGAGGACTATTCTTCTTGCTTCCTCCTTTCCTAAATAAACATTCCATTCCATGTTGTAATTGTTCTCCACATGGTCTAAAATATTTAGCAGAAACATTTGAGGAGTGGGCAACCACGTGCCAAAAACTGTGCCATCTGAGGTCTTTGATGCTCAGAGTCTTCCACATCAGATGACACACTCTCACCTGCACAATAGCTGGACCTAGGTAATTAGAACAAGTCTCTGCTGTGGAATTTGAGAAAAACTTGCTGAACAAGTAGTACAATGCAGCTTCCTCTCTTCCCCCATCTCCCAAGACCGGCTCAATGTAAAGGCTTGTCCAGCAAGAAAGACTTAACCATTTCCTCATTAGACATTCTTTCACTCATTCAGGCCAAATTGGTATTTGATGCAACAGGGAAATATGTTGAGTACATTATTAATTGAGCTCAGCAAAGGAAAGGTCGCAGGGGTGACTGGCACAATTACAGGATGTGGGCAACAGGCCAATGAAAGAGCGTATCAGGGAGAAGGGGAAATCGATGGCTATGAAATTATGGAGGGTTATGAATAGTTGGAGGCAATTGAAAGGCTGATATTCTGCCCAAACCAAACACATGCAAGGCTTCTGTGTTCAACCATCTTCAACTGTTTATTATTAAGAGGAAAACTTCTTAGCTCCAAGGCAGCTAATACAGAGAAGTGAACCCAGAAGCCTGTACCAGGTCTTAGAGCCACTTGATTCAAAAGACTTGATTGGAAATTTATCAGACTGGTTAAAGCCCCAGCAAGAAAAGAGATGTCAAGGTGCCTACCAAAGGAAACTAGACTTGTTATCTTTCGATTTCCTGATGCACCGGCTCGATATTCACAACAACCTCAGGAGGACATGGGTTTGCAAGAGGCTTTTTCAGATAGAGTATGCTGGGGTAAGGAAATGGCCCCCAAACTGCCTTAACTGAGCATTGATTCTGTAGAATCAATGTGCATTTCATTCTACAATAAAATGTTAGTGAACCATATAGAAGATTCCCTAGGGCACCTAGCTCAAAGAAAATCTCTGAGGAAGTCACAAAAGTTTGCAAAGGATATTGCACTAAAAATGAACCACACAGCATTAAAACCCTCAGTCTCCATGAACAGGCCTGGTTAAAGATTTCTTTTTAAAAAGAAATCACATTAAGTGATAACTATGGAGAGAACTGCCTATTTTGTTTATCAAATACAGAGTAGACCAGGCAGAAATGAAGTTGTGGTCATTTTATAAAGGTTTTTAGATTATTAATCTGAATCATCAATAAAAGCTTTCATTAAGTTGCACCCTAGGAATTGATTTGCAATGGGTCGTTCCAATGTGCTATGCAAAGTTGCTGTAGAAAATTAGTCATCCTAGACTCCCTAAAGAATATAGACATGACATCCGGGCATCTGTTAAGTTTGCTCAAAAACATATGCGAGCCTCTTTTTAAAGAACCATAATTACATCCTGCTGAAACCTCCAAGGACCCTGCTAACTGCCTTTGTATTACAACATCCATTTCCCACTTAGGAAGCTCGGCTCTGCTATTTAGATGTGCGTTACAATCTGCTTGCTTCTCCAGCACACTTTCTCAGCTAGAGTCTGTAAATAGTCAAGTCATTCCATGCTCAAAGAAGACCAAACTTGGAGAAAGAAAGAGTTATGGTGTGTGTCTGTATACTTTGTTAAAATATAACCAGGAATTTGGAGCTAAATGGACTTGAACGTTAATCTGAGCCATGTCTCCTTTTCAGATGGCACCACTGAAGACCTGAGAAAGAGGTAGCTTGTCCAAAGTTGCACAGCTAAAATCTGAAAAATTTATCTGAAAAATATGATTAAAAGCTTACTTAGGCTTTGAAGTCAGACAACAAATACATGCTCTATCACTTATTTGCTGTGTGACTTTGACTTTTAACTTCCCTTAGCTTCAGGTCCTTTAGTTATAAAATATAAACCGTAACAGTTCCTGATATATAATAAGTACCCAGTGAACATTAGCTGTTAGTGTTCTTTTTATTTTCACAAATATGACCTCATCTAATCCTCATAACAACATTATAAGGGATAAAGGGCTGGGATTACTAGCCTCATCATACAGATGAGAAAACTGAGGCTCACAGTAGTGAAATGGCTCTTCCAAGGCCACACACACCTCAGGTCCAGTTTCTTCTTATACAGTCCTGCTGCAGTAGATGGGAAGAAGCTTGGCCCCTTTAACATTCCATCAGTTTTCCTCACTTCACCTAGAGATGAACAGGGAGGCCAGCAGGAAACTTGCTTGTTTGTTTCTACCCAAAAGCAAACTTAATGTAGCCACTATTCTAAGGACTTCAAATCCTGTAGGACCTCTTGGTCTGGCTGGCTGGCTGTTCCTTGCCTCGGGAGAGGAAAAAATAGCAGTTGTGGCTCTGAACCTGCTACTGGACATTGAGGGTGCATGAATATGAAGCAGAAAGAGTGGGAGAGACATATTATTTCAAATTATTTCAGATTATTTCAGGATTCTACTGCATATTTTAAAGCTAACATCAGAGTACTTGTTGATGCTCCATCAGCCTGCCCTTCTGATCCCCAAATCTGGCCTTTGGGAAAATCTAATTGCCTATTCTGAATGACACGGGAGCCATGTGAGTGATAAAGTTGTAGACAGTCAGTTTGTGATTATGTGTCCTAATGGAAGGAGGAATGCATTGAATGAATGTGTGAGTGAATGAATGAATGCACATAAGAGTTATTTATTCCAGCTCTGGGGTATAATATAATGATGTCTCCATTAATGCATCTTCTGGGAACTCAGTCCTTGTGAGGATGTCAGCCAAGGATAGAGCCATAAGAAAGCTGCAAGAGCTGTCTTAAATACAAACCCTAAATATTGGGCTTCTCTGGACCTGACTTAGGAGGCATTCTAGTCCTTAGGGCCCACAAGGATGGACATACAACTCAAGCAAGGAATAGCTGCACTCTGGGCCACTGGCAAGGAGACCATCCCAGTGAGAGGCAGAGATGACTCCAAGAGCAGATGGGTGGGAGGATCTAGAGAGCCAGTGGGAGCTCTCTTGAAAACCCCACCACCATGAGCACTTTATACTCTTGGTATTTGCTTATTCACTTATTCATTGTTTGGATGAATAGTTCTTGGAGTACCTACAATGTCCCAGACATAAAACCAGAAATATGAAGATGAGTAAGACTTGGCTTGAATTCTTGAAAAGCTCATTTTCAAGTAGGGGAAACAGACAGGGAAACAGCTTTCCTCAAAACAATGTGAGAAGTGCCACTGTAGAAGTCAGCTCAAGGGGCCTTGGAAGTCAGAGGAAAGGCTCCCAACCCAGTGGGTAAGTGGGAGGCAGAGAAGGTTTCTCAGAAGAGGCAACTCCAATCTGAATCTTAAAGGTGGACAAATAGGTCAGCACAATCACTGTGACGGTTGTTCTTGGCAGAGGGAACCGTGAATCAAATGCTCAGAGGCTGTGAGAACATTGAGAGGCCAGGACATTACAAATGGTGCCACATGACCCAGATTGAGAGCCTGGTGCTGGTTCTCCCACCCTTGTCATGACAATTCTGGGCCTCAGTGTACTTGTCTGCATAATGATGACTCTGGATTAATGACCCAAATACCAAAGAGAATTCATCAGACTTAAGAAAAACTGCTCTCAACAGTCACTAAACAAAAAATGAAGAGCTGACACATCATTAGAATATCATAGCATCTCCTAAACTGCAGCTAGTATACTCTAGCTAGTTACCTATTTAATACTTGAGAGTGGGAGGACGGGGAAGGGACAGCAAGTGGCTGCCATGTGTCCAGATCTCACTATGCACATTCTCAGTGTTTTCTCAGGGTCTCTCAGACAGCCTTGGTGCTCTCTCCTAAACAGAAAAAAAATTCCCTGAAAAGTGCTATTCTCCTCATTTTACAGATGAGGGAACTGAGGCTCACGGAGAGGTGATTTGCATATGGTTCCACTGTAAGAGTTGGATCCAGGATTTTATCTGGGGTCTGTTTAATTCCAGACCCAGCTCTTCCCAGAATCACTCTCTGCCTCTGATCCACCACTGACAGCTCTGGCAGATCCATCCTAGGGATCTGAAGCCTTTCTTCAACTCATCCAGCCACATGCTTCCTCACCCAGGGGCTCCTGGTACCCTTCATCTGCAAACTAGCATCCCAAGGAAAGCTACAGAAAGACAACCCAGCTAGAAGAAGCAAGCAGGAAGCAGGAAGAGCAGCCCTGGCTCTCCTACAGGTGAGAAGAAGCCATCCACACCCTCCTGCCATCCATCCAGAGCTCCAGGCCTAGCAGGGCTCCACAGAGGGGCACAGTCTTTGGGTGCAGCTACTGCCTCTTCTCTCTGGCTAGCATGGGGCTCTTAGGAGCCAGGAGCCACCCTGACATCATGCTTACTGGTAACCTGACCCCTAATGACTGCTCACTCCTCACCCCAGCTGGGCCCATCATGCTGGCTCAGGGGAGAGGTCACCCCTCCAGGGGAAGGGGCCAGGTGGGGCTCTTTTTAGTGGCTGCTGAAATGAGAGATAATTTGGGTTACTGACATCTCCCACAAGAATTCCCCATTCTCAGAGCTGTTTCTAATCCTTCCTCTCTGGCTCCTTCAATAATCAGGCCTACTTTCACTTCTTACTAAAAGGGCAAAGGTGGCTCTCCCTTTGGGCTTTCACTCATTCAGCGAGTTGACAAAGACCAGGAGTTTTCAAAGCACAAGGCTTTGTCCAGATGCTTATTGTTCTAAGAAGATAAACACTTATGAACAAACTATTTAATCACTGACTCATGCACTCTATAAAATGGGTCTAAGTATCAGCAAAACACTAAGTGTATTTAAACCCAATTCTAATAAAGCAGACAGAAGGGAAAACATAAAATATAAAGCCTCTTTAAATACACTGAGTATTTATGCTATGACTCTGAAGGGTAGAAAACAAATCTGAGACTCAATCTCCACCCTCTAGCATCTTAGAGTCTAATTGGGAACAAAATTATTGTAATTACCACTATTACTGCTTCTGGTCAGCACTTACTGAATATTTCCTGTCTAGTAGATACTTGCTAAGTGCTTGTATTTTCTCATTTGATCCTCATACCAAGCCCAGGTTATAACAGCTGTTGATTTCCCCATTTAACAAAGAAGGAAGCTGAGGAACACCGAGGTGAAGTGACTTTCTGAAGGTCACTGAACCAGGACTTTCATCATTTTGACCACAGTGCATGCTGTTAAGCCACAGGTGATTCAGTGAAATGATGTATCGGGTAGGAAAACAGGGAGAGAGCTGAAAGGAGTGAGAGAAGAAAGAATAAGAGGAAAGTGATAGAGAAGGTTTCAAATGGATAGAAATGTGAGATGAATCTTGAATAGTGACTAGGGGTAGATGGTTGGAGAAAACTGGAAAGAATGAGGTGAAGGTAGACAGATTTCATTTCTGTTTCCACTAGGAAAGCCAGTCTTACTGAGATTTGCCCAAACATAAGCTATTGTCTTCTCTGAACTCTATCATCCATATCTGTGAAACTTGGGCTCTAAGCATATCTGGAAAAGAACCTCAGATGGGATCATTTGTCGCTCATTCTTTCCAAAAGGAGGTGAATTTCTTTCCCTCAAAAGAAAGCTCAGATTAATAAAATTTTTCCCAGAGATCTTCCTACAGAAGGTGAACGAACGAAAACCGAAATATTGTTGTATGGGTAAACCTAGCTTTGCATAGTAAACAAATCTGTGAAAAATAACAAGAGTTGACAGTTTTTTGTAAAGTTCTCTAACTAAAAGAATTCCATGATGACATCTTCTGTAAAGCAAATCCCTATTTTATACAGTGGAAAACAGACCCTTAACTCCTTAGATTTGGAGAACTGGATGTTCATGTGTGAATGTGGCTGTTGTACTGCTACCGTGGCATCTGTCTGCTCCAGGTCACTGTATCCCTCTTGCAGTCCTGTGCTCCAATAGTGATGACCCACTGTGTTCAGGGGCTCTAAGCAGACACTGCAGGGGCTCTGGGTAGACATTTCAGGGGACACAAATATGCCAGAACAGGCTAGCAGGAGCTAAAGACCCATTCACATATGACTAGGATCAAAATTGGAAGACAGAGACAGAGGGGGTGACACTGGCTGCTTTCAGAACACCAAGCAAGGATCAGTTGGTTCAAGAGAAAGTCTGGCCACATGTTTGGGAAATAAATAAGTAAGCATCCCTCTGTCAGGAAGGAGAGCTTCCTTTCCTGGGGTGGTAGCAATGGCAGAGCAGATAAGAGAACCAGCTACGGCTTCTGTGATACTGTGATATAATAAGAAATATATATGTAGTTCTCATCACTGATTCCTGGCACACAGCTTCTGAAACCCTTGGAATTTCCTGAGTGATAGGAGTGAAAGGAGCACCTTTTGTTATTCATAACAAGCATTTTTCAAGCATACCTCCGTTTATGTTAAGGAGGTGACTCTTTGGTGGACTTCTGGAAAGGTTCAGGATGGGGGCTGGCTGCCAGAGGATCCAACTATGTGATTAGGGTTGGAACTTTCAGCCCCACCCTCTGGGGAGGGGAGAGGGGCTGGAGATTGAGTTAATCATGCCTGTGTTGTGAAACTTCCATAAAAATCCATAAACCATGAGATTCAGAGAGCTTCCAGGTTGAAGAACACAGGGAAGTGCTGGGCGGGTGGAGGCCCTAGAGAGGCCTGGAAGCTCAATGCCCCTTCCCACACACCTTGCCTTGTGCATCTCTTCCATTTGCCATTTTCCAAGTTATTTCCTGTATAAACCGGTAATAAGCAAACTGTTTTCTTGAGTTCTGTGAGCTATTCTAGCAAATCATCAAACCTGAAGAGAAGGTCTTGGGAACTTTCAGTGAGAGGTACAGGTGGTCTAGACATGCAATTGGCATCTGAAATTGGGGCGGTCTTGTGGGTCTGAGCCCTTAACCTGTGGGCTCTGATGCTAATTCCAGCCAGATAGCATCAGAATTGAATTGAATTGTAGGACACGCAGTCAGAGAATTGGTTGGTGTAGGAAAAGAACAACCCACATTTGGTATCAGAAGTATTCCGTGGATAGAAATGAATCACAATAGCAGAGCTTCAGACATACTTGGGTTTGAATTTCAGTTTCATCACGTATTAGCTGGGGGATATCAGGGAAAACTATTCAACCTAAGTTTTCTCACCTGTAAAATGAGGATGATGATAATAATACCTTTGGAACCAACCCAAATGTTTATCAATAATAGACTGGATAAAGAAAATGTGGCACATGTACACCATGGAATACTATGCAGCCATAAAAAAGGATGAGTTCATGTCCTTTGCAGGGACATGGATGAAGCTGGAAACCATCATTCTCAGCAACCTAACACAGGAACAGAAAGCCACACAACACATGTTCTCACTCACAAGTGGGAGTTGAACAATAAGAACACATGGACATAGGGAGGGGAACATCACACACCAGGGCCTGTCGTGGGGTGGGGGGCTAGGGGAGGGATAACATTAGGAGAAATGCCTCATGTAGGTGATGGGTTGATGGGACCAGCAAACCAGCATGGCACGTGTATACCTATGTAACAAAACTGCACATTCTGCACATGTACCCCAGAATTTAAAGTATAATTTTAAAAAACCCTTCATCATCAGATTGTTGTAAAGACAATAGAACAGTGTCTGATATACAAAACGTGTTCAAACATTAATTGTTGAATGACTGGATGATCAAATGAATGAATTGATAAACAAATAACAACTAATACTGACATAGTACTTAGTAGGTGTCAGGCATGTTTCTAAATGTTATTAACATGTTTAATTCTCAAAATGGCTCTAAATGATAATAATACTATTATTACCCTATGTTATAGATGAAGAAACTGAGGCACAGAGAAGACAACTAAGTTTCTCAGAGTCACATGTCCAAGAAATGGTAGATTTGAATTGCAAACCCAGGTAACTACAGAACCTGTGTTCTTCTCACTATGATGATGGCAGATGGCAAGTGTCCAATAATTAAAGATGTTATCTATTGTTACTATATTATTATTTATGCTACAGAGCAGTGCTTTCCAAACAGGTCTGTGTACTCCTGGTGGTATACAACATTATTTTAGGTGGTACATTGACGAACTTTTAAAAAAGTTAATGATCGTGGTTTTATTTCAATGGGTATTAGAAAAATAAGTAGCTCATCAAAACCCAAGATCTCATTGATATTACCCTTGTGACAAAGCTCAATTTAAAAAAAATGAGTCAATTTAAAGACACATAAGGTGGTAATAATATGGTAGAAATTAGATCAGTGGAATGTTAATGTCTAATAATGGTATGTGATGGAAAATGGCACAGGCTTTGGAGTCACATAGAGCTGGCTTCGAGACCTGGTCTACTACTTCTAGCTGTTGGACTTATAAGAAAGTTACCTAACTTCTCTGAGTCTTTACTTTCCCATCTGTAAAGTGGGAACAATAGTACTCTCTTGTGTGTGCTGTTCAAGTGAAGTTAAAGTGACAGTGTATACCTGCACCTGCATTACAGGGCCTCACCAATTGCTAGTCCATCTCCCTCTCCAGCTCATCCTCCTCCCCATCCAGAGCCACTGTCCTCACTCACCTCCTCTCCATCCCCTCTACCTTATCCCCCTAATCTAGCTGAAATCCATGATATTTGGGCATCATTATGGGAGCCTAGGGATTCTCCTCTTAACCCAGCTCCAGCAGGTGAATTCCTTCCACCACCTCACTTGTGTTGACAAGATTTGGAGACTCTATAGGAATCCAAATGGGAAGATACTCCAGGGACACAAGCAGAAATTAGATTTTTTTTCAATTACCGTAGGCAAAGGGCTTCGTGATGTTCTACTAATGCAAATGCTTATTTGCCGTTTCTCTCTTTGCTGTCCTATGGCAGGCCCTGCCAGTGATTGACGGCCACCAGAAAAGAGAGCTCACACATCCCACACTCACGTTTTCAAGCTGTATTGATCTCAGATGGCAGAGGAAGCTGGCTCCCTGGGCTTCATGTAGTGACCTCAGGACTGTGGATGGCATCCAGGGAGGAAGACACTTTAGAGCCCGGAACTTTGGCCTACCTTCTGTGCAGAAGGATCCCCCCATCCCCAAAAGCAACCTAGATACCAAATGCCCACAAAAGGCTAGATAGACCAAGAAGTCAATGAATCTCACACCAGTCCAGGAGCAAACTGATACCCAAGGATAAGATGTGACACCCAGTCATGCCTGTCACTCGAGAGGTGACATGCTGGGATTGGAACCCAAGTCCACTGTAAAGTGTGACTTTTTCTCAGATTTCTATGGACAAGAAATGGTAGTCCCAAAGTAGACCCACTAAAACCTCAATAACAAAATGCTTAGCAGAGGCTGAGAGACATAAAAAAGAGCTCACTTTTAGTCAGCACCAACAAAATACACCAGGTGTTGTGCGAAGTACTTTACTCATTTTATCTAACCTAATACAACCCTACAAGGCAGAAACTATTGCCATCCTCATTTTATAGTATCTAAGCCAGTTTAGCGAGGTTACAAAATTTTCCCAAGATTTCTGGACTTTTTCCCAGGACTTTCTGAGGCCAGGATTGAAACTCAGATCACTCCAGTTGTCACAGTTTTTTCCACCTCATCATTATGCTTCCTGTTTTCCATTGTCAAGAACTCCATCTTCTCTGGTATATTCCATCTGCCAGTTTGTGGGACCTAAGTAGACATTTATTTAAGTATCCACTTGATGCCTGTTTGCTCCATTGGACTGAGCTTTGCGAGGACAGGGGCAGTTCAGTGGGAAAGACAAACATTCAAGAGATGATTCCATCACTCCCCTGACCATCTACCACAAAGAGTGCCTCCTGCTCTCCAGCCTTCTTCTTCCTCCCCTTTCTACCAGGTTTTTCCCAATAGATTAGAGATGTCAATCACTGCCTGTCCACTCATGCCTTCTTCTGGAGCGATCCACCCTCAAAAGCTAGGTTTTATACCATGTGACGCTGTCCCTACCCTAGTGATAATTGACTGGCCCAGGGACAGACAAAGAACTTGGGTGGCTGATCTATCTCTATGGACTTGCTTTGTTTACATAAATATATATTTCTGACACTTGTTAAAACAGTCGGAGAGACTTTATGTGAGACTATTGCAATAAAAGCAAAAATTTCAACAGGGGAGAGATTGGGCACAACTCCAAATATAGCAAAGACAGCTGAGGATTTATAGCCTATGGGCAGAGTGACAGGGGATCAGTGGGTGGAAAATTACCAAGAGGACATGTCAAGGATAGGGGCTTCTTGCTAAACTGACCTAACAGGATGCTTGCTACAGACAGGTCAAGGACACATACATCAAAGGTGGGGAATGAGGAATTTGATCAGGTCTCAAGGGTGGGAAGATTGTGCTAATAATTGACTTAGCACAGTTCTTGCTAAGACCAGGCTGGCAGGCCAAAGACAGGATGGGGGCCAAGGCTGAGATTTGGCTGAAGAGACAGCTCAAAGGAGCCTAAATGAAGTTTAGTCAAGGAAAGAGTCTTTGTCAGTTTCTAGGCACAACAAGATGGGATAAGCCAATTAGATCAATTCATGACTCTGAACTAAGAAACCCAGAGGGAAGTTCTCAGTAGACAGTGATATTAAAAGAGACGAGTAGTGATGGTGGGTGGGGGCAATGAGGATCAGCCTTGAAGGGAAGAGGGAAGAGAAAGAAACCATGAGAAGCAGTGGAGGAAGAGTATTGGGAAGGAGAGAAAGGACCTGCTGAACCAAGACAGGCAGAGAAGTGACCCGACAGCCAAGGAGACACGCATGGCAGCATCTTGAGCCCCTGATTTCCTGAAGCCTGGCTGACACTCAAAGGAACAACCTTAATTAGCGTCTCCTTGCTCAAAGCTGTTTCTCTTGAATGCATTCTATTTTTTGGAAAGAATAACAGCATTCCACCTTCTCTTCTGGGTAAGCATTTCTAAATGACTGGTGACGTCATTTGTTTCTATTTCAGAACATTCCATGGGCTTCAACAGGACACTGACTCTGCCCTCAGAAATTGAGACTCCTCATTACTTGCTCTCACAATTTGCCCCATTGTGCTGCAACATGTAAGGGCATATTTTGCACTGATTTATTCAGTACATCCCCTTTTGGGTACATCTGAGCCACAGTTCTTGCCTCTTATCTTACCTATAAATGATCAGCCAACACAGACATCAATGAAATGACCTTCCAGGTCACCTGTCACCATGGACCCGTGGAAATTCAAAGGGAAAAGGCATGTCTCTACAGTGGGGGTGACAGGGATAATAGATTCACAATAATAAAACTGGGTCTTCACAGTTATGAATCCCCACACGCATAAAGACTCACAAATGCAGAACTTTTACCTCTAAGCAGTGCTACCAGACACTATTTCTCCCATCCCAAATCAAAGACAATTAAAATCTTCTCCTTTCTAAGAAACTACTGCTCTGTGCCACAAAGAATCTAACTCAGAGAGTCAAAGGAGAGTCCTATCTCTCCCTTTTACCCTCTCATTTGGAATGTCAACTGTCACTCATTCATTCAACAAATATTTCCTGATCATCTACTGTATGCCGAACACTGTAATATGTGTTCTGAATACAGAAACAAACATGAAACTGAATGGCTAGTGAAAAAGAGAGACTTTCAGCAAACAATTAAATATAGATTTACACATGTGAGGTGCAAAGTGTATCTAAGAACAATTATTTATCCTACTTTTTAGCTTCTCATGATGATTTTCTCACATCATTAAGGATTTTTACTTATTGCATTTTTAAATTATAACAGTGGAAACAAGGAGAAATATTTTAACTTAAATTTAGACTCACACACCTCTGTGTAAGAGGTGGGAAGAGGGGGTCTGAAGGAACCTTACTCACCTAAGAAGCAGACAAAAACCTGGATTCTGAACATAAAGGCACACTGTTCCCAGGTATGCAGATTGGTACCTCTATGATGGCTTCACAAGAGATGAAGGACATAGGATCTTGCTGTTTGTAACCAACATCCTGATTCTTGTCCCTCAAGTCTCACTGTGACCTCAGAGATTCAAGGGAGTGTAGGTGCTGGAAATGGATACAGCTTTGGGTAACTTTATCTTTACTTACTCAGCTTAAGGAAGAAATCCCCTGTACATCCAAGCCCAGTTCTTAACTTTCCTCTCTAACATATGCAGTTACATGGCTCTGGCTCATTCCCCAAATGACCTCCAATTCCCATGTCAGGAATCACCCTGACTTGGCTTCTTCAGCCACCTGTCCCAGTCCCATATTTGCCTCTGCTTCCTCCCCGCAAATGAACTCAGAATGCAGATGCAAGGCTGCAATGTTGTTCCTCATCTTTGGAAGAAGCTGCGTTGTAAAAAACATCTACTCCTGCTCTGCCATCCGCATCTCCTCTCATTTCTCTTCCCAGCCCCCACATCCCTCTCTTTCTAATTATACCAATGAGAAAGAAGATTAAAAATTAATGCCCTGAGGATGGGAGTCAGAGATGTCATTATTGTGATTCAAACCCCAGGCATGGAAGAATCTGATCCAAGCTTTAGGAGCAAAGTAGCCTAGGATGGGTTTTGGAAAACCTTGATTAATTGTAACCCACCTCTAGGTAACCAGGTTTTTTTTCCTGGTGCTGAGGTTATAGGGGATGCCACAGAGTGGATCAAATGAAATTCAATAAAAAATTTCAAGTAAAAATGCAACCTGTAAGGGCTGTCTTAGACACACTTACAAAGGTTTAACCTAATCCCTACATGCCAGGGTCCTGTATATTGTAATTTAACGTGTGGAAAGATGAAGTCGAAGTAGTTATTACAGGATTGCTACATAAAGGAAGATTTTGTTGTCTCCACTGACTGTACTTCTGAAACAGAAAAGTACACTTTCTTTTAGAAAGATGTGCATAACACAAGTTTAAACCAGAAGGAATTTTATGTGACCTTCAGTTAACCAAAAGGAAACTCAAATGCAGTAGCAGCAGCCACCCACCCCCATCCCCATTTTACTCCTCCAATAGGCCTCTTACAGGGATTTTTGCAAAATAATGCAAGGGAAACATATGATAAGAATTATAATAGATATCATTTAATACTTATGTGCTAAGTACTGTGTTAAATCTTCAAGTACATTATATCTCATAATCCTCACCAAAAGTTTTATTATTAGCATCCTAATTTTCATAATGAAAATGGAGAGGCTAGAAAGGTTAAATAAATTATCCCCTTAATAAAGCCTCAAAGTTATGTGATTAACAAATACCAAACAACCTAGGTGACATTGCTGCTCTTTCTCCCTCCAGTTTAAAACCATACTTCAGATAGTTTAAGAAAGGAATAAATAATGACACAGTACAGACCAATAGGATAAAATTAAGTCTAAAGAGATCAGGTAAGTAAAAGGGCTTTAACAAATGTGCCAATCCTGGATCTCTACACAGGATGCCAGTGGGAAGGCTGGCACTGCATACCACTTAGCATTAAATTTCATCCTTCTTTTGTGCTGAGGACTCAATGATTTGGTTTCTGGAAGCCAGGTTGGGATAGAGCTGCAAAGCCAAAGTAAATTCAGTTTACTTATGTTCAGAGCTATCCTTGTGCAATTTACATGAATCTGTCAAATAAATGGAGAATGGCCACCTATGAGGGTGCCTGAATCATTGTTCAACTTCTAGCGGCTTTAAGGACCAAAAATAACCCAACTTTTCCAGCATCATTAAAATCAGGTCCAGAAAAATGTCAAATTGTCTTCACTGTTGAAAATTAAGCCAAAATAAAAAATATCAGCATTCATTTCTGCTGATTGAAGAAGGCCGTTTTATTCCCTGGAAAACAATCCTAATACAGCCACAGTGGGGGTTAAGGTTTCATGAATGTTTGGGAAATGCAATTCAGTCCATAACAGCCAGCATCCATCCCAGCTGCAGCCCCCCAAAAGGCCACATGGTTCCCCTGTGAGCTGCTTATTTAGTTCTCTCTTCAGTGTGCCTTTCACTTGGCCCCTTATAGGCAGAGCTCACGTTCCCCCTCCTCCAGAGAAGTCCTCCCTGACCTCTCCAAACCAGAAGGATGCTTACCTAATAACACAGTCACTGCTGATTGAATTGCCTCCCCCAAGACACTGGAAGTGCCCAGAAACAGGAGACAATATCTAAGCTCATCATCATGATCCCAGTGCCTCATGCTGCGGCTGGCTGGCACACAGTAGGTACTCAACAAAGTAGGATGAATGAATAAATGAATGAATGAAGACTAATCATGCTATCTCACATTCTCTTCATTGAGATGAAGGCTGGGAATTGGTCTGACCCCTTTGCCATCCTCCCCCCTGACCCTATACCTGAGTCAGGTCTCAAAGCTTACTGAATGGAGTTGCATCTGGCTACAGTCTCTCTCCTTTCGTCTTCAGTGATATTTTAAATGTGCTGTGGTAGGTCCTCACTGTCCATCCTAAGCTCTTGCTTAACACTCCCTTCATTCATGTCAGGAAGACAGGTGGGCCCTACAGGCAGTGACCTGTCAGAAGGCAGATCAGTTGTAACTAACTGCTGCTACCTCCAGCTCCAAAGGAGCAGCAGCAAACACTGGCCCAGTCCAGGAAACAAGCATTTCAGCTCATCTGGGGAGCTGGGGCTGAAGCCTCATCCTCACCTAACATGTCAGTATCCATCAATCCAGACCCCTAACCACACCTTCAATGCCCCAGAGCTCATATCACTATGGCCAAGGAAAATCCCTCTAATGTAGCCCAGCCTCACTACTGGCCTGGGATTGACCTTGGGGAGGGTGGTGGCATGCAGCCCTGACTTGCTGAATGACATGGGCATTGTTCCCGGGTAAACAAAACATCTGTAAGATGTCATACAGTTACCATGCAGGACTGAAGAAAGAGAAATGGAAACAAGGGAGCCAGCCAGGAAACTATGTCACCATCCAGGCAAGAATTCCTGGACCTTAAACTAGGGTGGTAGCAGTGAGACTAGAAATTCCACTACTGATTGAAGAAGGTGGTGGGCCTGTGAGGTGGGAGAAGGTCAAACAATTCTGAGTTGCAAACCCAAGTGACGAGGAAATTGGGAATGCCATTAATAAAAATGAAGACAAGAGGTTGATGGGGCAAATATGATAGTATATTACCCTTTGAAGGGCAGGGCTTGGCAGATCCAGAGCAGTTCAGCCAACCCTAGAAATTTTAATTACACTAAACCCGAGTTCACACTCTCCAAAGACATTTTTAAAAACTGGCTCCAGGAAGCTTTCATGCTGAGAAGTTGACAGCTAGGAGAATATTCAAACTGAACCATCTTTGTCACTACTCAATCATCAAGCATCTTTAAAAAAAAAAAAAAAAACAACCAACAATTCTTATTTTACAATGTTCATCCGCTGTGGGAAACCTCTGTCTGTGAAGGACAAACTTCTAAAGAAGAGTAGAGAAAAATCAATCAAAAAGTCATTCCCTTGACTGATCAATAGGTGTCTGTCAGGAAAATTTTACTTCGCCAATCTATGCTAGTTAAGTAGGTTCTTAGAGCACTGAACAATACTTACCTCATTGAATTTCTCTATGCAGAAGCCCCCTGTCTCCCCGGCTTTTTCCTCACTTCAGCACAGAATTTGAATCTGACAAGAGTTAGGGATGCATAGAGAGCTACCATCTATATGTGGCACCCAGGTAAGTCTTCAAAGGAATAGGGAGGAGCTTTGAGAGCTCTGAATGATAACCTCTCCTGGCACAGGGGACAAGTGGGCACATTCACATCTGAGAGCTGCCTCCTGATCTTCCCACAGCCAGCCGCTAAGGTCTCTGCTCAGAAGACACCTCCTCAGGGAGACATCCCCTTATACCAGCTAAAGCTCATCCTCTTGGGGCAAGAGAAGAGGTCTAGATCTTAATACCTTATGCATCTGTGGCTGCATAGGTGTGTATGAGGTAGAAAAATTCATCTTCATTGATTTGTAAACTTTAAAAGCACACACTTTACTGAATCTAAGTTATGCATCAATTAAAAGGGAAATTCAAGAATAATCATAAATATGAAATGTATACCTCTCTCACTCACTACACCAACTTTGCCCTATTAATTTTCTTTAAGGCATAGGCCAGTGTCTGGAAATTGATGGTGTAGTTATTTGCCTGTTGTTGGCTCTTCAGAAAGGTACTGTCTACCACAGTGGCCCCTAGCCACATGCAGCTATTGAAGTTTAAACTAATTATAACTCAATAAAATTTAAAATTTGGCCACACTAGTAACATTTCAAGTGCTCCGTAGCCAGATATGGCTAGTGGCTACTGATTTGTACAGTGCACGAATAGAACATTTCCATCATTGCAGGAAGTTCTGTTGGAGAGCACTGATCTAAAACATAGGCTTCAAGAAAAAAGTGGCTTTGTATGTCTGGTTTATATTTAGCTCTTAGAAAGGTGCCTGGCACAAGGAGGCACTTCATAAATACTTCTTGAATAGATGAATACTGGAATTATGTAATATCAAAAAACAGAGCCCAAACCAAAAACCTGGAAACATCCTAAATATACATCTATAAGGGATTAATAATATAAATTTTGGCACTTCTACAGTGTAACTCTATCCAGTGACTAGAAGGCATGATTTGGGTGTGTATGTAAGGACTCAGACAGGCACCCACATTATTTTAAATGACAAAGCAAGCTTCCTAAAAATATGTATGGCATGAATCCATTTTATTAAGAAACACAAACCAAAAAAAGTCAAGAATAATATGTACAAAACTGTTAATAGCAGTCACTGCTGGATAGAATTAGAGAAATGAGAAATTTATATTCTGTATTCTTCTATAACATTCAGATTTGTGATGTGTATGTATGACTTGAGTATTTTTTTAAGGATTTAAAACAAAATCACATGCAGCCCTCTAAGAACAAAAGGAAAAAAAGAAAGCCCACATTGCAATCTATCCCAAGGATATGTGGAACATTTCTTAAATATTTACCAAGTGCCAAAGTCCTTCCCAGCTACATTCCATTTAATCTTAATAATATCCCTATAATAAAATCCCCATTGTCCTATGTTGAAAATGTAGACTCTAAAAATCAGAGAGGTTAAGGAGGTTTCCCAGGGTTGCACAGCTAACACACAGCACCATTGGCATTTGAACCCAGGTCTCTAGTTCTATATTCCATGACGCTTTTCACTGCAGAAGGTATATGCACGTACCCACAAACAGCCAGATCCTATTTGGCCCTAAACTAGCCATTTCATCCACATGAAACCCCCAGCAATCACCAAGCTACAACCAGGTGCATGAGAAGTGGCTTTTCCTCTTGGGACATTGGGAAATACAGCAAAATTGGATCTAGCTAGCCCTCTGCCTTGTCTCTTGACTTATCTCACAATTGTCTTTCGCTAAACATCTCTTACACACAGACAGAAATGCCAGGAGGATCTGGTGCCAATGAATGCTTGGTAACTTAAGCATGCTGGTGGAGACTTCCCAGCTCTCCAGCAGATGCCTCGATTGTGCCTTTGTTGGATTTTCAGCCAATCCCCCCTGAAGAGGAGTTTTCAGTTCACCCGAGGTATATGAGCCAAAACACTGTAGAGTCGCCTTTCAGCTTCGTGGACAAGACATTCCAGGCTGCACGCTGAGAGGCTTGTTTAGCTTCACACTTGACGCAAATGGGGTGTATGTTTACCCACAAACACACACATGCACACACCAACAGAAGCTGCTGCCGCCAACAGAAGCTACTGCAGTGGCGGTATTTCTAGAAGCCCAGAAACTGTACTCTGGGCAATGTGGAACTCGATCACAATGCCTATCAGGAAAAACAATCTAATTCTTTCTACACAAAGTTTCAACCACAGCCCAGAAAATTCAGTAGAAGATGAAATGTAATACTCTGTTAAGCCTTATTTTGCCAGCACAAGTGAGAGCTCACCCAAGCATGGAGACTCATTAAAATGGATCTTACATATATCATTATAAATTTAATAATCGCCATGACGGCTAGAGTTCAAGTTAAAATGAATGTCAGCTGAGCATGACCAATTGATGTTACCCCAGCTGCCGCAGAGCCTCACTTGGGGTTATATTCTACTTCCAGAGGCTCCATAGTACATGTGGACCCAACACAGCCAGAGCCAAGAACAGATGGGAAATGCAGACATCTACACCTAGCCAAAAAGAAGCCATCATAATTGCATATTATCTTGCTGTACCAGCCCAATTAAAATTGTCTACAGTGTCAGAGGTCCCAAATGTTCCTCCACTAAGTGTCTGGATACCAAACTTGGCTAATACTTAGTCAAATGCAATCAATCCTGGGTTCTGTTCACAACTATTATTGATTTTTCTCCTATCTCTCTGAAAGCTTCCGTAGAAATAGGAGTAGACAGGTCTAGTAGGTTATACACTTAATAAATCAAACACCACAAAACAAATCCCACTTATCTAGGTTCCCAAGATAGTGGGCATTCTTCCCAAATTATAGCGACAGCAGTTTCAGAAATTGAATTTTTTGTTAGGAATGGAGTCAATATTTATAAAATGTTTATTTTTGATTATTTTTATCCTTGGAAAGTCAGAGAAAATGCAATACAAAATCCTTTTTCATACACACACACACACACACACACACACACACTCACAGAGAGAGCCACATAAAATCATAGGGAAGAGTCAGAAGGACAGTTTTCATCTCCATGTGTATTTCACACTGGGAAGAGTCAATCTTTGAGACTCAGGAGGAGAGGGATACCCACACCACTCTGAAAGAACATCAGAAGTCTTTTTTTTTTTTTTTTTTTTTTTTTTTTTTACCATACACAACATTTCAAAGGAAATGTCAGAAATTATTTTCAGTTCAACAAAAATTTGGACTCTGCTAGAGATTTATTTAACCCTTGCCACGCCCCGTTCTTAGCTATGCCCCAAGAGTGAGAAGATGTAGCTTCAACTTTCTTCCTAGACAACCAACCACCCTATGCTACTCCACAACGCGTCTGCCTTTTAAAGACAAGTTGAACTTTAACTGGTAGACACAGGTCCTGGGTGACTGCAGCTTTCAGACCAATGACAGCAAATGACCTACACTCAACAGGCCATTTTAAATGGCTGTGACATTCTCACAGATAGGGCCAAAGAGTGCAGTAGAATATGTTTTTGATCCATAAACACAAGAGCCAGACAACCACACAGAGAATAATTCAAACAAAACCTCCGCTGTCAGGAGCAACATTTCCAGAAGGTGCTAAGAGTGTGTGAATCCCGAAGGGGGCTTCAGTACAAAGAAACTCATATTGGATTTTGAGAACACCAACATTTTTTGTTAACTCCCTCAGTTAACGCTTATAAATCTTTGCCTTTTTGGCTGCCAGGACTGAATTTTTTTTCCCTTTTCTTTATCTTTCTTCTTGCCTACCAGTAAGTCAAGACACCCAGCATCGAGACATAGCAAATCTCAAGCCACCATGCTACCTCCTTCCGGAGAGAAAGACAGACAAGCATGCTCGATGATGACCACCTATGCTCTCTGAATCACACTTAGCAATCAGCACCATAATCCAATCAACCAACAAAGTTCTGCCACTTACCCTCTTTTGATCTTCCAGTCCGTGGATAACTGGCTTTCTCTTCTGCTGTTGGCTGGACTCAGAAACCGATTCCATTTCCCAGAAATAAAATCCTCTCTCTCCTTCAGCGATGCTTCCAAATCCACAGAGGAACAAAATAACCCACACAAAAGTGATGCATGCAACAGCCAGACAGAGTTCCCGCCAGCCAAGGAAATCAGCACCACCTCTTCAAAGGTCTTCCTGTCTTCTTAAAATCCACTCGGGAACCTCACTCGGCACCACTGCCTTTGCAATGAGGGTGACTGCTGCCGGCATCATGAGAGCTAAGTCTTGGGGTTTTACTTTAGGTCTGAGACTCGCTTCATGAGAGCCCAGAGGACAAATCTGGGCAAAGACAAGTCCATATCCTGAGGCACATACCACATTACTGCCCCAGAAACCCTTTCCTTCACTGTCTCCTTGGCACAGATAATTTATATGTCAATAACAATGTAAATGGGCATTTAATCCACCAAGCTGCTAACATCCACATCCCTCTCTGGCAGCCCCTGACTCCCATAAATCACTGCAAACACTGCGCGGAAAGCCGCCCCTCATGGCTCCTGCAAGCGTTCATCACAGCGGTGGCTCCCCTCCTGGGCTGTCATCTTCCTTCATGGTGTAAGACCCATACCTGAGGAGAAAACGTTCAACAGTCAGATTTGTCTTTTGTAGAAAAGTACAGATTTGAGCTGTCTTTCCCACCATCTGGAGCCACATAGTGAGGCCTGAACCAAGCAGCAGCCGATGATCGTTTTCCAAGCTCCTCTGAGCACATCCATGGACAAGGAAACTCCAGGGGCCTCACGGGCTCCCCACTTCTCACGTTCTGGAAATAAGCACACCGGAGCTGGAAATGAGTTATCTTTCAAACTTCCATGGGGTGCATGATCATCATCATCATCATCATCATCATCATCAGAGGAATAAGGCACGATAGTATGAAGAGACAGGGAAGCAATGGTCTGTGAAGCACAAAGCATCAATATTTTTCCCCCAATTACAGCTGCAGGAGGCAGTGTATGGCAGGCGAGACACCAGGGTCCTCAGGGAGGGTGAGAAAGAGCAGCCGAGATTGTCTCAGGGCCGAAAAGCAACTGCCTATGGAGCCGCATTCCCTGCCTGGGAATCTGCAGATAGAGCAGACACTCAGTCACCTCCCGGCTGACGTCACAGAAGCTCGGAGGGACAGGGAGGGAGGAGAGAGGAAGGGACCTCTGCACCAAGAAAAATATTCACACTTGGTACACCCTCCCATAAATAGTCCAAGAGGTGGGGACATATCTGAGGATCCTAGGAAGATCATGCATCAACAAGTAATTATGAATGCCTCCTCCCCCAACACCAGCACCATCAGGAAGGAAAGGAATGGGGGCTGGGGAGCTCTTTACTAAAAGGCACTAGTCTTGCCAGCATTTGTAATGAACGCACTAGCCATTCTACAATTCAGGCCATGCCAGCCTCCGGGAGAGCTGCGGCCAGATCCGGCCGCAGCGGGTACTAGACAGAAACCCACAGACCCTCCCTTGCAGCTGTCCTGACTGGTGGCTACTTTGGAATAAGGCCGAAGCCATCCCCTATCACAAAAGGCTTCCGCACAGCTCAGTGCCAAAGCAGGTTAAGAGGCGGACATGAGACTCGGCCACAGAGGGCTTGTGAGGGGGGAGGAGGAGGAGGAGGAGAAGGACTAGCAGATGCTTGGGAGAGAAGCAGCAGAGGGGATGTGACTTCACAGGTACATCCCTCTTAATTGAAGGCTTGTCCCACACACGTGAAACACTCGGCCAGAACAGATTTCTGCAAGTGAATTCCCAAGTCACAGATGTTCTGAATTTGGTAAGAATCAGTGAGGAGCAGAATGTTCAGAAGGTTATCTTGTATACCCAAGAGTGGGTGACATTATAGACAGAATGACTGAAGCCCTCTGCTGACCCAGGAAGTAGCTGAGCTTTTAGAAAAAAAGTAGATACTCGCTTTTTGCTCACCACCACTATCTCCACAGCCCCTTCAAGGGATCCTTTGCAAAGGTGAAACCTCAGAATCATTCTTTTCAGCTGCAGACCACAATGCAAGTGAACTCTGACAAACTGGCTATACGTATTACCCTTTTCTGAATCCAATTGAAACCTCAAACTAAAAGACTCAGGCAGACCTAGGTTCAAATCTCAACACTGCAGCTTCTTGTGTGACCCTGAGCCAGTAACTTAATCCCAATCTCAGTTTTCTCATCTATAAAGTGAGGAGAATGATACCACACAAAATTGGAAAGATCAAGATCACCTATTAACACAGAATAGGTGATCAAATGATAATTGCTAACATGTACTGAATGTTTGCTATATGCTTAGTGCTAGCTACTGCTTCATATATTCATTTATTCAGCACATCTCTGTTAAGGGCATGCTGTGTGTCACTTCCTCTGCTTCAAATAGAGATGTTTAGCTTTGTATTCGAGATGAGACAACTGAAGATAAGAGAGGTCAAGTAACTTGCCTAGAGTTACACAGCGAGGAAGTGTGGGTCTAAAACTTGAACCCAGGTCTGACTTCAAAGTTCCTGCTCATATCCATGCTGCTCTGGAAGGAGTACTGCTGTTTGACTTTTCCCAAGCAGGCTGAGTTCAGAATCTACACTTTTCATAGCTACTGGCCCTCCTCATGAATAATAATAAAAGAAAAAAAAGTCCGGTGCCAAAAAGGGTCTCCTGCTTGGAAGGCCTTCTCCATCGGGGCTGCCTCATTGACAGCTCTGGGCTTTCTCTGTATCTGAGAACAGCTCTGCACTCTGTGCCAGGCCCCTGTGCTGGAGCTCCCTCCCGGGTGAGACCCTGTCACATCCCATCACACCAGCCGGCGCACACGCCCCAAGTGCACATGGGGACAGACGCTCTCGCCACAGAAATACCTCCCAACCAGCAGGAAGTGGGAGGATGTTCAACACCTCCTGTGAGCCTTTTGTTTTTTTCTAGGAGTCAGTCTCCACCAGTTCTGGGGCTGTTGCTGTCCTTGTGCTGGAGCCAGAGGGGAGAGAGTCACAGGAGAAAGAGGAGAAGCAAGGATGCTGTTGTCAGCTAGCTAGCTGCCACATCCAGTCTATTTCCTGACTGGGCAGAGGGGACTTCAAGAGAGTATGCCCTGATGTAAAAGCTCTGGTTTCCTACTGCCAGAGAAATCTCAGGATGTTTAAATACACTTGAATGAAAATGAACTGAAAGAAAGGACTCAGGGAACATTTAACTGAATTGTTGAGAAATGAACATGCGTGCTGGATTGATCCCTAAATGCAGCAATGGATCAGCAGCTTCTCCTCTCTGTGTCATAAGTCAGAACTGAGCGGCTGCAAGGGAAAGGAGAAAAACAAGAAGGCCTGGCCAAACTGCACCATAAGATGAGTGGGGAGCATTGAGGGCAAGCCCTGGCTTCTCCTCAAAGTTCATAAGACAAGCCCACTCTTACTGAAGATCTTCTGAACACACTGCCAAGACTTTTTCCTGCCTGGTACAAACAGCCTCCAAAAGGCTTCAAACTCCCATTCCACATCTGCCCAAATCCTTCTTCCTCTGGGCAACCACCCCGGGGGTGGGAGGTTGGGTGGGACGGAGGTTAAAGACAGGTTTGGAGATATAGCCCAGTACATAGATGGTACAGGAAAAAGCTTCCTAGTCTTAGAGGTAGAGGCATCCTTCAGAGGGACCCGCTGAAGTCCCTTCCTGCAGTAAAACTTCATTCCCTGTTAAATGCCAATTTAGGATTCCAGGTGCCAGACAAGTCACAGGCCAGGCCTTCTTAGGTATAACTTACTCCTTCTGCTGTGGGTGTTGGAATTGTGAGCCCAGCTTTGGCAAAATATCCTTAGATTTTCCCAAAGTTTGCAAAATCAGGCAATGCCCCTTTGGCCTTTTCCTCACTCCTGTCCCTCTCTCCAGTGGCTGCCGGGACTGGGGAAACTGTTTTTTAAATCTGGATTAAAGGTTGGAGGGTTGGGGGCCTGACCTGTTTCATCTTATACCTGGAGTTAAGCTTCTAAAAGAAGGGTGCATCTAAAAGAAGGGTCTTTCCAATGGTCTAATTAACACTTATCACCAAAATCGCATTTTTAATTAGCCCTTGGTGTCAATAGGGGAAACAGAAGAGCTTCTTGGAAATCTAGCTTTTCATTAATCAATCAATAAATAAGTTACATAAGAGGTATGAAAGAGAACCAAGGAGGCATGGTGGTTTCTGGGCTGAGTTTCTAATCTAGGGGCTTTTTTGCTTCCAAAGGGAGCCCGTGAGCCGGCCACTTCTGCTAAGCCACAGGGGAGGGAGGGCAGACCCAGCCGCCAACCCTGGCGCCTTTATCTGTGCACTGCGAGCGAGCGGAGCGTGCTCCCGCCTCTTCCCTGAAGAAAAGAAAGGATCACACACAAAAATAAGTCACTAGGGCCCCAGCTGGGCGACGCGGGCTGCCACCGCCGCCGCCTGAGTCCCTTTGCAGGCAAGAAAGGAGCCGGCTCAGCGGAGCGCACACCCGGGAGGCACCGCGGCTCCCAGTGCTCGGGCGCCCCCTCCCCGCCCGCGCCCTAGCCCGCCGCCCGCAGCTAACCGGAGCGTGGGAGAGCGAGAGCCAGGGGAACCGCAGGCCTGGCCTAGTTGCCCCCGGCTTGGCTCGGATCCGATCCACCTACACCACCCCCACCAACACATACACACGTATGGACAGACAGGCACAGCAAAGAGGCACAGACCGACACAAGCACAGCAGATACTCGCAGACATGCAGACAGACACACATACAGACTTACAGACGCACATCCATATACACAGATCACAGAAGCTCAGATCACAGACGAGGAAGCACGCCTCCACAGAGGGACCCGCGCAGACAGGTACTGGACCTACATTCGGAGACAGACGTAGCTAGAAAACAGAGGCGCAGACAGAAAACACACGCGCTCATAGATACACCTAAAGACTAGCACACAGAGAGGAGGACACACAGACCGAAAACACAGAGACGCCTACAGAAGGATCCACAAATAGCGGTATTCAGACACAAGAACCTGGAGAGGGCGTTCACAGACACCCATGCCAACAGCAAACACAGAGGGACCCAGACGCGGGGATACACCCAGAGACACAATCACGCAGAGGGGAACCCACAGAGACACGCAAACAAGACAGTCAGAAACACAAGAACAAGCACAGGAGGTGGCACAGCCTCAGGCACGTACGCCCAGAGGGACACACACCCACTCCGGATAGGGGCGTGCGCAGTGTCGCTGGAGGCCGGGAAAGTGCGCCCCCGAGCTCGCAGAGCAGCCTCGGAGCACTGCGCCGGGCGCCCAGCCCCGCATCTGCTGGGGAAGAGTTTCCCAGCGCATCTGTGAACAAGGGCCCGCCGGCCGTCATCGCGCACGGGTGGCTATGCGTCCGCTCGCCCGGTATCTATGCTGCGGCCGGGTGGCTTGAGAGGCCCTGGCCCTCGGTCAGAGTCCCGCAGCAGAGGTGTGGCCCCCGAGCCTCTCAATGAGGGGCCGGCCCTCTCCCCAACGGCAGTCCCCACCCTGCTCTGGACCCCGGAGCTCAGCACAGAGCATCCCCAAGTCCTCTCCTCCTTGCCCACCCAGTTGCACCGCAAACTTTCCCAGGCCGGTCCCGCCGCCGGGCAGTCCAGCCAGACCCGACCTGGGGGAGGCAGCATAGGGGGTTCCTACCTGCGCCCACACCGGCTTCGCGGAGCCGCCTCCTCCAGCCGGTCTCGCACTGCACTCCGGCCCGCGCTTCTCAGCCGCGGCCGCTGCCGCTGCAGCCGCTCCTTGCCCTCCCGTTACCCGGGAAACCGCCTCCTCCTCCCTCCCGCCAGCCAACCAGTGCAGTTCACATGGCGCCTCGCTGCCAATCGGCGGCCTCGCCACCCCGGTCCCCTTCCAGGGTCCCGAGCCCTTTCCCAGGCTAGGGGACCAGAGAAAGAGAGAGGGTCTCTCCGGAGCTGCTGCTATTCAATGGCAGACCTGCCAGGCAGAGACATGCCAATCATGCCTGCTAACGCCCTTCTTCTGTGGGACAGACGCACCTGACACTTTAAGGAAGACCTGCATCGTTGGACAACCTGAGTCAGAAGATGCCTCCGGGCACCTGGTTCAACCTCTCACTAAATCCAGGAATCCCCTGGACAGGATCCCATCAGGGAGCTGTCCAGCCTGTGTCCAAACACCTCTCTGGATGGAGCTCTCTGAAGCTCCCAAGACGGTGCTTATTGCCTTCCTGATTGTAGAGCTCTGGTTGACAGCAAGCTCTTTCCAACACTGAACTGAAATCTGCCTCCATGTCAAGACCCGTTTGTGATTCTTGGACACGCAGAACAAGGATCCCTGGGCCAACTAACAGCCAGACCTTCTGTAACCTAGAGGGCAACACATCCTATCCCCAAGGTTACCCATCTCCGGACAGTTATTCATTCTTCTTAGCTTACCCAGGGCCATTTTGGAATCTGGGAGGCTTGTGCTCCCCATGTCCCTTATCTCTCTTTCATGGAGTGGCCTAGTACGTAAGTGCCCACATGAGAGGATATCAGGAACCCAGTACTGCAAATAAGACTTGAACTTCTGAAAAAATGTTCTCTCCTCTCCTAAGTTAAGGTCAGGTCCAAAGAGTAAAAGGGGAGGCCAGGCATGTCTGGAGAGGCACTACCGTGGACATTTCTCTCTTTCCACTCCGCCTCCGATCCTATCATCCAATCAAAACTTGCCCCACCACACAGGGTGCCCAAGGTGAGAAAGCAAGAAGTCCTATTGGTCTTGGCAGGAGAGAGTCCTGGCCTTTCCAAAGTCTCCAGGGGCCACCAGGCTGCAGGGCCTGTCCATAGCCACAGGCAGATCTTTCTATACCACCGTCTGGTGAAGACCAGGTGGGTCCAGCATTCTCAGGGTGTTATGTACACAGACACCCCATTAGAACAGGAGCTCAAGACACACACCAAAGCAGAAGGCCAATCCTGCTGCCGGGCCCCTATTTGGGATGCAGGAAGAGATTGGGGCTCAGGAAGGGAGCTACACTTGTCTGGCGTCAGAGCAGGAGGGATTGATGAGGACCAGACAGTACCCAGCTGGATCTCTGCCAGATCCAACCATCCCTCTCCAGGTCTGGTTGTAGGAAGGGGGCCCAGCTGTAGGATGAGGGGATGGCAGAGGTGAGGGAATTGCAGCTGGGCTGGAAGCTCATGCTCACTCAGAAACATTCACATATATTACACTCCTGAGCCCTGTCCCAGAGGGGCCCATTGAGACTGCTCACAAGACAGAGCTACAAAATAAAACCCATGCTCTTTCTGAGCCAGTCAGCTCAGAGAGGCTTGCAAGAAAGTCTCTCTGAGCTCATGCAAGGAAGAAAATCAGTAGGGTCATGGTAGGGAAGTGACATTATGAACCCAGTCATAAGGAGTGTGATATAGTTAGAAGAACACAGACCTGAGTTAGACAACTTGGGCTGAAATCCCCTCTCCACCATCATCAGCAATGTAATCTTGTCTCTGAACCTAGATTTGCTCATCTATAAAATAGGGAAGTTAATATTCCTCTTCATATAGATGTTATAAGGATTTGATGCGATCATGGATGAGCGCAAACTTTGTAAACAATAATATATCTTACAGAGACAGACTTTTATCAATATGCCCACTTTGCCCCTGTGATGGTTAATTTTATGTGTCAGCTAGTCTAGGCTATAGTATCCAGTGGTTTTTTGGTTTTTGTTTTTTTGTCAGACATCATTCTAGATGTTTTGGGGAAAGTATTCCATTAGATATAATTAACATTTAAATCAGTAGACTTTGAGTAAAGCAGATTATCCTTCCTAACATGGGTGGGCCTCATCCAATCCATTGAAAGCCTTAAGAAAAAGATGGATGTCCCGAGGAAGAAGGAGTTCTATATATGTGTGTATTCCATTGGTTCTATTTCTCTGGAGAGCCCTGAATAATACATACATCCCCTTCCTGGAATGATGATGATTTGCCAGGCAAATCCAAGGAGCAGGCACAACCAGGTGGTCAAATCTGTAGCCTGATCATGAGCCTGGAAGTCATTGGTACACGTGCATATGTTTCCCCAAGCCCAGTACTGGTAGGTGTTGTCTTATTTTTATAGATGTTTTCAACCCAACACTCTGTGCAACAATTTTTCACCTACTAGGGGTGGGCAATCTGGGGAACATTTTTCTAAAACAGCTACCTTTCTCTCCTGCCATTATGCCACTTGCCTTAGTCCCCACCTGCATGCTAGGAGCCAGGAGAGCAGAGCCTTGTCCATGGAGATTCTGATCTCTGTTTCTCTCTCTCTAATTTTCTCTCTCTCTCTCTCTCTCCCTCCTTCCCTCCCTCCCTCCCCCACCTCTCTCTCTCTCTCACACACACACACACATAGTGTGATCCCAAGTGAGAGTTGCAGTGGCAAAGACCTTAACACCTACTGCCAACAGCAGGACAGTTTTTGCCTCAATAAAGGATGACCTATTTTTTAAAATTATAGCCAATTACCCATGTAGGATCCTAACCCCAAACCTGACAGTATCACCTAAAGACAGGGTTACTTCAATTTCAGATATTGAAAAACAGGAATCAGAGTATAACGAGGTCTCCCAGAGAATGGAACCACAAGCCTAGGGACTGTAGAAACTCCCTCTATGGCTTCTGGGGGGAATGCACCTTATCTCCTTTTCTGTTTACTCACCTTCCTCATGGCCTAATATGACTGCCAGTCTAAGTGTCTACATCAGGATCTCTCAGTGCAAACACCCAATAGAATTTGCTCATAACCTCTGGAACTTAGTTCAAATTTTCATGAGAGAATCTGATTGGTTGTTGACCTTTGGGACAAGTCAGGGGGTCAATCAATGGTGGCAAACAAGAAAGGGACTTTAGAATGGTTAAGCAATGTCAGACATTTGTAGCACACAATAAAAAGAGGACAGGCAAAAGTACTTACTCAGTGTAGCTTCTGACTCCTAAAACTGAGCCCCTGCTGCTCCTCAGTTTTCTTGTCTTCAAAACAAGAATATCCATGTTGCCCTCCTTCAGAGCTGGGGAATATCTGAAGCAAGTGTATGTGAAACACTTTAGGAAATTAAAGCATGTCCTTTCCTTCACTAATTTAAGGAAAATCTTCCATCCAATCTTGAGAAGACTTGAGGAAGAAGTAACCAGTCTTAGAATTCTGGTAAGCAGACACAGTACTAGATTCAGCTTAGACACTGTCTTACATGAGCTGGGCATCACAGAGGTGAAATCTTAAGTACGAAAATGTTCTGTCATGTCTTTAGCTCTCTCTGAATTGGACACAGAGTCAGCTGACCAGCAGACCAGGAAAGGACATGAAAAATGCATTTTCAACCTTTTTTTTTCTTTTTGGACTGGTGAACTTTCATTACCTTTGGGGATCCAAATCTAAGAATTTTCCCCCCAAATACTTGTCAGAATTTGTTGTCTTCTGCTCTGGAATCCCATAGTTCTTTGTTCCCATCTCTTTTACGGCATTTGTCATGTCATACTGTAATCATCTCTTTTCATATTTATCTCCCTTACTACTCATTCATTCAATCATCATTCACTCACTCCTGCAATAAATTGTATTACTTAATAAACATTCTGAGATAGAGTAATGAACCAGGTAGGGAAGGTCCCGCCTCTCATGGTGACAGTGGGAAAAGATGGGAAATAAATAAATATTAAACCCAGATAATTTGAGAGAATAATTAGAGCTAGGCAGAGAATAAAAATAAGATGGTATGAGAATGACAAGGTGCTACCTTCATTTGGGTAGTTGCAGGTGACTTCTTTGAGAAGAAGAAATTTAAACTGTGATTGGTGAGAAGGATACAGCCATGCAGGATCAAGGAAAAGAACATTCCAGAAGAGGCAGCTGCTAGTGCAAAGGCCATGAGGCAGATGGCAGAACTACAAACTTGCTGTGTTCATGGAGCAAAAAGATGGTCAATGAAATTGAAGCATAGTGACTGAAGGGAAGAGCAGTGCAGGATGGATTTGGACAGTAGGCAGAGCCAGATCATATAGAGCCTGAGCCCACTGAAAGGCAACTAGATTTTATTCCAAGTGCTGCTAGAAGCATGGGAGGTTTCTGTGTTTGGAAGTGACCTGATATGATTAAATAGATCACTCTGGCTGCTTCATGGAGGATTGACAAGGATGGAAGCAGGGAGTTCACTTAGGATGTGATTACATAGTTCAGACAAGAAGTCCACTGGACCAGGATGGTAGCAAATGGATGGAGTTGAGGAATACTTTGGAGTCAGAATCAATAAGACTTTCTAATGGATTGGAGGTTGAGGGAAACAAATCATGTATATCTAGATTTTTTTTACTTGAGTCACAAAGAGAGCTCCCTCAATGCAGAAGTTATTTCTTGTTTCTTTTCCTATGTCCCACTACTGGAAATGAACCAAGCACATGAGATGCCTATTAAATGTTTGGATGGATGGATTAGTGAATCCTTTAGAAATATCTTGTTCATGTCATCCTGGGAAGAAACAAGCCCATCAGAATAGCAAGGACAGGGGAACATCCACTCTTTCTCTTTCCTATACCCCTTCATGATGTCAACTTTATCCTCACCCAAAATCTTTCTCTTCCTTTAAGACTTAGCTCAATTAGTCTCTTCCAACATGCCAAACTAACCTCACTCTATATTCCCTCACCTCACCCTTACTCTCATACATACCACTTGAGTTTATGGTATATTAAATACATATGATTATGCTTTCTTGCTTCTTCATTCATGTATTTAATAAATTTTATTGAGTGCCTACATATGCCAAGAACTTTCATGTCTGTCTAACATATCACTGATGAGAACACACAAAGAATCAGGAAATCTCTGAGAAGTCAAAACAGATGATGCCAAGGTTTGTGGTAAAGACCATAGCCTTCCCAGGTCCTCATTCAGGGTCTGATGCCCTTGGTTTACTCACACTTTAAATGGGTTCAGTTAATTCATTTTCAAGCCCACAACAAATTAGGTCCCTACCTAACTGGGAAACCCGACAACTGTAAGAATTAAGGGACAACAATCTGACAGCAAGAGAGGAGACCAATAGACCTACGAAAAACAAAACAAAAGGTCTGGGCGATCTGGGACCATTTAGTGAATGGACAATCAATCTTACACATCTCATCCATTCATTAAATTACATGAATCCATCATAATGCTGACTCTGAATTCAGCCAAGTTTTATACAGCAGGAAAAAATTCAGTATGCTAGAAAGCTTTTCAAATAAATTGACTAAATGGAATTTAAGGGACAAGCCCAGAGCTACCAAAAAGTTCAATTGTCAAAAATAACTCGAATTATGTATAGCTAATATTTTACGCTGATAGAACTGTAAACTTCAATTTATTGAACAACTCTAAATGCCAGTAGCTTTAAATGCTTGACTTCATTTAAGCTTCACAATAACTCTGTGGGGTAGGTACTGTTATCTTTATTTTATCAGGGAGATAAGAGGAAGAAACAGCATCAGAGAGGTTGAGTAACTTGCCTTGGTCACAAAGCCAGTTTGCAGCAGTTCTTTTACAACCAGATCAAAAGCTGAAGGAGAGAATAGACTGTATCTATTTCTCCTTTTTTATTCCTCTTAATGCTTAGCATAGATCTGGACAGATAGTAAGTTTTCAAAGTAGGGACTCAGGGCTCATTCATCCAACAAATTTGTCCCAGGAACTGTTTTGGCACTAGACACACATTGGAGAGTAAGCCAGGCATAACTTGTCCTCAGGGTGCTACAGCATGAGGAATGGATGGACCTATTCCATAGTCTGTCACAAAACCAATTTGTCGTTGTCCTACTAAATATGACTCTTATTCTGGATCTTTGGGAATCAGCTGAAGTTTCACTCTTGAAAATAATAAATGCCAATAACAGCAAAGTTAGACATTTGTATTTGAAGAAGTCATCACCGCACCTATCTTGTACCTGTTTCTCAGGCAGCCTGCAGTCCTTATTTTATATTGCCACCCTTCTGCAACTTCACTGAAGGGTGGCTTAGTGAAAGTCACTTCCAGTTCCTGTCTGGACTTTGGTATCCTCATCTGCAGAATGGCTGTGGTGGGGAGGAGGAAGGGCAGAAATGGACTGGCTGGGACATTCTTGTTCTCTCTTCCTCCTACTCCTGGCAGTTTTTATTTTTCCTCAAACATTTCTGTTAACATCCTTTACTCAGCACCACCATGGTTGAGTAGCTAGAATAGAAGGAAGGAGCCCGATTACCCAAGTGATGATGGGTTGAGACAATGTAGCATTATCTGAAATAGACAGTGGCTAGGAGGGAGCTTATTGTCAGCTGGCAAGGGGTGGAGGCAGAGGGTGGGCTGGCTCTGTTTTTCTTGCCATTAGGAGCTGGCACCTCTGTGAGCATGGGAGGATGCTATAAAACAGGCCTGCAGTGAAACACCCACGGGTGGCATGAGCATGTCAGTTAGGCTGTGGAGGAGTCACATGTGGAGGAAGAGCCTCAGAACGGAACTTCCCAGGGAGGTTGGAATGGGTAACAAGATTCAAGCTCTAAGTTTATTTCAGTAGGCTGTTTTGGTTTTCAAGGTATCTTAAAAAAAAGAAGGGGGTCATATATGTACTGGAAATGGAGTCGAAACTGAAATTGTAAAACAAATCCAACAAATATTTATCAAATGCGCTATCCTCACTACTGGAAATGCCACAGTGAACATGACAGGTGAGCTTTCTTCCATCAAGGAATTTGTATCCTAGCAGTGGAGCCAGTCATTAAACACAGAAACAAATATACAACCTGGATAATCTTAGATAGTAATGATGACTGCCACAAAAGAAGTAAAATAGGATGATATGATAGTGAATGAGGTTGGGGAGAACAGCATTTCGTAGTGTGACCAGGGAAGGCTTCTCTGAGGAGGTGACAATTCAGACTAGACCTGGAGGAACTGGCTAAGTGAAGGTGTGGGGGAAGAAAGATCAAAGAGCAAGTGCAAAGGCCTTGAGACCACGATGTGTCCGATGTAGTCAAGAGACCAATGTGGCTAGAAAGTGGCAAATAATGAAACAATGTTACATGATTGAGTCAGACAAGTCTGTTCTAAATGCAATGGGAAGCACCTGGAGAGTTTTAAGTGGATAAATTTTTCAGAAGTTTTCTTTGGCTGCATTTTTGAGACTAGATTATAAAAGAGGGAGCAGGGGGACCCATTAGGTCACTGAAGTCACCTGGCAGGAGACAATGGTGGCTTACGTAGAGATGTGAAGATGGAAATAAAGGACAGATGCTGTCTCTCTCAGACTCTGCCCACTCTCTCATCCTCAGTTCTCACTGCTAATTGGGTAGCCTAGTTCAGGCATCAAAGGAGGGTCTGATTGCCCAGGTCATTTCAACATACCAAGCCAACCTATGGGTCATCTCCTCTCTCTTCGTCAAGTGCTCACCTCTAGGGCAGGTAGGAGAGACCGGGTGCATTTAATCAAATCAGGGCCACTAATGCAGTGGGGGCTAAGGCAGGCCAGCCTTAGGTGTGTACTAAGGTGGAAGGCGCAGAAGGTGCTGTGTGCCACATGCAACAACAGGCAGGCCCAATGGTGATCTTAGCCAGCACCTCCATACCACTTATTGTCCCAGGCACTGTTCTACATTATTTAGATATAATAATTCATTTAATTCTCACAGTTATCTCATAAGACAGATACTATTATTATCCATATTTTTCAGAAAAGGCAATAAGCACAGAGAAATTAAGTGACTTTTCCAAGGTCATACAGCTAGTTAGGGGTGAAGTTGGGATTCAAATTCAAGCAGTCTGACTCTTGAGGCCTTGATCTTAACCACTGTTGAAATCTTCTTTAAAGTCTAGCTCAAATATTAATGAGAAGGTATCCTGAACATGGATGTTGAAAAAAAATAGGAATAAATATTGCCACAGCTGCTGCTGCTGTTTTATCTAGTGAAACCACGAAGAGACTTTCTACACTGCCTGGTTTAAGCTCCAGCTCTTCCATTTACTATTTCTAGGATCTGGGTAAAGAACTATAACTTCTTTGAGCCTCAAGTTTATTACCTAAAAGTTTATTTTCTAAAGATAGAGATACCATCTGTCTTTGCTGTTGTCTAGGGATTGTTTGTAAGACAACAATTACAATGCCAGGGGAAAGGTGCTCTGATAAATTAAGAGTGTGTTCTACAAGTAAAAGCTTGTTACTCCATCTGAATAGTGTTTGTTTCTTGGGTGTGTGACTCTTCATTGACATTTTGTTTCTATGAATTCTTCAAAGGGAAGGCTTTTTGCTTTGATGATGAGACCCACCCACCCAAGCTTCCTGTGTGTGGATCACGACCTTCCCTGGGAAGACAGGTGTGGGGACCCTGGCTTGGCTCCTTTGCATAGCACATTGGGAATATTTGCATTTCCAGTGTCTTGTTTCTCCATTGAATCGGGGACCCATTCTATTTTTTTTTTTCTTCCTGTGGCATCAGATGAAAGTGGCCTGGAAGTCAATGCAACTTCCTTTCATCTCACAGTGTGTCCAGTGGCCTCCTAACTACTCAAAGCCCAGCAGGCTAAGCTGAGCAAGGACACACAGAAGAAAACTCCCACTTAGATTCTTTTGGAGGGATTCCTGGCTACTTCCTGACTGGCACTCCCTGACTGCAGCCACACACACGTGCACGCGCACGCACACAGATGCACACACACACACACACACACACACACACACACAGCAGTGCACCCACAGAGCCCCAGGGAGCACTCTTCAAGACATCTTTGAAGTCTGATGATGCCATTGTCTTCTCCCATGGGGTTGGCTAACAGAAGCCTACATCGTCTAAATCCTCAGAGAAAATACAAAAAACTCTTTTTTTCTGGGTCAGTAGGTAAGCTTTGTATAAAAAACAAAAACAAAAACAAACCAAAGATGTATTCTTCGTGGAGAAAAATGGCAGTATGAATGCTTTTACCACGAATCTCATTGCCTTCCTTTATCTGCAGTAATCTCCCATGGGGATGGGATGCTTGGCTCTAAGCGATGTGTAAGTGGGTACAGGTGATAGTATGTCGAATGCTAGGGAATCTTTGAAGCCAGAGATTCTGGCTCCACAAGACCTTGTTTCTGTTTAGCTTTGGTTCTGAGAACAGTTTTTAAATATTTAGGGTCCAATTCCAGCAGGCTTACTAAGCATTTTGGGGGCAGAGGGTGTGATAAGTTTACAATTTGTAAATATAGGAACCATTATTTTTGCTATCAGACTGAAAAAAAAAACTTTTTAAAGTAGCATTAAACATTATTGGTGAGGGCAAAAGGAAACAAATTCAACAAATATTTATTAAGAACCTACTCTGTGCTAGGCATTGCTCTAGGCTAGATTCACTATGGTACAGGAAATAAATGAACAAAATCCTTGCTTCATGGAATGAGCATTCTAGTATAATTCATTGTGCTAGAAATGTGTATACCTACTAGAAAGTAGGATGCATGGAACACCTTGAAAATGTGTATGTGTGCCCTTTGACCTGAAAAGTTGTGCACCCATATATGTACAAGAATATAAAGTTTGTTTGGGAGAATAAAAATTTAGAAAAGAAAAACCTAAATATATAACATGAAGGTACCATTTACATTCATTATGGTCTGCTTTTATAACTGAATACCATGCTACTACTAAAATAATATGGAAGAACATTTATTGATTTGGAAAATGCTAATGATACATTGCTATACAGAAAAGTAGGTTACAAAATGGTAGGTAGAATATGACTCCACTTGCATAAAAATGTTTATGAATGGAAAAAATTTCCAAAAGGTTATTGTTTAATTTAGCAATATTTACTTAGCTTACTTACTGTGTGCCTGGGCCCTGGGGTTACCAAAATGAACAAGATAAGCCAAGTCCTTTCCCCTCATGGAATTTGTGGCAGTTATCTTTGAGTGGTAGAACTTGGGATAACTTTCATTTTTTCCATTTGTTTTTCTGTGTTTTCCACATCTTCTAAACCAATCAGATATTCCTTTTTAAATTAATTTAAATTAAACATAATTTGAAAAATAAACCTTGGAGATACTGTTTGTGGTTCAGGATTGAAAGATGAGCCTTAGGAATTAAAGCACACCTGTTATGTCCTTCCTCCCTCTGAGGAGGTAAATGAGATGGCCAAAAATGGTATAGCCAGAGGACAAGAACCAAAGAGATAGTGCAAGACAAGGACCAGGGTTGAGAAGGAGAGGCCACATCTCTAGCCAGGATTTGGGGAGAAGCAGACAAAAAGTCAAGACCAGGAGGTAGAGAGAACAAGCACAAAATGGAAGACAAGGAGAAGGCCCAGCTCTTTGCCATGAGTAGGGCGGAAGTGCCCAAAGCCCCTCTTCATGCTGCCTCCAAGTTTCGTGAGGGGTCAGTGGGGGACAAAGGCGCAGGATCAGGGACAAAGGTACAGAATCAGGTGGGAATTTTCTGCCACCTCCTTAAGCACACCCACCATCAGATTAGCAGTCAAATGCTGAAAACCAACCAAACGTCCATAAATGAATGATTAAGGTCCTTTTAACACTTATCCCTATGGTGGCCAAATAAAATTTTGAGATGCTAGCTTATATTTTATTATTTTTTCCTTATAATTCCTTAAAGATTTGGAAATAAAGTTCAAGTGTTAGGGATTGGTGGGTTCTCTGAGAACGAGGTCCCATGCCTTCACCCATATCATCCTTCCCTCCATCCCCAAGGCCAGTCCCTGGAAAGAGTAAAAATTATTTTTAAAAACATGGTTAGGGGTATTTGAGAGTCGAGGAGACCCATGACTCACTTCTTTAGGGTAGCTCAGAAAGATGGTCCCCATAGCCCCTACCCCAGCATGATTTCATGCACTGGAGTAGAAGCAAGTCTACTTGCAGTGGGGAGGCTGACATGTAGAAGCAGGAGAGATCGGGGTGCTTCTCCTGCTCTCATTCCACCTTCCTTGAGTAAAGTTCCACCACCACAGGTGTCTGTGTCTCTTTTGTGATTCTAGCTCCCGCCAACTAAACCCTTCCTACAAGGTCCTATAGCTCCAGCCAGGCAGCCTCTGCCCTGGTTCTAGCCCGAGGGTCCTGGCTTCTGGGCCCTGCAACCCCACCATTTCTTCATGTCCCTCCATCCCTCCTGGTGAGAGTAGTTTCCCCCGTAGCTAATCCTGTCCCGTTTGGCATCTCAGCCCTTCTATATCCATGTATTCAATTTCCTGTTGTATGTTTGATTTTGTTTGTCTTAACTGGACTTTGACTAATCAGAATCAGAAGGCTCCTCACTCACAACTGAGATCTTGATGCCCTGTAAGTCCCCTGGGAATTTATCACAATCCCAACAGGAAGAAGGGAGGCAGAACACCCTCAATTAACTGAATGCACCCTCACAAAAACCTGGGAAACCTTTGGATGGTTTCGTTTCCATGGAACTGATCAGTGGGTTTTTTGTTTGTTTCTTTGTTTTCTACCAACAGGTGTAAAGGGAGTTCAAAATAGAGCTAAAGTTATAGAAAAATAGAATGATTATCTTTGCACACTTGAATATGTAGCTGGTGAAATTCCTACTCACGTCATAAAATATAAACCAAATAGTCCGGGTGCAGTGGCTCATGCCTGTAATCCCAGCACTTTGGGAGGCCGAGGCGGGCGGATCACAAGGTCAGGAGATCGAGACCATCCTGGCTAATGCAGTGAAACCCCGTCTCTACTAAAAATACAAAAAATTAGCCGGGTGTGGTGGCAGGCGCCTGTAGTCCCAGCTACTCAGGAGGCTGAGGTGGGAGAATGGCATGAACCTGAGAGATGGAGCTTGCAGTGAGCTGAGATAGCACCACTGCACTCCAGCCTGAGTGACAGAGTGAGTCTCCATCTCAAAAAAAAAAAAATATATATATATATATATATAAAATAAATGCATGCCATCATTTTGACTAAGTAAAATTTATATGCATGTGGACAGATAAGCAAAGGAATAGGAAAATAATTCCTTATGATAAGGTGGGAAGATAATACTTTATTTTTAAAAATATGTTACCCTTTTTAAAATGAGATATTTTCACTATAACTCTTATGGGTCATCTAGAAGCCTTAGTAAAGCAGACATCTTCTCCATCCCAGGGTCATCATCTGTGGAAAATGGCAAATATTCTTCCCCTGGAGCAGCACAAGTGAACAGGGGCATTTTAATTCTGTGGAAAGGCTGACAGAACCTGAAATGTAAAGCTAAAAATATAGGCAAGCAGCAAAGAATAGCAAAGGCGCTAAGATACATGCATCAGAAGCAGGTGTTAGAAACTTTCTGAAGCCACATCATAATTCAACTAGGTCAGATGGAAGGCTTAGATGACACAAGACCGAGAACTGGTGCAGAGCCAAGGCACCCTGAGAAAATGAGGGCAGTTTGACCATTTTGGGGGTTACCTCCCTTCTGAGGTTAGATGACATTGTTCTGCTCTCTCACAAACCAGTTCTTGGTACCCTTCTGAAAAATATAAGCCTGGACTAGAGGGGTTGATCCATTCTCCATGTCTTCATACCCAGGGGGATGGGTGAATGGCCTCTGCAGAAAATTTTGAAAAGGAGACACTTAAGAAGTAATAGCATCTTTTGCCGGATATGGTGGTTCACACTTGTAATTTCAGCACTTTGGGAGGCCAAGGTGGGAGGATCACTTCAGCCCAGGAATTTGAGACTATCCTGGAGAAACATAGTGAGATCATATCTCCACACACACACACACACACACACACACACACACACACACACACACACACACAGAGTAAAAGAATTAGTTGGGCATGGTGGCATATGCCTGTAGTCCTAGCTACTCAGGAGGTGGAGGCAGGAGGATGGCTTAAGCCCAGGAGGTCGAGGCTGCAGTGAGCTATGATCATGCCACTGCGCTGCAGCCTGAGTGACAGAGCGAGACCCTACCTCAAAACAAAAAAAGAAGGAGTAATTGAATCCAAGAGGAAACAGTTCAGCATAGTGGTTCTGATCACAGACTTGGAGCCTTGCAGACCCAAGTTGGATCCCAGCTAACCACGTACTAGATATATGACTCCAAAGCAGCCCTTAACCTCTCTGGGCCTTAGTCTCCCTATGTGTGTAATATGATTGATAATAGAATGTACCCTAGAAGATTTGGGAGAGTAGTAAATGAGATCATGCTGATAAAATGTTTAGCACATAAGTGCTCGATCAATGTTAGGTCCTATAATTTTATGGAACTGCAATCCCTAAGTTTGATTTCTTAGGATAAACTAAAGATGTCAAATGCAATATATATTGAGCCACAGACCGTGTAGTAGTCACAAAAGGAGAAAGTGAAACGAATATGCTCCTGTTAAACCTTTCTTCTGTTCACTGCTAGTTGGCAGAGAGAAGGGAGAAGGGAAAATAAATAAATAAGTAAAACCCAATCAGAAAACCTGGAGGCCCAGTGGAGAACCCTTTACTGAGGCTGACATGGGAAGTACGTATGCTCCAGGTTACAAAGGATTTTGAATAATGTGTGTCCCTGAGTGTTTACATAGAAGTTCTCATCTATTTTATAAGCAACTCTGCTCTTCCCTCAGAAGTTGGGACAAATAGGACTCAGGTCACTCAGAGGAAAGATAATGGGTCCTTGCCCATGCCTCTGAGATCAGGTAAGCATCCCTCACAATTCAACCTGCCCCCATGGCCTTCTGAACTTGGGCACCATTGTGGACCCAGGGAGCTACGATTTGGATGGGCAGAGGGAAAGGAACTGCTGGTTGTTAATTTGTGTTTTCAGACCACACATCCAGTCTCAGGAAATTAAATCACAGATTCAAGCTGGATGTTCCCCAGTCCTGTGATTCTTAATGTTTTGAAGGGCCAGTACTCTTGGAAATCTGATGGAAACTTTGGACTCATCCCCAGACAACACACTCAAGCACGATGCACACATGCGGATGCATACCCTATTTTTCATACTATTTCAGAGTATTTATGAAGCCACGTGAACCTTCTAAGATCCAAAGATAATTTGATTCATAAGACTTTTTAATCCTTGAACAGGAAATTTCAAGTGACATCCACTTAGGATAAATAACAGTATAAAAACAAACAAACAAAACACATCCTTTCTGTAGCAAAGACCAGCTGCTCCCCTTGCTGGTTTTTGCGTGACTCTTACAAATTTCAGGGACTCATGTGGTAAAAGCCCAATTTCCCCTCACATTCCAGAATCCAATCACTCCCTCATGTAATGGCCTTCCTTCCAAATATTCCCTGCGACATCCCTAAGGCACATCCCTGTTGTCCCTCCTAAGCAGCTGGGCAGTCAAGGCAAGCCTCATTGCAAAGCTGTCAAGGCAAAGGCAAGAGGTTACATAATTCCAATTAGCAGAAGCCCCACCAACTCTAAACAGCTCCTTACCACTTCATCATCCTTCCCCTCCGAGGAAATAATCACAATTGCCACTAACATCCTGGAAACAAAAGCCAACAGAATAAACACAGTGCTCTCTGGCAGACCTCAGGATTAAAATGTAATCTCAAAATAAAGTCTAATAACTTTTCCCCTTTTGAACACACTTGGAATAAAATTAGCATATAAATCAAAGCTTAATTAGGACATTGTAACACTGAACAGCACCGGCTGGTATTAAGGGTTTCAGGCCCAATATGATGCATCAAATAAACACCGTAATTAGAGAACAAAATCAGGGTGGTCTCCTGGTAATCAATCACCCAGCTAGGTTCAAGCTTTTCAACTTGAGGGTCATCTCTGCTTTCTGTCTTGTGGATCTTGCCTTCCAGCCAGTCTCTCCCAAGGGATGTCATGCATCTTCCAATCTGTGTTTCTGGCACATCTCTCCAGCTCTTGGCTCTCAAAGGGGAGTCCTGGCACCAAGCAGGGGTGGGGAAACTTGCAGATTGCTCAAAACAATAGTTTGTGGGCTTCCAGAATGAAGCATTTATTCCTTCTATGAGCTGTGCTATGCCCATTATCCAATCTAGACAAATACCTGCCTGGGACAGAAAGTCAAGAATCCCTGAGAACCGTCCCCTCTGCTTTCACTATTCTCCAGCCACATTGCCATCCTTGCTGTTCCACACACACACTAAACAAATGCCTGCCTCAAGGCCTTTGCACAGGCTGCTCCCTCTCCCCAGAGTGCTCTTCTCCCACAAGGCTTTCTCCCTCACTTCCTTCAGATCTCCCCACCAAAATGTCACTTCATCATAGAGGTCTTTCTCACCTCCCTTATCTAAAATAGCACTTCCTAACCCTTTCTAACTCCCTTCGTTGGAGAGTTTGAGGGGCTACAAAATAGCACCCTTCTACTCCGTGTTAGTTCTGATGCAATAAAGAATAAGAAAAAAAAAAAGCAAGGCAGATGGGAGAACAAAATCTCACCTTTATTTCCAGTACAGTTGATATTAGAACATGTGGCTGATATCTGTGGGCAAAAGGGCTTCTGGGTGCTGACATGCAGACTAGGAAGCGGGGTCACCTAAGAGGTAGGGCAGGAGGAGCAGAGCTGGCTGGAGCTTGCCATGGACAGGCTCACTCCCTGCAGAATGGAAGAAAGAAAGAGCAGGATCTTATGTGCCCTGTTCTTTATCCCAAAATCACCAAAAGTGAACTGAGCCCTTCCGCCAGGAGGAGTGTTCTCAAGGGCAGGTGCTCCCACCCCACATGTCCTAGTATAATTACCCATGAGCTCCTTGAAAAGCTACCTGATTTCTCATCTGCTTCAGCTTTCCTGACCTCCGTGAATGCAGGACACTATTTGTCTTGCTCACTGCTGTATTTGCTGCACCGTGGCAAGCCCTCCTCCCTTGGGAGGAGTCCATGCAGCCTGAAGTTGGGCTTGGGTTTACAGTTTCCTGGGGCTGGGCCACCTGTTTGAGGTCATGCTGGGGCACAGGCAGAAGTCTCCTCCAGTTTCTCTGGCTTCCTCATCCTGCTTCTCTTCCTAGTGTCTGCTGGCTCCCTGACACTGCTCCCAGACCACCAGAGCCCTGCATGGGAGCAGAGATCCCTGCCTGAGTCACATCTCTTGAGCATCTGAGCTTCACCAGGCTCTGGCTCTGCGGGGAGTGGGGGTACCCAGAAGAGGTGTCACAGACCATGCTCAGGGAACGCAGCCTGGTAGGGAAGGCAGATGTATAAATATCTTCAGTGTGGTCATTTCTGCATTAGACTGACCAATACTAATGACTAATACTGATGATAGCTTCCATTACAGAGTATCCTCTACGGGCCGAACCTAAAGCTGAGTAATTCACATCTATTAGCTAATTTAGTCCACGATTATTTTATGAAACAGTGACTATTCTAGTCCCATTTCACAGGTGAGAAAATTGAGGCTGAGAAAAGTAAATTACTTGTTGAGAGTCCTGCAGGTGGTAAGTGATGAAGTCGAGATTCAAGTCTAGGTCTGTCTAACTACAAAGCTGAAGAGTCTAAGCTCTTCCTGCCTAACCTTTCCCCTCCTGGGTTCATCTTCTCCCCAGGCTACCTCCCTCCACGCTGGCCAAGAATAAGGGATGAATGACCCCACAATGCTGCAGGCTCGGCAGCCTCTGCCTCTTCCCACATAAGATCATTTCCCAAACAGGCGCTCATCTCTCCCCGTCTTGTTCATGCCCTGCAGGGAACCTGTGTCCTTATTCTGAAAAATCCTTCTCATCCTTCTAGGCCCAGTTCAAATGTCACCACCTCTATGACCACTCTCCTAGAGTCAAATTTAATCACACTGCTTCCCCATTCATGTCAAGAACATGCCCCTATTTCAGTGGTTCTCAAAATGTAGTCTCTGGACCAACAGGATTTGCTGCAAGTAGAACTTGTCAGAAATGCAAATTCTTGAATCCCAACCCAGAGTTACTTCAATATTAGAATTACTGAGGGTGGGGCCAGCAGTCTATGTTTTAACAAATCCTGCAGCTTTCATACAAAAGTTGAAAAGCACTGCTCTATTTTAACACATCTCATTAGAGCCACATATATAGGTTTGAGAAAATTTTTATTCCGGGAGGACCTACAGGGCCAGGACTGGATGCTGTTGAGAGTTTGTCACACAGTGTCACACAGTAGGTGCTTAGTTGGCTTTGAAAGTGCTTTTTTCCCCCAGCAATTGCCTGGCAACCATGGCTTAGTGACGTTAGCAATGACAGCCAGACTGAGGTTGGAGGCATGGGCCTTTTGCATCCTTTGCAGCAGGCTTCCTCCTCTTGTCTTGTACCTGGCTTGTTGAAAAAAAGTTTGTGATTTTTCCTTCATTTATTTCACAAAAATTTATTGAGTGCCTACCAGAGACCAGACACCACTAAATATGAGAATACAATGACAAGTAAAATGCCCACTCTATCCTCATGGGGCTAGCACAGGAGACACATACTCGTCAAATAAAAAAGGCCAACTCAAAGTGGCATTTACATTTATTAGCTTATTTAATTGTCACAAGTAACCCTAAAAGTGAGTAGTGGTGTCGTCTCCTGTCTACCAATGAGGAAGTGAATAAAGAAAGGTGAAATACCTTGCCCAAGTTCACGCAGTTTGCACATGACAGAGCTGAAGTTTCAACCCTGCAGGCATTTGTTCCTGCTCTTAATCACTACACAATGCTGCCTTAAAATAATTACACAACAAAATTATAAACATTGATAATCACTTTGAAAAACAGTACATAAGAGCACATGACAGGGAAACCTTATGTAGTCAGTGAGGGGAGAGGGTGCAGTCAGAGAAATACCCTGGAAGAGGCCACATCTGAGCTGGAACCTGAAGGATAAGCAAGAGTTAACTTGCCAATCAGTGAGTCAAGGCAAGGGTGGGTACAGATGAGGCCTCTCCCCAAAGAGGAATAGCACTTGTAAAAGCCTTGAGAAGGAGGCCTGGGGGAAGTTGCCAGTGGCCACAGCACTGGGTTGAGGGTGGAAGAGGATGTGGATAGAGGCTGAAGGTATGGGCGGTGTCAGACTGCCATGACAACAGTCCTTATCCTTGGCCCACTTTTCCAAAGCAGTGTTGGCAAACCAAGGGTTCCACATGGATGGATGGCTCCACTGTGTGTGAAAATGTGGCTGAAGTGCAGGAAAATCTCATCATTCATCCACTCAGTCATTCAGAGATATTGATTGTGTGCCTACCATGTGCCAAGAGCTGTTGTAGGTATCGGGGACACAGCCCCATTCTCCTGGAGCATATCCAAAGCAGGCCTGGGGAGAGAGGACTCTCTGACAACTGACATTTGCATTCCTTCATCAGCACTGAGCCTGGGCTGTGGGCTGGGTACTGTGTTAGGTGTTCTATTGGATGGTCTGGTTTGCATTTTAAAAAGAAATTGAAGGCACATTCCAAAATCACAACTATACCTCCTAGTGGCTAAAATGGACATCTCTTAATAATTTCAACAACCACTTATAGCTCAGGATTTGAAACATTCCTGAAGAAGCAGGCATTAGATAAATCATTTTGGACTGTTCCATAAAGTGAACTTTGCTAATAGAATCTAGGGTAATGAAATGAATGTCTCCAGACCTGTAATTCATTCTGCATAACATTTACACACTCCACTCTGCTGAAATCTTGTCAAATGACTTCAGTCAGCAAAGCTCAGCCTGAAGAGGAGGTGGAGAACTAGCACAAATTTGTTCAAAAATGCCTTCCAGAAAGCATTTTCAAAAGCTGTCTTCATTGCTTCTTGTTTTTTTCTTTTTTCTTTTTATTTTAAGTTCGGGGGTACATGTGCAGGTTTGTTATGTAGGTAAACTTGTGTCATGGGGTTCTGCTATACAGATTATTTCATCACCCAGGTATTAAGCCTGATATCCATTAGTTATTTTTCTTGATCCTGTCCTTCCTTCCACCCTCCACCCTCAGGTAGGCCTCAGTGTCTGTTGTTCCCCTCTATGTGTCCATGTGTTCTCATTATTTAGCTCCCACTTATAAGTGAGAACATGTGGTATTTGGTTTTCGGTTTTTGCATTAGTTTGCTAAGGAAAATGGCCTCCAGCTCCATCCATGTACCTGCAAAGGACATGTTCTCATTCATTTTTATGGCTGTATAGTATTCCATGGTATATATGTAGCACATTTTCTTTATCCAGTCTACCACTGATGGGCATTTAAGTTGATTCCATGTCTTTGCTATTGTGAATAGTGCTGCGACGCGTGCATGTGTCTTTATGATAGAATTATTTATATTCCCAGTAATAGGATTGATAGGCTTAATGGTGTTCTGTTTTTAGGTCTTTGAGGAATTGCCATTCTGTTTTCCACAATTGTTGAACTAATTTACACTTGCACCCACAGTGTATAAATGTTCCTTTTCCTCCACAACCTCCCCAGCACCTGTTATTTTTTGACTATCGTATAATAGCCATTCTGACTGGCGTGAGATGGTATCTCATTGTGGTTTTGATTTGCATTTCTTTAATGATCAGTGGTGCTGAGCTTTTTTTCATATGCTTGTTGGCCGCATGTATGTCTTCTTTTGAAAGGTGTCTGTTCATGCCTTTTGCTCACTTTTTAACAGGTTTATTTGTTTTTTATTTCTTATAGATTTGTTTAAGTTCCTTATAGATGCTGGATATTAAACCAGATGCATAGTTTGAAAATATTTTCTCCTATTCTGTAGGTTGTCTGTTTACTCTGTTGTTAGTTTCTTTTGCTGTGCAGAAACTCTTTAGTTTAATTAGATCCCATTTGTCAATTTCTGCTTTGTTGCATTTGCTTCTGGCATCTGTCATGAAACCTTTGCCTGTTCTCATGTCCAGAATGGTATTGCCTAGGTTGTCTTCCAGGGTTCTTGTAGTTTTGGGTTTTACATTTAAGTCTTTAATCCATCTTAATTTGAATTTTGCATATGGTGTAAGAAAATGGTCCAGATTCAATCTCCTGCACATGGCTAGTCAGTTATCTCAGAACCATTTATTGAATAAGGAGTCCTTTCTCCATTACTTGTTTTTGTCATCTTTGTCAAAGATAAATGGTTGAGTGTGGGCAGCCTTATTTCTGGGCTCCCTATTCTCTTCCAATTGTCTGTGTGTCTGTTTTTGTACCAGTACCATGCTGTTTTGGTTACTGTAGCCCTGCAGTATAATTTGAAGTCAGGTAATATGTTGTCTCTAGCTTTGTTCTTTTTGCTTAGGATTGCCTTGGTTATTGGGGCTCTTTTTTGGTTCCATATGAAGTTTAAAAGAGTTTTTTCTAGTTCTGTGAAGAATGTCATTGATAGTTTTACAGGATTAGTATTGAATTTGTAAGTTGCTTTCGGCAGTCTGGCCATTTTAACAATATTGGTTCTTCGTATCCATGAGCATTGCAATGTTTATCCATTTGTTTGACATCTCTGACTTCTTTTAGCAGTGTTTTGTAGTTATGGAAGAGATCTTTCGCCTCCTTGGTTAGCTGTATTCCCAGGTATTTTATTCTTTTGTGGCAATTGTGAATGAGATTTTGTTCCTGATTTGGCTATCGGCTTGATAGCTGTTGGTGTATAGGAATGCTACTGATTTTTGTACATTTATTTTGTATTCTGGAGATGTCACTGAAGTTATCAGCTTAAGGAGCTTTTGGGCTGAAAGTATGGGGTTTTCTATTTATAGAGCCATGTCATTTGCAAACAGGGATACTTTGACTTCCTCTCTTCCTATTTGGATGCCCTTTATTTCTTTCTCTTGCCTGATTGCTCTGGCCAGGACTTCGAATACTATATTGAACAGGAATGGTGAGAGAGGGCATTCTTGTCTAGCGCTGGTTTTCAAGGGGAATGATTCCAGCTTTTGCTTATTTAGTATGATGTTGGCTGTGGGTTTGTCATAGATGGCTCTTATTATTTTGAGGTATGTTCCTTTAATACCTAGTTTATTGAGAGTTTTTAACATGAAGGGGTGTTGATTTGGCATCAATATGCAGATACCACTGAAACTGTGACATGTTGGTTTCTCACTGCACACAGAATAAAAATCAAATTCCTTTGCTTTGTCTATAAGGTCCTACATAACATGGAAGTCCCCCATATCTGATACTACCACTCTCCTCACTCCTCCAAACCAACATTTTCTGGGCACCTCAAATAAGTCAAGTTCATTCCCATCACAAAGCCTTTTTTATTGCTATTCCACTGCCTAAAAGGCTATTTCATAAGATTCTCACATGGCTGGCTCTTAATGTCACAGCTCAGATGTCACCTCCTCAGAAAGACTTTTGCTGATCACCTTAAAGTTCCTTACCTTTAGCACTCACCATTCTCTGAAATTTTCTTGCTCTTTAAATTTACCTGTTTTTTCTTGAATCTGTCTCCCCCTACTGAAATACAAGCACCATTTAGAGCAAGGTCCATGCCATATTTTCAGTTTGAACACTTTGACCTTGGAAGCTAAGTGTGTAAGATGCAATGCCTGGGTTCCTGAATCACTGGTTGGAGAAGAGCTGCCAGGTGATAATGAACAACTATTTTTGTATTTCAAATGAGATTTGGCAGCTTGTCTGTTACATTAGCAAACATATCCTTAGCTAATCCAATACTTTTTGACCATTTTCTGTCAGGTTGTTAGAACTTGTTTGATTGATTGGTAGAAGTCTTTTATATTCTGGATAGAAATCTTTTCTATGTTACACAAGTAGCAAATATTTTCTCTGGGTTTGTCACTCAACTTTGAACTTTCTTTACGGTGTCTTTGTTTTACAGACATTCACAATTCTTATCTAGTCAAATCTGTCAGTATTTTTTAACATATTATAGACTCTGTTATATGCTAAGAAGGGTTTTCTCTATACCAAGATTATAAAAGATACTCTCCAAAGTTTCCTTCTAGTTCTTCTATTTTCCAGCTACAATTATTCTTATATATTTTATAGATATTTTTGTTATAAGCACCTTTTCTCCTAGTTGCCTAACTAGGTAATGTTAATATATAGGAAGGTTACTATTCTGTATTCAGCACCTTAAGTACAAATTCTTAAAAGTCAATCTTCTTAGATAGTTCAACCAAACAATTTTATCATCCTCAAATAATTATAACTTTGGCTCTTTCCCTCCAATATTTGTATCTCTCATTTCTTTATCTTATCTTACTGCTTTGGCTAAGACTCCAACACCATCTTGATTAATCCCAGGGACAGTATGTGTCCTTATACTTTTCTTATCTTTACTAGTGAGGCCTCTGTTATTGTACCATTAAATGTGATGTTTGCTCCCTTCTTATGCTCTTTATATTTTAAAACCCTCCTTCTCTTCAAAATTTACTAAAACCTTTAATTAGGAAAAGATGATGAATTTAGTAAAATCTGTTTCAGCACTCAGAGAGAAAGTCATATGGTTTTTCTCCTTTAACCTATTAGTAAAATGAATTCATTAACAGACTTCCTAATGTTAAGCAATATCTGCTTTCCTGGAACAAAACTTTACTCTGTCATCATATGTTGTACTTTTAATACTTTTCTGGATTTGATTTGCTAATATTTTATATAGAATTCTTTTGCAACTACATTCATAATCATGTGTATCTATTTGGGGCCAGTGCTCTTGAATGTTGGAAAACATGATATTGAAAATCATAGATCCTCATGAATTAGGTGGTTTATTAAAAGGATACCTGGGATAAAGTAACAGAATGTATAGGTGTATCTGAGGCTGTTGGTGAATCCCTCAGCCAAGCCAATCTACTCCTCATTTTAGAGGCTCTGCCGATGCTCTGGAACTAGAAAAGAAAACCAGAACATGTGGGAGATTTGAGGTTTGGTGAATTTAATATTGAAGACGCTAAAGAGGTGTTCAATCATTGCAGTAAAAGATAATAGAGGCTAAAGTAACAAAAGAAACCGAGACTGCACCCACGTATCTGGGTGGGACCTCTCTAGCTGAGAATAAGCAGAAAAAGGAAGCATACAGGAAGACATCGTGGGCATTTTTCCTCCAGAATCTTACAAGCAAAGGGAATTTCATCTTGAAATTTAATGTCTCAATGGGACCATAATAATGAAAGAGAGTTTACATTCAAATTTGGAATGTTTCAGATTGTGTGGGTGTGTTGTACATACTTTGTACAAGCATATACAACATGGCTAGGCATAATTTGAGATGGAAATTGAATGTAAGATAAATTTTTTGATAATGTAGAATTACCTGGAGTGTTCCTAAGATACAGTGACCTAGAGTTAAGAAATGCTTTTCTGATAAGTGCTTGAGGGGATGGATACCCCATTCCCCACGATGTGCTTATTTCACATTGCATGCCTGTATCAAAACATCTCTTGTACCCCACAAATATATATGCCTACTATGTACTCACAAAATTGTTTAAATTATGAAAAAAGAAGTGCTTTCCTACTGCCCACATCAGAGGCTACATTGCACATCTGGTCCTAGGAGAATAGAAAGGAGCAGTAGGAGACTTCAGGTGAGCAGCCTCACAAAGGTGAGATCAGGACCCTTCTGATAAGAACAGCGTCACCCCTGGAGGCTGACCAGTGGATTAAGACAGAACAAAAGGAGGGGGGTATAGAGCAAGAGGACCCTTCAGCACCTGTGCCGTGAATCCCAACTCTGCCTGCTCCCTTGATAACCTCACCATTACCAAAGGGACTGTGGATTGGTAACCTGATGGGTCAGAGTCCAGATTTTTCAGTGGGGAATTTTTTTTTATAAAGTTACTTTTCTTTAAAGGTCAATAACTATAGAGTGCTCTTTTCTCCTTCTTACCTCCAATTAGGGCTTCTTGTCTTCAGAAAAAAAAAAAAAAAAATCTGGCCATAGCTTTCTTTCTCTCTACCTTCTCTGTATTTGTCCAAAAAAAAAAAAAAGGGACATGATCTATTCTGCAGATTGAGACAGAGAGACAGAGAACTCTCTCCAACTTTCAGCACAGCTGAACTTGCTATTCCCAAGATTTTGATTTAAACTGGAGAAGTGGAAAAACCCCACTCCTGAATCTAAGCCAGACTCTACAATTCAGCTTTTGCCAAAGGCCCTGTCTTGTGCCAAGCACATGTACAAGTATTAATACGGTTATGCTTTGATTCCCTTTCTTCTGTTTCTGAGTAGCACATGTGTCCTCAATTGCATGAGAAGAGGTCAGGATCTAGCCATTGCCTGGTTTTTTAACCATCACAAGGGACCAAACATCTCCAACCACAACAGAACCAGAGTAAGGATTGGAGCCCTGGCTGTCTTTCTCCATAATTGGCTCTCTCTACTTCTGCATCAGACCATAGATATGCATCATTGGTTTCGTTGCTCACAAGTTTCATGCACCTTTATCTTCCCCTTTGTTGGGTGTCTTGTGCTAATTATTTTTTTAGTTGGCTGAAGAACTTCCTTAAGGAGTTATTTGTTTAAAGTTACATGAGTAGCATACTGGCTGAGACTGGGTCTTGAATATTTATTTATTTTGCCTTCACATAAGAAGAATCATTAAAATGATTATAGAATTATAGGGTATCTATTTTTTCCCCGCTAAACTGTATAAACATTGCTCCTTCGTATTGCAGCATTTAGTGTTGCGGATTAAAAATCCAATAACAAAATGACCCTCTCTCCTTTGTAACTGGCTTATTTTTCCTTTTTAAAAGATTGCATGATTTTTCTCTTGGTTAGAATTCCAAAATTTCAGACGTATATAGGTTTGTACCTTGATAAAAGTGAGAGTTTGAGTCTAAATTCACATTTCTTCTGTTACGAGAAGAAATTTTTTTATGTTTCCTTGATTATTGTCTCTCCTTTATGCACTCTGTTCTCTACTTCAGTATATTTATTTTGTGGTTCTTGGACCTACTAAATTCTATCTTATAAGTTTATCATTTATTCTCATAATTTCTATCTTTGTATTTTTGCTCTGCATTCTGGGAAATTTCTCTAAGTTGTCTTCTAATTCACTAATCTTATTTTTAGCTATATGCCCCTTCTAACAGTTACTGTCTCCATTTCTTTTTTCTATTTTGTTCTCAGGATTCTTTTCTATTGCCTGATTTCCTCGATTTTGTGTCAAACTTTCTCTTATTTTGTCAATTAAGTGTCTTTTAAAATACCTCTGAGAATATTCATTAAACTTTTTCTTCCATTTCCTACATTAGCCCTGTTTCAGACAGAAACAGTCACTCCAAATTCTCAGCCTGATCACCTTCCTTTGAGCTCCCGATTCTCCTCATAGTTCTGACTTGTTCTTTGCTTTTCGTTAATCCTAAATGAAGACCTATCCTGGTCAAGACTGATGGCTGATATGGATTTCATCAGCTACTACAGAGATCATTACTTGAGTTCCTCTCCAAAGCCAGGTGTGATAAGATAGAAGAAAGGGGTTTTAAGGTGGGCCTCTCTTTGGGTCCACAGGCTGAGTGCAGGGTAGCCGACAGATGACCCCCTTCAGGCCCAGGAATGGCATCATCAACTCCCAACAGAGCACAGTGTTCACACCTTGTGCAACCTGGGGATGAAGGCTGTGGTCAGACTCTCTGAGTGAAGCTAGACAACCCCCCAAGTCTTTAAATTTGACGCTTCTCTCTACACAATGACACCCTGCTTCCTACCTCCCACACTTAATACTCATCCTAAATTTCCTAATCACTCCCATTGTATTAGGCCATTCTTGCATTGCTATAAAGAAACACCTGAGACTGGGCTATTTATAAAGAAAAGAGGTTTAATTGGCTCACAGTTCTGCATGCTGTACAGGAAGCACAGCTCCAGCACCAGTTTCTTGGGAGGCCTCAGGAAGCTTACAATCATGGCAGAAGGGAAGGCAAAGCAGGACCAGGCACTTCACATGGTGGAAGCAGAGCAAGAGAGAGTGAGCGAGGTGCCACACACTTTTAAACAACCAGATCTTACAAGAGTTCACTATCGCAAAGACAAGCACCAAGGGGGAATGGTGCTAAACCATTCATAAGAAATCCATCCCCACGATCCAATCACCTCCCATTCACCTCCCACCAGGCTCCACCTCCAGTACTCGGGATTACATTTCAACATGAGATACGGATGGAGACAAATATTCAAACTACATCACCCATATATACCCTTAGTGATCAACACTGAGTAACCGTCTGGCTTTGGTGATTGATAGGCTTGGGGAGGGAGCAGGATGATTGCAGGAAGATGCACAACCTTCCGGCCTGGACAACAAGGTGTGCCCCCAACAGACTATGAGCATTTGGAGAGCAGAGAGTGGGTCTTATGCCCCTCTATTTTTAGCCCCTAGCACTGTGCCAGCACACGCTGCCTGCTTGGTGAGTGACAATGGAAGAAACGATGTGCACTTCCAAACCAACAGTCTTTTGTTCCAAATTTGATGCTGTTTGGCAAGTCCTTCTCACCCCCATCATTACTCATTCCCATGCCCTGGTTTGACCATCTTTGGCACAGACTTCAAGGTTGGCTCAAATATCGCCTTAAAGGAAAACTTCTCTGCCCTTTCCTGTGTACCTTCAGACCTCATCATAACACCTGTTGTACTCTGTACATTTGTGGTATAGGCTCCAAACAAATGTGAAAATGAATAAATGCACAAATAAATAAACCCCCCACAAAACTGTGATCCCAAGGCAGAGATCACATGCCATTCAATTTCGCATCACTGATGAGAATGCTTCAGCCTGGCACCTGGCACAGAATGGCCAATTATCGTATAACTGAATTGAACAATACACAGAGTATGATTATCCCCAAATTAGGGCATTTCCATATTATTGTCAAACACTAGGAAATAAAAAATACTTAATGATGGAGTCTCAGGCACCATATTCCCTTAGATTCAGGCAGAAGAATGACAGGAAATTCATTACTGGGCACCCTAAGACATGCCAGGCACTGTAACAGGCACTCTCATCATCATAAAAGAGAAGATAATATTTATCAAGTACTTACCTACTGCCAAACAATGTTTTAAGTATTTCATATATGAAAACATATTTGACAGCACTGTCAGATAGACGTTAACATTGTCCTTACTTTTTATAAGAGTAAGTCAAACTAAAAGGTGATGTAATTGTTCAAAACTGCAGAGCCAGTAAGTGGCAGAGCTAGGATGTGAACCCAGGCAGTTTGGTTCTAGAATATGGCTCCAAATAGCTGCAGTATTCCAGCTCCTTCATATAGTGTCCACACCAACCCCAAAAGGTACTATTCCCCCATCGTGTAGATCAGAGAACTGAGGCTCACAGAGTATGTAATTTCCTCTCATTCAGCCAACATCTATAGGTTAGACACTGGAACATGGCAGCGCTGGCAGGGAAGCCAGGTCTGCCAGTTCTCAATCAATGCCATCTCTGCCACACACACACACTGCTCCCCTTCCTCGCCTCCCTGAAGTGGGGGTGCAGAGGGCAGCCTCTTGGCTAAGCATCACACCACAATCCCCAGATGCCTCCATGATATAGTACTAGGAAACCCTGGGAAGCCAATAACATGCTTCACCCTTGGGTGTCCTGAGCAGATTGGGGGCCCGGCCATGTGGACATTTGAGAAGCACCTATGATCTGAAGGCTTGGCGTTAGAATGGCTTCCATTTACTAGGGACTGGCTATGGGCCTGAGATATTATTTATATTCAGCATCTCTTAATTCTCTCCACAATACCATGGGACAGCTATTACCACCATTTTACAGATTAAACTGAGTCTACAGAAGATGAAGTTCCTGCCCCAGGTCTCTCAGCAGTGAGTGGCAGAACTGGATTTTGATCCCAAGTGTGTCTGACACCAAAATCCATGATCATGACAGAGAGGTTTAGCCTCAAATTCACCTTCACCTTCCCCGCAGGCCTGCTTTACAACTGTCAGGCTTGTAAGAGAGTTGGTAGGAAGAACTAGAAGAGGAGGGTGGATTTGGCCCAGAGAAGAGTGAGAAGAATGTCTCCAAAAAGGAGCAGGAAATGGTGAGGAGGGTTGCAGGGCACAGAAGTGGTAGGGATGTGGTGTAAATGTAGGGTCTTCCCAGTGCCCATCTCCCAGGGGAGATGGGCCAGAGAGAGGAGACCAAAGAGAAGCACGTTTTAGAATGTTGAATGCACAGCTAAGGAGTCTGGTCCTGGTCCCGGGTGCAGGTGAGGAGTCGGTGCCACTGGCCACAGGTCCTACCTCTGGACTCTACAGAGAAGGCCTCCTAGGTCTCAGGCTCAAGGTCAGAAATCACTAGATGTCCAGGCTTCTAGCCTCATCCACTGTATATGCCACATAACAGGGTCCGTTCAAAGGCTCCATGCTGGGGATCACAGTAGAGGCACAGCCAGTGGCTGCTGGTGGCCACAGAGGGCCAGCCCTGGCTGGGACTTTGGCTTCCCACTCTCCTCAGATCACACACAGCCACAGCCCAGCAGCACGGCCTTAAGCCAAGTCTGATTTTGCCTCTGGGACTGAGAAAAAATGAGCTCTGCTACTCACAAAGGAAGGCCGCTTGCCAACAAGTTGCTCTTTCACACTCTTTTTGGAGCAGACACAACACCGGGTTCGACCAGCTGAAATCTTTCCCTGAACAGTTTTCTCCCAGGCATCTCCTCCCCAGTCTTTACCTGGCGTAAAGCCTGTTTAAGATCAGCACACGGTGATTTATGGAAAGCTTTGAAATGCCCAGCGTTGTGCTGCTTGCAGTGGGGCAATGAGAGTTTAAGGCATAATTCCTGACCTCAAGGAGTTTGCAAAATCTCTGCAGGAACTAAACCCACCACAATAACACCAACAGTAAAGTGTTACATTCAGTTGGTGCCCATTTATCACATTAGTATGCCTTATATTATTTAACCGTCAAAATAGTATAGCAAAGACAATTACCAGGACTTTATGACCTGGTGTTCCTGTCTGTAATGTAACTATCATTGGTGGATACTGGAGTTGCAAATGGAATGAAACATCAAGTTTTTAAGTTCCCTAGTGATCAAAAGATGGTAATCTAATAAAGTCCAAAACACTAAGAAAAAAAGTATTTAATTAAAAAATAAAAAATACCTGAAAGCCCTATCTGACCTCCCAAATTAAGGTGAATTACAGGCCAAAGGACAGAGAAGGTAAACAGTGTGTTAGAAAATACATGCACGGGGTCTTCATTGTGAGGTCTCCCATGTACACATGTTAAATAAATTTGTATGCCTTTTCTCCTATTAAAAAAAAAAAAAAGGATAGGAAAATGCATGCATGAGACCCATGCCACAGTTGGACCAGAAGGGTCTCCTTGGAGGAAATTGTCCCACTTAGATGGACCACTGCATAAACAAATGCCCAGGGACCCAAGAAGGACCGGGTGAGAGAAGATGCCAGAACAGCCTGTGTCATCCAGGCTAGGCCACAGAGGCCCGAGGCCTGTGGAGGCTCCTGCTGGCCCTGACCCAGCAGCACACTACTCTGATGATCAGCCTGCAGACATCACTGAGGAAGCTGAGAACTTCAGGGACAGATGCAGGGGTGCTTGGTGGGGGCAACTGGATACCTGCAGGCCTACAGCTATAGACCCACTCTGTGTGACCTTGGGCAAGTCACTGCCTTTCCAGGCTTCATTTTCTTCCTCTGTAAAACAAAGGACTTGTAGAATACCAGGGATTCTTTAACCTCCAGGTTGGGGGATTATGAATCCCTCTGGTAACTTGAAAGTTACAGATTTGTGTTCCTTGGGGAAAGGAATGCATACATATTTGGCATAAAATATCAGGGATGTTTCCACCAACATCTACCCTCCCCAAAAGGCCCCTAGGTAACAATAAGGCTAAGAGATCTCCAATAATCATTTTAGGCCGGGACAAGATAGGTTGAGGAGGCCTGGACAAGATTTGTAGGAGGTCTTCAATGCCAGGTTCAAGCAGGGTTTAGGGTCTTAGACTCAAGCAGTAGGAAGCCACAGTAGGTAATAACTGAGAAATGATATGCTCAAAATACCCCCTGGTCCAAGTTCTGTGACTTCTTCAACAAGGACCTAGGACTAAGCAAGCCTACAACAGACACAGAGATGCCCATTTGCTGCAGAAGCCGAAAGATTTGTTGTTGATATAAAGTGATATAATGACCCCGAATTCCTAGGAGAAGGATCTTGCTGAGCCCATAACAGCTGAATATATTCATCTCCTAGGGCCCATATGCAAGCTTGAGCCCTAAGCCTTTTAGATTCAAGATGCTTCTTGGCTCTCTGGCCAGCTTGTGGACTCATATGCTTACCTGTAAGTCCTGCTCAGAAGACATCTGTCGCTAACTCCAGTCCAAGCTGCCAGTTGGCTGAAAGGGGTGGAACAGAAATTCAGGACCCCGCGGACACTGTGAGTTAGGTTTTACATCTCCTGCTTAAGACATCAAGTCAGAGCTAAGGTCTTGTCTTAGTGGAAACTCATCTCTCTTTCCATGTCGTGAGGGGAAGGGGCCTGTGAGCTGGAAGAACAGATGCAAGAAAAATTCCATGCATGAGATGGGAGGAGGTCTCAGTGCAAGGCTCTTATTCCTGGTTGCACATTAGAACCACCTGAGGAGCTCTCGAAATATACTGATGCTGGTTTCCACTTGGCCAGGTGAGTCAAGGCTCCCCAGGTGGTTCTAATGTGAAGCCATGGCAGGAAACCACCATCCTAGGCAGCCCACACCTTTAATAAATCAGCTACAGGGCTCTAAGACCAAAAGAACCCTAATGCAAAGCAGTCAGCAGTGAATGGCACAAGCCATGTGCAATGCCTGAGAAAAACCATAATTCCGACTTGGAGAAGGTTCCAGAAAGCTTCTTGGAAGAGGTGTCCTAGAGGCAGCAAATCTTCAACAAGCAGACATGGAGGTGAAGGGCACTCCAGACAGAGACAACAGCTTGAGCAAAGATCCAGAGGCAGGAGAGTGCTGGGGAATCAAGTCCCTGTGCTCTTTGAGGGGAATATCTCACCAAGTGAACTCTAAAACGCATTTTATATGAAACCTGGCCCCACAGTTCCTGCATTCTTTGAGCCTGATTGAAAATGTTTCTGAGGCCGAGGCGGGCGGATCACGAGGTCAGGAGATCGAGACCATCCCGGCTAAAACGGTGAAACCCCGTCTCTACTAAAAATACAAAAAATTAGCCGGGCGTAGTGGCGGGCGCCTGTAGTCCCAGCTACTTGGGAGGCTGAGGCAGGAGAATGGCGTGAACCCGGGAGGCGGAGCTTGCAGTGAGCCGAGATCCCGCCACTGCACTCCAGCCTGGGCGACAGAGCGAGACTCCGTCTCAAAGAAAATGTTTCTGACTTTAGTGCTTAATTTTTTCTTTTTGAAAGGACTGTTCTTAAACTTGAACTGGAGGTGAAAGAGGATGAAATGATAGATTTCTGAGTAATTGTTAAAGGCTTTTCACCGCTTTTTAATTTGCTTCCCTGGAAATCATCCTTGGGAGGGAGGCAAGAGAAATGTAACTGATTTTCTAGAGGAGGACAGGAACAAAGGTAAGTTCCCCCACCCCCACAAGGCCACACAGGTGGGTACCATAATAGTATCCTGTTAGCAATTCTGCTTACGCTGGGCAGCCTATGCTTCAGTACATAGAGCCCAGCCGGCTGGATCACCTAGAAATTTGGAGAGAGGAGCCACAGTGCTATGCCAAGGCTAGAGAGGGCAGTGACAGAAATTCTCCATAATTCACCAGTCTCATCTGTTCATTCGACCAGGAACAAGAAACTAAGAAACCAAACAACAAAGTGAGCCTGGCCCTGCTGTAGCTTGATAAATGGGGAATCAAATTAATCTGTGTAATCTTTCAGTATCCAAAACTGCAGGCATACTTAACACATGCTTAGATGTCCATACCCTAGATTATTATCAGCCATTTAAAATGATGCTTTTGAAAAAATTTTATTGACATTGAAAAATGTTCCCTCTATAATATTAAATAAAATTATATCTGATGTCATGGCATTATGAATTAATTCATTCATTCTGTAAATGTGCCAGGTATTGTTCTGGGAATTAAGGAACTTGCAGTGAACAAAACATGAAATCCCTCATGTTGTCAAGCTCCCATTCTAGAGAAGGAGACAAACAATGAAAACCTAAGTAAAGGACGGTGTTAGATAGTAATAAGCGCAGTTGAGAAAAATGTATCCAGAAAGATAGGAGAAATTTTTTTCTCCTTGATGCTTTAAAGTATTTTCTAACAATTTTTTTTAAGAGATGGGGTCTTGCTAGCTGTCTAGGCTGGAGTACAGTGACGCAATCATAGTTCACTGTAACCTCAAACTCCTGGGCTCAAGGGATCCTCCCGCCTCAGCTTCCTTGAGTAGCTCAGGTGTGTGCCACTGCAACTGGCCCAGAAAATATTACATGTAGGATCAGAAAATATACATACTTTTTAGAGAAAAAAAGCAATACCAAAAAAGTGATTACATTAAGAAATGAAGTTGGTTCACAACTTGGACCTAAGCTGGGATATGAACATGTGACTCTTTTGGTAGACTGATGTCCTACTGCCAGATGAGGGAAACAGACATTGGCTAAAGAAGGCAGGGCCCTGGTCTGCAGTGACCCAAAAGATAAGGCATTTAGTGAGGCAGCAGCCTGAGTCCCAGATCCAGGCTTGGATTGAGGAATGTGGCGTTAGTGGAGTTCTCAGAATCAGGACAGTACTGACAGCAAGATGTCCCTGGTGCCAGTATCCCCAAGCCCATCCCAAAAGTTTCAAATATGCTTGGATGTGCTTCCCTAAATAAGGCAAGGATTGATCTCTGAGCCCAGGGTGGAGCTGAGGCTGCAGGAGGTGAGGGGCGTTCTAATGTGACCTTCCAACGTGACATAACTCTCACAGTAGGCAGATAAATCAATGACTTCCACAGTGAGTACTTGAAAGTTCCATACAAGTTTCTGTTATCTTTCTTTTTGCCTTTTTCTGGGGCTGTTCGAGCCCAGCTACCTTACCCCGGCTCTGCTGAGGATGGTGCATGGACCTGTGAGCCAGTGAATTGGCTAAATCTGTCAGGAGACCCGTGGCCATCAGGAGACAGCAGTCTGTACCAGAAGGACCGTTTGCCTTCCCTTGGGTCCGGGACACTCCCCAAGGATATTCTAACTCCAGGTGCACCTTTCTGCCTCCTTCCTGGAAGGGCACCATAACACAGAGGGCAGGACAGGCAAGAGTCTAAAATGTGGCTTGGCCCTCCCTTAGTCACGTGATCATGGGCAAGGTATTTAACCACTCTGGGACCCTGTTTTCTCATCTGTAAACTGGGGGTTTCCCCACCTCAAGTAGTCTTTGAGAGAATGAAAAGAAAGCACCTTGGCAGAGGGCCTGGCACCCTACAGGGGCTGGGTAATTGTAACTGTTGCTGTTAACATTATTATCTTCCTTCCTGTTCTCAGAGCAGCCTGGCATCCAGCACAGGCTTTTCTCCACCTGAACCCCAAAGAACTCCCTCAGACCTTTCTTGCTGTGGCCTTGGACCACACCACTTGTGTGGACAATAGTCTCAAGAGTGAGTCCACAAGGATTCGGTTTTGAGGGAAGAAGAAGAAGATTGGAAGTTTTCCTAGGTCTGGGTCAGCCCAAGCCAACCAATTCTTCTCTGCTCTCTGCTGCCCCCTCTTGGTTCCAAGCCTGAAGAGCCAGTTGCCCACTCGTCCATAGTGTTACACCTCCTGTGGAAATGAGGATGAAAGAGGAGAAATTGTAAGCAGTTTAAAGAAGAAAATAAGCAAACAAAAAACTGGAGATTTATAGACATGCCTGCCTTGCCCTGCCATTGGGACACTAATGGCTCAGGTGCCCCTGTGATCTGAGGCTTTACAAAAAAATGGAAACCAGGCTTTGCCTTTTACCCATTTGGGTGGGGGCGGGTCCTTACCGTATCTCTAAAGAAAATGAATTAGAGAAAATTCTACAAAACCTGGCAGGAGGGTTACCGTTTCCCCCATTCTTAGGCCTATGTCAGGCATTACCAAACAATTACTTCATTTTTTTTCCTGCTGAATGCAGACCCAGCCTCAGAATCTTTCTCAATACAGCTGTACTCCGAGCAGCCAGTCCTAGTCATTGGTCAGAGTTGGTGCACAAGAGCTGAGGGCTGCAGCCAGAGAGAAGATGAGGATCAAAGCTTCCTGCTGTGTGCCTGCTCTTATGTCAGCTTTCTCCAGGTGACCTGGATACTTCATCGCTGCAACAGGGTAGCACCGGGCTTCGGTTCTCAAAATGTACAATCGTCCCTCGGTATCCACAGGATTCCAGGGCTCCCTGCAGAAACCCAAATCTGTGGATGCTCAACTCCCTTATATAAAATGACATACTATTTGCATATAACCTATGCATATGCTCTCATGTGCGTTAAATCATCTCTAGATTATTTATAATATCTAATACAATGTAAATGCTACATAAATAGTTGTTATATTGTTATTGGCTTTTATTTGTATTATTATTGTTCTTTTCCTTCAAATAGTTTCAATCCTTGGTTGGTTGAATCCGAGGGTGCAGAACCTGTGAATATGAAGGGTTGACTGTATTAGCAATTTTATTTAGAAAATCTGTAAATAAGGTATCACTAAATTGGGACTTCAATGCATCACTGAGCCACAGGGTGTGTTGGTATTTTACTGAGGGAGCTGAAAAGATTGCTGGTAGGCGGGAATATTGCCCAGGCTGAGTCACCTAGGAATGGCAAATAGGTGCGTACTTGGATGATATTAAGTGATGTATTTTCCTCCAGTATCTCTTAAAGCTGCTAAACTGGACCATGAAGCACCTGTTGCCTCCTGATTGGGTGATTACAGCAGAACAGAGGAGAGCTGTACAGCCAAACCCTTGGAATTTAAGGTTGCAAACCTTTCCAGACTCTTGAGCTACAAGACCTGGGCTTTTGAGCTTCAGTTGCCTGAGTCCTGCAAGCAGCCTGGGGATGAAGTTGATGCTGTAAACAACAGACCTGGAAGAAACCGTGACCAGTCTGAACCACTCCTTACCACTCCCCACGAAATAAGAACTGCAGGTGCTGTTGCGAGAGGAGGAGGAACAAGCAAATCAATGATCTCCAATGCAGGGAGGCCCCTGAGGAGGAGGCCTGCACACTGTTCACTCCCCCAACCCCTGGTCCAGCCAGGCCCCGGGGCAGGATAAGTTAGGCATTTGAGAGCAGATGAGACTGAGGCTCACTTCCTGGGTAAAGCCTGGGCATGTGACAAGTCTGACTGAAGTTTCCCTCCCAGAACCCAGCAGAGAAAGGAAAGTTAAGTAGAAATGGTTGCAAGAAATGTAACCTGTATTTTTGTATAACAGCAGGGAGAAATCTAATCTCAGACAATTTAATACGATATTATTCAGTCCGGTGTTTCACTATCTCTCCTCTCTTGTGGTGGTCATTTTGTTTTATTCTGTTTGAGGTTGCCAAGGCATGGAGGAGGGAGGGGGAATCTGTTCTTGATCATCACCTGTCCCCTTGTCATTCACAGAGCTGTCCTGGACTGTCTGGTCTCCAGGCATTAGTTCACACGAAGGGCTGCTCTAGTCACCTTGACCCATGGCCTGCTGAGTCTCCGTTTCCTAATCCACAAGACCACATTCTATTGCTTTTCGTGCTTTGTGAGGGCATGGGAGGGCCCTGGGAGACTTCTACTTATTGCTAACTTGCAGTGTTAGCTTAGGCTAATTACATAATTAGATAAGTTCTCCATAACTCAGTCTCCTCATCTGTAAAATGAGTATAATAATAGTACTTAGCTCACAGGGCTGCTATGAGGATTAAACAAGTTAACACATGTTAAGTGTCTAAAACATTACAAATGTGTCAGTTCATATTATTATTTGCTACTACTAATAAAGGGGCAAATGTAAAAATGGCTCTATATACAAACATGAAATACTTAATATTTATCACAGGCATTCTGATGTGCCTTCCTGGATAGGAGAAACAAGGAGAAGTTACAGCCAGGGCTTTAGGAACAGCACACCATACTGGAAAGTGCCGATACTCTAAATCAGAACCAACAGAGGAGTCCTGGAGATGCCTCTGTGCCAGGCATGACCCCTTCAATTGCTGGATGGTGAAGAGCAAGTCTTGGAATGAAAGGGCAGGTGGCCAAGGCAATAGGTGGAGTGGGAGGGGTGGGGACCTCCAGGGGCTCAGGGCACTGGCTCTTTAACCAACAGAAGTTACAGCACTTTACTGTTTTAGCAACCAGTGTTGCCTTACCAGTCTCAGCTGGCTGACTCACCCCCACACTCCAGACCTGGACATACCCACAGTAGCATCCTATGCATGTGAGCATCATTCCTTTGTTGTCATGAGACTGGACCCACTCAGGTGAGAGTAGGAAGAGTGAGGAGTGGGCAGAGGGGCTTGTTTGGCTGCCCCTTGGCTGGATGCTTAGCCAGGGCAACTCAGAAAGAAAGGGCATAGCTCAAATCTAGTTAGTACCAGATGTCCCGCCTGACTAAGCACCTTGAAGCCAGCTTACATGTCCTCTTTGTGCAGGGCCAGCATCCAATATGAATAGCCTCCTGGAAACCAGGCTCTGTCCTGGGCCAATCCAGATTCAGCTGGCCTTATCCTATGTGTATAGCTCCTGGATTCTGCAGTCCTCAGGCTCTCTGCCTGGCCTGATGCCTGAGGTACTTCATTGGCTAAGCCTTACTTTCTGCACATGGGTTTCTATCTGCAATGGTCCCTTGGATCATATCTGCTTCTGGAGCAATGTCTGAGCCTGACAGCAAGTAAGTATTATCTATTGTGCCAACTTATTGGAAGCACCCACCTGGAATTCCATGCTTGAAAAGTGGCCCACTCGGAGGCTGGAGGGTGGAAGGAGTGGATGATCACTTAGCCCTGTCTATCAGAGGATCAGGGAGTAGAAGAGACAAGAAGCATGTGGTCTGTTGGTCATCCCTACCCCAGGCCCATCAGCCCAAATGTGAATTCTTCAGCTCCTGTGCGAGAGAATTAGGCACACGGATAATTAAGAAGAAAGGAACAGATCTGGGCTCTGAGAGACTCATGAGGTGGATTCACCAAAATCTGGAAGCAATCACCAAAATATCCTAGGGGACCATTAGCAACTTACCAGGCCATGGCCTAGGACCACCTGTCTTGTCCCATCAGTCCTTACAGGTAGGTTTACTAACAGTCTCACTCAGCCTGCGACTGTTTCTATTTCAGCACTCAAAGTCCCACATCCCAGAAAATCCCTCAGTTCCAAGCAAATTGGGACAGTTGGTCACCCTACAGACAGAAGACATGTAAGGCCTTACTTGTCCCTATGCCCAGAACTGATCCTGAAGCCTAGTAAACAGAAGAACACAATCCTCTTCAGAGCGGAAGATCCCCACAAGAGCCTGACTCTGAGGATACTCGGTGGGTCTTAGATAAAATATGTGCCCAAGATCCTACAGACTTTCAGTTCCCCTGGTGCCTCCTTGTGGATGAAGATGAAGCATGGGGGACCGTGGAGAGAGATCCATCTGGAGCCGGGGGACTGAGTGGCTCTTCCCTTCTCCAGGAAATAAAACCTATGGGACTGCATTTACACAGCCCATCTGCGAGCAACTGACTAATCACAAGGAAAGCACAGAGAAAACGCAAGATGCTGTGACCACAAGGTAGGGCAAGCATCTCTCTCTTGCAGAGGAAAATACACGTGGAGTCAGACTAGTTTCACCCTTCCAACTCTTATTTTTCCCGCTCTGCAAATCACTAGGGAGTACCACCCTTCTTTAAATTCCTAGTCAACTGCCCTCACACAATAAGCTACCTGCAACTAGGAAGAATGCTATTTAGGTATCCCAGAGATTCCTGGAAAGAAGAAAATATTCCTTCTTGTTTGTAGAAATTTTACTTTTCAAAGCTAGAAAAAAGGAGGAAACAGAAGCAGGGCACAGGGTAAAGTCATTTGCATTGGTCAAACATTCAAAATTAGCCATCCAAAGGGAAGGAGGAAATTGAAAATTAACTGCAGCTCCCTGGTTTATGTCCTTTCTGCCTTCAACTTGCTAAGAAAAAAATCTCCATTTGCACTCAGCTATGTCTGCTCAAGGGGACATCTGTCAACCTGGAAGTTTAATTGTTGGTAATAGTATTTCCCTGTTATTCGGGCACCACACAAATAGCATAAATATGATTTAACCACCCTTGCCAGAAATCACAAATTTGTGTCATGCATGCTGAACGCTAAGGCTGATTAGCACAAAATTTAATTTTCGTTAATATCAGCCTAGGACAAGTAGAGCATGAAATTAACCTGATGTGTTAATATTGTGCTTCACCGTTCTGACTGTATCCTGTAGACGCTGTCAGTGGAGACAGGTGCCGCTCTGCATGGGAAGAACTCTAGCAATCGGCACAGCCTGGGGGGAGCTGGCTCAGGACGTGGTGTTCCCTGCAGCTGTAGGCAACCAAGGAGGCATTGGATGACAATATCGGAAGCACTGCATAGGAATCGGATGTTATGGTGGGAATTAAGGACTAGTAGCCTTTGAGGCCCTTTCCAATGCTGAAGTGCTGAGATTTTGAATCTTAAAAGTTCCACAAGTCAGATGCTGTTACCCAAGAGAGGAACTGGCAAACTATAGTCTGCAGACTGAATCCAGCCCACTGTCTGTTTTTGTACAGCCCTCAAGCTAAGAATAAGTTTTACATCTTTAAATGGTTGAAAACATTTAAAAAAAAATTCATGATGTAAAATGTATGTGAAATTCAAAGTTCACTATCCATAAAGTTTTACTGGAACTCAGCCATGCCATTCATTTTTGTATTGTTTATAGCTGCTTTTTGTACTACAACAGCAGACTTGAATAGTTGCAACAGAGACTATATGAACTGGAAAGCCCTAAATATTTACTATCTGGCTCATTACTGGAAACGTTTGCCAACCCCTGATCTAAGACAATAATGGTTTTTCAAATGGGCACTTTGGAGAAGGGACCAGGACATTAAGAGAGAGGAATGGCACTTCAGGCTTTAGCCAAGGCAGCTGCCCTTCTATCAGTTGTACATAATGTGCTTTTGTTTGAAAAGAGATTGTAGCTAAACAAGGTCCAGGACACACATTAATAGTTCAAAACCCATTTCCTTTGGAGAGGCACATTGTGGTTTGAAAATGGTGGGCTGCTGGCCGGGCGCGGTGGCTCACACCTGTAATCTCAGCACTTTGGGAGGCTGAGACGGGCGGATCACAAGGTCAGGAGATCAAGACCATCCTGGCTAACACAGTGAAACCCCGTCTCTACTAAAAATACAAAAAATTAGCCGGGCGTGGTGGCAGGCACCTGTAGAACCAGCTACTCAGGAGGCTGAGGCAGGAGAATGGCATGAACCCAGGAGGCGGAGCTTGCAGTGAGCCGAGATCACGCCACTGCACTCCAGCCTGGGCGAAAGAGAGAGACTCCGTCTCAAAACAAAGAAAAGAAAATGGGAAAATGGTGGGCTACAAGGTGGCTTCAGGAGAGCTCCAGGAAATTGAAGACTAGTCCAAAATTCAGCTGAAACCAAATCTACATGTGTGCCTGCATGCATGCATGACCACGTTACTCCTATAAATAAGGGGTTTGAGGCCAGGAGCAAGTATGCAGTGAAATATCTTATAATCCTCATGGAACACATTTCAGGAATTCTTCTCTGTAAGAGGCTTCCCTTCCCTCTTTGCCTGGCAAACACTTACTCATTTTAAAATAAACATGCTCATATTATTAATCTATTAAACCATCCATGGTAGACCAATATCTACCGCAAATCCCTAGAATCTGTGCTCATTAGCTTATTTGGGGAAAGGGTCCTTGCACGTGTGATTAAGTTAAGGACCTTGAGATGAGGAGATAATTCTAGATTATCTGGGTAGGCCCTAAATGCCATCACAAGAATCCTTATAAGACAGATACATAGAATACGGGACACACAGAGGAGGCAAAATGACAACAAAGGCAAAGATTAGACCTGCTGGAGTTTGGAAGTCTGGCCTCCAGAACCCTGAGAGAATAAATTTCTCTTGCATTAAGCCACCAAGTTCATGATAATTTGTTGAAGCAGCCTCCAGAAGCAAATCACAGTTATGAAAGGGTTTTATCATAAATGGTTCCACAATTCTGATACAATTATTTTCATTACGTTGCCATACTCAAAAGTATCACTCAAAAGCCCAGTCAAATTTCTTTTCATATACTGTAAGAAGAGTATGAGGTAATTTAAAGCACCTGGCACATACTAGAGACTTAATAAATAAGAATTTCTTTCTTTTTTAGAGGCAGAATCAGTTGCTCCAACCTTTGAGTCACATGACATGATGCTTTATGCATGTTTTAATGAGCAGTTACTTTTCTCAACTACACTTCTGTGTTCTCAATGTCAATCACCCCTACTAGAAGGCTATAAACTTCTTGGGGACAATAATCATAATTCATTCTTCTTTTTATCGTAATTTACTTTTTATTGAGGTTTGACTTACTGCTATGGTTTGGATGTTTGTCCCCTTTGAATCTCATGTTGAAATATAACCCCCAATATTGGAGTGGGGGCCTGGTGGGAGATGATTACATCGTGGGGGCAGATCCCTCATGAACGGCTCAGCACCATCCCCTTGGTGATGAGTGAGTTCTCGCTCAGTTAGTTCACACGATATCTGGTTGTTTAAAAGAGCCTGGGACCTCCCCCTTCTCTCTCTCTCTCTCTCTCGTTCCCTCTCTGGCCATGTGATGTGCCTGCTCCCCCTTCACCTTCTCCCATGACTGTCAGCTTCCTGAGGCCTTCCCAGAAGCAGATGCCAGCACCATGCTTCCTGTATAGCCTATAGAACCGTGAGCCAATTAAACCTCTTTTCTTTATAAATTACCCAATCTCAGGTGTTCCTTTAGAGTGATGCAAAAATGGACTAACACACAGATATATAGTAAAGTGCCCATATCTTAAGTATATATCAAAGACTGTTTACAAGTGTTTACTTCTGGGAAACTACCACCCAAGTCAAGAGATAAAGCATTTCCCGAACCCCAGAAGGTTCTTTAATGCCCCCTCCCAGTCAATACCTCCTGTAAGAGTGGCTGCTATTCTGATTCTTTTGACGTTAATGAATTTTACCTGCTCTTGAATAGATATATTCTTTCGAATATGGCCTCTCTCACACAGCATAATATTTTTGACATTTATCCATCATTTTACTGGATGGACTCTGGGGAGTTTCCAGTTTGGAACTATTACAACTAGTGCTGCTAGGAAAATTCTTGCACTTATCCTGCCATCGAAGAAAGCACACATTTCTTTTGGATATTTATAGGAATAGGATCACGGGGCAGGTATACAGCCAGATTTAGTAGATACTGCTGAATAGTTATTTGTAGAACTTAACTATGGGCATATCTTGTTTTATTGTGCTACATTTTATTGTACTTTGCAGTTATCGCATATTTTACAAATTGAAGGTTTGTGGCAACCTTGCATCAAGCAAGCCTATTGGTACCATTTTTCCAACAGCGTGTGCTTACTTCATGTCTCTGTGTCACATTTTGGTAATCCTTGCAATATTTCAAAGTTCTTCATTGCTATTATACCTGTTATGGTAGTCTGTGATCAGTGACCTTTGATGTTGCTATTGTATTTGTTTCAGGGCACCACAACCGCACCCATACAAAAATGTGAAGATAATCAATAAACGTTGTGTGTGTGCTGACTGCTCCACCAACCAGCTGTTCCCCCATCTCTCTCCGTCTCCTCAGGCTTCTCTATTTCCTGAGACACAACAATATTGAACGTAGCCCAATTAATAACTCCACAATAGCCTCTAAGTGGCAAGTAAAAGGAAAAGTCACACATCTCTCCCTTTAAGCTAGAAATGATTAAGCTTAGTGAAGAAGACCTGTCAAAATCTGAGATATGCCAAAAGCTAGGCCCCCTGAACCAAACAGCCAAGTTGTGAATGCAAAGGGAAAGTTCTTGAAGGAAATTTCAAGTGCTACTCCAGTGAATACATGAATGATAAGAAAGTGAAACAGCCTTTTGTGATATGGAGAACGTTCTAGTGGTCTGGAAAGATAAACCAATCACAACAGTTTCTTAGGCGAAAGCCTAATCCAGAGCAAGGCTCTAATTCTCCAATTCTATGAAGACTAAGTGAGGTGAGGAAGCTGCACAGGAAAAGTTTGAAACTAGCAGAGATTGGTTCATGGCGTTTAGGGAATGAAGCCATCTCCGTAACATAAAAGTGCAAGGTGAAGCAGCAAGTGCTGATGGAGAAGCTGCAGCAAGATATCTAGAAGATGTAGCTAAAATGTTTGATGAAGGTGAATACACTAAACAACAGATTTTCAGTGTAGACTAAATAGCCTTCAGTTAGAAGAAGATGCCATCTAGGACTTTCATAGCTAGAGAGAAGTCAATGCCTGGCTTCAATGCTTCAAAGGACAGGCTGATTCTCTTTTGAGAGGCTAATGAGGCTGGTGACTTTAATGCTCATTTACCACTCCAAAAATCCTAGGGCACTTAAAAATTATGCTCAATCTACTCTGCCTGTGCTCTATAAATGAAATAACAAAGTCTAGATGACAGCACACCTGTTTATAGCATGGTTTACTGAATGATTAAGGCCACTGATGAGACCTACTGCTCAGAAAAAAAAAGATTCCTTTCAAAATATTATTGTTCATTGACAAGGCACCTGGTCACCCAAGAGCCCAATGGAGATGTACAAGAAAATAAATGTTGTTTTCATGCCTGCGAAGACAGCATCCCTTCTGCAGCTTATGGATCAAGGAGTAAATTTGAATTTTCAAGTATTATTTCAGAAATGTATTTCACAAGGCTATAGCTGCCATGTATAGTGATCCCTCTGATAGATCTGGACAAAGTTAATTGAAAACCTTCTGCAAAGGATTCTAGATGTCTTCAGGAACATTCTTGATCCATGAAAGGAGGTCAAAATATTAATATTAACGGGAGTTTGAAAGAAGTTGATTGCAACCCTCATGGATGACTTTGAGATCATTAACTTTAGAGTTCAAGACTGCAGTGAAGGAGGTAACTGCAGATGTGGTGAAAATGGCAAGAGAATTAGAAGTAGATTCTGAAGATGTGATTGAATTATTGCAACTTTATGACAAAACTTGAACAGATGAGGAGTTGCTTCTCATGGATGTGCAAAGAAAGTTGTTCCTTGAGATGGAATCTATTCCTGGTGAAGATGTTGTGCATATTTTTGAAATTCCAGCAAAGGATTCAGAATATTATGTGAGCTTAGTTAATAAAACAATAGCAAAGTTTGAGACGATTGATTCTAATTTTGAAAGAAGTCTACTGTGGGTAAAATGCTACCAAACAGCATCACGTGCAACAGAGAAATCTTTTGTGAAAGAGTCCATGAATATGGCAAACCTCAATGTTGTCCTTATTTTAAGAAATTACCACAGCCACCTCAGCCTACAGCAACCACCACCCTGATCAAGTCAGCAGCCATCAATGTCAAGGCAAAACCTCCACCAGCAAAATGATTACAACTCATTGATGGTTCAGATGATTGTTAGCATTTGTCATCAATGAAGTATTTTTAAATTAAGTACATGTGTTAGACATAATGCTATTGCACACTTAGTAGACAACAGTATAGTGTAAACATAACTTTTATATGCACTGGGAAACCAAAAAAATTGTGTGACTCACTTCATTGTGATATTCACTTTATTGCGTGGTCTGGAACTGAACACTCCAATATCTCTGAGGTAGGCCTGTACTTTTGTTGTACAGATCTTCATTTTCATTAGCACTGTCTGAAATTTGGAGCAATGTGTCAAATCCTCACCATCCTTGTCAGTCTTTTTAATTTTAGTCATTCTGGCAGTGGCTAATTTGTCTTTATATTCCTCATGTACAAGGTCAAAATTTGTAGTACATGACCCTACCTTCCTTCCTGGCCATAGGGATCAGGCACAGTTATCTAACCAAAGGCCAGGTAAACCACAAGCCAGCTACCATCAGATGCTGCCCTGCAAGAAAAAAAAAATGAGTTGGATCAATTAGATTTTCTCTCTCAGAAATAATGCAACCAAATGAAGAGAATAACACAGCCTTCAATGGGAGCAAATAATGAAATGCTGTAATGGCTATGATTCATCAATACAAGCCAAAGATATGGGAAAAAGGAAGGAAGTAGAAGCTATAACAGAGAAACAATGCAGAGTAAAAGGGAAAGAAGCCCACTGAGACCAGGACAGAAAGAAGCAGGTACTGTGAGAACAGCAGTGAACCAGGCCACAGACCTCAAGGCCTTGTTCTGAGGCCACTGGAGTGACCCTATATCAATTATACCTTAATAATGCTATTTTTAAAATGGAAAAAATAAAGTCAACATGATTTAATTTATATGACATTCTTGAAAATAAGGCCTTGGGGTAGGGCCTGTTCTTGAATCTCCAAGATATTCTATATCCCGTTCCTCTTAATAAACACCCTTGCCATAAGCCTCTCTTCACTTTAGCTGAAATAACTTGAGTGGTCCTTTGTTTCCTTTAACTAAAAACATTCAACTGCCATGCCTGGTACATAATATCAGTGATGTGCTAGTAAATGTTTAACAACCAACCATCTAAGAATCAAAGGCACTGATTTGAAGCATTTACCAATATCTGTGGTGTAAATACTCCTCCCATGGCCAGTTTCCAGCTATTAGTGTGACATCGCCAAACACAAGAGATGGGAAATAGCATATAATTATATAGTATATTCACTGCACAGATGCAATAAATGTAAGTAGCCTCAAGAATGTAGTTAATAGTAAAATAATTAGTTGAGTATTTATACTCAACTTGAGTATAATTATTTATTGCCTTTGTCTTTAATTTATTTAATTAAAGTGTATATATTTTTTATAATGATGGTGTTTAATAACTGGCTCACAAAACTCCTGCAAATTTAACAATCATCTCTTACAAGCTGATACAACTGACTCTGACACACCCACTGAGGTAGATACTCACTAAATGTTTGCATCCTTTCTTGCCTTCTCTGCGTTTTCACAGGCTCCTCATTGTGTGGAGTTCGCTGCCTGGCTCCGCAGCCAATGGCACAGCCAAATATGAGCAAAACAAATCATATGATGATAGTGTTGTACTCAATTTTCCACAGTAGATTCCCACTGGTGATATTCTAAACCATGGAAATAGACATGTCATAGCTGTATTTACCCAGACAAAAGAGTGCAGCTTTTTGGTTTGGGAATTTGATTTGTTTTTATATCATCTAAGAGCAGTACACAAGCAAGCGTGTAATATGTTAAGTGGTCACAGGAACTTTCTGATTCACTGGAATGGTCCCTTGATCAAAAGCCCAACAAATATCTGAGCTCCATCCACAAGCCCACTACTGTGGACACAGTGAGAGTTGTAGTTTTTGCTGTTAAAAGGCTTTCAACGGTAATGGTACTGATGAAGCCAGTGGACATTTATTAAGTGCTTACTGTATAACAAGATTCTTTTCTAAGTGCTTTATGCAGATAAACCCAATTAATCCTCACAAGACCCTTTGTGGTAGATACTGTATTGTCTTCCTAATTTTACAGATAAGGAAAAATGACACAGAGACAGAGGTTAAACAGGAGCCTAAGGTTAACTATATGAACCTAACTATCTAACCCCAGAGACCATGCTGCTAAACACTGGGCCACTCACCTTAGGACAGTAAGATACAAACACTGTTATATAAAGAAAGACCACAATGAGAGGTTGTCTGTAAGTACATTAGGAGTAGAGAAGGAAGTAGCAAGTGTGGGCTGAATTATTCTCAAAGGATAACTTTAAAGGACCCTTTAGACATTGGGTGGTGGGGAGGGCTAAAGCGTAGACTTGAAGGATGGGCAGGATTTGGAGAGATCAAAAGGGCCAGGTGGTAGCTTAAGGGAAAGAAAGCCACCTGAAGGAGGGCATAACAGTGGGAGTGAGCACTGTGCCTCAGAGTACATGCAGAGAACCATCAGTTTGCTGAAAAGCAGTGACAGTAGAAGTTGAGGACACTTTTAGGGTGATGGGTATATGTTCACTGTCCTGATTGTGGGGATGATATCACAAATGTATACATAACCAAGACTTACGTGTTGTATACTTTTGTATGTGCATTTTATTGTATATCAGTTATACCTCAATAATGTTGTTTTTAGAACTAAAAACAATAAAGGCAACATGATTCAATTCATATGACATTGTAGAAAATAGGAACAAAAAACAGGTCAATATTGCCAGGGGCTAAGAGTAGGGGAATGGGTTGATGACAGAAGTGTGAGGGAATTTGGGGGTGAAGAGGTCATGGAAGTATTCTATGTCTCGTGTTCTCTATCTTAATTGTGGTAAGGATTACATGATTGTATTTTTTGTCAAAACTCAGAACTGTACACATAAGAAGGATGAATTTTACTATATGTAAATATATTTCAATAAATCAGACTTTTAAAAAAGTTAAAAGATTACACACACACACACACACCCATATGACTTGTATGTGTTTGCTTGTTAACAGTGATAAGTAAATAGAAAGTAAATCTTTCTCCTCCTGCTGGAGCTGAAATGCTGGAAAATCCAAAGCAGGCTTAAAGACTGACTTCCCATCTATGTACTGTCTTTTATACTTTTTAAAGTCTTTTCAAATCTAATGTCATTTGATCCAGTTGCCAACCCTAGAAGGAAGGGAGGGGAAGGGGTTACATACTGATTGGTGAATGAGGAAACTGAGGCCAGGGAGGTTAAAGACTCTCACTCAACATCACGCAGCTCAGAAGCGGTGAAGTCAGGACTAGTGCCAGACAGACCTGGCTTCTAGTCTGTTGCTCTTCCCATGTGCAGCACTGCCCCACTCCACCCCATCTCCAGCTTTGCAGGGTCCTTCTTGATCAGCAATCCATGGTCTTGTGCATCCAGAGGGAAGGACTCTGAATCAAGACCCTCATCCTGTAGGAGGCTTCTCAGAGCCTGCCCTCTGCCTTCAAATCATGGTGGAACCACAGGTAAATCATGTGGACAGCACCTGGGTACATCCCACAGGTTGTGATGAGAGGACACTTTACCTTGGTGGTCTTCCTCCCAGAAACCCATAACCCCAGTGTAATCATGAAAAAAATACTTTGCAAACCCAAATGGAGGGACATTATATAAAGTACCTGACCAATACTTCTCAAAATTATCAAAGTATCAAAATAAGGAAAGACTGGAAAATTATAACTAAGAAGACACAACAACTAAATGTAATCTGATATGCTGGATGAAATCCTGGAACCGAAAAAGGGACATTCATGGAAAAGCTAGTGAAACCTGAATAAAGATTATAGAGTTTAACTAACAATAGTAACCTGTCAATGTTTGTTCCTTAGTTTTTCTGAACGTACTGTGGTGATGTAAGATGTTAACAATAGGGAAAACTAGGAGAGGGGAACATGAGAACTCTTCGTATTAATTTGTAAATTTTCTGTAAAAGTGAAATTATTCCAAAATAAAAAGTTTATTTTTAAAAAATCTCAATGGAGGCACTAGATGCTATTGTCCTTCCTGTTGAATCTTCTCTGAAGAAGCAAAGGGAATATTTTGTTTTTAGCCAGGATAGTCAATTTTTAAGCCAGGGGCAGGAGCTTCTCTGCTTCGGCTCATAAAACCCCACACCAGGTTGCCTGGTGGTGAGAGCCATCCACCTCTTCCCATCCAGAGTCACTCTGCCTTCTCCCCATCAGCAGCACCACCTGGCTCTTTGAACTCAATAAAGGCATCCTTTATTGTGCATCCAGACAGCTGAGGGTCAGAGGGCAATGGCAGCCTCATCCACTGCTCTCTTGAAGCCTGGCTGGTCAGATCCCCTCTGGGCAGGACCACTGCTGGGGCAGGATTTCCAGTGCTCCCAGTAGATATAGATAAAGAAGCATGGGTGTATGTGTGTGTGTGTTTGAGTGTGTGTGTGTGTGTGTGTGTGTGAGAGAGAGAGAGAGAGAGAGAGACAGAGAAAGACAGAGAAACAGAGAAAGAGAAAGAAAGAAACAGACACACAAACGGAGAGAGACAGACAGACATACAGGGAGACAAACACAGCTGATCACTGAGTGAGGACATTATGGTGAGTGACCTGAAACGGGCTCCTAGAAATAATCTCTCAGTAGGGAAGCATCAAATCCCTTTGGAAACCAATGAAGCAGGAAAGTGGTGTTGACCAATCTATTGTGCAGGCCTTTTTTATTATCAGTAAATAATGAAAGGCTGAAACTGTCCTATTACCAAGACTAATAGTTTCCGTGACTCTCTCCCTCTCCACACCCCACCCTCTGCCGGCTTTTGGTGACCAATTTTTTACCCTGCATTCTGCCTCTGATAACACAGTAGTCCTTTCTCTTCCAGGCCTCTCTCCTTCCATCCTCCTTCTCCTCTTTGTCTGCCTTAAAGGATTATTCTGCTTCCCAAATGTGGACACTCACATTGAGGTCTCATCCCTGCCTGCATTCTTGGAAGCAGCCGTAGCCCACAAAGCACAGTCCCCCCAGGCCATGCCTCCAGGGCATCTTCAGGGCCCAGGTGGTCTGCTGGCTCCGGTACTTCTACAATGAGTAGAGTTATACAATAAGTACAATCAGGATAAAGACTAGACTCCCAGCACTCTTCCTTCAGAGTAACATTGACACATTTACTCATAAAATGAATCTTCCCTTCTCAACTGATTCTCAACTGGTTTATTTAGGGAAGGTGAAGTTTCCACTCAGGAAACAAAAATAACATCAGAAATTTTAACAGAGATCATTTAGTGTAAATCATTGCTCACCAGGAATTGGAGAACTGAGATGGCAGAGAGGATAATGCTGAAGTTTCACAGAGATAACTACAAAGTGGCTATGCCACCATGGCTGGAGGAACAAAGAGAAGAGTCTAGGGCAACTAGGACCTAGAGACATGAAGGAACCCTTCACAGAGATGGAGCCCAGGCCTCTGAGGAAGGTATGCCAACAGGCCAGGGCTGGGATCACCAAGGAGGGACAATGGGACTGGTTCTGAGAGTGTGGAAAAAAATGAAGACTGGAGCCAGCTGCTCCGCTGAAATGAACTGCCACTGCCAAAGCAAAGAAGCATTGTTGGAGTGATGCTGGCAGGAACTGGAAGCAAACAGGAAGAGGCATATCCCTTTTCTCTTCTCCAGGAAGCAGTCTCCACATAGCACCTTCTAATAGCGGAATCTGATATGGATCCATTTGGCAAAAGGAAAAAGGGTTTGCAGAATCCCATCCCAGCATCACAAAGCTGAGTATTAAACAGTAGGTGTGAATTTGAGGCACAGTAGCAAGAAACCAATGGAAAGAGAAGGAAAAAGAGTATACCTGTATAAATGTACAACTTATCAACTGACTGTTTCATAGCTAAACTATGTGAATGTATATTCATGCATGAATACATCATGTTTTAATGATAACCCCCAATTTCAAATAATAATATCTAGTATTTACTGAGACTTTGCCAGGTACCAGACAAATGCTAAACTCTTCACATGAATGATCTAATTTATAAGAACCCAAAAAGGTAGATAGCAAAAAAATCTTAATTTTACAGATGTGAAAATTAAGACTTAGAGAGGCTAAGTTGCATATGATCCTCAGAAAGTAGTAGAGTCAAGACCAGACCCCGTAAAGTTCATGCACAGTCACTGCATCACCTCTTATCTGCTGAGATCCATAGCTACAAACTCTTCCATCCTTTCCTCTCCCTTCCCACTAATATCGTCAGGACCTCTCTAGCAAGAGGGCTAAAAGATTCCTCAGTGCTGTCTCTTCAGATGCGCCATACAGCTCCAATTTCATGTACATCAAAACTCAGCATTTCACAGAATTAGAAAAAAAAATCTGGCCAGGCACGGTGGCTCACACCTATAATCTCAGCACTTTGGGAGGTTGAGGTGGGCAGACTGCTTGAGCTCAGGAGTTCCAGACTAGCCTGAGTTACATAGCAAGACCCCATCTCTACTAACAATACAAAAAAAAAAAATAGCTAGGTGTGGTACTGCATGCCTGTGGTTCCAGCTACTTGGAAGGCTGAAGTGGGAGGACTGCTTGAGCCAGGGGGCAGAGGTTGCAGTGAGCCAAGATCATGCCACAGCACTCCAGCCTGGGTGACAGAGTGAGACCCTCTCTGTATTTTTTTAATTAAAAAAAAGAAAGAAAGAAATCTAAAATTCATTTGAAACCAAAAAAGAGCCCAAATGGCCAAAGCAACCCTATGGTAAAAAAAAAAAAAAATAAAGAAGCTGGAGGCATTATACTACCTGACTTCAAACTATACTACAAGGCCACTGTAACTAAAAAAAGCATGGTACTGGTATAAAAGCAGACCACAGGCCAATGGAAAGGCTTAGGGAACCCAGAAATAAAGTGCACACCCTCAACCATCTGATCTTTAACAAAGCTGACAAAAGCAAGCAATGGGGAACGTACTCCTGATATGGTTTGGCTCTGTCCCCACCCAAATCTTATCTCATATTGTAATCCCCACATGTCGAGGGAAGGACCTGTTGGGAGGTGATTGGATCATGGAGGCAGTTTCCCCCATGCTGTTCTCCTGATAGTGAGTTCTCAAGAGATATGATAGTTTAAAAATCTGTGGCTTCCTTCACTCTCTCTCTCCTGCCACCATGAAGACGTGCCTTGCTTCCCCTTCGCCTTCCACCATGATTGTAAGTTTCCTGAGGCCTCCCCAGCCATGTGGAATTGTGAGTTAATTAAACCTCTTTCCTTTATAAATTACCTAGTCTAAGGTAGTTCTTTATAGCAGTGTGAAAATGGACTAAAACAACTCCCTATTCAATAAATGGTGCCGGGATAACTGGCAAGCTATGCAAAAGATTTAAAACTGGACCCCTCCCTTTCACCATATACAAAAATCAACTCAAGATAGATTAAAGATTTAAGGGTAAAACCTAAAACTATAAAAACCCAAAACTATAAAAACCCAAGAAGAAAATCTAGGAAATACCATTCTTGACATTGGCCCAGGCAAAGACTTCATGACAAAGACTTCAAAAGCTATTTCAACAAAAACAAAAATTGACAAATGGGACCTAATTAAACTAAAGAGCTTCTGTACACTAAAAGAAACTATCAAGTCAACCTACAGAATAGGAGAAAATATCTACAAACTATGCATTTGTCAAAGGTCTACTATCCAGAATCTATTTTAAAAAAAAACTAAAACAAATAAACAAGAAAAAAAAAACCAAATAAACCCATTAAAAAATGGGCAAAGGATATGAACAGAGCCTTCTCAAAAGAAGACATATATGCAGCCAACAAGCATATAAAAAATGCTCAATATCACTAATAATTAGGTAAATGCAAATCAAAACCACAATGAGATACCATCTCACACCAATCAAAATAGCTATCATTAAAAAGTCAAAAATAACAGATACTGGTGAGGTTGCAGAGAAAAGGGAATGCTTATACACTGTTGGTGGGAATGTAAATTAGTTCAGCCACTGTGGAAAGCAGTCTGGAGATTTCTCAAAGAACTTAAAATAGAACTACTATTCGACCCAGCAATCCCATTATTGGGTATATTCCTAAAGGAGTATATTCTCTACTATAAAGACAAATGAATGCATATATTTATCACAGCACTATTCACAACAGCAAAGACATGGAATCAACCTAGATGCCCATCAACAGTAGACTGGATAAAGAAAATGTGGTATACGTATACCATGGAATACTGTGCAGCCATTAAAAAATGAAATCATGTCCTTTGCAGCAACATGGATGGAGCTGGAGGCCATTATCCTAAGTAAATTAACACTAGAACAGAAAACCAAATACCACATGTTCTTACTTATAAGTGGGAGCTAAACATTGAGTACACATGGACGCGAGGGTTGGAAAACTACCTATTGGGTATTATGCTGATTACCTGGAGGCCAAAATTATCTGTACACCAAACCCTGGGACACATAATTTGCCCATATAACAAACCTGTACATGTCTTCCTTGAACCTAAAATAAAAGTTAGAAAGAAAATAAGAGCATTAAAGCATGACCAGCATTAAATCACATATACACAACCATACACCAAATGAAAAGCAGGAAAGAATGTTCCCATACATAAATACATTAGTATCATCTGCAGCCAATAAAATAATGATGTGGCAATACATGAGTTAACATGGAAAGATAATCATAGCTAACATTTAACAAGAGCATCTCCTATGCTGGGAACTGTATTATGGAATTTTTTTGGCATTAACATATTTAACCCTCACAACAACCTATAGTTAGTATATTCCATCATTATCTTATAGTTAGTATATTCCATCATTATCATATAGTTAGTATATTCCATCATTATCATATAGTTAGTATATTCCATCATTATCATCTTCATTTTACAGATGAGGAAACTGATGCACCATAGCAATTATGTAACTTGCCCGAGATCATACAGCTAGTAATTGATAGAGTCAAATCTCAAACAAGACAACCAGACTTCAGAGAATGTGATGTCAACCACCACATTATTCTGATTTCAGTAGACTATAAAAATCCATAATATGCCATTCAGTGAAAAATAAAGCAGATTAGAGAATAGTATTTATAGTATTATGCATGTCTAATACACATACATGGATATATATACCTTTGTATTTTTTATTTTAGTCCATAGGGAAAAGTATGGGAGGGCTTATAACAAAATATTAACAATGGTTATCACAGAGAGGTGGTTTGATTTTTTTTTTTTTTTGCTTTCTTGTATTAAAATAACTATGTGTTCTGGTTTTTCTACAATAAACACATTCTTTGTAATAACATTTTAAAGATTTTTGTAAATAAATAAGTGTCATCTTGGAAAAAATGATCTGGCAATTTGAACAGCTTTTTAATATTTTGGGTGAAAAAGAAGAGCAAACATGTGTTCCCACAGACATGCACAATAGAAAAGAGATTTAAAAGCATCTACTTCATCCTAGCAAGACAATAAACCAGTCCCTGACAATCATTCCGATATCTGAATAAGCCCAGGAGCCAAGTCCCTGGAATTATTTTAAGCATGTTCCCTTTTCCAGTGCACTGTGAAGAGATTGCAAATTTATTAAATATGAGATTATTCCACTTTGAAACTCATACCTCCACGATTCTAATCAAGATGACTTGGTCCCTCTGAACATCCGACATTTGCTCACTGGATAGCATTGTTGTGGCAGCTGTGATGTTATCCCTTTCCATCGGGAGTATTCTCTCCAATTTCCCCAAACCATGTGCTGCCTTGGAAACATCATGATTCTTATAGAGATCTAAGCAAAGGGAAATAATAAAAATAATAAAATATTACACTTAAAGTCTATCTTTCATGCCACCAAGGTGCCTTGCTAAACCCTTCCTCTATATAAAAAGACAGACAAGCAGAGTGGCCCATACCATGTGTCATTCTCATAATTAACAATTAGAGAAAACACACCGATCTCTGCTCTCTGGATAATTCCAGTCACAGTAGTTTTCCACCTGAATTAAGCAGATTGCCAAGGCCAATATTTTCATGAACAGAAAGATTGAGTTGCCTATCTAAAGATGCTGACATGAAAGAGGCCTCTGTGAGAGAAAGCAATGTGGCATCTTACCATCAGGGCATCAACTCACATGAAATAAAGGTCTGTGGTAATCCAGGGAATCTTCCCTCTAAAGCAAAGGTTCACAGACTTTTCCTACAAAATGCCAGATGTAAATATTTTCAGCTTTGCAGACCGTATGATCTCTGTCACAACTACTTAACTCTGCTGTTGCAGAGTGAAAGCAGCCATAGATACTGTGTGAAAAGAAATCAGCATGACCGTGTTCCAATAAAACTTTATATAAACAGATGGTGGGCCAGATTTGACCCATGGGCTGTAGTTTGCTGAACCTTGCTCTAAAGTATAGGCTAAAGTATAGGTGTGTCTGCAATATTCAAGGCTGCCTCTGAGGAAAACTATAAAGTTGGTAATATTGTTCTCATTGGCTTATTCAATAAATGCATTGCATCCCTCAAGCCAGGGCCTGGCTTAAGCCTTGAGAATCAGAAGTAGAAAAGCAAATAAAACCCCTAGTGTTTACATTTGGGAGAGGAAGTACTAAGCAAGTAAACAACATGTAAACAAAAAAAATTTCTGGTAGTGGTAAGTGATATAAAGATGATAAGTAAAGGCATTGGGTTACTTGCTGGGGCAGGGGAGTCCCGCTTTAGATAGGGTAGTCAGGGAAAACTGAGGAAGGTACTTTTGATTTCACATGACAGTAAAGAGAAGTAGGTACAAATGCAAAGATCTAGGCAAAGAGTAGGCTCTCAGGTATGGAGAACTCAAATGCAAAGAGGCCTAAGGCAGAAAAAAGGCTTAGTGGGTTTGAGGAGCAAAGAGCCCTGAGGCAAAAAGGCTGCCTAGTTGGAGAATTTCTTGAGATAAGGAGTTTGAGACCAGCCTGGGAAACACAGCAAGACCCCATATCTTAAAAAAATAAAATAATAAATTGTCCAGGGGTAATGTAGTCTCAGCTTCTTGGGAGGCTGATGTGGGGGGATAGTGGGAATCCACAAGTTTAAGGCTGCAGTGAGTCACGATTGCACCACTGCACTCCAGCCTGGGTGACTGAGCAAGACTCTTGACTCTAAAGAAAAAAAAGTAAAGAAAGTACAAGACCGGTCCATGTCAAGGAGAACTAACTGATGGAGTCCTCCAGCCTCTACAGGTCTATAACCTGGACTACTGGTGTGAGTATGGCTTGCCCTGCAGAGCCACCAACACTTCATCAAAGGTCTTCTGCAGTCCTTGAAGTTTAAACCCAGATGGGGCTGAGGTTAAGGGCACATCAGAGAGAAAGGACAGCAGCCAGGCAAGGAAGGCGCCAGAGGAGGAGGGCCTTGCCTTCACCTGTGTCTTTGCCAGGTTAGCCTTTCCTTCTGAGTCTACCCAGTGATTCCAACGGGCTTCAGCTCCTGCTATGATCCAGGCTCAAATCACAAGATTGCTTCTCTTTGAGATCATCAAAAGTGCAAGCACAGAGAGTGACCGTAGGGTTCTCAGCTTGGTGTCTGCTCTCTCCTTATGTCTGCTGAGGCATATTTCACTCTTTTCTTTCCACTCCAGTGGTCTTGGAGCACAATAAAAAATCTAAAATATTTGTATTCCATTTGAGTTAATACCACATTTTCTGTAATTATCCCCGCTGCTAAAATCATTTTGTTGTGTGCTTTTTGAGTGAGAGGGAGGGGGTGGAGGATCAAATTAATTCTTTGGCAACAAAAATCTGTTCGTAGTCATTTAGAGCCTCTTCAGTCTGTGGAAACTGCAGCCAAAAAAGAGTAAGAACACTTAGTTTGGTAGTGAAAAAAAATCAGGTACTTTTTAAGATACCAGTTTTTATGAATGTGCAAGTGGGAGGCTGGGTAGGTAAAGGAGAGGAGGGTTTTTGCAGTCAGTCTGAGCTGGGCTTGAATCGCATATCTGCCATTTCCTGGCTGCATGACTTTGAGGAAGTTACTTTGTCCATCTGGTCCTCAGTTTTCCCACCTATGAAACGGAAATAATGATGTCCTCTCTTAGGGTCAGTGGAGAGATTGAGATGATGTCTGTAAAACCTTTACAGGTGTTTGTCACATGGAAAGCACTAAGTGTTAATGATGATTTATTAGCATCCCCAAGCACTGCTGCTATTACATAAATTACAAATTTTTGGGAGACAGTTTTTAAGCTTTTTCAGAAATGTTCTTTAGGCTGGGCACAGTGGCTCATGCCTGTGATCTCAGCACTTTGGGAGGCCAAGGTGGGTGGATCACTTGAGCTCAGGAGACCGGCCTGGGAAACATGATGAAACCCTGTCCCTACAAAACATACAAAACTTAGTCAGGCTTAATGGTACGTGCTTGTAGTCCCAGCTACTCAGGAGGCTGAGGCGAGAGGATCACTTGAGCCCGGGAGGCAGAGGTTGCAGTGAGCTGAGACCCCACCACTGCACTCCAGCCTGCGTAACAGAGTGAGACCCTGTCTCAAAGAAAAAAAAGTTCTTTAATATATATACATACATATATATGCACATTGTGTATATATATCCTTTAACTAAATGTATTATGATTTTAGAAATACATACTGAGGAAAAAAGAGATAGAGATTTAGCTGACGGAATGTTCATCATGCTATTGACTCTAATAGAGAATAAGAAAATCTAAACATCTTAAAATAGGGATTAGTAAAATAAATCATGCTACACCCATAAAATGGATAATCACTCTTCATATCACTGCCAAAGAGGAATGTTTATTGATGAAAATATGTGTTCATAGTTAAATCAGGGGAGGCACAGGAAGCCAGTTACCCGTTTGTAAAGTATAAACCATATTTATTTTGTTAAAAATATTTTGTACCTGTGTATGTGTATATATACAAACTCATACGCACACACACACACACACAAAGAGAGAGAGAGAGAGAGAAAGAGAGAAAATGTTCTGAAAGTATGACCAAAGGTTTTTTTTTTTTTTAATTTTTAATCTTCATCTTTTATTTTAAGTTCAGGGGTACATGTGCAGCATGTGCAGGTTTGTTACATAGGTAGACATGTGTCCTGGTGGTTTGCTGCACAGATCATCCCATCATCTAGGTATTAAGCCCAGCATCCATTGGCTGTTCGTCCCTATGTTCTCCCTCCTCCCACTCCCCATCTGGCTCTACCCATCCAGCTAAGCTGCCGGATCAGGGTTCCTTCTGCAGCAACTCTCAGCAGCAGCACGCTGAGCAATAAGATGAAGGCAGGGCTGTGATTTTTCACAGAATTGGAGATCAGTTTGGGGAGTACTGAGCTACAAACAAAGCCAGAATTGCATTTTGGAGAAAGAGAGGGAGGGGAAAAGTTACAAAAAAGAAGAAAAAAGGAAAGACAGACAAAAAATACATATATTAGCAAAGGATCACTATCCTGGTCTTACCCATATTCTCCCTTTATGATTGAAGCCTATACTTATTCCACAACAAGCCCCTAGACTATCGTTGCAGGATCCCCTGTCACCTCCATGCAGAGTCCATGCAAATTCCAAGTGGGCGGGGGGGGAAACATGCTTTGATCATGGCTGGGCAAGGCAGAAGGGTAATGTTGTCCTAAGAATGGAAGGCCCTGATGGAAGTTTGAAGGCATGTCTTTGAGACTTTCAAGAACGTTCCTACAGACTCCTGCAAAACATGAAGCAGATGCCCATAATAAAATGGTATCCTGCTGGATCTCTGATGGAAGAAACAAACCTTGAAGCAAAAGAACCTCTACATTAGATGGACCGTTTCAGCTTAATCGTAAAAGAGAAAGCAGTAAATGCAAAATTGGAAGAATAATAATAAAATCCTCAAAACAGCCTGACTTGGACGGTCCGTATTTATTCATTTAATTCCACAAATGCTATGTGTATCTTTTTTTTTTTTTTGAGACGGAGTCTCGCTCTGTGGCCCAGGCGGGAGTGCAGTGGCGCAATCTCGGCTCACTGCAAGCTCCGCCTCCCGGGTTCACGCCATTCTCCTGCCTCAGCCTCCCGAGTAGCTGGGACTACAGGCGCCCACCATCACGCCCGGCTAATTTTTTTTGTATTTTTAGTAGAGACGGGGTTTCACCGTGTTAGCCAGGATGGTCTCGATCTCCTGACCTCGTGATCCGCCCGCCTCGGCCTCCCAAAGTGCTGGGATTACAAGCGTGAGCCACCACGCCCGGCCGCTATGTGTATCTTAATGTGCTGGGCCTATGAGAGTTACCAAGAAGTCTAGGACAAGGTCAGTCCTCATGAGCTCACCATCTAATGGATATGTTTCTTCAGGTTCCTTCATGCAGCAGATTGAGTTTTCCAAAAGTAATCAGCCACATAATAGTTCTGATCACACATCTTTCAAAACCTTGCTACTCCTCTATCAAAAAGGGGAGTCTATTTCCCCTTCTTTAGTGTCTGGATGGGCCTTTGTGACTGCCTTGACAAGTAGAATGTAGCAAAACTGAAGCTGCACATCTTCTGAGGCTAGATCTTAAAAGATGGTGCTTTCCACCTGGTTCTTTTTGGAAGGACCCTCACTTGCGGGTTGGCAGAGGCAGTGCCATCATGCTGTGAAGAAGCTCAAACTAGTCCATACAGAGAGACTTGTAGAGAGACCTACGTGGAGAGGAACTGAGGCCCCCAGCCTCAAGCCAGCCTCAGTCACCAGATATGGGAGTGGGCGGGCCTTCAGATGGGTGTAGCCTCTAGCCTTCAGGTCTTCTGGCTGAGGCTCTAGACATCATGGAGCAGCAACAAGTCATCCCTGCTGTGCCTTGTCTGAATTTATGACCCATAGAATCTATAAGCTTGATAAATCGTCTCATCCTAAATTTTGGAGTAATCTGTTACTCAGCCATAGTAAGTGGAATATCTTGGTCTCTTGAAGTTTAGAGCCAGGCAGACCTGTTTTTAAATCCTGGCCCTGAGATTTTCCAGTTGCAGGAGGCTGGCAAAGTTATTTAATCTGTGTGAGCCTCACCTTTCCTCTCTGTAAAATGGGTGTAACATCTACCTCGCGTGGCTGCCTTGACAAATAAATGTTACAACGTGTATAAAGCAGCTAGCCTGGTACTGTAGAAACAGAGAGAAACTGCTGTGGGCAGTCTGGGAGAGGATTCATCCTTAAGGACTAGAGTTGTCAGATAAGCATCCTTGAAACAGGTGAGATGAGCATGACCTGGAAGGGTCTGGCCAGGAAAAGAGGAGATGCAGGGCTTCCAGGTGGGCCCGGAGGGGCATCCCCCTGGAGGGATCCCCTCCCACCTTGTGGGCCAGGTCTAGATGGCCTTGCCTGGCTCCCTGCCCCCAAGCCCTGCAGTCTAATCCAGCGGCCACTTGACAGTTATTTGGAGCTTCTGTTTTGTTCTGGAAACAATTCTGGCCCAAGCCAGGGGAAGAGTAATTTTGATGCCCTAGTGACAGTTCCTGCCCACTCTGTCCAACTTCTCCAGGAAACAGCTGACCAAGGCAGCTGCTGAGAATCCAGGAAAAAAATCCCCGCAACTGCCCAGGGACTCTCCCACCTCTCTGACCTCCCACCTACTTCTGACCTGAGCTTTGCCCCGCTTCCATCCCTGTACCTGCTCTGCGCATTTGTGGAAGGATCTTGGCTTCCCCAGCCTGAATTTAAATGCCCTCTGAGGACTCTGGCTCCTCCCCAGTTTTCTGGTTCTTCCTGCCCAACCCTACCCTCGAAATCAGCCTAACCATACTAATAATAAGCAGCTACCATTTATTGACCACCCATGCCAGGCAATTCCTCACATTATCTCCTGTAAACTCCAGCAGCCTTCTGAGGCTCGTATCAATAGTCCCATTTAAGATGAAGAAACAAATGTCACTCAGAGAAATTAATTAATTAGCCCAAGGACACAAAGGAGATAGTGATAAAGACTCTGGGATTCCCCCAAGTCAGCATATTCTTTATTTTTATTTTTATTTTTTGAAACGAAGTCTTGCTCTGTCACTTAGGCTGGAGTGCAGTGGCACGATCTCAGCTCACTGCAACCTCCGCCTCCTGGGTTCAAGTGATTCTCCTGCCTCAGCCTCTTGAGTAACTGGGACTACAGGTGTGCGCCACCATGCCCAGCTAATTTTTGTATTTTTAGTAGAGACAGGGTTTCACCATGTTGGCTAGGCTGGTCTCGAACTCCTGACCTCAGGTGATCTGCCCATCTCGGCCTCCCAAAGTGCTGGGATTACAGGTGTGAGCCACTGCTCCCGGCCCAAATCTGCATCTTCTTAACCCTGGTATCACACTCGCTAACTCAGCCTACTTAGCATGCACACACTCACCTTACAGCCTGCAGTTGTACCACATCATTCCTCACTGCCTCCTCCCACCTCTGGCCTGAACTACTTCCCTGAGAGCCTGCAAGAAGCTGTCTGGACACTGTCCCTCTGGCACTGCCTGCTTGTCTTAGTTCCTTTCTTGGCAGCCAGGACCCTCATCTCCAACAGCCAGGTTACCTAGGATGACGCACGTGCTTGAAGTGGATCTGCTGCAGGTGATGGGAAGAAGATGGGCTAGGATGGGAGAACTACCACAATGTCTCAAGAATGTAGAGGCAGGCTCTGGGGGTTGGCCTTCCCAGTCCTGGCCTTTCCTGAGACATCACTGCAGGGCATCTTGTAATCAGCCAGACCTGTAGATAAGACCAGCAGCCCAGAAATTCTCAGATTCATCGTTTTTATGGGGTGGAGAAAGAAAGTATCCCTGACATTCCAGGCAGTCCTTCTCAGTTACTGCTGCTAATTATCAAAGCAATTGTCAAGCGATTTACTGGAAACTGCCCCCCTCATTACAACTAAGTTAGAAAGTTACCTCCAACTATCAGGAATCTGAGACAACTAGACGAAGTAACATGGAAGGTGTTTAATAACTGTTTGAATGAATGAATGAATGAATGAATATGTGAATTCACGCATGCATGAACAAGCTCACTGCAAGCTCCACGAGGAGAGATGCAAGATCTGCTTTGCTGTCTCTATACTTCCAGTTTCCAGCACTGTCTCCTGTAATAAATTATTTGGGGGATGGGGATTATTATAGTTTGGGGTGAACTGATAAAGACCTGGTCCTCAGGGGTGGCAGAAGGAAGGGGAAGATGAAAGAGGCCCTGAGAAGGAAAAAAAAAAAAAAAAGGCAAACCAGATGACAGATTTAGTCATGGATGGTGGAGGAAAGAGAAAAAGACTAGGATGTCCCTGAGTTTAGAGTGTAGGATACCAGGAGACACAGGAGGCTCTGGCCCATCAGGCAGGGGACGAAAGGGGATGATTATTAGAAGGGGCACAGGCCCAGTGTCAGCATCAGCGGATATTTGTCAGAGGACAAGAAGGAAGGCACACTGAGCTCCAGGGGCTTTAAGGATCTCACAGGACAATGTCTAGCAGGTAGCTGACTAGAGAGGGCCACCCCCCAGGAAGTCCTCTGCAGAAGTGATAATTGAGGCTGGCAGAGAAGGGAGGGGAGGAAGGAAGTCACTGGGGAGGAGGAGGAGGTGAAGTGCCAAAGAGGTGGGCATGTTTAGCAGGAGAGGAAAATGTTCAACTGGCACGTGGTGACCATTTTCTGTGAAAAGAAGGGCTTGCCATGTGAGGGAGGGGACTGGCATGATGCTGTGAGGGGCCTTTGACCAAAGTTGCAGAATCCCTAACTAAAGCTACAGGGACCCCAAGACCACAGGAACAAGCAGAGACTGTGGGAAGAGACCCAGTGGGTAGAGGAAGGGAAGTGTGAAAGGCAGTCAAGTCAGAAAGGCCAAAAGCAGTATCAAAAGATCAAAGCCAGTCTGGGAAAGAAAGGAGAGCTGGGTCAGGGAATTAGAGGGCCAACCGAGAAAGGCTAGACAACTGTTTAGGGTATAGGAGCTCAAAAGACCAGACAGGAGGAATGGCCTCAAAGAGAAAGACCAGGACCAGAAAGACAAAACCATAGGGATGCAAATTCCAGCCCAACAGCAAGTATTTTTTACATCCAAAGATGGGACAGAGTAACAAAGATGTGAATTTCCCCCTCACTTGGGGTATTTGACCCAAGGCTGGATGCCCATTGGAAGGGATGTGCAGAGCACACTGGCTTCATCTAGGGTATTGGACAAAGGACCTTTAGGGTCTGTCCTGCCCTGAGACTCAAATTCTCAGCAGCCACCCTGTCACTCTTCAGTATGTCTATCACCCTTCATTCATGTTCAGCACTGCCTTTTCACCAGCTCATATCTTCCTTTTTACCCATTAATTTATAATCTCACTCCCCACCTCCAGCCACCATATTATTATCTATTACTACAAAACAAATTGTTATGGGCTGCTTATTTATTTGTGTCTTCCCAAAATTCATATATTGAAGCCCTAATTCCCAATAGGAGGTGGGGCTCTTGGGAGTGATTCAATTTAGATGAGGTCATAAGGGAAGAGCCCCCATGATGGGATTAACATCCTTATAAGAAGAGAAAGATGGCCGGGCGCAGCGGCTCATGCCTGTCATCCCAGCACTTTGGGAGGCCAAAGCAGGAGGATCACATGAGGTCAGGAGTTAGAGACCCAACCTGGCCAACATGGTGAAACCCCATCTCTACTAAAAATACAAAAAAATTAGCCGGGTGTGGTGGCACACATCAGTTAATCCCAGCTACTTGGGAGGCTGAGGTGGGAGGATTGCTTGAACCCAGGAGGTGGAGGCTACAGTGAGATGAGATCATCACACTGCACTCTAGCCTGGGCGATGGAGCGAGACTCCATCTTAAAAAAAAAAAAAAAAAAAGAAGACACTAAAGCTCTGCGTCTTTCACTCATGTGAGGACACAGTAAGAAGGTGGCTATCTATAAGCCAGGAACAGGGCCCTCACCAGACACTGGTTCTACCAGCACCCTAATCTCAGAGTTCCCAGCCTCCAGAACCACGTGAGATAAATGTTTGTTCTTAAGCCACCTAGTCAATTGTATTTTGTTTTAGCACTCAGAACTGACTAAGCCAGAAATTGCCCCAAAACTTAATAACTTAACATTAAAAACATTTACTATCTCACAGTTTCTGTGGGCCAGGAATCCAGGAGTGGCTAGCTAGAGCCTATGGCTTTGAGTCTCACAGGCTGCAATCAAGGTTTTGGCTGGGGCTACAAGTGCCCTCAAGCCTCCACTAGAAAGATCTGCTTCCTAGCTCACCCCTGTGGACACTGGAGTGAGGCCTCAGTTTCTCATGAGCTATTGGTCAGAGGCCACCCTCAGTTCCTTGCCACGTAGGCCTCTCCATAGAGCATCTCATAACAGGGCAGCAAGCTTCATCAGAGCAAGTGAGAGGGCAAGAGACAGAGAACGCTGTTGAGATAAAAGGCAGTCTTTTGTAGCCCAATCAGCAGTGACATCCCATCACTTTTGCCATATTCTGTTTCTCAGAAGCAAGTCTCTAGGTCCACACCACATTCAAGAGCTAGGCTGTGACTGCCAGGAGTCATGGTTCTTATTGAGAACCACATCAGCAGCCTCATGCCATGCTCCTGCACCCACCCATCCCCAAGGGCAAGCTCCATGACAGCAGGAACCTCATCTGTCTTGTTCTCCACACTACCCCAGTACCTCACTCCTGGTAGATGTTTGATATCTATTTTTTAAGGAATAAACAAAGTAACCAAACTATAAGCTCCAGGAGCTCCCAGTATTGCACCCTGGAATACATGCCTGTATTTTTTTTCAAATTTTATTTTTAATTGACAAGTAATTGTATATATATATGGGATACAATCTGATGTTTTGATATATGTACACAATATGGTATGATTAAATCAAACTAATTAACATGTCCATCACCTCACATACTTATCATTCTGGGAGGAGTGTGAACATTTAAAATCTACTGTCAGCAATTTTGCAATATACATTACTAAACGCTTGTTGAATGAATGAATGATCTGAATGTCCTTTGGTGAACATTTGACACAGTCCCTAAATCACTAGATTAAAAAAATGTAGGAGACTGAGTGGCTTCATGAGTACCATGAAAAATAAGAGTTTTTTAGATATAATTACCCATAAATCCTCATTCCAAACCACGTGTCCATGGGGCCATTTTGCAGATGCTTAAATGACTTAGGAATCTCCCTAGAAGATATGTGGGAAGAGAGCTTGCTGTCACTAGAGAAAGGAATGGAAAGCAGACCTTTATCCTCTTACCAGGTTGTGGCAGGGGCTCCAGAGAGTTTACATTTTAAATTTGCATAATTGTTTCCCCTTGATTGGCTCCCCTTCCTGCTAAGGCTGGTGTCCTGGAGATGCATGTCCGAATTACAAGTATATTGCCAACGCAGATCAGATCTGTGCATCACTGCTGCTGCTGCTGCTGCTGCTGCTGCTGCAGTCAGCTGATTGGCAAGCCTATTAAAATACAAAGAGAGCCCCACATGAGCAACTTTGGGGACCTGGAGGGGGAGGCTGGTAAGAACATGTCTTTCCCACCCCCACCGCACCTCTACCACAGCTGTTAATTGCAAAGGGGAGCCTTGATAAATGAAAGTGAAAACAGATACACAACTCGACCGGTGTTTATTAAAGAAATAGCAAATGGCAAGATGCCAGCATGGATAAGCTTCACTATAATCAGTGTGTTTATTTCACCAAAAAAAAAAAAAAAAAGAAAGAAAAAAAAAAAAAGCTCATCTGGGCTGCTTTTAAGGCTGATAAACTCATTATGCAAAGTTTCAGCCTCCATAGAACTGAGGCTTTTCTATATGTTAATTCATTTCAGTAAATAATTAGTCTGTTTGGCTGAGGAAACACATGTCTCCATAATTTAATAATTGGGAGGGTTATTACATGTGATTAATAGGGGTCATAAACTAACACTGAGAGTTTAAAACCATTTTTTTTCACTTTGAACAGATATAATAAAGAAGGCTGATGGGAAGGTAGGGAAGATTCTCCTCCCCTTCACCTCCACCCCCTTCTCGTTTTCTTTTTAGAGTTGGGAAAGCAGTGCTCAGAACAGGAGAGGTTGTCTTTCTTCCCCACCAGAGGTCTAACTCTGATGCATGGTCTGCTTCTCTCGGGAGCTTTGAAATGTGCCTCAGTGTGTCTAAGTGTGTCTGTATGTAAGAGGTGAGAAAGGAAGAAGAAAGAGAAGAAGAAAGGGAAGAGGACTAAAAAGAGAGACAAAGAGAGAGGAAAGAACTTGAGTGACTGGTTCCTCCAGGCCAGAGGCTCCCAAATGCCCATCTGAGCCCGGACCTGTCTCTTCACTGTGGATCAGTGAAGTTTACCCCAATCCTCAGTGAAATGGGAAAAAAATTAGAACAATGTAGTAACTTTTTCATAGAACCAATATGTACCCAATGTTTTAAAATTCTAGGATCACCCTTCACACAATTGAAGTGTTTAAATGCCCTTTTACGAAATAACAATTGTCGGTAATATCTTTCTCCATCTCCTTACTTGGAAAAATGAAAAGCTGGCAGCTTTTAACCACTTCCCCGCAATATTTTTTGGCATTTTTAGTTTAGAAATGTATTAATACCAAGTCTGTAAAGCTTCAAAGTCCTTAGAATCAGAGAGAACCATTTGGTCTCAAGAGTAAAACCACCCTGAGCCAGATTTCCAAATCTGATTTTTCTGGGCTACTTCCTTGTTCAGTAAATGGGTGAAGTCATTAACCTACATATTAATCCAGCAATTCAAAAATATTAATTGAGCATCTAACGTGTAATAACCACTATTCTTAGCACTGATGATAAAGCAGCTGATGTATTTTAGTAAACCATCATCTATTTTGTTGCAGGAGTGTTAGTTACCCCTATAAATGTAGAGATTTCCTATATGTGACTGCTATAGTTTGGATGTTTGTCCCCCAAACCTCATGTTGAAATTTGATCTCCAGTGTTGGAGGTGGGGCCTAATGGGAGGTGTTGGGTCATGGGGATGGATCCCTCGTGAATGGCTTGGTGCCCCCTTGAGGTAATGAGTTCTCTGTTAGCTCGCAGGAGAACTGATCGTTATAAAAAGCCTGGCACCTCCCTCATCTCCCTTGCTTCCTGTCTCACCACATAACCTCTGCATACACCAATTCCCCTTCCCCTTCTGCAGTGAGTGGAGACAGCCTGAGACCTTCACCAGAAGCCATCAACAGATGCCAGCTCCATGCTTCTTGTACAGCCTGCAGAACTGTCAGCCAAATGAACCTCTTTCCTTTATAAGTCATCCAGGCTCAGGTATACCTGAGTCCATAGCAACACAAATGGACTAAGACAGTGACTGAGGCAACATCTACAGTGCCTGGTTCTTACACGGGATCAACACATATTTGTTACCTAAATGAATAAACATACTACACATGGTTGTTATGAGATAACAGATATGTAGGATCTTTACATATTACAATATTGTTGCCATTTATCCTGTCAAGAAATGGACCTTTCATGCCCAAGTAGGGCCAGCAGAGAAGTCCTAAGTATCAATAGCTTACAAGAAGCCACCTGAACTGGGCCCATATTATCATTTCAGAAACGTTGGCTACTCTATTAGTCCATTTTCATGCTGCTGATAAAAACATACCTGAGATGGGTAATTTTTAAAGAAAAAGAAGTTTAATGGACTCACAGTTCCATGTGGCTGGGGAGGCCTCACAATCCTGGCAGAAGGCAAAAGGTACACCATACATGGCAGCAGGCAAGAGAGAATGAGAGCCAGGTGAAAGGGATTTCCGCTTATAAAATCATCAGATTTTGTGAGACTTATTCACTACCACGAGAACAGTATGGGTGAAACTGCCTCCATGATTCAACTATCTCCCACTGGGTCCCTCCCATGACACATGGGGATTATGGGAGCTACAATTCAAGATGAAATTTGGGTAGGGACACAGCCAAACTATATCAACTACCCAGCTCCCCTAAATGCCCACCAAGGACCCATTGGCTCTTCCCAGCCCTAGCCCCAGCCCCAGATCCCTGTCTTGATCTTTGACCCCTGATGTCCTGATCTCAGCCATTCTCAGTCCCGACCTTTCCCAGTCCCGCCATCCATGTCTGTTCTGGCCAGAGGGATGCTGGTCTACCAGTCCACCATCCAGCTCAACTAGAATCTGCTTCAGACTGGGACACGTTGGTTTTGGCAGAGGCTGGGGGGCTGGGGCTGCATCTTATCCAACATGCCTCCTCTTTTCTAAGGATATAGTGAATCTAATAAAGTACAAGCTCTGCCACTTTGTAGGCACTAGCATCCTAGGCCAGGATTGCTCTTCCTGTGAAAGTAGCACACCTAGAAGCTTCAGAGAGGTAAAAGCTTCAAACCACATTAACTCATTCAAATACGTTTAATTTGAATCTAATATGCCTAATGTACCTAATATATGCGAGTCATTGTGCTAGGCACTGGGCATACAGCAATGAACAAAGCAGGCAAAGATCTCTGGCCTTGTGATGCTTCATTTCCAGTAGATAGATAGAAATGCATATACAATAAAATGCCAAGGAGTGATCAGTGTTATGGAGAAAAACAAGGTAGGCCAAGGGGGCAAGGTGGCAGAGAGGGCCTCTCTGAGGAGGTACATTTGAGGTAGACAGTGGGGGAAAGGCATATCAGGCAGAGAGAACAGCAAGTGCAAAAGCCCTGAGGCCTAAGTATGCTGGAATGTTTTAGAAGTGGCAAAAGGCGGCCAATGAAGTGACATTCCAGGGGCTACAGAGTGGAAGAGAGAAGACAGTGGGCAGCCAGCTCAATGGCACCTTGTGGCCCATGGTGAGAACTCTGGATCCAACACGTTCAATATTTAGGGAACCAATGACAAATTTTCTGATAACTTAAAAGCAAGGAGAGGCTTGAGCCGAAACCTGGCCTGGCCCACATAGTCATGAAAGAAGCAGCTCATCTTCAGAGAATTCGTTCCAGCCCTTTCTTCCTCCTGCGCTCTTCAGCCCCGACCTGACACCCTTTGCCCTCACCCCAGGTCTCTTGTCTCTCCTTTGCACTATTCATTTGGTCACTGACTCATCAGCAAACAATCCTGGAGGTAGGGGATGAGAATCATGTGGTAAGCACCATGTCATGGCCAGGATTGGTTACTGGGATATACACAATCAGAACGCAGCCTGGCTTGAGATCATACTGGACATGGGCTCAGAGGAGCTGATTCTATCCAGCTTTGCCATTTAGCAGGCTTTGTTTTTAAATAGAAACTGCAATAACTGCTCTGCACTCATGCAGTGCTGAGGAGCCAGTGATGAAACTGGAGTGGCAGTGCTTTAGGTAAACTGTATAGTGAGATGCCCATGTCAGCTGCTCATGCCAAAGTGATTATAGTCATTAAGCCCTAAACCTGCCTATAGGACCTCGCCCTTGCAGCTAAGTGCCTTCATAAACACCATCTTTCTTACTTCCCTGGGTCCTGGGCCCCAGAAATGTCACACCTCCATTCCCTCCTTCAAACTCCCCTAACCTCACTGTTGCTCAACTCTAGGAAATACTGATCTTTCAGATCCCAGAGGTCACAGAAAACTTGCACAAGTGTAGGGCGTGGCCTCGTGTATGACACACACCAGCACTATGCTAGCACCTTCTGTAGACACATACCTCAACAGCCTCACCCACAGAAAGAACAACACACACTGCACCAAAAGGGCCCTTGGGCACATGCGTATCCTCTGCTTAGCTGATCAGCTGATCCATGTAATGGGGATGTTTATTCATTCATTCATTCATTCATTCATTCATTCATTCATTCATTCATTTGGTGAGTCATCAAACATTCCTTCAGAGGCTTCCATGGGCCAGCTCTGTGGTAGGTCCTGAGGCTCCGGCCATGACCTCTATTGCCTGGCCCTGGCGTATGGAGGCCTGAGATCTACCTGGGACAGACTCTGGAAGACTGCTTTATGGCCATGGCCATCTCATCAGCAAGTAGGAGCTATGCGAAACTGCATCCATCTGAGGGGTCAGCGATATCAAGGCTGCCTCTGAGGTAATGTCTGCGTCACCTCTGTTGGAGACTATGTTTGCCATTTTGAGTGGCCCATGGGACAAATTGCTTTCTCCATAGAAGGGGCCACCTCTGCAGCCCTGTAGTTGATAGTGAGTCAAGTGAGCAGGGATTTCATTCTGCCTTGCCATGCTATGTCAGTTTATGACTTTGGATACAGCCATTCTGCTCCCTGGGCCCTGGGCCCCCAACTGTCAGAGCAAGAATTGCAGAAGACAAACATTCCTACAAACTTCTCTTGTTCTAGACCCATCCTCATTATGTTTGCCCTATACTCCCCTACCACCTTGATTCACTGCATTTTATTTAACAGTTACCTATGTGATGCTTAGTGTGAGCTGGGACATGTTGTAAGTGCTTACATGAACTAACTCATTAAGTGGGTACTACTGTTATTCCTTAAAGATAAGGAAACTGCAGCACAGTGAAGTACTTACCCACTGTCCCATAACTGGTAAGTGTGGTGCTGGGAGTCTGACCATGCATCCGTCTTCAGAGTTCATTCTCTTAACTACTATGCTATGCTGCTTCCCTTAACAATTTTCTTTAAACAGATTCACTTTTTTAACATTATTTTTAAAAAACCATTATGACCACTGATTGAAAACCTATATGACTTGCCATAAATAGAAGAGACATTAAAATGCATGACTATTACATTTAAAACCCAATAGTCCTCCAAGTGACTCCTAAGATCATCTCTCAGATGACTGGGGACACTTGCGGACACCTGGGGAGGAAGCACTAATGGCTTTTCTGACACTTTAGGTACCTGCAGGCCTCCCAGGAAGAAGCTCGGGGGCAGACAGCCTTTATGCCTCTGTGGCCCTCCTCTCCTGCCTACAATAGTGCCACTCAGCAATACACAAGGTAAAGGCTTCAAGGAACTTGGCTACCACCAGTCTGGGGCTTCAATGACTCACTGCCAATCCCTGGGCATGATGCATCCACTCAGGGGCTGGTGACAGCCTAGCCAGAGGCTTCCTTTGCTCTCTGCTTTCTGGAGCGACAGCCCACTGGAGGCATGTCCAATCCCTGCCAGAGTAACGGACAAGTCTCCACTGTCTCCAGTGATGCCAGCAGAAACTGCAAGGGCGGGAGGTGGAGTGGGTGTGGATCCCAGCATGGCTCCTGGGTTTCTGCCAGGAAGGTATTCTGAGGATAGCAATCTGTGAATTCCACCACTCGTGCTCCTGAACACGCACCAGCTCTTCATTAAAAAAACAAGTCTTGATTAAACAGTTGCAGGCATAGTGGATTTGTCATCATCTTTTGAGGTCTCAGCCTCTTCCCACGGCGTTTGCCCACTTGCTCTGAGCTTCATAAAGCCAAAACTGCCTAGACCTTCTTCCTTCGCACCTTCCTGTAGCCATGTCATTGTGACTCCACCATGTTCGAGGTACACCTGGTCCAGGGCTCCATCCTGAAGAATGTGTTGGAGGCCCTTGAGGACCTCATTAGTGAGGCCTGCCGGGACATTAGCTCAAGCAGCTGAATGTGCACAGCATAGACTCGTTCTGCATCTCCTCGTGGCAGCTCACCCACTGCTCCAAGGGCTTCAACACGTGCTGCTGCGACTACAACCTGGCCATAGGCATGAACCTATCCAGTATGTTCAAAATACTAAACTGTGCTGGCAATGAAGATGTCATGATGTTAGGAGCTGAAGATAATGCAGACAACTTAGCACTAGTATTTGAAGCACTAAATCAGGAGAAAGTTTCGGATTATAAAATGAAGCTAATGGATTTGGATGTTGAACAACTTGGAATTCCAAAACAAGAGTACAGCTGTGTAGTAAAGATGCCTGCTGGTGAATTTGCATGCATATGCTGAGATCTCAATCATATTGGAGATGTTGTTGTAATTTCCTGTGCGAAAGATGGAGTGAAATTTTCTGCAACTGGAGAACTTGCAAATGGAAACATTAAATTGTCACAAATAAGTAATGTTGATAAAGAGAAGGAAGCTGTTGCCATAGAGATGAATGAACTAGTTCAGCTAACTTTTGCACTGATGTACCTGAACTTCTTCACAAAAGCCACTCCACGCTCTTCTACAGTGACACTCGGTATGTCTGTAGACGTACCACTTGTAGAGTATAACATTGCTAATATGGGACTTTTTTTTTTTTTTTTTTTTTGAAACAGAGTCTCGCTCTGTCCCCAGGCTGGCGTGCTTTGGCGCGATCTCGGCTCACTGCAACCTCTGCCTCCCAGGTTCAAGCGATTTTCCTGCCTCAGCCTCCTGAGGAGCTGGGACTACAGGCATGTGCCACCATGCCTGACTAATTTTGTATTTTTAGTAAAGACAGGGTTTCACCATGTTGGTCAGGCTGGTCTTGAACTCCTGACCTCAGGTGATCCATCCTCCTTGACCTCCCAAAGTGTTCGGATTACAGGCATAAGCCACCATGCCCGCGCCATATGGGACATTTAAAGTAAATATTACCTGCCTCCCAATATTGAAAATGAAGAAGGATCTTAGGCATTCTTAAAATTCAAGAAAATAAAACTAAGCTCTTTCAGAACTGCTTCTGGGATGCCAGTATATAATAAAGTCTTTTCTGTCACCAAATTTATGCTTCTGAGTACATATGTAAGTATAATTTTCTGTATATAACCTATTTTTCTCTATTCTCTATAATTTATTTTTTATTATTATACTTTAAGTTCTGGGATACTTGTGCAGAACATGCAGGTTTGTTACATAGGTATACATAAGCCATGGTGGTTTGCTGCACCCATCAACCCATCATCTAGATTTTAAACCACACAAGCATTAGGTATTTGTCCTAATGTTCTTCCTCTGCTTCCCCCAACCCCCCAACAGGCCCCAGTGTGTGATGTTCCCCTCCCTGTGTCCATGTGTTCTCATTGTTCAACTCCCACTTATGAGTGAGAACATGCGGTGTTTGCTTTTCTGTTCCTGTGTTAGTTTGCTTAGGATAAAGGTTTCCAGCTTCATCCATGTCCCTGCAAAGGACAAGAACTCATCCTTTTTATGGCTGCATAGTATTTCATGGTGTATATGTGCCACATTTTCTTTATCCAGTCTATCACTGATGGGCATTTGGGTTGGTTCTGTCTTTGCTATTGTGAACAGTGCTGCAATAAACATATGTGTGCGTGTGTCTTTATAGTAGAATGATTTATAATCCTTTGGTTATACACCCAGTAATGGGACTGCTGAGTCAAATGGTATTTCTGGTTCTAGATACTTGAGGAATTGCCACATTGTCTTCCACACCGGATGAACTAATGTACACTCCCACCAACAGTGTAAATGCATTCCTATTTCTCCACATCCTCTCCAGCATCTGTTGTTTCCTGACTTTTTAACGATTGCCATTCTAACTGGCGTGAGACGGTATCTCATTGTGGTTTTGATTTGCATTTCTCTAATGACCAGAGATGATGAGCATTTTTTCATATGTTTTTTGGCCACATAAATGTCTTCTTTTGAGAATTGTCTGTTCATATCCTTCACCCACTTGTTGATGGGGTTGTTTTTTCTTGTAAATTTGTTTGAGTTCTTTGTAGATTCTGGATATTAGCCCTTTGTCAGATGAGTAGATTGCAAAAATTTTCTTCCATTCTGTAGGTTGCCTGTTCACTCTGATAATAGTTTCTTTTGCTGTGCAGAAGCTCTTTAGTTTAATTAGATCCTGTTTGTCAATTTTGGCTTTGGTTGCAATTGCTTTTGGTGTTTTAGTCAGGAAGTCTTTCCCCATGCCTATATCCTGCATGGTATTGCCTAGGTTTTCTTCTAGGGTTTTTATGGTTTTGGGTTTTACATTTAAGTCTTTAATCCATCTTGAGTTAATTTTTGTATAAGGGTGTAAGGAAAGGGTCCAGTTTCTGTTTTCTCCACATGGCTAGCCAGTTTTCCCAGCACCATTTATTAAGTGGGGAAGGCTTTCCCCATTGCTTGTTTTTGTCAGGCTTCTCAAAGATCAGTGGTTGTAGATGTGCGGTGTTGTTTCTGAGGCCTCTGTTCTGTTCCATTGGTCTATATATCGGTTTTGGTCCCAGTACCATGCTGTTATGGCTACTGTAGCCTTGTAGCATAGTTTGAAGTCAGGTAGTGTGATGCCTCCAGCTTTGTTCTTTTTGCTTAGGATTGTCTTGGCTATGCGGGCTCTTTTTTGGTTCCATATGAAAGTTAAAGTAGTTTTTTCTAATTCTGTGAAGAAAGGCAATGGTAGCTTGATGGGAATAGCATTGAATCTATAAATTACTTTGGGCAGTATGGCCATTTTAACAATATTGATGCTTCCTATCCATGAGCATGGAATTTTTTTCCATTTGTTTGTGTCCTCTCTTATTCCCTTGGGCAGTGGTTTGTAGTTCTCCCAAAAGAGGTCATTCACACACCTTGTAAGTTGTATTCCTAGGTATTCTCTGTGTAGCAATTGTGAATGGGAGTTCACTCATAATTTGGCTGTTTGTCTATTATTGGTGTATAGGAATGCTTGTGATTTTTGCACATTGATTTTGTATCCTGAGACTGCTGAAGTTGCTTATCAGCTTAAGGAGTTTTTGAGCTGAGACAATGGGGTTTTCTAAATATACAATAATGTCATCTGCAAACAGAGACAATTTGACTTCCTCTCTCCCTATCTGAATATGCTTTATTTCTTTCTCTTACCTGATTGCCCTGGCCAGAACTTCCAATACTATGTTGAGTAGGAGTGGTGAGAGAGGGCATCCTTGTCTTGTGCTGGTTTTCAAAGGGAATGCACCCAGCTTTTGCCCATTCAGTATGATATTGGTTGTGGGTTTGTCATAAATAGCTCTTATTATTTTGAGATATATTCCATCAATATCTAGTTTATTAAGCGTTTTCAGCATGAAGGAGTGTTGAATTTTATCAAAGGCCTTTTCTGCATCTATTGAGATAATCATGTGGTTTTTGTCATTGGTTCTGTTTATGTGATGGATTACGTTTATTGATTTGTGTATGTTGAACCAGCCTTGCATCCCAGGGATGAAGCTGACTTGGTCGTGGTGGATAAGCTTTTTGATGTGCTGCTGGATTCAGTTTGCCAGTATTTTATTGAGGATTTTCACATCAATGTTCATCAGGAATATTGGCTTGAAATTGTCTTTTTCTGTTGTGTCTCTGCCAGGTTTTGGTATCAGGATGATGCTGGCTTCATAAAATGAGTTAGGGAAGAGTCCCTCTTTTTCTACTGTTTGGAATAGTTTCAGAAGGAATGGTACCAGCTCCTCTTTGTACCTCTGGTAGAATTCAGCTGTAAATCCGTCTGGTCCTGGACTTCTTTTGGTTGGTAGGCTATAAATTACTGCCTGAATTTCAGAACTTGTTATTGGTCTATTAAGGGATTTGACTTCTTCCTGGTTTAGTCTTGGGAGGGTATATGTGTCCAGGAATTTATCCGTTTCTTCTAGGTTTTCTAGTTTATTTGCATAGAGGTATTTATAGTATTCTCTGATGGTAGTTTGTATTTCTGTGGGATCAGTGGTGATAACCCCTTTATCATTTTTATTGTGTCTATTTGATTCTTCTCTCTCGTCTTCTTTATTAGTCTGGCTAGTTGTCTATCTATTTTGTTAATCTTTTCAGAAAAACAGCTCTTGGATTCACTGATTTTTTTGAAAGGTTTTTCGTGTATCTATCTCCTTCAGTTCTGCTCTGATCTTAGTTATTTCTTGTCTTCTGCTAGCTTTTGAATTTGTTTGCTCCCGCTTCTCTAGTTCTTTTAATTGTGATGTTGGGATATCGATTTTGGATCTTTCCTGTTTTCTGACAAGGGCATTTAGTGCTATAAATTTCCCTCTAAACACTGCTTTAGCTGTGTCCCAGAGATTCTGGTATGTTGTGTCTTTGTTCTCATTGGTTCCAAAGAACTTATTTATTTCTGCCTTAGTTTCATTATTTACCCAGTAGTCATTCAGGAGCAGGTTGTTCAGTTTCCATGTAGCTGCGTGGTTTTGTATTCTCTATAATTTTTTAAAGTCTAAAGTCAAATCTGGTCTTGTTAACCTAGAACTAACTTTTGCCTTACTTAGAAATATGTCTTGTGATTTTTTTAATACAAAAAGGTCTTGACTCTAAATGCAATTTTAAGAATTGTTTTTGAATTTAAATAAAGTTACCTGAATTTCAGTGCTTTCGTTTGGACCAGGACTGTTGCAAGTATCTACTGAATTATCAGCTAAAGCTACCATTTCATGTAAATGCTTTTTTAGTCTAGAGCACCCTGGTGAAGGTCAAAAATACTTCAAACACAGTAGGGTACCAGTTATTTGGGGGGAATCTGTCAAGCTTATTTTGCTCTTATTCTAACTGTGCTCAAGTAACGAACAGGGGAGAGTAAAACAAATCCTATGTATTTCATCATTTTGTCATTTTAGTTAGCAAAAATCAACACTCTTCAGAAGCCTAATGTGCCCAAAGTCTTGTGGACTTTATAAGATTATAGAGGTAGCATTTCTTTTCAGCCTAGGGCATCTTTTACAAGGGCTTTGGAAGTTTCAGTAGATGAGTGATGGGGCCCTTGGAGTATGGTTGTGAAAAAAAATTCTCTAATATAAATACCCTTTTTTGTGACTTCACTCCCTTAAAGGATTAAGATGTCTTAAATTCCATGGATGTTGGACCCAACCAAGAAAGCAAAAAGGCCCTGAAGTTGTAAAGAAAGACTTTAAAACATCCCCAGTAAATGCTGCAAGGTATATTTTGTGTTTGGTAGATTAAATGACTGGTTTCTTTCTTGTATTACTTGGACTGAGTTCTAGTTACTAGACATTACAATTAACTGTATTAAGTAGCTGGTATTCATTTACCTCAGTGTGCTTGTGAGTAGGGAAGGAGGGCTGCAAAGGGGCCCAGTGGAACTTTTTGGAGTGATGAAAATATTTTATCTAGATTGGTGATCATTCCAGGAGTGTATGCTTTTTTCAGAACCCATCCAATTATACCTTATTTTGTGTAAATTACACTTTAATAAACCTGACTTTTAAATAACCAAGGTTTTACTTGCATTGGCAGTGGAAGGAGGAAAAGTGAGGAATTGGCACAAGACAAAACAGTCTTCCATTAAACAGTTTTCTTTAACTTGGAGCACACATTCACTTGGGGAAGATGTTTGGGGAACCAAATCATACATGTACCATTGAGCAGCAGGCTGGGTGCTCAGAGGGCATGGTTGAGTCATTGAGGTAAGAGAAATCGAGCTGGAATCCCCCAAAATAAAGTTTGATTCTTGTCTCTAGCACTTGGGCAAGTGTGTGTGTGACCTCCTCTCTTGGTCTCTATGTCCTCATCTCTAAAATGGGGATGATATCCTGGGCCACCCAGCTTACAGGACCATTTTTGGTACTGAGTGAAAGAGTGGCTCTGTACATGCCCTGGAAACAGTGAAGCTCCCTGTGGATGGGGGCATTTGAGATGATGAGGAATTAACCACCCTCACCTGGTGACACCAAACCTGGTGTCAGGGACAAGGGCAGTTGGTTTTAGATCTGTCCTCTGTAAACAAGGGTGTAGTCCTGCCCACTTCCATGGCCATCATAACTTGTCAAATGATGCAATATTTGATCCAAAAGATAACCAGACTCACAGGAGGGCAGAATGCCAATGAAATGAAGCATTGGTTTATGCAGAAATGGAAATATTTTTAAACTCCTTATTTTGTTCTGGAATAAAATATAGGTTTGATTCCCATTGCAACTAGTTTACCAAGTAAAATTTGGCCAGGAGGCATCGGAGGGGATGGTTCAGGGAGGCAGGGAACAACTTTAGCTCAGTTGGAAATTTCAATAGATGACAGATACTCGGTTCAGTTTAGGTTCCAAGCAGGAGGGTTGTTTGCCCAGTTTGGGTTTAGAGGCTGTTACATTTGCGGTCCACTGGCCTTTTGTAATGGGGTTTGGCTGAGCAAGTGACATTCATCATAATGTGCTTTTTTAGTGTTTGCAAGTCAGAATCCATTTGATGGATGACATTCAGCTTTGGCTGTAACCACTAAGAGAATAAGCTGGCACAGTGGCTTACCCAGACACACAGGAGGCATCTACCCACCCTTCATTCATTCATTCAACAAACATTTATTAAACTCCTATTGTGCTAGGCTCTCTTCCAAACAATCAGAAAATGAAGATACTGAAGATTTAGTCTCTGATCTCAAGGAGTCCATAGTTGAGTAAAAAACAAGCCTGTAGAGAGATATATTACTATATAGGGATGTTAACAGTTATAGTCAATGCCCACACCAGGAGCAGGACAAGGAAAAAAAGTCTAAGCATCAGTTCATGATTCATAGAGGAGGTGGCCCCTGGTCTGGACCTCAAAAGATGAGAAGTTCACCAAATAAATGACACTGCATTCTGATTCTTATTTGTTTACCAGTGAATGGGTGTATTTATTTCTGCACGTGCATACACACACACACACACACACGCCATTAACTTTGTCTTCTTCATTGCTAACCAGTGAGAAAAACTCAGCAAGAAAAGGACCATTGATACCTGATATAGTTTGGATATTTGTTCCCACCCAAATCTCAAGTTGAATTGTAATCCCCAGTGCTGGAGGTGGGGCCTGGTGGGAGATGTTTGGGTTGGGGGGCGGATCCCTTATGGCTTGGTGATGTCTTTGTGATAGTGTTCTCATGAGATATGGTCATTTAATAGTGTGTGGCACCTAACCTCCCCCCCACCGCCCCCACCTATTCTCTCTCTTGCTCCTGATTTCGCCATGTGATGTGCCTGCTTCCACTTCACGTTCTGCCATGAGTAAAAGCTCCCTGAGACCTACCCAGAAGCCTAGCAATGTCGGCACTATGTACAGCCTGTAGAACAGTGAGCCAATTAAACCTCTTTTTATAAACTACCCAGTCTCAGGTATTTATAGCAACACAAGAACGGCCTAATACAATACCACACATAAACCTTCTTCCCCTGACAAGCCAAGGCCCTGGGAAGGGCTGAGGTGACAGTTACAAGCTGGAAAGGCCATTCTCATAGAGCTGCCACTTGCAGTGATAGCAAATAAGGAAAGAAAGTTCATTTCAGATTCTACTGGCTTAGGATGGGTAGCCCCGTGACAGCCAAATAGCCTTGACTTTGAGGAAAAAGCAAGAAGTCAAAACCTAATACCAGTTACTATCAAGACAAAAAGGTAATTATGGCATTTGGTCTGCAGGTATCAAAGAGCAAAGCAATGTTTGACCTTGCCAAAGGGTAGGGATTATGTCATGAGGATGTGTTAGCCACCGTGCACTCTGCTACTCAGTATCAGAGGAGCTGGGGAAGAGAGAACTTAATTCTCCCAGCAAGCAGGCAAGGCTAGCAGAGGCAGCATATTCAGTAGCCAATTGCCCAAGGTGGCTGCAAACAAAAAGATTAGACTTGCTTAACTGTTCAAGCTGCAGAACAACTCCCGAGGAAGGCTTATTGACTGCAGCTTCAGAAACAACAGCAGAGAGAAGGAACAAGGAGGAGGGAAGAGGAACACATGTGTTGATCCTGCTCACACTGGCAGGCAAAAGAGCCACCAGCCAGAAAACAAGTCAATGCAGAAACACTGGCTGAAAGTCACTCATTCTGGGGAAATTAAGAGAGAAGTGACATTCAAAAAATGTAAAGCTGGCTCAAGGCTGTAATCCCAACACTTTGGGAGCTGAGGTGGGCAGATCACAAGGTCAGGAAATCGAGACCAACCTGGTGAAACCCCGTCTCTACCAACCTGGTGAAACTCCATCTCTACTAAAAATACAAAAAAATTAGACGGGTGTGGTGGCATATGACTGTAATCCCAGCTACTCGGGATGCTGAGGCAGGAGAATCGCTTGAACCAGGGAGGCGGAGGTTGTAGTGAGCCAAGATGGCACCACTGCACTCCAGCCTGGGTGACAGAGCAAGACTCTGTCTCAAAAAAAAAAAAAAAAAGTAAAGCATCAAGTGACAGCATCAAGATGAATTTGTAGATTTAACCAACCATGAAGATGTACCTCTTAAGTAAGCTAAGTCCCCTAACCCACCACTCTTCCTCTTAAATGGTCACAGACTAGTAGCTGGCAGGGGCTAGAGAGGCCTCCAGACCAAATCCTTTATTTTATACTAGAGGCATCAGGGGTGGTAAGCAGATCAATGGACTGTGATCAAAAGTCCTTCCTCTCACTAGCTACAGGATCTCAGACAAGACATCTCAGCCTGTAAGCTGCAATTTCCTCATCAGTAAAATGGGAACATTAAGACTGATGTCATTTGAATGTTGTGAAGACTAAATAAGACATGTGAGAATGCATCCTAAGGGTTAGGTATATTTTTAACCTGTGAATATACCGCGGTTCTAAGAGGTAAAGTGATTTAAGCCCAAGAAATCAGCAAATGGGATGCAGAGCTAGAATTCCTGACACCTCAGGTGGTGTTCTTTCTGCTAAGCCACACCTGCCAACATGGAAAGAGTTTCATTTCAAGGGTGCAAATCTTGTCTCCTAGGCAAGCTTCTGTGGGACAAGGATTATGTATTCGCCATGCCCCACAATGGTGCTTCGTACTTAATAACAACAGCCAACATGCATGGAGGCTTTACAGTGTGCTGGGCTTTGTTCTAGGTGATTTTCATGTGCTAACTCATTTTATCCACATGTCAAATCTATGAGGTAAGATAGTATTATTATCATCAACTCCAACATTACAGATGAGGAAACTGAGCACTGGTTAAGAAAGTGCCCAAGATCACACCGCCAGTAAGTTGGTTATATTTATTTTCAAATCAAGGCAGTCTGACCCAAAAGCTCTGCTCTAACCACTATGAGGAGAAGCACTGATGTCGGAGCTGGCTGTGTTATCCCAGGGGTAAAGTAACCTGCTTGGATGTAGAAGACTGGCACAGGACTTGTACACACTAGGGACTCAATCAATTGTTGTTTCCCTTTATTTCATGGAAGTCCTGAAATAAAATAACTTGCCATGTGCAGCCCTGGTGCTGGCTTCTTGCCATCAGGATGACCCAGAAGTACTTCAATCCTTTCTGCCTGTCACATAGGACTCAAGAAAATTTGTCTTAAATGCACTGGGCCTGGACTTTAACCAACAAGGAGAAACATTCAACCTTGCTGCCAGTCAAAAAACACACATTAGAATTACATACTTTTAGGCTGAGTGCAGTGGCTCACACCTGTAATCCCAGCACTTTGGGAGGCTGAGGCGGGTGGATTGCTTGAGCCCAGGAGTTGAAAACCAGCCTGGGAAACATGGTGAAACCCTGTCTCCACAAAAAAATACAATTACCTAGGTGTGGTGGCACATACCTGTGGTCCCAACTACTCAGAAGGCTGACGTAAGAGGACCGCTTGAGCCCAGGAGGTCGAGACTGCAGTGAGCCATGATTGCGCCACTGCGCTCCAGCCTGAGTGACAGAGCAAGACCCTGTCTCAAAAAACAAACAAAACCCTATATACTCTTTTCACCTATCAAATTAGAAAAAAAAATTAATGATAACATTTAATGCTTTAATGCTGGCAGATGTGCGGTAAAACCGATATTCCTAGACCCTGTTATAACAGTATAAATTGTACTTCACATGAAAACAGTTTAGCCGCATATAGTTGACTCTTGTTATTCACAGTGGTTATATTCCATAACGTCACCACTAACACTGAACTAACGAATCCTGAACCATTGCTTCTAGGGGAGTCATGGGGTTAGGCTCCTGTGATCCTCTGGTCACATCTTCATCAACCAATCAATGCATAACCTTGTTTTATGTGTGTTTCTGTTTAAAGACACGTTATTTAATATACTATATACTGTTGATTAACACTGAACTCACAGCCAACAGCACTACAACTCAGGCCTGAACGATGCTCAAACACACATATTTTCTCTATAAGGCACATCACAGCCTTCTTCCACTTAGAAACACAAGACAGCACATCAATACTATGATGGGGGTCATTTTAAACAGCAAAATCGCCCATATAAAGCACAAAAATGCAAAAGCCATAGCACTAACTAGACCGTGAAGAGGACATTCATTTATAACTGAATCAGGAAGGCAAGTGTCACTTTGCTGGACCTCAGTTGCGAATGTGCATGACAGGTGTCTCACTTGCTCTCACAACGTGCATGTCCAAGAATGACCATGAAAGCACGGCCAGCATTGATTTGGGAGTTACAAATAACTGTTAGCATGCAGATGAACTCACGAACTCAGAATCTGTGAAAAATGAGGACCAACTGTATATATTAAGAAACTAACAAGCTTGTGCACATTGAAAAGCATGGGTGACAGAAATCTGGATTTGATTTCACAAGCAGCTTTTGAACTGATCTTATTTCCGCTGAAAAAGATCCATCTGAGACTACAGTGTGGGCTCAACTGGTAAGAACTACTGTTCAGTTCAGGCTTAGCATTGCAGCAAGGAGAGTTAAAGGCCCCAAGCTTGGATTTGGGGATGGGAAGCATCACAAAACCAGGCACAGGCTCCCCTGCCCCTCACAGACTCAAGGCCCTGGCCTCCACAGAGAAAGCTCCCACCAAGAAACCAAGCCCTTCTCAAGTGTCTGCTGAACCCACGGTTCTAGGGATAGCCAGGAGGACAAAGCCCCTTCTCCTGTTCTGACTTATCTCTGCCCCTCTTCACCTCTCTGATCTGTTTGTGGTACACTGGCCTCCCTGCTGTTCCCTGAACACACCAGGCAGGATATGGTCCCACCTCAGGGCCTTTGCACTTTCTGTCTGCCCACCTAGAACACTCTCTAGACATTTGATGGGCTCCCTCCCTACGTCTTTCCTCTCTGCTCAGTGAGGCTTTCTCTCCCCTCTCTGCCTTCCCTGTTTTGTCTCCATAGGAATTACCACCATCTGATAGATCATTTGTTTTGCTTGCTCATTTATTATCTCTCCCCCATGTAAACTGGGGAGAGGGGGATTTTATGGTTCTTATAGTACCCCTATTCCTAGGGGAAGGCCTAGCACATAGTAGGCACTCAGTAAATGGTACTATTTGTTAACTGAATTAATGGATGTAATATACTAGTAATAATGATAGTGGGAGTTAACATTTTTGCATCAGTTACTGTGTCGGGTGCTTTACACAGGTTACTGCATTGAAATTCCAAAGCCTTAACACGTGAGCACTGTTATGCTTATTTTGCAGAAGGAACCAAGGCACAGGGAGATTATGCAACTTAATTAAGGTCAACCAGCCAGTAAAAGATTGAACTGTAATAAATCTCAGCTTTTTCTGACTCGAAAGTCACTATACCAATTTTCAAACTTTCTGTGGTTAAGGAACCAGTTGGTTTTTTTCTTCTTCTTCTTCCCAGTCTATCATAGATTGATTAACAGAAAAATGAAATGGGGGAAATCTACAAAATACAATATGTGCTTGAATGTCATGGCACTATCCAAGTTTTTAAACACCTTCAATATTTGTACTTATCTCCCCACTGACAGGTAGAAACAGTTTGGTCTACAGTGCAGTTTTTGAGTATATTGAGCTCTGCATTACACCCAAGGAATCAAATACTGTCGTTCTGAGTTTCTAGGTCATCTGGGGACTGAGGTTGAGACTCCAGAAGAAAAGTCCATGATCTCTTTTACTTGTAGGAAACTTGAAAATGTCTCAAGTCAAGTTTCCTTCATTTGACCCCTTACAGTTGTTAGAAGTGGGTCCTCTCACCCTCAATTTTCAGGTAAGAAAACCTGTTTTTCCTCTGCCTAGAATGCCCCTCCTCTGGGCTCTGCAGGGGGTCACCTCCTTAGAGTGACCCTCCCCAACCAACCATGCAAATAGCATTGCTGACCCTCTCTTATCACACAGTCTAATTTCCATCACAGCATTTTTTACCATCAGAAATTTTCTTTTTCCTTGTTTACATATTTGCATTCTCTCATCACTCTTTATATTAATAACACAAACTCCAGGAGGGTGGAAACCTCAGCTCATCAGTCCCTCTACCCAGCAAAGAATTTGGTCCCTTGAAGTATTAACTGAATAATGCAGTAAGAAAAAAGAAACACAGAATGATTAAATAGCTTACCTAAGGTCAAAAGCAGGTAAAGGCCTGAGATGGAAATCACATCCACTCAGTTGTTCAACAGAGAATGTTTCAGTGTCTCTTTCTCCAGCATGGGCATGGAGCTGGGCACTGGGGTCTTGGTGGTGGATGAGAGAGGGAAGACTCCTGTCTTGATTGGGGCCCACAGGACTCAATCCCAAGCACAGCAGTTCTCCTCCCCGCCTTTCTGGCCCTCTCCATGTTCTTTCATCTGTACATACTATTCTGCTTTCAAACACTTTCTCACAAACAATCGTGTTATTGTGTAAGCAGGACATTATATTACACTCACTTTTAGCACTGCCAGATAAAATGTGTTACATTTAAATTGCAAATAAACAATGAATAATTCTTTAGTATGAATATGTTCCATGCAATGCTCAGGAAATACTTATACTGAGAAATTGTTCGTTGTTTATCTGAAACTCAAATTTAACTGGCTCTCTTGATTTTTTTCTTTCATTTTTTTGCCCGTAAATATGGCAAGCCTACACATTTTACTGATTAGAAAACTGGGGCTCAGGGAGGACAGAGAACTCCAGTAACTTGGCCCTAAAGGCAGACACCAACACCCAGCCAGAGAGCAAGAGCTAGCCCTATCCACCATAGAACAATGAACTCAATGTTTCTTGAGTCAGAAAACCTGACCCCCCACAGCTCCTTTTACTTCTTTCTTAAGGACCCAGTGCTTCTGAGCCCAGGCCAATTCCAGCATGGCTGTCCAAATCCATATCCCCTGAGGATTATCTTGCCATTGAAATGTCTTCCTGGCCTCCAGCAAAGAAGCAGTTGCCATGTCTATGTTTAACCACTTTTAGTAAATTTTTCTTCTGATGATAAAAATACCTTTGTAATGTATTTACACAATGGAACACTACACATCAATGAAAAAGGAACAGATGCTGCTACATACAACAGAACAGCTTGGTAAGTTTTTATATATTTATACACATCGACCTAAAGAAATAGCACTGAGTAAAAGTCTCGACACGAAAAAAGAAAACATCTGGTATGACTCCGTATATATGAAGTTCAAAAATAGTCACAATTAATTTGTGGCCGTAGAAGTCAGAACAGTGGTTTCTGAGGGGTGGGGGTCATTGGGAAGGGACATGAGGGAACTTTCTGGGGTTTTCATAATGTTCTGTATCTTAAGCTGGGTGATGGCTATATGTATATATAAACATATCTTAAAACTTACATGTTCACTTAAGATTTGTGTACTTTTCCAGTTGTAGATTACACTTAAAAGAAAAATTTAAAATAAACAATACATGCTGACTGTAAAAAAATGCCTAAAGTAGACAAGTATTTATTTATTTATTATTTAATTTTATTTATTTTATTTTATTTATTTTTTTTTTTTTTGAGACGGAGTCTCGCTCTGTCGCCCAGGCCGGACTGCGGACTGCAGTGGCGCAATCTCGGCTCACTGCAAGCTCCGCTTCCCGGGTTCACGCCATTCTCCTGCCTCAGCCTCCCGAGTAGCTGGGACTACAGGCGCCCGCCACCGCGCCCGGCTAATTTTTTGTATTTTTAGTAGAGACGGGGTTTCACCTTGTTAGCCAGGATGGTCTCGATCTCCTGACCTCATGATCCACCCGCCTCGGCCTCCCAAAGTGCTGGGATTACAGGCGTGAGCCACCGCGCCCGGCCTATTTATTTATTTTTTTGAGATGGAGTCTCACTCTGTCGTCCAGGCTGGAGTACAGTTGTGCAACCTCGGTTCACTGCAAGCTCTGCCTCCCAGGTTCACGCCGTTCTCCTGCCTCAGCCTCCCGAGTAGTTGGGACTACAGGCACAGGCCACTACGCCCGGCTAATTTTTTTTTGTATTTTCAGTAGAGATGGGGTTTCACCGTGTTAGCCAGGATGGTCTCGATCTCCTGACCTCGTGATCCGCCCGCCTCGGCCTCCCAAAGTGCTGGGATTACAGGCGTGAGCCACCGCGCCCGGCCAAAGTAGTCAAGTATTTTTTAAAAATTAGGCCGGGCGTGAGCTGACGCCTGTAATCCCAGCACTTTGGGAGGCCAAGGCGGGCAGATCACAAGGTCAGGAGATCGAGACCATCCTGGCTAACACGGTGAAACCCCATCTCCACTGAAAATACAAAAAAAAATTAGCCGGGAGTGGTGGCTGGCGCCTGTAGTGTCAGCTACCTGGGAGGCTGAGGCAGGAGAATGGCGTGAACCCGGAAGGCGGAGCTTGCAGTGAGCCGAGATTGTGCCACTGCACTACAGCCTGGGCAACAGAGTGAGACTCCGTCTCAAAAAAATAAATAAATAAATAATTTAAAAATCATCTGTACTACCACCACTGGGAGATATCGCAACTAACATTTTAGAGTGTCTCCTTCCAGATCTTTTTCCAATAGCATTAACTTTTCATGAGTATTTCCTAAGAGAGGAATTCGGGACCTAATGCCAATCAGTGGAGGTGCTAACTTACTTAGGAGTCTGAATTTCCTGGACGTGACTTTCACTTATCCAGGAAGCCCTGACACAACTAGATTTAATTTGACCATTTTTAGAAAAGCATGGAACAATTAACAGCAAATAAATGGAATTTAAATCAAATTGAATACAGCTTTTCAATGACATGTCTTAAAATTTAATTTTAAGCACAGTAATGAATAGGAAATGAAAGCTTGGCTTTGGAGAACTCATGAGCCTTCTGGGACCAGGAGTGCCACCTACTGGTCACGGCCTGCCATGACACATCCCAACATCTGTGTCACCCTCCTTAATTAAAAGCCCCAACTATGATGCCTCCTTTTCTCATAAGTTTATACATCTCCTCCAAGAGCTTTCCAGACATCTGTTTCTACAGTGCATTGTATACGTCCTATAACATAGAATTATCTTAATAAATATTTGCTCAATGAATAAATGCATGGATGGGTGGATGGATGGATGGATGAGTTAGATGGGTGGATGGATAGATAGATAGATAGATAGATAGATAGATAGATAGATAGATAGATAGATAGATAGATAGATAGACAGACAGATAGATAGATAAAAGATAGACAGACAGACATTCTTGCACCTCATTGTAAAATAAGAGAATAATCCCTATCCTACCCACTTCATAGTCTTTTTTCGAAGAATAGATAACCACTGGTAAAGACCATAGGGATATGAGTGAATATTATGACAGCCAATGCCAGGAGACTGTAGGGGTCAAATGGTGACCAGGGTAAGCAGTGAGGCTAGAGACAGAGCATTAAAAACAGGAAACCTAAATAAATGTGAAAATGTCTTGAGCCAGGGACTTAATAGGAACCTGAAAAATGTTAGCTCTTTTCCCTTTCTTCTGTCCCCATTTACAGCCCCAGCTCACAAATCCTTTCTGTAGTATATGAGGAGTTAAGAATGAAGATCTGACTGGGTGCAGTGGCTCACTACCTGTAATCCCAGCACTTTGGGAGGCTGAGGCAGGGGGATTGCTTAAGCCCAGGAGTTTGAGACCAGCCTGGATAACATAGTGAGACTTCATCTCTACAAAAAAAATAAAATTAAAAAAAATTGCTAGGCATGGTGATGCATGCCTGCAGTCCCAGCTACCTGGGAGGTCGAGGCTGCAATGAGCCATGACCATGCCACTGCACTCCAGCCTGGGCAACAGAGCAAAACCCTGTCTCAAAAAGAGATCTGTCCTTTCCTGGGCTCATTCAGAGGTAAAGTGATGTTCAATGTTTGCCTGTTGTCAGTTTTGAAAGAGGCCAAGATCACTGTGCTTGTAATGTGAGCTGGCCCATCAAAGCCCCTTTCAGTTAGGAAAAGTGGTTTGTGAATCATCACTGTCAGTCTGGCTGATTGCAAGGTGCCCATCTGAGCGTGTCCACTGTTGACAGCATTTGACAAGCATCGTGCGGGCCTCACTTCTAGAGGCTGCACAGTGGGGGCTCTGTTCTGCATAAAGGCTGCATGATGTGGCAGAAAGAATACAGACAATAATTAGGAGGATTAGGATTTGCCACTCACTGGCTGTGTGACCTTGAGCAAGTCAGCTTGCCTTTTGCCAGTATATAAACCACCTCATTAGAACCATGTAACAAGATAATGCCTGAGAAAACACTTTGTAAATTAAAGCACTGGACCCAGGGTAAGGTGTGGCTATTAATAGAATCCCAAGTGGGCCAGGTGCGGTCACTCACACCTGTAATCCCAGCACTTTGGGAGGCCAAGGTGGGCGGATCACCTGAGGTTGGGAGTTCGAGACCAGCCTGACCAACATGGAGAAACCCTGTCTCTACTAAAGATACAAAATTAGCTGGGCGTGGTGGTGCATGCCTGTAATCCCAGCTACTTGAGAGGCTGAGGTAGGAGAATCGCTTGAACACAGGAGGCAGAGGTTGCGGTGAGCCAAGATCACACCATTGCTCTCCAGCCTATGCAACAAGAGCGAAATTCCATCTCAAAAAAAAAAAAAAAAAAGGGAACCCCAAGTGAACTTCTGCCCCAGAGGGGCCTGACCCAGCTGAAAAACCACAGCCCCAGCTACTCAAGAGGCTGAAGCAGGAGAATTGCTTGAGGCCAGGAGTTCAATGATGCAGTATACAATTATCGCACCTGTGAATGGCCACTGTACTCCAGCCTGGACAACTTAGTGAGACTCCATCTCTAAAAATTTTTTATTTTAATAAGCAAAACTGCAGGTAGTGTCATTTGCACTGATCTGGATCAGACTTCTACTGATGAACTTCAACACTATTTCAGCAGCTACATAACAAACTTTTTCATGTTAAGCTTATGGTCCACTAAGACCTACCCCTGATGGCTTTTTTAAAATATGGACTACAATCCTTCGTATTTCACCCACTCTTTGATTGGGTAATTGACATTTTTAAAGCTAAATATAGACTTTGTGTTACATTTCCTCTAGATAAATTTAATATTATTGCTTTGGTCCATCCATCTAGGCTATTAAAATATTTTTATTACTACTTTGGCCATTCCATACATTACCTTGCCCTGTTGACTTGGCGAGAGTTAAACATTTCAACAGTGTCCAATCCATTCATCCATTCAACCTACATTAACTGAGCACTTACTACTCTCTAGATGTTACGTAGGAGCCAAAGATGCAGAGGATGTATCTGACAGAGGGTGGCAAGTACTTCTGTAGAAGCAAGCCATGGGTTCAGAGAGCAGGGAATCTCTATTGCTGCCAGCAGCAATGGAAAGGTTTCCCAGTTTATGAAACATGGCAGAAGCCAAGACCCAGTCTCCTTTTCTTTCTGAGCATACTGCTGGGCTGTATTTCCCAGCCCCCAATGATTCTTTGTGCTTCCACATTAATGACCAGGTCTTTCTTCCCAGGCAGATAAACAGATGAAATTCCACTGTGGTAATCCTTTCATGATTTCCTCTGCCTTCCAAGCAAAAAAAAAAAATCTGCAGGTGGCAGTAGTCTGTCCTTATCTTTCTGACCTCATAACCTTATATTCATCCCCTTGCTAGTACACATGTCCGTTTGGCAAATTATCAGTAGAGTTCCCACAATGGGCCAGGCCATCGCATTCTCTTAAATCCTCTCTGAGCTCAAAATCTCCACACTGGGGAGTGGTGCCTTCCCCATCCTGGTGGGTCCCCTTCTCCTTTGCATCCTTTGCTTTTGCATCCTAGCTTAGATCAAGGTCTGGGCATCTGCATCCATACACCCTTGCTTAGCACCAGGCATCCAAGCCACTGTGTAAAGGTGCTGCATGAGGGAAGGAGAGGACAAGGAGCACTCTGTCCACTTAGTCTCTTGATTAGTAGAGCACTGCAGTAAGAAAAACCTGGACATCAACTGAAGAGACAGGGGCTCAAGTCCCAGACCTGCGAGCAACCAACTCTGTGATTTGGGATATGCCCTTCTGAACTTTATTATAAAACAAGCTAAATAGACTTTCAGCTCCAATATTGTGATTCTTTCTAGGCCAATCCCTAATTCCTGGTTGAACCCTCTATTCTATTCTAATCTAGATTTACAGTAAAACAAACAAACAAACAATTTTACGAGGCAGAAGAAAGGGAAAAGAGTTTACCCAGCCTTCCTTATACCAAAATATCTGCTGGCAATGTGCAGCCCAAAGCTGAAAAACAATTGCTAAGGGTTATAATTCCAGAATATCCTCAGATTTGTCCTTGCCCATAACCTGATTTCTTTTAAGGCCAGACTAATTGTGTCCAGACTCAAGCTCCATGCTAAGTCAGGACTGACTTAAATTATTCATGGAATTTCCACACTGGGATGGTTTGGGAGATATTATTTGCAGATGTATTTATCCTTTCCCATCTTCAGGAACTCTTAATAATGAGCTGTTTAGATAGGCAATCCGTTAGCTTCCTTGAGCCTCCATTTCTTCACCTGTCAACAAGGAACACAGTTCCTCCCTTGTCTTTGGCTCTCGAATATCTTTGGTTCTGTGATTGCAGGTGCCTCAGCCTGAGATTTCACATGCAGATCACAACCAACAGCAAACCACATAGACATTAAAAAAAAAAGAATGCCATTTGATGATTAAACTCAAAAGGAATTATGCAATTAGCAAAGGACGTTGATCACACAACATGTGAGTCTAATTGCAGTGCATGCAAATGTTTGCTAAATTAGATAAATATAGGTTTGCAGGCACTCTGGTGCACAGATTGAGTTTTAAAGTTAAGAAAAATATAAAAGTTAATTATAAGATGGGAGTGATAAACACAGGGTATGCGCGCTAGGCCGATTAGGATTATTAACCAAGTAATCACCTCATGCCAAAGGTGGAGTGTTATAGGAGTCATGGGCCCATACTCTGACTATTGTGTAATGAAGTTATCATGTTTTATAGAACATGAAAAACTTGCTTCATTTTTACACAGCACCTGTCATCTGGGGAATCTCAGCACTTTGAGGTGTTTCCATTCTCTCACCAGTTTGCCTGATGCACATTGCCGAGGTGAGCAAGACTTCGTGTACTGGCTTAGGGAAGAAATGCTGGATGCTAACCATTCTCAGGCCCTCAGGAACCTGACACGAATGAGAAATCCATAAGCCCACAAGGCAGCTCTTATAGGAGTAAACCTATTAGCCTGCCAGGACCTTCTAGGTAGAGGAAAAAGAGTGCTGGAAAGCTACCTACAGCGGGAGTCTAGGTCCTGGAGGCAGATTGCTCAGATTTGAATCCTGGGTCAATCACTAATTCTTTGACCAGCTCAGCTCACCATGCCTTCGCTTCTTCATCTCTATAATGGAGACACAATATCATCTACCTCTTAGGGTTATTGCGAGAATTAAATTATTACTTTGAATAGCACTAAGAATACTGTCTGACACATGGGAAACAATAAATGATTTATTTCTTATTATTTGCTTTTCACTGTTCATTAGTTTACATGCAACAAAGGGACCACTACATATAAGGCACTATGCTAATGACCACAGTGGGGGATACACACACATGGGTTCCATCATCACATTGGTATATAGGGAGGAAATGTTGGCACTCAAATAATTACAGTGAAGCAACATATGAGAAGTACTGTTTAAGTGTTTCAAAGTGTTCAAGGTGGGGGGATCATTCCTGCAAGGTGACTGGAGAAAGCTTCATTAAAGACAGGCCACTTCAGGCAGACCATGATGAGATTTTTAGCAGAGGGGAGGTTGGGTGGGAAGGTCACATTCTAGGTAGAAGATACCTCATGAGCAAAGATGCTGAAGTCAGAAAATCCCAGGCAACATCAAGTTATTGCAGGAAGTGATGGGCAAGGCTGGAAAGGAGTTGATATGTTTTGACTGTGTCCCCACCCAAATCTCATCTTGAATTGTAACTCCCACAATTCCTATAATTCCCATATGTCATGGGAGGAACTGGTGGGAGGTGATTGAATCATGGGGATGGGTCTTTCCCATGCTGTTCTCATGATAGTGAATGGGTCTCACAAGATCTGATGGTTTTAAAAATGGGAGTTTCTCTGCACAAACTGTTTTGCCTGCTGCCATCCATGTAAGACATGACTTGCTCCTCCTTGCCTTCCACTGTGATTGTGAGGTCTCCCCAGCCATATGGAACCATAAGTCCAACAAACCTCTTTCTTTCGTAAATTGCCCAGTCTCAAGTCTGTCTTTATCAGCAGCGTGAAAAAGAACGAATGTAGAAGCTTTGAGGTCTACCTGGGGGGACTGGGGGCTGTGTCAGGTCAAGCACTGAGTCTTGACTTTATCTCATGAGTCCCTGGGATATTTTTAATGAAATAGGACAAAGCAGTGTTAAAGGAAGATGAGTCTGGCAGGGTTAGTGGAAAAGATGGAAAAGGGAAAGACTGGTGAGAAAGGGAGCTGCCAGCTACGGCAGTGCCCCAGGTGTGTGGCAACAAGGGTAAGAATGAAAAGGCAGGGGTGCAAGGGGGGACACTGGGCCAAAGTGTCAAGACTCAGTGACGGAGTGGAGGTACAGAGCAAGAACAGGGAAGAGGAGGAGAGGATGGTGAGGGTTTGAACTCGAGCAGCAGGGACAGAAAAGAAGTCATACTCGTCCTCCAGAGGTTCTGATTCCTGGTTACCCAGCACTTTATCCAGATAGGATCTCTGCAACAAGAGGCAGCACAGGGCAGGATTTCCCAACACAGGCTTGAGAGTCAGACAGCTCAGGGTTTCCTGCTAAGCTGTGTTATCTTCACCAAGTTTTAACCAGAGCTTCCATTTCCTCTTTTGCCAAAGGGGGATTGAAGACAACATACCTCAGGGATGTTGTGAAGATTAAATGAGATCATGTGATGATGAAGCACCTGCACATGGGGAAAATCCTGGGGCAGGGAAGAGGCCAGTGCCCCAGAATGTAGAATATCAGAAAAGACGAAAAAATAAAAATGAAAAATATTTTGCATTAAAATTCTTCTGAACAGGGGTTGTTCACGTTTTAATGATTCAGAAGCTCTCTGTGAATCTTGCAGCACCACCAGCGCCTCCAGCATACTATCACTATACTGAGGCCTCACAGAAGCGCTAGCTGGCACATATTCGAGTCAGAATAAAGATAAACCAGCTCATCACATTGATCTGGAGCCAGAAAGAAGGAGAGCAGTGATCAACAATCCCAGATCCTGCTGATGGGCTCAGCCTGTGAATTTTGGTAAATTTCTCCCATGTTTTCATCAAAGATCCCAACAGTTTTCTTCTCCTCCCCTTCCAGCAATGCTAGCTTCCACATGCCTTTCCCAATTTCCTGTGACGAAGGTTGTAGAGACCATCCCAGGGGCTGCTGACCAGTCAGCTGGTGTGCGTGGACTTCAAAGGCCTATTGACACAGCTGTACACCACTGGGCCAGGGGCCAGCGGCAGGCCTGCCTGAAATGCTTTATCCACACCTTGACAGCAATACAGCCCTCCCCAAGAGGACCAATAAACCATCTCAGCTCTTGGATCACTGTTATTTAGTCAACAAAAATTCAACATACAAATGCAAACTGGTTCTACCAAGTGGGCCACTGGAGTTTGGAAATTATAACCTGAATCTCTGCCTGATCCGTTTTCTGCCACTGCAGAACTCTGCTCACAGCTGATGTCTTATTATGGACAAAATTGTCTTTCAGCCAAGCTGCTGTTACTTTTCAAAAATACCCAGATCATTCTGAGATAATCCTTATGGGTACAGAGAGACAAAAAGAAAGCAAGCTGTGAAGCAGGGGATTAACCCCAGTCCATCACACTTCAAAGCCTGTGCTTTTTCCAGTTTTCAAGGAAAGCTCGGCATCAGCATAGACTTGTACGATGTCGGGAGATTTAAGTAATCAAGTCTACACTCCCCATGTTACAGGGGAGACGAGTGCAGCTCAGAGGAGTTCAGTGACTTGTCCAAGATCGCACAGCAAGTGACATCTCCTACTATGAAAACCAATAAGCTAGCAAGAGATTTGATCATATTAATAAGACTATGTCCTTATAATCAAATAGCAATTAACATTTTCAAACAATATTTTTACACTTGTAGCCTCAGCTGGTCCCATACCATCAATGAAGTGTTTATGCCATAGATATTACCAGCCCATTTCACAGAGGAGGAAACTGAGGCTCAGAGAGGTAAGTGGTTTCCGTAAAGTTGCAGAGCTAGTAGGTGTCAGAGTCGGGAACTAGAGCTGGAGTCTTCAGATTCTAAGACAGTTGGCAAGTGGTAACCAAATCCAATTCTATGCCTGGGCCTGTACTTCAAGCAATTAAGAAATCTCTGTGCTGGGAGCAAAGAGACAGGAAAGTGAAGCACAAGAGAGGTGATATTTACTAATAGAGCCAATAAACTAGATACAAAACCTTAAATTATGATGCATTGACTAATTCTAGTAATAGATAAGAACATGTTACCTTAACGTATTTTTCCTCTTCAACATGTCTTTCTCAAGCCATTTCTCCTTTAAAAAAAAAAAAAAAAAAAAAGATAAAGCAGGCTTCTAGTTGTAAGGATTCCAAAGACACTGGGGCATTTGCTGAGCTGAGTACTGAACATAGCTGCACCTGCAGTAGGGGCAGTGGGAGGTCGGGGAAGGGGGTGGAGGACACAGATTCTGCTGCTTAGAAGAAACAATTTCCTCGCGAAAGGTTCTTACACACAATCTAACTATTGGAAATCTCTACGAAGTGATTGAGAAAGCAAAAATAAACACAAAGGCAGATACGCATTTCTCTGGATTGGTTTGGATTATATTATATATAACATATGATAATAATAGCTATTAAGTACTTGCCATGTGCTAAACATTGTGCAAGTACTTTGCATCTATTATCTCATGTAATCCTCATGACAGCCCATGAAGATGTATATTTTAATCCCAATTTTAGGGAGTGGGGGGAAAGGAGGTTCAGAGAGGTTAAGTCATTTGCCTAAGGATGCACAGCTATAATGAGATGGCCTTTGAACCAACCAAGGTCTGTTTCACCACAAAGTCCTAATTTTCATCCACATCTTATCCTATCTCAAGGAAAGATTACAGACTAGAAGATACTTCTCTGTCCTCCAGACCCTGATTTCTTTAAAAGCAGCCATCTTAGGCCAGGAGTGGTAGCTCACACCTGTAATCCCAGCACTTTAGGAGGCCCAGGCAGGAGAACTGCTTGAGACCAGGAGTTCAAGGCTGCAGTGAGCTATAATCACGCCACTGCACTCCAGCCTGGGTAAAAGGGCAAGACCTTGTCTCTAAAAATAAAAAAAAGGAGAAATAATTTAAAAGTAATGCCATTTTGTATTCTTCAAATCAACTTTAAAACAATTTTAAATTGTCATCTCAAAGATTGAATCTGTAACAAAGCTTAACACTATTTTATCTATTTTTTTAAATAAAAATGCTTGTTCCAATTTTTAATTTTTTTTTCAACTTTCATTTTAGATTCAGGGGATACATGTGCAAGTGTGTTACCTGGGTATATTGCAGGATGCCGAGGTTTGGAGTATGAATGACCCCATCACCCAGGTAGTGGGTATAGTACCCAACTGTTTATTTTTCAGCCTTCAGCCTTTGTCCCCCTTCCTCCCTCCTCCCATTAGTAGTCCCCAGTTTCTACTGTTGCCATGTTTATGTCCATGAATACCCAAAGTTTAGCTCCCACTTGTAAGCGAGAACATGTGGTATTTAGTTTTCTGTTCCTACCGTAATTCACTTAGGACAGTGGCCTACAGCTGCACCCATGTTGCTTCAAAGGACATGATTTCATTCTTTCTTATGGCTGTGTAGTATTCCATGGTATGTATGTACCACATTTTCTTTATCCAATCTACCGCTGATGGGCACCTAGGTTGATTCCATGTCTTTGCTATTCTGAATAGTGCTTTGATGAACATGAAAGTACATGTGTCTTTTTGGTAGAACAATTTGTTTTCTCTTGGATATATACCCGGTAATGGGATTTCTAGGTCGAATGGTAGTTCTGAGTTCTTTGAGAAATCTCCAAACTGATATCCGCAGTGACTGAACTAATTTACATTCCCACCAACAATGTATAAGCATTCCCTTTCCTCCACAGCCTCAACAACATCTGTTGTTTTTTAACGTTTTAATAACAGCCATTCAGACTGGTGTGAGATGGTATCTTATCGTGGTTTTGATTTGCATTTCTCCATTTAGTGATGTGGAGCATTTTTTCATATGTTTGTTGGCTGCTTGTATGTCTTCTTTTGAGATGTGTTCATGTCTTTTGTCCATTTTTTAATGGGGTTGATTTTTGCTTGTTCAATTATTTAAGTTCTTTATAGATTCTGGGTATTAGACCTTTGCTGGATGCATAATTTACCATTTTTTTCCCATTCTCTAGGTTGTCTGTTTACTCTGTTGATAGTTTCTGTTGTTGTGCAGGAGCTCTTTAGTTTAATTAGGTCTCACTTGTCAATGTTTTTATTGCAATTGCTTTTGAGGACTTAGTCATAAATTCTTTCCTAAGGCTGATGTCCAGAGTGGTGTTCCCTAGGTTTTCTTCTAGGATTCTTAGTTTGAGGTCTTACATTTAAATCTTTAATCCAACTTGAGTTAATTTTTATATATCTTGAAAGGCAGGGATTCAGTTTCATCCTTCTGCATATGGCTATCCAGCTATCCCAGCACCATTTATTGAATAGGGAGTCCTTTCCTCATTGCTTATTTTTGTCAACTTTGTTAAAGATTAGATGCCTGTAGGTGTGTGGCTTTACTTCTGGGTTCTCTATTCTGTTCTATTGGTCTATGTGTATGTTTTTGTACCAGTATCATGCTGTTTGGGTTACTGTAGCTTTATAACATAGTTTGAAGTTGGGTAATGTGATGTCTCTGGCTTTGTTCTTTTTTCTTAAGATCGCTTTGGCTATTTGGGGTCTTTATTGGTTCTGTATGAATTGTAGAATTTTTTTCCAATTCTGTGAAAAATGATGTTGGTAGTTTGATATGAATATCATTGAATCTGTAGATTGCTTGGGGCAGTATGGCCATTTTAATGATACTTATTCTTCCAAGTCATGAACATGGAATGTTTTCATTTGTTTGTGTCATCTCTGATTTCTTGAGCAGTGTTTTGTAGTTCTCCTTATAGGGATTCTTTCACCTCCTTGGTTAGATGTATTCCTAGGGGTGTGTGTGTGTGTCTATTGTAAATGGGATTGAGTTCTTTATTTCGCTCTCAGCTTGAATGCTATTGGTATATAGAAATGCTACTGATTTTTGTACATTGATTTTGTATCCTAAAACTTTACTGTTTACAGTTCCAGGAGCCTTTTGGCAGAGTCTTTAGGGTTTTCTAGGTATAGAATCATATAGTCCACGAAGAGATGGTTTGAGTTATTATTTTCCTATTCAGATGCCTTTTATTTCTTTCTCTTGCCTGATTGTTCTGGCGAGCACTTCTAGTACTATGTTGAATAGGAGTGGTGAGAGTGGGCATGGCATCCTTGTCTTGTTCCAGTTCTCAAGAAGAATGCTTCCAGTTTTCATGATGTTGGCTATGGGTTTGTCATAGATGGCTCTTATTATTTTTATGTATGTTCCTTCGAGGCCTAGCTTCTTGATGGTTTTTATCATGAAGGGATGTTGGATTTATCAAAAGCTTTTTCTGTGTCTATTGAGATAATCACATGACTTTTGCTTTTAATTCTTCGTATGTGGTGAGTCACATTTATTGATTTGTATATGTTGAACCAATCTTGCATCCCAGGAATGAAGTCTACTTGTTCATGGTGAATCAACTTTTTGCTGTGCTGTTGAATTCAGTTTGCTAGTATTTTGTTGAGAATTTTTGCATCTATGTTCATCAGGGATATTTGCCTGTAGTTCTCTTTTTTTGTTGTATCTTTACCAGGTTTTGGTATCAGAGTGATGCTGGCTTTGTAGAATGAGTTAGGGAAGAGTCCCTCCACCTTGATTTTAGGAATAGTTTCAGTAGAACTGGTACCAACTCTTCTTTGTATGTCTGGTAGAATTAGGCTGTGAATCCATCTGGTCCAGGATTTTTATGATTGGTAGGATTTTTTATTACTAATTCAATTTTGGAACTAAATATTGATCTGGTCAGTGTTTCAATTCCTTCCTGATTCAACCTTGGGAGACTGTGTATTTCCAGGAATTTATCCATTTCCTGTAGATTTTCTAGTTTGTGTGCATAGAGGTATATTCACAGTAGTCTCTGAGGATCTTTTGTATTTATGTGAGATCAGGCATAGCGTCACCTTTGTTGTTTCTGATTGTGCTTATTTGGATCTTCTTTCTTTGTTAATCTAGCTAGTGGTCTACTGATCTTGTTTATCCTTTCAAATAACCAACTTGGTTTTTGTTAATTCTTTGTATGGATTTGGGGCCTCAATTTCATTCAGTTCCACTTTGATTTTAATTATTTCTCTTCTTCTGCTAACTTTGAGATTCATTTGTTCTTATTTTTCTGGTTCTTCTAGGTGTGACATTAGATCATTAATTTGAGATCTTTCTAACTTTTTGAGGTAGGCACTCAGTGCTGTAACCTTTCTTCTTAACAGTGCTTTTGCTGCAACCCAGAGATTTTGGTATGTTGTATCTCTGTTTTCATGTATTTCCAAGAGATTTTTAAATTTCTGCCATAATTTCGTTGTTTACCCAAAACTCATTCAGGACTAAGTCGTTTAATTTCCATGTTATTGTGTGGTTTCTGAAAGATCATCTTGGTATTGATTTTTATTTTTATTCTGCTGTGGCTGAGAGTATGGCTGGTATGGTTTTGATTTTTTTTTTTTTAATTTATGGAGACTCGCTTTATGGCCGAGCATATAATCAATCATGGACTATGTTCCATGTTAGCACTATCGTAAAAGAGTATATAGAACTATATATTTTGCGGGCAAACTCAAATGCAATTCATTAATAACTATAACCACACGTGGATTAATATACTCTAGTCAATTTCCATATTGATAACTGTTGTGAGCTTTTATTAAGCTTTTTTTTTTTTTTTTTGAGATGGAGTCTCACTCTGTCGCCCAGGCTGGAGTGCAGTGGCACAATCTTGGCTCACTGCAACCTCTGCCTCCCAGGTTCACACCATTCTCCTGCCTCAGCCTCCCAAGTAGCTGGGACTACAGGCACCCACCACCACGCCCTGCTAATTTTTTGTGTTTTTAGTGGAGACGGGGTTTCACCGTGTTAGCCAGGATGGTCTCAATCTCCTGACCTCGTGATCTGCCCACCTCTGCTTCCCAAAGTGCTGGGATTACAGGCGTGAGCCACTACACCCAGTCTAAACATTTTTGATTAAGGCTTAGAGGAGAGCTATCTAATTCTTTTGGAAAATAAGTTGTTTTGTCAACAAAATTAATCTGTGTAGGTCCTATTCTGTCTCTGTATTGTACAATAAAGCAGTTCAATGAGCAATAAAACTCTACCATAATATATCTGGATATCATGAAGCATATTAGGTCAAATCATATCCTGAAAACCGTAACTTTAAGGGGTATTCATTAGTGCCAAGAAGTTGGAAGAAATCAGGCAGATTTCAGATTTCAGGGAGGAGTGGATTATTAGAATGTTTGGTGACTGTTTAGAACCTTATATGGGGGATGCCCCCAGCCTGACACAGCTGATCAAGAGCCTGCTCTGTCTTCTCAGTGCCTGAATTCACAATGACTGAGGGCCACTGAGGTGTAAGGAACCCACTTATGCCAACTTCAGTATCATTCCAAGAGAAACAGGGCATCCTCCCGTGACTAAGAGGCCACAATCTTGAAGAACTCAGAGAAGCAGACAATTTGTCCAGATGCAGTCCACATCTCTGCAGAAGAGGGAGAAAGAGAGAGGGGGAGTGGGAGTAAGTGAAGAGTTGGCTTTGTTGCTGGGATCCCAAGGGCAGCCAACATGTCCTGTAGCTGGTGCCTAGCTGAGTCCCTAGGCTTGGAGCAAGTGATCCATACATATGGGATGAAAGGAGAAGAGAAGAAAACTTGGGTTCCTAGGGAAGAAAAATATCTACAGAAACTTTTAAAAAGTACTATAGAGATAGAACATTTATTTTTAAAAAAAAAATAAAAAAGGCATATTTGTTGAATTGAGGAATGGCGAGAAATCTCACACAGGAAAAAAAAAATACAATAAAAGCTAACACTTTGCACCAGACACTTTCTACTGCTTGAATATAAACTCCAAAAGGGCAAGGACTTTATCTCTTTCACTCACTGTGTATACCTAGCACCTAATTCAGGGTTTAGGGGCATAGTATAGCACTCAGTATACTATTTTTCAGTGAGTAAATAAATAAAACCGAAGAACCTAGCTAAAGTAAAAAACCTGACATTTAAAAGGGAGTGGTAATTACGAGCTCATTTTCCTAGCATTATGGAACACCAAGTGTGTGCCAGGCATTGAACTCAGTACTGAAGATAAAGAGATTAAAAGACAAGGTATCATCTGAGGTTGGTGGGATAACATTCCAGAGTAGAATTTTACTCCATCAACCAACACCTATCAAGCCCCTGCTCTGGGTCCGGCACTTTGCTGGGCACTGGAAAGACCAAGAGATGAAGAAGTCCCTCTCCCTGCCTTAAGGAGCGCACAGTGGTGTAGGTGGGAAGCATCCATAACAGAGGTGCCTATATAGGGGTATGATCAAGAACAGGATGTGAATAAATCTGCCTGGAGGGGATCAGCACAGTTACCTTTCACTACCAGCTTTAAGCAAAGAGCAGCAATCATTGATTGATCAGGAAGGTTATAGGATTCCTGCATTGAATGGGACTTTTGTTTTTTTTTTTTTTTTAAGACAGAGTCTTGCTTAATGGCCCATGCTGGAGTGCAGTGGTGCAATCTTGGCTCACTGCAACCTCCACCACCCGGGTTCAAGCAATTCTCCTGCCTCAGCCTCCCAAGTAGCCGGAATTACAGGCCCCACCAGCACGCCCAGCTAATTTTTGTATTTTTAGTACAGACGGTGTTTCACCATGTGGCCAGGCTGGTCTCAAACTCTTGACCTCAAGTGATCCACCCGCCTTGGCCTCCCAAAGGGCTGGGATTATAAGCATGAGCCACAGCGCCTGGCTCCAGTAGGACTATATTTTAGGTAATAAATTCCTGAACCCTACTCCTAGGAATCTCTACATATACTTCTTTAATGTCCTAGAACCTGGAAAAGCAGGTTTTTCCAACCCACTGATAAGCACTGGATTACATGACATTATGACAATTTTAAGATTCCATGCGCAATAATAAAATGAGAACAGAACTCAGACTCCAGCTTCGCATGAGGACTCTCAGAAAAATTTGTGTTCTATTATCCCCAAAGTATTTTTAAAATTTAGAAGCTGGCTGGGCGCAGTGGCTCATGCCTGTAATCCTAGCACTTTGGGAGGCTGAGGTGGCCAGATCATGAGGTCAGGAGTTCGCGACCAGCCTGGCCAATATGGTGAAACCCCATCTCTACTAAAAATACAAAAATTAGCTGGGCGTGGTGGCGCGCACCTGTAGTCCCAGTTACTTGAGAGACTGAGGCAGGAGAATTGCTTGAACCCAGGAGGCAGAGGTTGCAGTGAGCCGAGATCACACCACTGCACTCCAGCCTGGGTGACAGAACAAGACTCTGTCTCAAAAAAAAACAACAAAAAAAGAAATTAGAAGCAGTAATTGCTCAATAAATGGCAGCAACTGTTGCTGCTGCAGCTGAGTCCAGGGCTGCAAATGTCTATATGGGGCTCATCAGGATACATCAGGGCCTATCAGGAATTTCCCACAGGAGGTCACAGGAGAGTCTGAAGGGATTTCACACACAGCCCTGCTGCTGCCTGGGACTTACTCTGACCTAGTCTAGCTCCACAGTCAGCACAAGCCAGCTCCAGGCATGCCCACTTCCTGGGTCCCTTGCTTGTATCCATCCTCTTTAACCCTGCCCAGACTAGACCCAGCATGATTCATTTGTAGGCTTAGTACAAGGACCAGGAATAGCTGAGATCTAGCTGTGAGCAGCCACAATCCAACCCAGCACATAGGGATTTGTGCAGTTTTAAGCTCCAGAGAGCTGTTTCGTGGTATCTATGCCAACACGTACTGCAGATAAAGCACAAACCCAAATTGCCCCACTAGGTCAGGAAGCAGAGTTGGTGATATAAGCACCTAGGAGGTGGGGCAGCAAGACAGACAGAAAAGGTCAAGAAACCCATTAGCTAGAACTCCTTCCTTAGCCCTTCATCCTTCCCTGCTCAGCAGGGGAAGGTCTTGCCTGTCTTTTTGGTGATGATGAAAAGGGACACGCTTCAGAAATCCCAAATGTTACCTTTGAATGTAGGCGCCCCGGTGATGCCTATCTTTCCTCCTTACCTTTGATATCTTTTTTCATAATACTTTATTTAATGCTGAACGTGTTACACAACGTATCAGCCCTCCAAGTTGTGCAATCCAGAAGGGCGACAGCACAGAGTAGAAAAACTGGTCTAACTTCAGTGAGACACAGATTACACAACATGATGAACAAAAGACCAGAAACAAATACACAAATATTCCCTTGGATTATGTAACTAATAAGTGGAAAACATATTTGATGGGAAAATTAAAAAAAAAAAAAAGTTTCAAGCTTATGCCCTGATCCTTCCTTCTTGGTTATGCAGTAAACATAAAAGTTTTCAGTAGTCTTTTCCCTCCTTTACACTCATGCTGCATTTCAAATTGATACTCTACACAGTGATGAGTAGAACCTTTCTTTCTTTATTACCTTTCATTACATGAAAGTGTTGTTAAGACTTCAAAACTGTATCACTTCACTCTTAATAAAACCACTTTTCAACATATTCAATGAGTTTGACTATAATTTCACTTCCTTCAGTAAGACATGACAACTATCAGTAAGCAAGAATTACACTCTCACCTTCCTGTTTTTTTGTGTGTTTAGGGAGGGGTTGAAATGGTTAAGGGCTAGCCTGAGTTGGCACTAACATTGCTCTCACAGGAACTTTCAGAGGCAGTGGAATGGGATGTATGAACTTGGAGCAGGTAGACCTGGATTCTAATTCTGGCTCTGTAGCTAACTTGGCCATCAGTTTAACCCTTTTGTGCCTCAGTTTTCTTCTCTATAAAATGGGACACAACTATCCTATGAAGCAAGTAAGGATGAGCACGCCGCACAGTGGTGAACACAGCTTTCAGTGGAAAGCCCTGAGACGTTAAACACCCTTGGCTTCAAATCCCAGTCCTGTCCCTTACAGTTAGACCTTGGGTTTGTCACTTTAAAATGCTGCTTCCCTCTCAGAGTCATAACCCATGCTTTCACACCTGTGCTGAGTATGAAATGAGAGGCCATCTGTCAAGTGTCACCAGAGGTGGCTGCTCCCTGCATGATGTGCCTTACAGGTAACTGTCACTCAGACATCTGCAGCATGAATGGCCCTGTAGATCACAGATTTGAACGAATTAGTCACTATCTCTGAACACAGGTGCATGAGGCAGACTGCTTCTAAAGAACTTTAAAAGGGATTTATGGCCCACAGGACTCCGGGGCTGTAATAACTTCGGGTACATTAGGCATAGCTGAATCTATGCACTCTTGGGAGCGCTGACCATTCAGGGGGTTGGGGGAGATGACAATCTGGCCAACAGCTAGTGGCTAAAGCAGAAGCACCAACTCCCCACTTTTTGTTGATACATTTAGAACCCAGTCTTGCTCCAAAAAAGGGGTACCTGGGCTTAGTAAGAACCAGCCGCTCAGTGCTAGCAACGGTGGAACCCTATATAGTGACCTCTGCTTTATTTCAAATCTGCGAGCCACAGGCAGTGGCCCCTCTGCACAGTACCTGAAAGGCCTGCTTTCAGGTCGAAGCGCCTTCTTGAGCAAGACCTGCACCTCAGCTGGCGACGAAAGGGGGACAGGGACACGACGGCGCCAACATTCCAGGGCGGCCACACCGCAAGCCTGCGGTCGCGTTCCGCGGGGAGATGAGCCTTCGCTCGCCACGGAGACCCCTGGCCCTATGGCCGGCAGCTGCTGCGCTGCGACCCCAGCCTCAATATCATAGCATCCCCGCCCTCATCGCGTTTCGCAGAAAATAAAAATGCCTCGCCCTGCTAGTCAGCAATGGGAGAGTCACTGATCCCCAAGTTAGCGGTGGGAGTGGGGAAGTGTGGCCCCGGGCCCTGCTGGAGCCTAAAGACACGCGATTACAGAGGAGGACGAGCCAAACCGAGTCCAGATCGAGAGACCGGCGCCCAGATCTCGGCGCGGTTGGGCAACACTCAGCACCAGTCCGCAGAAAAGTCTAAGGCAGAGGAGAGCAAAGGGAGCCAACGCGGGCGCAAATGATCCAGGTGCAGCCGAGGCAGCGCCGCCGCCCCGGGCCTCGGTGTCCCGTTCTGCAAAGTGAGGACGAAGGATCGAAGTGTCTCCCCGACCCTGCTAGGGCTCTACAGGGAACCAGGCTAAAGCTGCCTGAGGCTCGGAGACCGGAAAAAGAGGGAAAGACAACAGGGAAGAGAAAGGGAGGAGTGGGTGGGAGACCCTGAGGAAAGACGGCGAGGACAGGGTTGGAGGGTTTTCCGCCTTCCTCCTCTTCCTCCTACACCTGAGTTCTCACCGCTGGGCCAAGGCCCAGAGCCCACGGAGCTTAGGCACCAGTAGCCAAGCTTCTCCCTCCTCGCGCCAGTTTCTGCGAGGCACGGGGCAGACGGTGGGCAGCACAATCATGCATGCCAGGGGTGCAAGGGGGAGAGGTCCGGCTGGAGTCCGAGGGCAGGTGAGCCGGCCTGGGGCTGGGCAGGGGTGAGATAGCCCCAAGCGGGGAATCGCAGGGCGCCTGCGGCCCAGCCCGCGAGCCCCGGACGGGCCAAATTTTATTCCCCAACTTTGAGCAAGGGGAGGGGGTGTATGCAAAAAAAAAAAAAAAGGAAAAAAAAGTTGCTGAACTTTTCCCCCAACTCTGCCGTAGAGGCGGGAGTGGAGGGCGGTGCCTGCACCGATTCGCCGGCGGCTACGGTCGGGAGGCTCGGATTGGCGCTCGGGGGCCGGGGCCGGGGCGAGCGGGCGTGGGGGAGGGGAGCGGCCCTCCCCGCCCGCGGTATCGGCTCGCGCCGGGAGCGGGTTAATTTCAAATCGGGGGCTTGGCTGCTCCTGGACGGTCACGCTCCCTCTGCCCGCCAGCCGGCCCGCCAGTCCCGGTCCCGGCGTCTCTCTCCGGCACCCACCTCGGCGCTGCGGAAAGACTGACTGCCAGGTACGCGGGCTCCCGGGCCTGAGAGGGGCAGCGGTGCTGACGAGTCCCGGCTCAGCCCCCGCCGGCTCCCGCCGTGAGGTGGACTGACAGGTCAGCGGGACGCAGAGGGGCGCGGCGCCCGGGCGACACGGCACCGGGAGAGGGCTCGGGAGGGTGGCGGCGGCGGCGGCGGCGGCCGTTTCCCGCCTCCCGCTTCGCCGGGGGCCGTGAGGGAGGAGCTGAGCTCCCGCGCAGAGGGGCGGGGGCGAACGAGGGGGAGGGGCGGGGTTGCCGTGGTTCCGGGCGCGGGTTTGCCCGCGCTCAGGCCCCGCGCAGCTAAGGGGAGGCGCCGGCCACGGTCCGACTTTCCGCGCCAAATTTTTAAATCGAAGGCGGAAGGTCCGGCCCCGCCCCTGGCGCCGTCGGCCAATCGCAGGCCCGCTTCCGGCCCTCTGATTGGTCGGGAATTGTTGTCCTGGAAACCACGATGATGCTGTCCGGGAACTGTCGGGACTGCGGCGGGCGGACAGGGCCTGGGGGAGGGGCCTTTGGCCGAAAGTTGGGGGAAGTGCACTGAGCGAGTGGCGGCCGGGGGACAGTACCTGCTTGCCTTATTGGGCAAATACAGCCTTCCAAGGTGGAGTCTAACGCCGTGGTGTGAACTGGCCACCCGAACAGGGAGTAAATAGTGCTTTGTATCTTTAAGGAAGCCCTTTTTTAAATTTAAAAAAAAAGTCTTAATTATAAGACTCTTTAAATGCCCAACTGCATACTTGGAGCTTTGGGACTGAATTTGGAACTTTCCTGTCAAGCGACCTCCCACGACTTTACTGCTGAGCCTGTGCACGTGTGTGTAAGGGGAGAAATCCAGGCATCTAGATGCAGACTTGTACCCAGTTACTTGGGGTCGCGTGCGCTCAGCTGGGACCTGGGCTCGTGCGCTTAGTCCGGAGCCCTGATCTGCGAACAGGTGGGTGCTTCCTAAAGTATTCGCTGGGGTCCGGAGAATGGCTCGCCTTTTCTACAGATGGGAGAGGGCTGTCACTAGAAATTCCGTGGGTTGCTTGAAGTCTTAGGACCGCCGATCCGTTTGCTGAAGGAATTTACTGGCATTTGTTGGCGTTCTCCGCTCAGTGGGGCGATCTCTGGTCGAGAATAAAATGTAAATCTAGTTTGTCATTTTTCGTTAGGCTTTGTTTCCGTAGCCTCTTGTCCGTGAAGGAATTTTCAACAGATCTTTTGGTTCTTGTTTTTCTCTAACTTTTTCTATTTCCTTTTTTCTTTAAGGATATTAAAACTTTTAGTACAATTGATTGGACTACTTGAACCATCGGGATTTGGGGAGGAACTCCAGATTTTTCATTTTTAAACTCTAAATGTATGAGGAATTTACAGAATGGAGAACGAAAAGGTACTTTATAACTTCAGTATTCATCATTGCAATTTTAAATTCAGTATCATCCTGATTTAACTCCATAATTTTTCCCTATCCAATGTGTTTTCTTAATGCCACAACCTTGGTTAGCCTCTGTAAAGACCTGGAAAAAATGAACCTTATCTTATAGTTTCAAAAATATATAGTTTAAAATATATACTAATTTAATTAATATAGTTTAAAAAATGAAAATTATCTTAAAAAGAAATTCAGTCTCCAATCATGTCAAATGCCCTTTCTGAATTCCAGTTGTTCAAGAATCCTCAGAAATGTTGTAATGAAACTAACAAATTTTATTATTCTTAAAAATACCTTTTCTCTCTTTATGTCTGAGACAGCTACCAAATCATTAAAAACTAGAAAGAGTGTAAAGGGGCAAACCTACCCCTCTTCAAAAATTCGTTAGTTTCATTACAACATTTCTGAGGATTCTTGAACAACTTGGAATTCAGAAAGGGCATTTGACATGTTTGGAGACTGAATTTCTTTTTAAGATAATTTTTTACCAAATTGGCAGCTTATTTATGGGGTCTGCAAAATGCTCTGTTTAGGGGGCAAACATTTTGTAAAATTACAAAAGAATTGTCTGTGGGGGGTGTCCAACTACTAATAGGTTTAAAAAAGTGAACTTACATGCATATTTCCTAATAGTTTTAGATGTTAGTCAAATAAGAGAATTACTATTGCTTCTGATAATCTGAGGCAAAGAAAAAGCCTATTGTCAGATCAGTACATCTCAGATGCACACACTGGCAAGGAGCTCCTGTTGGGTCCACCATACTGACTTCCATGTAAGAAGAGCACCATACTTGGAGTGAAAATATCTGTGTTCCACTCCTACGTGACCTCTCTCAGCCTGCATCTTCTCTTCTGCGAGCTAAGAATGCAGGATTCCATGAACATACAAACGGAAATGCACTTGATAAACCCAAGATGTCACAACATGTCCCATTTGTCCATGTTCTTAAAGTTATTTGGTCTGCCTATTATTTTACTTATTGCTGTTCCAAGCATTTTCTTTAAAATAGATAAAGATGGGAGTAGTGTGTGAAGTCCCTGGTGTCCAAAACTGGAAGGAACATAGTCTCCATTAGCCTTATTTATGAACTGCTGTTAATTTACCCTTTTGTCTCAGTGGCTATCCTGCTTCTGCCAGGATCTAGCTTTGTGGTCTTAGGTAGCTGTTAGGTTGATGCAAACATAATTGCTGTTTTTGCCATTACTTTCAGTAGCAAAAGCCACAATTACTTTTGCACCAACCTAATCATTTTACTTCTCTGGGCCCCATTTTCTCTATCTGTAAAATGAGGGAGTGGATGTTCAAAGAGCAGACTTTTCTGGTCAGAAATCCTGCTGTTGGACACTCTAGATTTCCCTGATAAATCTGACCATATGCTATCCCTCACTCTTGTCTCCTTGTCTCTCTGACTCTTCAGTGGTATTTTATTTAGCACCCACTGCATGCAGCCATTATGCTAGGTGGATAAGAATTTCTGCCCTGTAGGCCTTTACTTATTACAGTGCCATGAGTAAACAAAAGTCATTTCTAGAAGTTTGATCATTTAACATTGTCAGTCCAATTAGGGGAAGCTGAGTGAAGGGCATTTGGGAACTCTATACTGTCTTTGCTTCTCTTCTCTAAATCTAAAACTATTTCAAAATACAATTAAAATTATAAGTCCTAACTAAAGTTGTTTTTTCAGTGGTTGAAACATAAGGTGAAAACATTTATGGCTTATTGCAAAATTAAAAATGGGAAATGTAATTATTAGAATTGACAATACACATCACATGACCATTAGAATACAGTTATTAATTTCCTCAACTCTACAATCTCATTAGACATTTTTTCCTTGGCATGATTCTATTCGTTATGCAATTTCTAGAATCCAAGCTGTCTGATAAATCCTGTTTTACCATGGATTTAATTATTTACATTTTTTAAACCAGGAAAATCTCTTTTGTGAGCCACATAAAAGGGGACTAATGAAAACACCTCTGAAAGAATCCACCACAGCAAATATCGTGTTGGCAGAGATCCAGCCTGACTTTGGCCCTTTAACCACACCTACCAAGCCCAAGGAAGGCTCTCAGGGAGAGCCGTGGACACCGACAGCCAACCTGAAAATGCTCATCAGTGCTGTGAGCCCTGAGATCCGCAACAGAGATCAGAAAAGGGGTTTGTTTGACAACAGAAGTGGATTACCTGAGGCCAAAGACTGTATACACGTAGGTTTTCAGAGGACTGGTTGGAGGCTGGGGAATTTGTTGGGGGGAGGGGGGAGGTTGTAGCTATTAGAGAAGTGCCAGCAATTTAAAGCATCACCACCCGAAGGCTGTTATTAACTTCCTTCGGAGCACCAGAAAGGTTTGGACCCCAAGAAATATAGCTCTGGGAATTCTGAACCTTTGCGTTATTTTCGTTTCAGGCTTTCCTTTCAGGTTTGCCAAGCATTTTGTACTGGCCCCCCTAACCTTTTCTCCCATCCAGACTTTGCAGCTGTTGAAGCTAAGCGTGTGTAAGTTGGTGTCAGTCATCGAGCACAGATGCCCCTAATAAATCTGTCAGACTTTATTTTAGAATAAGACATTGTTTACCTTTTCCTTTGTAGGAACACTTATCTGGAGATGAATTTGAGAAATCCCAACCAAGTCGAAAAGAGAAAAGTTTAGGATTATTGTGTCATAAGTTCTTAGCACGATATCCTAATTATCCCAACCCTGCTGTGAATAATGACATCTGCCTTGACGAAGTGGCAGAGGAACTTAGTAAGTATGCAAAGAACTCACTGAAAGAATTAATAATTAAAGTGGCTTTATGGACTTAACTCCTTCAGACCCCCGCTCATCTAGCCAGTGTTTGTAAATGACACAAATAAGCCGGCATGGAAATTTTCTATCTCTAAAGCCCTCTTCTAATATAAGAATGAAGGTAAGTAGTTGCAAATTTCAGCAAATCTTGGAGGCAGAAAAGTCACAATGGAGGTTGCTTCTGACTACAGTTGTCTCTGAAGCTTTAAAGAAAGGCAATATTGTCTCATGACTTGTTTCACAAAGTTACAACTGTGAACTTTTGCTTCATTGCTCTCCCTTGCTGTTCTTGAAGAATCAGGCTGATAAATGGTTATCTTCCTAGTTGACGCTGAGGATCAGCTTCTGTGAGTGGGAACAGGACCTGTGCACTCCTGGACCTTCAGCACTATTCTGAGGACTAGTTTTCTGAATGTTTTGTGTTGGGCACAAGTTATTCCTCCTGCCCCTTTTTACTCTGTTCAAAGACCTGAATCTATTTGGAGCTAAAAAGGGGCCCGTGGTGAATTTGGGGTACCTTTGGAGTCATGTGGGTATCTTAATTTAAACCTGTGAAGTGATGTGCTGTGCAAGATAATACATTTTAATACAAAGCAATCACCCCGTGAAGAAAAGTTGCCCTTCTAATACATGTTTGTAAATATCAACTTTATTTCACATTTTAAGAATATACCGTTTAGATTCATCTACTTTTCATATATGCTTAATGGTAGCTGGGTAGGATATTCAGCAAATATCTATTAATCTTCTACTACTATGTGTCAGGCAATGTTGTAGGAGCCTGGGATACATCCGTAAACAAAAAGGGCAAAATCTCTTCTCTCTTAGAACCTATATTCTAGTGGGGCAATAGATACTGAGTAAAGGATATAGGAAGTAAGTAAGGATAATACATGCTAGAAGGTAACATGCATAGTGGAAAAAATAAATTGTAGATCAGGATCAAGGGATCAGGAGTGCTGGGGAGGTGCTTTGCCATAAGTGGTCAGATCAGGCTTCGTTGAGAAGGTGACATCTGGGCAAGGACTTGAAAGAAGCAAGGTAGGGAGCTGTAAGGACATCAGGGAGAAGGGTTCCAGGCAGAAGGAACAGCCGGTACAAAGCAAGTGCATATCTGGCAGGTTCCAGGGACAGCAAGAGGTCGGTAGGATGCACCCTTATTAAAATAGTGTTTTATTGATCACTTTTCCAGAAAGGCTGATCTCATCAAATATTTAAATTGAAATTAAGTTTCTTGAACGAAGAGAATTCTAACATTACAGAATATTGAAAACCCAATTTAAATAGATAGAGTCACAGAATTACTAATATCATATTGTTAATGATAGCTAGAAAGTAAGCAAAATTAGACCCAAAAAGGCATATTTTATTTTTATGTAAGTTTTTAAAAACTACATCATGGTTTTTGTACTTTTCTGAAATCTCAGCATTTTGTTTCTATCTTATGATCATTACAGATGGGCGTGTGTGTACGTGTTTGTATTGGAAGCGGTTGGAAGGTGTGAGATGTAGAGTTTTAAAGACTTGGTTTGCTACTTGCTAGCTCTTTTGGGGTGAGCTACTTAGCTGGTCTGAGCCTCTGTTTTCTCATCGTTTTTTTTTTTTGTTTGTTTGTTTGTTTTTGAGACGGAGTCTCGCTCTTTCGCCCAGGCTGGAGTGCTGTGGCGCGATCTAGGCTCACTGCAAGCTCCGCCTCCCGGGTTCACACCATTCTCCTGCCTCAGCCTCCTGAGTAGCTGGGACTACAGGCACCCGCCACCACACCCGGCTAATTTTTTTGTATTTTTAGTAGAGACTGGGTTTCACCATGTTAGCCAGGATGGTCTCCATCTCCTGACCTCGTGATCCGCCCTCCTCGGCCTCCCAAGGTGCTGGGATTACAGGTGTGAGCCACCGCACCCGGCCTTTCTCATCCTTTTTAAAGTGCAGATCATAATACCTACTTCACAAGTTTAGGGTGAAAACTTCCTAAAGCTGTGTAGCACAACTTAGGCCCTCATTAAATGTTGCCTTTCTAATTCATATGATTTGTGCCCTTGGAAAGCAAGCACATGTCTTTCTCACCTTCACAGTATTTGTTGAGTATGTTCACTTACAGTTAGGAAAGTGATATTATCCAAGACCTACTGACTAATAAACCAATGGAAGAAAAAGCTATTCAATTCTAAACACGTTACAAAAATCTGTAACACACAATTGCACATTCTTTGTAGATGTTGAACGTCGACGCATTTACGATATCGTGAACGTCCTAGAGAGTTTACATATGGTGAGCCGCCTCGCCAAAAACAGGTACACTTGGCACGGGCGACACAATCTCAACAAAACCCTTGGCACCTTGAAGAGCATCGGGGAGGAGAATAAGTACGCCGAGCAGATTATGATGATCAAAAAGAAAGAATATGAGCAAGAGTTTGACTTTATTAAGAGTTACAGTATAGAGGATCATATCATCAAATCAAACACTGGCCCAAATGGACACCCAGACATGTGTTTTGTGGAACTCCCTGGAGTGGAATTTCGGGCAGGTGAGAGATGGTAGTGAAAACTCCAGGCGGCATGGCATTTGTCCTCTGTCTAAGGAAAAGGTTCTGTGGAGAACACAGCTCTAAAGCTACTGCTGCCTTTAATGTTCAGATGCCACAGTTGTCAGCTGTATGATCAGGTGGTAGTATTTTTAGCCTTGTTACTTTAGAAGTCACTTGTCCCTTTATGAATTTTAATTCTCTAATCCTCATCCTTCTCTAAAGCTTCTGTAAACAGCCGCAAAGACAAGTCTTTAAGGGTAATGAGCCAGAAATTTGTGATGCTGTTTTTGGTGTCAACGCCTCAGATAGTAAGCCTAGAAGTTGCTGCCAAGATTTTAATTGGGGAGGACCATGTGGAAGATTTGGATAAAAGCAAGTTTAAAAGTAAGTGTCATGACTGCCATGGATTTTTGAACCTATTCTTAAACAATAAAATCTCAGTCGTAAACTCATTTCCAAATTAGGAAACATAGGTGCATAAACAGATCTTCTCTAATTATGTTTTTATATCTTCTCCCCAGAAGCCATGATAATATTGATTTAGCTAACTTGTTATGATACATAAGTATCACTACTCTTTTTTTTTTTTTTTTTTTTTAGACGGAGTCTAGCTCTTTTGCTAGGCTGGAGTGCAGTGGCGAGATCTAGGCTCACTGCAACATCTGCCTCCCGGGTTCCAGCAATTCTCCTGCCTCAGTCTCCGGAGTAGCTGGGATTACAGTTGCGCGCCACCACACCCGGCTAATTTTTATATTTTTAGTGGAGACGGGGTTTCACCATGTTGGCCAGGAGGATCTCGATCTCTTGACCTCGTGATCCACCCACCTCGGCCTCCCAAATTTTGGGAGGCCTCCCAAAATTACAGGCCTGAGCCACTGCGCCTGGCCAAGTATCACTACTCTTATTTGACACATTGCTTCATTTGATATTGTAACATTGTTCTCAAAAGTAAACACGGCCAGGCGCGGTGGCTGAAGCCTGTAATCTCAGCACTTTGGGAGGCCGAGGAGGGCGGATCATGAGGTCAGGAGATCCAGACCAACCTGGCTAACACAGTGAAACCCCGTCTCTACTAAAAATACAAAAAAATTAGCCGGGCGTGGTGGCGTGCACCTGTAGTCCCAGTTACTCAGGAGGCTGAGGCAGGAGAATGGCGTGAACCTGGGAGGCGGCGCTTGCAGTGAGCCGAGATCGCGCCACTGCACTCCAGCCTGGGGGACAGAGCAAGACTCTGTCTCAAAAAAAAGGAAACACTAGAAGAATCTGTTCTGTGTGAGCTCTAAATGAGAGTAAATTGTAAAGTGGGTCTGCACCCTGGTCTCCTTCCACTGATGCTGATTACAGAGGGTTTATAAATGACTCATAAAATTGTCCCCAGAAGTGACCTGCAGCACAGGTAGTCTGCCATTTTGAAAGAATGGTTTTAGCTAGATTACCTGCTCAAAATTGGGAAGGGACTGTAGATTGGATTCCTAACAAAAGAGCTATGCCCTCACCATTACACCAGACTTTGCAGGAAGGGTGTGGAAAGAAGTGCTCAGCGGATGGGGAGGAGCACTTGGCTCGGGAGATCGGGAGATCTGCAATTTCAGAAAACACGTCCTGATACTACTGAGGGGTTACTTGCCTTTTGTGAGTCACCGGATAGTTTTCATCTTTGTTTCACTGGTTAGTCATAGCCTTGAAAACTATTCCAGGAACTGCAGAGGTGTAAGTTACTGAATCCCCAGGGAATTCAGAACCTTCTGATATGGCTAGGAAGGAGACTCGATTTGTAATTTGTACTATCAAGATGGCAGTAAAAAACAGACTTTTTGTAACAAAACTCTTTAAGATATGTGAGGTTTGTCAAGTTCACAGATCTATGTTTTGCATGTTACATAGACAGTATTAAAAAATTACACATGTTGATGGAGTACAGAATTTTCCATGCTGCCATAGTAAATAAATTTTGTTATAAGCTATTACAAGCAGAAAAGCAAGACATTTATCACAGATACTTTTACTTCTCTGCTCATAAAATTCTTCTGAATCCTCATTAGAAGATACCCAGGAATGGTGACTTTATTTTTGAAACAGTCTGTAACATAGTTTCAGATAGGGTGATCTCATCAAGTCGTTTTTCCTTTGTCAACGTATGCTATTGTCATTTCAACATTGAGTACTAGCAGTAATTGAGTCTTTTAAATATTTAAAACTTTTTTATCTTAATTAAAGTTGTATCACCAGAAGAACTTAAAAGGAGGCAGATGTTTCTCTGTCTGACATTGATGGTTAAGACAGCTCTTAGAATATACATGAAGTCCTTCTGAAGGAAAATTCTTTGATCTTTTCATTATTCCATTAAGTGGTATATATACTTTTTTTCCCAGCAAAAATTAGGAGGTTGTATGATATAGCTAATGTTCTGAGTAGCCTGGATCTTATCAAGAAAGTTCATGTTACAGAGGAAAGAGGCCGAAAACCAGCTTTCAAATGGACCGGCCCAGAAATCAGTCCAAATACCAGTGGTATGTATTTTTTTCTTTCACCCTCTGCTTTATTATTTGTGTGTGTGTTTTTCTAATTTTTAATTTCCAGTGTGTGTTGTTCCCCTCCCTGTGTCCATGTGTTCTCATTGTTCAACTCCCACTTACGAGTGAGAACATGCAGTGTTTGATTTTCTATTCCTATGTTAGTTTGCTGAGGATGATGGCTTCCAGCTCCATCCGTGTCCCACAGAGGACATGATCTCATTTCTTTTTATGGCTGCATAGTATTCCATGGTGTATATGTACCACATTTTCTTTATCCTGCTTTATTATTTTGAATTAATGCACATTGGGAGATATTTTCCCTTCCCCTTCCTACTCACCGCCCCACATGGAAAAGATATATATGATTGAAAAGATGATTCAAGATGAATGGCAATATAGAAAGTTTGGCTACTGGCTCCATCAGCTAACCAAGATCCATAACAACCTCCCACCCTGTGTTCAAGAAGTACAATCTGTATGTGAAAGCATTCGGAAAGTTGAAAGCACCACAAAGCATAAAACACTATTGCTGCTATGCGGCACAGTGACCACAACAGAACCTGTGCCCATTGAGAATATGAAATGAGTTCACTCTGGTATCAAAGTAGATATTTCTAGCCTTCATCTTAACTCTGCGATGCTGACATTTTGCATTCTACCAAAGATCCCCACCCAGAATCATTGAAAATGACAAGAACGTGGGCCATGAAGACAGAGGGAAACTTAGGTTCCATTCCAAGCCCTGCCACTCTGGCTTTGCGGCCTGAGACAAGCTACTTCTTCGAGGATTAGTTTTCTCCTTGGTGAAATGGGAAGAACAATGGCACCTCAGTGGAGTTACTGTGATTTTGGTATAATCTCAGAGAGAGGTCCTTTCGTGCAGGAATTTGGAGTGAAAATTCCGGGGCCATATTGACCAGGTTCATATCCCAGGCCCACATGCTCCCAGTTGAGAGACCTTGAGCCAGTAGGTTAATGTCTGTGTGGGTCAGAGCTCTCATCTCCGACACAGGGCTGCATTTCTTGAGGAACAGTTACCTCATGGAGCTGTGAGGATCACCCATATTTCATCAGATCTAAGACTTCACTGATTGTAAGATGCACAATTCTTTCTATATCACTAAGAAAGAAAAATCACTAATAACTACACTCTAGCACACCACTGGTTATAAGATATAGTGCAGTTTCAGAAATGCTAATGTAGGAAATATTGTGTCTCAGAATCCATTTAATAAGATAAACAAGGCTTTCTCTGTAAAGCCCTTAGAACAGTGACAGGCACATGGTCGGTGCTCTGTAACTTGCCACTTTTATTCCTAAAATTGTTTTATTTCATATCCCAAAAGCCAACTGAGCCATCCAGGTTTTAATACACAGACGTTTTCTGTTTCAGGCTCCAGCCCAGTCATTCATTTTACTCCCTCTGATTTGGAGGTGAGACGGTCTTCAAAAGAGAACTGTGCCAAAAACCTCTTTTCCACACGTGGGAAACCAAACTTTACTCGACACCCATCTCTTATCAAATTGGTAAAGAGTATAGAAAGTGATCGGAGAAAGATAAATTCTGCGCCCAGTAGCCCTATCAAGACCAACAAAGGTATGTTTTCAGGAATGTCAGGGATCTGCTAGGAAGAATTCCCTTTTATCTCATTTTTTCAGCTTACTTGATCCTTGCAATAGTTGTCAGAGAATTATTTCAATATCTATATACCCAAACCCTCTTGAAGCCTAACTAATGTATAAATTTAAAAAGTCATTTGTGGGGTTTATTGTTTAATCGCTATGCAACTTTGAGGGGAGGTGCACACTTTCTGTTCCTCTGACTTCAGTGAGGTTTCATCTGTGTGAACATTTGTTCTTTAGCTTTGACCGGTGCTCTCTTCCTTTCTATTTTACCAGCTGAGAGTTCTCAGAATTCTGCACCCTTCCCAAGTAAAATGGCTCAGCTCGCAGCTATTTGTAAAATGCAGTTAGAAGAGCAATCAAGGTAGGTTGGCAATCCTCTTTAATAACAGGATGAATTACTTTTACATTACATTGTTAGGATTACTTATTTTATGTGAGAAGAAGCCCTAGCCTTGAACTGGAGAGCTAATCTTTTCTGTATCTCATACTCACTCATTACAGAAATTATCTGCATGTTCCATAAAAGCGTGGCTTCAATATGAGGCTTAAAGCGGTAGAACAGTTCAGAAAAAATGTATATCCATCATGTCGTGTATTAAATCTTGTCTTTCAGTGAATCCAGACAGAAAGTGAAAGTACAGCTGGCAAGATCTGGACCCTGCAAACCAGTAGCCCCTCTGGACCCCCCAGTGAATGCTGAGATGGAGCTGACAGCACCGTCCCTCATCCAGCCCCTGGGAATGGTTCCCCTGATCCCCAGCCCCTTGTCATCAGCAGTGCCCCTGATCCTACCTCAGGCCCCTTCAGGCCCATCCTATGCCATCTACCTGCAGCCCACTCAAGCCCACCAAAGTGTGACGCCACCCCAAGGCCTGAGCCCAACGGTGTGCACCACCCACTCTTCTAAAGCTACTGGCTCAAAAGACTCCACAGATGCCACCACTGAGAAGGCAGCCAATGATACCTCAAAGGCCAGTGCCTCTACCAGGCCTGGAAGCTTGCTGCCAGCACCAGAGAGGCAAGGGGCAAAGAGCCGAACCAGGGAGCCAGCTGGAGAAAGAGGCTCAAAGAGGGCAAGCATGCTCGAGGACAGTGGTTCCAAAAAGAAATTTAAAGAGGACCTAAAAGGACTTGAAAATGTCTCCGCAGTAAGTACAGCCTTGAACTGCACAAAGCTTTAGGAATTCCCTAGTCTATTACAGGAAGATTGGTGGCTTGTGAAATTTACCGAAGAGCATTCTCTCAGAAGACAAGGAACTGTTCCTTAGCATCCCATAATCCAAGTGAGGCCCTCAACAGCTAATCCCCTGGCTGGGATGAAGGCAGGGACATTTTTAACCTTTGGAGGAAGGGATTATTTGCTGTCTTTTTAAAGTACCATGGGTGGTTGTCCTTAAGTCCATTTCTCCATCACACACTGGAATGCAAACAGCTGTCATGAAAGTCTTAAATAATTTACAAGCAGACGTAACCCCAAATGAACGTGTGGATGCATAGGGTTCCTGTAACTCCTGCTTTCTGAGTCATTACCTAATGTTTGTTTGTTGTCATGTAACTGGCATCTGTTGCCTAGAAGATAAATTGCTCCCCGTTTTTACTTTCTACCTAAAATTTAAATCAAAATTTCTATTTCATGTAAATAGAAAAATCAAACTGATCTTGGCAAATTGTAGATATAGTTCATGTATTGGTTTCTAGAGATTTTGACATGCTAGACAAATTTTTTTCCTAAGTGGAGATTAGTTCCGGAGGGAATTAATATTTATTGGATGCCTACCCACATATAGCAGACATAATAGATATTAGTCACTTTTACATACAGTATCTCATTTTCCTCCCTTAGGACAATTATATATGAGAGACATTACTGTATCATCCGATAAATACCACTAAATGTGCAAGTAAAAGTTAATCTCTCATTTTGCCCCTGCTCTTAATACAAGCTATTTTACTTCTCTCTGTCTTATTTTTCCGCATCGGTAAAGAATTTATTCCACCAGTTTTTCCTCATCACCTACTGGATATAAAGCACTGTGCTCTGGATCAAATCTAACCCAGCACCTGCCTTTGGTGGCAATTGCTTTTGGGTACTTGCCTGTGGGCATATGATAGTTTTTGTGGGGTTAAGTGAATTTATTCCATGATGATACACATAAAAGGGTTTGATCCTTTTAAGACGTGTTATAAGCTGAAAGGTATTATCTGTTACGTTGTTATTAAAGAGGAAGCTTAGAGTTTGTCAAATCTTCCCTGAGGATGGCCTCATGGTAACCATTCAAAACATCTATTATCTTACATAGTATCCTTTTGTATTTAATGTATATGCCAAGTGGGAAATCATAAGGTTTCAATATTCTGGAAGGTCCATAACTTCTTTTGGCCAATGGGTATGATTTAATAATGGTCTCCTGTTGCTTACATAGTTATTCAGGATTAGGATTTTCAGTGGATAGATTTTCCATATACTCCTGCTTCTTTTTTATATCTCTGCAACTCTAACCATTTCTTTTTTCTTTTGAGACAGGGTCTTACTCTGTCACCCAGAATGGAGTGCAGTGGCATGATTTTAGCTCACTGCAGCCTCGACCTCCAAGGCTTAAGTGATCCTCCCACCTCAGTCTCCCAAGTAACTTAGACTACAGGTGTGCTGCCATGCCCGGCTAATTTTTTATTTTTTGTGGAGACGGGGTTTCACCATGTTGCTCAGCCTGGTCTCGAACTCCTGAGCTCAAGCAGTCTGCCTGCCTTGGCTTCCCAAAGTGCTGAGATCACAGGCATTTGCCGTCATGCCCAGCCCACTTTAACCATTTCGTTTTAGTATGGCCTGAGCAAAACAAAGACAATGAGAGAGTCATGTGTTAATTCATTCAACAAATTTTTACTGAGAATTTATACTTCTAGGGGTGGAAAGAAGATAAGTATGCAAGTAAACACAAACATATCAGGTAGTGAATGATAGGAATGAAGATGACATGATAGGAGGAAGGGGTGGAAGGGCTACTGTAGGCTAGAAGAGTTCAAGTTCAAATATGTCAGATTCATTCGGCAATTTAATAGTTCTAATTATTTTATAAAAAAGGGAATTGGCATAGGTTAAAAGATTCTATAATGAATATAGTTTGTTGGAAATTTAAAAATTATTATTCTATTATTGTGGGTTTTACTGAAGACTTGAAAGAGTTAAACCAGCAGTCAGAATAATTTGTACCATGAGAGAATATAACTAAAGCTAATAGAGCGCAGGTCTTCATAAAGCACCTAAATTTGCCCCTTAAAAATTCTCTCTTCCTGCAGTTTTCAAGGCACCTACTAGTAGAGATTTTGAGTGGGACCAAGTACTTAAGAAACAAAATTAAAAGCTTGTAGTATACTTTTAGCTTTGTGGATTCTGAATTTCCTGGTTCCCAAGGAAAAGACCTATTAACAACTAGATTAAACTTGTTTTGACAATGGAGAGAAGAAAGGTCTGAAGGAAGAAAAAAGGAGGTCCCTAGTTTATAAGAGCGGTTTTTAGCTTTTGCCAGTCCCGCTCATGGTAAGGCTAAAGCAGACTTTTCATGCAGTTCAGGCACCCGTGTAAACTTTTTCTGTTTGGGAAAGTACAGTGATCTAATAGGCATGTTGGGAGGTACATGCAACCCTACCCTTGGGCCTTTTCTAGTTGCAATATAACTTTATTGCCTAAAGCTTTTGCTCAATGGCATGTGCGTCTCTAATATGAATTAATCAGTTCTCTTATTTGTAATTTTTTTAACTCTGGTGTACTTTGCGTATTTTAAGACTGCTTGTTATCATTAGAGCAAGCAGTACTAGAAAGAAATCTTTACTTATATAATTTCTGTTTTAAATCAGGGGCCAGCAAACGTTCTTTAAAGGGCCAGATAGTAGACATTTTTTGGGTTTTAAGGCCATATGGGCTCTGTTGCACCTAGTCAACTCTGCCATTGTAGCAGGAAAGTTGCTATAGGCAGTACATAAATGAATGAGTATGATTGTGTTCCAATGAAACTTTATTTATAAAAACAGGCAGGGAGTGGGAATTGGCACATGGCCAATAGTTTAGCCCCCTTTCTCTAAATCAATGTCATTTAAAGTGTTTCCTTAGAATACTAGTCCTCCTTAATTGCCTACTGAAAATATAGTTGCCAAATAGTTTGGGAAATGCTACCTGCTGTGTGCCCCACTTGGAGAATTTTAAGGCATGCCACCATTAAAATCTCTTGGAAATTCTCTAATAAAGACACCATTTGACTTTGTTTAATTCAGTATTTTCCAATTATATTTGACCAAGAATCAGGTAATGCCTGTTTGCAACCCATGGACCTCAGGTCCCTCAGAATGCCCTTTGGGAAATACCGTTCTACATAATTCAAGAACAATCAATTACTACTACATCATACCAAGGAGTCCAGTAGCAAGAGTTAAGTTATCAGTTTAAGAGTGGTGTGCTGGATGAATCCTTACCCCTAAGCAGGGTCAGTGCCATCATCCAAAGGTGTCCTAAGACCACAGGTGGCATTTAAGAAACATGTTCTGCATTATTCGGGGCAAGCATTGGGAAGGGTGGGAGGGTATTCTCCTCTAGGAGCCAGGTGACCAGCCTGCCTGCAGCCCACTCCGCTGGAGGCTTTGGTCCAATGAGGCAACCACCAAGGGATATTAGTCCTGAAAGAGGCACGTGGCCATTTTTCTTCCTGTATTTGTGTGTAAAATAAACCCTTCCTCCTTGTTTTCTAGACCTTGTTCCCATCAGGATACCTAATCCCTCTCACGCAGTGCTCATCCCTGGGGGCAGAGTCCATTTTGTCTGGTAAAGAAAACTCAAGTGCTCTTTCCCCAAACCACAGGATTTACAGCTCCCCAATTGCAGGTGAGTGCACATAAAACACTAACCAGATGTGGGCCGGTCTCAAGTTCACTTAAGCCTTGTCAACTTCTTGGATAAATGCCTGTGCTTTTAAGATATCTTCCCCCTTTTCCTTCCAGGTGTTATTCCAGTGACATCATCTGAACTCACTGCTGTTAATTTTCCCTCTTTTCATGTAACACCGTTGAAGCTAATGGTCTCACCAACTTCCGTGGCAGCCGTACCTGTCGGGAACAGCCCGGCTCTCGCTTCAAGCCACCCTGTTCCCATCCAGAACCCAAGCTCAGCCATTGTAAACTTCACCCTGCAGCACCTGGGACTCATCTCACCCAATGTGCAGTTGTCTGCCAGCCCTGGGTCTGGAATCGTTCCTGTGTCTCCAAGAATAGAGTCTGTTAATGTCGCACCAGAAAATGCAGGCACTCAGCAAGGAAGGGCCACCAACTATGACTCACCAGTCCCAGGCCAGAGCCAGCCAAATGGACAATCAGTTGCTGTGACAGGGGCACAACAGGTGAGAGGCTTTCTACTTAATTTAATTTTTCCTGGAATTACTAAGCCCCAAGTATCTGTGTCATAAGAGATTGGCTTTTGCTTTTCCTCTTTGGAGAGGGAAAGGATGGGAAAGTCAGGAGATTGAAGGCCTATGTTTCTTCCAGAACCCAGGAAGAGTGTCCAAGGCATCCATATTGTTGGGTTATCATGAGATTTTTGTCTCTCCCCTAACAAAAATAATTGAGAATGTAAAACTCACCAAAGCTTCCCTCGCCAATTTCAAGATACGCCAGTTTCCCAATGTGCAATACATTCATCCAGCCCAATCTTCCAAGTCTGGTAAGACTATGTACCTGTGTGTGGTTGACTTCTTTTGTCCATTCTTCTCTTTCCAATCAGCCTGTTCCTGTGACACCCAAAGGGTCACAATTAGTGGCCGAAAGTTTCTTCCGTACCCCAGGTGGACCCACCAAGCCAACCAGCTCATCCTGCATGGATTTTGAGGGTGCTAATAAAACCTCCTTAGGAACTCTCTTTGTCCCACAGCGAAAACTGGAAGTCTCAACAGAGGATGTCCATTAATCAACAGATGTTGGCTTAGTTTAATTTTCTAAAGAGTTGTTTAATAGAGAAAATGTACACAGACTGATTTGGAGAACACATTCTCTGAAAATACTGTAAATACGTTGGGGATTTGTTCAATGTGAAATCAGATAGTTGTTTTCATACATATATATATATACACACACACACACACACACACACACACATATATTTGTATAAAGCTAAGTTTAGCTTTCAATCCTACAAAATAAAAGTAAAATGTTGAACTCTAAGATATATTAACTTCTAGGGGGAAAAATCCATTATTTTAGCTATGCCTATACTATTATGCAAAGTAACTGTATTAAAGTTTACTTCCCTCTAAGCAAATATGCTTGACATGCCTAACACAGCATTCCCTTAAACATTTTGCACAAAGAAAATGCTGTGTGATGTATAATGTTGTATTTTTAAATAGGGGTATAGCTATATTTTTTGTAATTTCTTTAATCTGTTGTTGCAGTGTATCTTTTTGTAAAGTTTGCAACAATCCTCAATCAAGTCTATGGAAAAATTATTTATAAAATGTATTTTTAATCATAAGTTGTTCAAATTAAAACTTTTCTAAAATATAGTTAGCATTTTCATTTCGCCGGTTAGGGCACTGTTGGGAGAAAATTAAAATTTACCTAATCACAGAGGCAAATTCTTAGTAAAGAGTATCCATGCTGGGTTCCATTAGATATGCAAAGTTTATAGAATGTTTCTACATTCTGTCCCCCATTTTGACCCTTGAGATTGCTCCACTTTTGCAGAAGTAAAATTGGCTTTGGAGAGGTTGTTGCTTGGCCAAGAACACCTAGCTAAGTCCCATGTGCTTCCTACCACACTCCACGAGATTAGAAATGAAAGGTAGGCGCCTAGGGGCCCTGGTGTGACCAGCATCTGTCCCACGCTTCCTGCTCTACTCAGAGGTGGGTCTGTACCAGCTCTCTTAACATACTTCTTGGATGGCCCAGCTCCAGGGACAGGAAAACGGCAGTAAGGATTCTAATGTCCTCCACACCTGGAGAACCCCCAGGAGCTCCAAGAGAAGGGACAAGTTCCAGTGTGTTAAGTGTGCATCTCTTTGACCCGTTTGTTATGGGAAGAACTGCACCTTGAGAATTGACAAGTGCTTTCCCTGGTTAGGGTCTTAAAGGAGCATCATAGTATCTATTTCCTACATGTTTACTATATGTAGACAGGGTTATACGTTTTAAATGTATCATATCTGTGAGCTACAACTGAGGCTCACAGGGATTAAAGCAACAAGTCCATGGTCACACTGCTAGTGTATGCAAGTCTCAGCTCATGTCTATTGGACCTCATTATCCATTGCCCATTTACTTCTAGAGACATGCCTAGCAGCTCTAGTAGGAATCAAGCACATTGATTCAGGGTAATCTGAGCATTAATAAAGTCAGCCCTTTCAAATACACATGTTTTGTTTGCACAACCAAGTACAGCTAGAAGAGGGCAGATTTGCACCTTGACCTAGAAACCCCTCTTCCTCCACCACTAGAGAACCAATATGAACTATTTCCTCCAAAGTACCTTTGTTTTTATCCTTCTTAGAGAACAGGTGAATGGTCTCTGATTTAAGAAATGGCCCCTGCCTTCAAGGTGCTTATAGTTGAGAAAGATAGTATGTACACATGAATAAATAAAGCATTTCCATGCAATAAAGAGAAAAGATAAGTTGCCCAGTGGTAGATAAAGACAAAATATATAGTTCTGTAGAGGCTACTAGATTTAATTGGTTACACGGAACTATGAGAGAAACACCAAGACAGACAGCTGCTGTGTCTCTGAGGAGGTTCTTACGTCTCCCTCCCACTTCTCCTCTGTGGTTGAGCTAGAGAGATTGGAAGCCAAGGTTTTGTTTTGTTCCCCTCATCAATTCTCCACATAAAGAATTACCTTCCTGGGGAAATTAGACGCATAGGAAGAAGGGAGGTGTTAGATTTCCAGGCAGCTCTGGACACTGTCCCACCCAGTACTGCTTCTCTGACAGGTTTGTGAGGTTGCCCCTTGATCCCCACCTCCTGGTGTTTACACCCTTGTGTTCTCCCCTCCCCTTGAGTGTGGCTGGGACCTGTAACTTACTTCTAACCAATAGGATACAGTAAAGGTGACGGGGCGTGTGACTGTGTGTGTGGTTATGTGGTCACATGTCATAAGACTGTGGTGCCCATCTTGCTGTAGTCTCTCTCCCTTGCTGGCTTTTAGGAATCAAAGCAGCCATGTCGGTGGGCCCAAAGTGGCAAGGGCCTGTGGGCAGCCTTTCAGCAAAAGGCAGGCCGTAGCCAACAACCAGCAAAAAACAAATCAGTCCTGCATATGGCCACAAATTCTGCAAACAACCTGAATGAGCTCAGAGTGGCTCTTTCCCCAGTCAAGCCTCAGATGAGACCACAGCTCCCAGTTCCACTTTGATCGCAGCCTTATAAGACCCTACAGAGGACCCAAACTGAGCCATGTATGGATTCCTGACACACAGAAACTATGAGACAATAAACATGTATTTTAAGATATAAGTTTGTGCTAATACTGTTATACAGCAATAGATAACTATTATAGCCACATAAACCCCCATTGTTCACAAAAGTCTTCCAGGTTTGTCCTATTATTGTTCATTGGTTTCACAGGCATTCATAGAAGGAAACATCGCTAAGACGTGGTAATTCCAACGGCTTTAATGGGAGAAGCACTCTCCATTTGTTTTCAAAGCTGGAAGCAACTTTAAAGATACTAGGTAGTAGCACAGTAGTGGACAAAGTTATCTGGCCAGCATGCAATGGGAAAAGTTTCTTTTCCCAAACTGCCTCCTTATTTCCTCTAAGGAATGACATTTTCCATGTTGGATGGAGCCCAGTGGACTGTAAATGTAACATCCAGCCTGGGCCAGCCCCCCGGGATTGGATGTTCCATCTCATCCTAGCAGTGTTGTTCTTGCTGTCTGTCCCTGCTGCAACTGTTGCTGAGGCTCCTGCTTCCCAGCCTCTGAAGTGGCCATGGCACCAGCCCATCTTCAAACCAGATTTTCAGCCATCCGCTGAGTCTGGGCCTTTGCTATCCTTCCAAGAGTTTCTTTTGCTTAATGTTGCCAGTCATTTCTGTGGCTGGTAGCCAAAGGGCTCTTACCAGATCACAGAAGGAAACCCAGAGCAAAGGCTTCCTAGTTCTCAGACTAGTTGTTCCCTGTTCCCTGGGCCTGGCAAAAGTCAGCCAAAGAATGAATAGAAAAGGCCTTCAGAAATGCTTATCTCGCCAGGAAATGCAAGCAACTCACCTATGCTCAAGTGGATGTAAAGTACAATTTCAGATACCAGAAAGGGAAGTAGTTGAACTAATAGATTCAAGAAACCCAGGAAACTCAAGCAATAGAATTTGATGAAAAAAAAATTTGTTAATCGACTTTAAAGCAAGTTCTCTCAGTCTTGTCCTTCCCAAGTGATTAGTGTTTCTGAAGATAAAGGATAAAGAGATTTTCAGAACTTAAAGCAGATAAGCTGCCTGAGCAATCCTACTAATTATATAAAAGAATGTGAGTTGACTGCAGATTCTTTACAGTACTTATCAGTAGTAGTTTTCATATCTTGAGGGCTTAAAATAAGAGATAAGCTCAAAGGAAATGTGTTATTATTTTAGGTTGACAAAAGGTATCAATTTCTTAGTCAACTTTTTAGGAAGTAGTTTTACATTTTAGTCTCCCATTTGAGTGAACACAGGCCAGTGACTTGCTCAATCAAATCAGCGGCTAAATGAGGACTTGTTATGATTGTCAACATTTTGTAGAAAAATGTAGGTAAGGAATATATTATCGTGTCCTCCAGCAGTCAAGTAATCAAGTGCATTTTTAAAAGGCCCTGTATATACTGAATTCTTTTTCAAGTATTTACTAGTTTTTACCATATGCTCAGCACTGTGTCATGCAAAACAATGCCTATATTATCCTATTTTGTTTCATAAAAATATCCTCTATGTGTGAATCTTCTAGAAGTTCATCGTGAATAAGAACAATTTTGTTACTATGAATTAAAATCTTTCTAAAATGATAATATAGCTCCCCATTTCCTAAATAGAGCACTGTACTTTGACTATAATTTAAACTTTTCTTCACATTTCAGAAATTCATGAGCACTGTTGCTTTGTTAAATTCAAATTCAACAAACACAGTTTAAGCCACCTATGATACCGTAATGCCTTCAGGGGCTAATAAATGTATAGGTCCACATCTTTTTCAAATTAATGGCTCCAGAATATTTTCCTTTTCAAGTTCTTTTTTTTTTTTTGTGGTTGTCTGTCTCCAACTTTGATATCAGCTTCTACTTGTCTTGCCCCTCTATCCTACCTTATGTATTATTTATATCTCAGATAGACATGTATATGTATATATGTTTTTATATGACTTTAAGTACATATATCTAAAAATATTATATGTAGCATCTCTTTTGCTTTATATGAATATGTACAGATATGTATTTATATGTAAAGATTCATGAGTACATATATATGTTTGCTTCCCTCCTATATGGCAAAATACCTTTATGGAATTGTAATTTATCTCTTCTGACCCAGGAAAATTGAAGGATCCCCAGGGAACTCATGTTACCAAACTCACTTTTCTAAACCAATAGATCTTGCATGTCCAAGTCAATAGATTTTGGTCTAACTGCCTAAGAAGGGCTCCATCCCTCTCCTGCAGGAAAAGGCTATGAATTGATGGCAGATGTTTCCCATGCCAATCAGTGTTTTTTATCACTATCCAACAAACTGGAACTTGTCAATACTTGCAACTAGGACCACGATGAAATGCCAGGAATGCTAAATATAAATTACATACCTATATTCATTATCAAAATTCAACACTTCCAGCGGCGTCCAAGGGAGAGAATACACTCATGGGCTCTTAGTTTCTATTTCTAGTTGAACCAGTAAAGCCCCTTTCTCACCCCTCTTTTCTGCTTATCACTAGAGACAGAAACTAAAAACCATAGCTTCAGGCTGCTCAAAGCCTAAAACTAAACAAAACAGAACAACAGCAAAATAAGGCGGGTTGAACAAGTTGGAGTTTGATAAAGTCATTTCTACCTGGAGACATTCTGAGAAAGAGGACAGGTCCTATATGACCCAGGGGAACAAGTGGCACTTGGGAGAGAAAAGGAATAATTTTTATTGAGCATCTACTATTATATCTACTTCCAAAGAGTATTGCGAGGTAGTTATTATTGGCCCCATTTTGAGGAAGTTAATTTCAGAAAGCTTGAGGGACAGACCCTGTGCAGCGCCAGCGTGTGCGTGCAGCTGTGCCTGGAGCTGAGGCCCGCACTCCAGAGCTTGGGCCGCCTGGCATCGTCATGCGTGTTCAGACTGTGGTGAGGCAGGCTGATTCCAGATTGTTCATGGCAAATGAGAACAGTGCTTCCATGGCATTAGTCCCAAGGCGTGGCCGCTGTTGCTATTTCAGGCTCTAAACTTGAGGTGATTTATTCCGTATCAAGTTGCTTAAGCCAGAACATTTCACGAAAACCCCTTCATGTTATGGTTGTGATTTTGAGCACCAAAGAGGAGTTTGCACACCATGTTGGAGGGAGAAAGGAAACAACCACCATTCCTCTCAGAAGGCCAGGGCAATGTGATGCAATGACGACACAAAAGTGTCCCTGACTCCAGCTGCCTGGCTGTCCTCCAGGTTTTGTCCACAGCCTCCTCCTGAGGGCGGGTCCTGCTGAAGAGCAGCTGCTCCAGCCCTGTCACCAGAAGCTTCCATGCAGACCCACAGAGGCACCAACCCCCTATATATTCCTCTACCACCAGCTCCTCCCGCACAGTCCCTCTGTGGTGGCTGGACATGCTCAGCTTCTCAGATTGTCCGGTTTGCGACTCCGATCTTCCAACGAGCCCTTTCCAACCTTTATTCCCCCAGTTTCTCTCACAATTGTGTAAGATCTGATTTCTGTAAGAAATCATTTACTTCATAACTCATAGAGATTCCGCTTCACCTGATTAAGCCCTGGCTATACAATACCATGTGGCACTTTTGAGAGGAAATGGGGCGAAAAAATTTCCAGAGAGAGCCAAGGGCCATCCACTTCCCAGTGCCCAGAGAATACGATGTGCCAGCAAGTTGGCACTTTGCAAGTTCTGAGCCATTTTAGTTGCCAGTATTTTCATAGCTGCAAATCCAGGAGCTGAAACATTTTAGGTCAAAGCACCCTTTACAAATGCCTTGCATGGAGCTCAGCCACTGCCAACTGCAGCTATCTGACCTGTTGTTGTTAACATGCTCAGAGGCTCTGCATCCAACATCTCACTTGACTCAACTCAGAGAAGTAAGACATGCACAACCTAGGAGCCAAAATCTGGCTTCAAGCCCCAGTTCAGACTCGCTAATAAGGCACTTAACCTGTCAGGGCTGGTTTCCTCTTGCATCCTTATAGAAGTGATCCCAAGGAGATGATTTCTGAGGTCCTTAGAAATAAATTTTTATGAAAAGCAAATTCAAACTCTCTGGCGATTCCTAGCACATAAGCAGAACCTGCGCTCAACCAAAAGAGTTTTATCAAATGTATGGGAAAGAGCTGATCCTAGGGAGGAAAGGAGGCTCTTAATGAAACCACTAATCTTCGGACTTGAGCACACATGATATTCCTCTTGGCAAACACTATATAAGGCAGATTTAAATTTTATTGCCGCTATTATTGCAAGAAGTTGTTATTTCCATGAAACTAATCTTACAGATTGGGAGACCATCCGTTCTCCTTTTGGTTTTAATATCTTGACCTTGCTATCAGTTACATATTTTTAATCTTCTCTGGGACCTTTGTCAAGATGACCTATGTGATCTACAGCTTCAGCTGAAATTTTGAGAGAAATGAATAGAATGGCACCTCATTAACAAGCATCTTTGTGAATGGGATATTCTGAATAATATAGAGCCTAAGGATCTCAGGGCTGGAAAGGACCCTGGAGATCGTCTTATCCAGGGCTTCACAAACTTCCAAGCTTAACCCTGACTTTGGGCCCCCAAATCAGTCCCAGGTTGGCTGTATTAGAAACACCAGAAAGCATCTTTGACAGATTCTTGGGCTTCTAATGGAGATGGGTCTAGGGTAGAACCCTTAAATCTATATTATTTCAAGCTTCCCAGGAAGCCAGCCATGGTAGCTTACACCTGTAATGCCAGCATTTTGTGTGTCCGAGGCAGGAAGATCACTTGAGCCCAGGAATTTGAGACCAGCCTGAGCAACATAGTGAGACCCATTTCTACAAAAAATATTTTAAAAATTACCTGGTCATGGTGGTGCATGCCTGTAATCCCAACTACTCAGAAGGCTGAGGTGGGAGGATCACTTAAACCTAGAAGGTAGAGGATACTGTGAGCCATGATTATACCACGGCACTCCAGCCTGGGTGACAGAGTAAGATCCTGTCTCAAAAAAATTATGTAAATAAACAAACAAAGTGTCTCTGGTAATTCTGATTTGTTGCTAGGTTTGATGACTAATGATCTGGGAAAATCACTGTCCAGTATTTAAATTGCCATTACAGAACTAGTGCTAAACACGACAAAGTAAGCCCATTACAGCCTATCTCCTCCACTGATTATAACTAAAATCTCTGGGCAGAATACAAACACTATTACCTGAGAGAAGAATAGCTTGTATGCCAGGGAGCTTACTGGGTTTTTCTTTCCTTCTTTACCTCTTGGCTTTGACATTGGAACCACCACCCTCAGAAGGCAAGACACAACTTGTGGTATGAACTTAACCAGCCTGGTTGCCTACCAAAATAAACAAAAGTCAACATTCTCCGGATTATTTTAACAGCACCTTTGACTTGTTTCCAGAACATACAACAAACTCTCAAAACTCTACAATAAGAAAACAATCCAATTTTTAGATGGATAAAAGATTTGAATAGTCACTTCACTGAACAAGATGTATAGTTAGCAAAAAAGCACGTTAAAAAATGCTCAACATCAGCCGGGCGCTGTGGCTCACGCCGGTAATCCTAGCACTTTGGAGGCTGAAGCAGGCCGATCACAAGTTCAGGAGATCAAGACCATCCTGGCTAACACGGTGAAACCCTGTCTCTACTAAAAATACAAAAATTAGCTGTACGTGGTGGTGTATGCCTGTAATCCCAGCTACTTGGGAGGCTGAGGCAGAAGAATCACTTGAACCAGGGAGTCAGAGGTTGCAGTGAGCTGGGATAGCGCCACTGCACTCCAGCCTGGTGACAGAGAGACTCCGTCTAAAAAAAAAAAAAAAAAAAAAAAGCTCACCATCATTATTTATTTATTAGAGAAATGCAAATTAACATCACACTGAAATACCACTACACATCTGTTAAAATGGCTAAAACTTAAGAAACAGCAAAATGAGATTGATCACAGCAAACGCTGGTGAAGATGCAGAGCAACTGGACGTGGTTAGTGGGAACCCACAGGCACTTTGAAACATGATTCGGGAGTTTCTTATGAACTTGCACATAGACTTACCATATGACCCAGAAATTCCACTCAGATATTTACCTTCAAAAATGAAGAGTTATGTGTACAAAAAACAATGCTGTATATTAATATTTGTAGCATATTTATTCATAATTGCCCCCAAACTGGAAACAAACCAAATAACAGCCCTTTATCCTGCTTGGTGTTCTCTGAGCTTCCTGTATTTGTAGTTTGGTGTCTGACATTAATTTTGGGAACTTTTCAGTCTTTACTGCTTCAAGAATTTCCTCTGTTTCTTTTTCTCTCTTCATCTGGTGTTCTCATTGTATGTTCTTTAAATCTTTTATAATTGTCCTACAGTTCTTGGATATTATGTTCCACTTATCATAAGTCTTTTTTTCCTTTGCTTTTCAGTTTGGGAAGTTTCTATTGACATAGCCTCAAGCTCACTGATCCTTTCATCAGCTGTGTCCAGTTGGCTAGTAAGCCCATCAAAGTCCTTCATTTTGATTACAGAGTTGATTTCTAACATTTATTTTATATTCTTTCTTAATATTTTCATCTCTCTGCTTACATGACCTATCTGTTCTTGCATAGTGTGTACTTTTTCCACTAGACTCCTTAATATATTAATCATAATTGTTTAAAATTCCTGTTCTAATAATTCAAACATCCCTGTCATTTCTGAGTCTGATACTGATGCTTGCTCTGTCTCTTCAAACTCTGTTTCTTGCTTATTAGCATGTTCTTGTAATTTTTTGTTTAAAGCCAGCTATAATGTACTGGTTAAATTAACTCAACACTAGTTCCCACTGAGATTTCTGCTCCAGTAAATTGTGGGTTCTTTGATCCATTCTCTGCCCAAATTGGGGAGAGCGGTTTGTCCTGTGATTTCAATTATTTCATGGAGCTAAGAAGAGCTGTTAGTTTTCAGTTTGTTCAGCTTTTTACTTGTTAGGATAAAGTGATGACTTTTTTTTTTTTTTTTTTTTTTTTGACAGTTTTGCTCTGTCGCCCTGGCTGGAGTGCAGTGGCGGGAGCTCAACTCACTGCAAGCTCCACCTTCCGGGTTCACGCCATCCTCCTGCCTCAGCCTCCCAAGTATCTGGGACTACAGTTGCTTGCCACCACGCCCAGCTTTTTTTTTTTTTTTTTTCCCAGTACAGACGGGGTTTCACCGTGTTAGCCAAGATGGTCTCGATCTCCTGACCTTGTGATCTGCCCACCTCGGCCTCCCAAAGTGCTGGGATTGCAGGCATGAGCTACCACACCTGGCCTAAAGTGATGACTTCTAATCTCCTAAAATGTTGGGCTAGAAGCCAGAAGTCCCCCGAGTATTCTTCAGCTGGTGAATGAATGGGCATGGTGGCACAACCATACAATCAACTACTACTCAGCAATAAAAAGGAACAAACCATGGATGAGTCAACAGTGTGGATGAATCTCAAATGCACTAAGCTAAGTGAAAGGAACCTTATTCAAAAGGCTAGCTACTGTGTGATTTCACTTATATGACCTTCTGGAAAAGGCAAAACTATAGGGATAGAGAGCAGATCAGTGGTTGCAAGAGCTTAGGAATGGGAATAGGTGTGACTACAAAAGAGTAGCTCAAAATAATTTTGGGGTGATGGTAGAACTGTTCTGTGTGTTGATCACAGTGGTGATTATGTGAATCTGTGCATTTGTCAGAACTTATGAAACTGTAATAAAAAGTACATACATTTAAAAGCATTTTAAAATTGCCATTACAACACCGCCATCCAGGTTGTTTCCAGGCTCTACTTGAAGGGTTCCTAAGGTGGGGAATTTACTATTTTCAGAGACCAGCAATCCCATCAATGCAGAGCTTCCCAATCACTGTGCTGGGACTGGGTTACAGGTTGGCAAGATATTAATCATCTCAGCCCTTAGGCAGGTGGGAACCGCTGTGCTACTCTTTTTCACCATGGGCTGTAAACATTATTTCATTTTCCAATTGCTGTAAATTGAAAAAGGATGCACTACCTTCTCAGACACTAATTTTCCTTTACATTGAAACAATATCAGTCTATCTATCTGCAATGTCTATTGGTCCTAGTTTTTCCCTTTCTTGGAACAAATTTCTTCCCTCCTAATATATATGACAGTTCATTAGATATTTGAAAGTTTGCTATAAGTTTTCATATTCCTACCATCACCAATTCATCTTTGAATAAATGTGCCTGGTCCCTTGGACTATTTCTCACATGGCATGTATTTAAGATTATCAATCCCTGGAACATGATCTTCATTTCCAATATTTATGCCAATTGCCATAATAGAACATGATACTCGATTTTCTTAGCCTATGCCAGGAAAATTTTTTAATGAAGGTTATTTCATGATTTCTCCTTTCACAGGTCTAGGAGAGTATGCATAATGCAGTCTTTCTTTACAGACTGAAAATATTATAGGGTCTGATGGTTGTTAGGTTTTGTGGTCTACCTGTACTGGCCCTATAGCTTCTGGAACTTCTTATTGCACTTTCAAATTCTAGCATTTGGAGACAACTCACTAGAAGAAACTCATAGAGAAACATCACCAAACAAGTCAACAATAACTATAACACAGCCTCCAGCACCATATCTCAGCCTCTGTAAAAGGGACCACATATATAAAAAGATCCACAGTTGTCATACTCTATACTTGGCCCCTTCCTAGCACCATGTCATCCTGTGACCAGAGCTCCTTATTGCCTTAACCACTTTCTCGCAAATACTCATGAGGCAAAATCCTCCCATCTTCTAGGAGACAGGAAACCTTTCTTAGGTTCCAGCTAATCTTCTCAGGAAAGTGTTCCTCACTCACACACATACACTTAGTTCCCCAGACTAAACACCTCACCATCTACTTAGTCTACATTCCGCTGGCGAAGGTTGCCGTGACAGTAGGTATACTCGGTGAGAAATAAATGTCATATCCTATGCACTTGTGGGATATTAGTTGAAGTCCCTTAACCTATGGCATGAGATATAGCAAAATTTAGGAAACAGGGTTGAAGTCTGCCACCCCAGGACATTCCCTCAATGAATATTTGAAATGCACATTCAAAGTTATAACTCAAATTTGAACACAGGTGATTTTTCTAACTTCTATTTCTACTAATTCATAAGTTCAGGAAATACAAATAAAATAAATCCTATTTCTGTGGACTGGGAAGACATTTCTGGATAGTTAATATTTCTGCTAAAGCAATTTAAAAGTGGAATTTAGCTTGAAAAGGTATATTTTAAAAAGGAAGAACATTTTTGCAGTGTTCTGCAAAAAAAAAAAAAAAACCTGCAAGAGATGCTGTCAAGAGAATGGGAAGACAAGCCACAGACTGGAATAAAATATGAAAATATGCAAAAGGCACATCTGATAAAGGACTGTTATCCAAAATATAAAAAGAACTCTTAAAACTGAAGAATAAGAAAATGAACAACCCAATTTAAAAAATGGTCAAAAGACCTGAACAGACACCTCACCAAACATATACAGGGAGCAAATAAGAAAATGAAAACATGCTCAATATCATATGTGATTAGGAAATTGCAAATTAGAACAACAATGAGATACCACTACACGTGTATTAGAATGGCCAAAATTCAAAACACTGACAACACCAAACGCTGGTGAGGATGCGGTGCAACGAGGGCTTTCATTTATTGCTGATGGAAATGCAAAATGGCACAGGCACATTGGAAGACAGTTTGGCAGTTTCTTAGAAAACTAAATTTACTTTTATCATATAATCCAGCAATCAAACTATTTGGTATTTACCCAAATGAGTAATGTCTGCACAAGAACTATGTCCTCATGAAAATCTGCACACAAATGTTTATGGCAGCTTTATTCATAATTGCCAAAACTTGGAAGCAACCAAGATGGTCATCAGTAGTTGAATACATAGATAAACTGTGGCACATCCAGGCAGGGGAATATTATTCAATGCTAAAAAGAAATGCACTCTCAAGCCATGAAAAGACATGGAAGAACCTTAAATGCACATTGGTAAGTGAAAGAAGCCAATATGAGACGGCTACAATCCTATGTGGTTTCAACTATATGATAGTCTGGAAAAGGCAAAACTATGGAGACTGTAAAAAGATCAGTAGTTGACAGAGGCTAGTGGAGAAGAGATGAATAGATGGAGCATAAAGGATTTTTAAGGCAGTGAAATTATTCTGTATGATGATATAATAGTGGATACGTGTCATTATACATTTGTCCAAGCCCACAGAATGAACAACCATAGGAGTGAACTCTGATGTCAACTATAGACTTTGGGAGATAATGATGTAACATTGTAGGCTCATTGATTGCAACAAATGTACCACTCCAGTGCAGAGTGTTGATAGTGGGCGGGGCAATGCATGTGTGGGAGCAGGGGATGTATGGAAACTCTGTATTTTCCACTCAGTTTTGCTGTGAACCTAAAATTGCTCTAAAATATAAAGACTATATTTTTGTTTTTGTTTTGTTTTGTTTTTTGAGATGGACTTTCACTCTTTTCACCGAGGCTGGAGTGCAATGGCATGATCTCTGCTCACTGCAGCCTCCGCCTCCTGGGTTCAAGCGATTCTCCTGCGTCAGCCTCCTGAGTAGCTAGGATTACAGGCATGCGCCACCATGCCCGGCTAATTTTGTATTTTTAGTAGAGACCGGGTTTCTCCATGTTGGTCAGGCTGGTCTCAAACTCCCCACCTCAGGTGATCCACCCGCCTCGGCCTCCCAAAGTGCTGGGATTACCTGCGTGAGACACCGCGCCCGACCAAGACTATCTTTAAGAAATTGGAATACAGCACTTCAGAATATTGGGGGACTCTCAGATCTCTTCTTATATAAAGGGTAATTGTCACAGCATCCATTAAGGGGCAGTGACACCGCTGCACACACCACCTTGAAGATTCTGATTCTCTTTGGACCTGTGTCACTTTGTAGAATGCATTCCCCGAGGACCCGAGTTTTAAACTCGACATGCAAGCATCTTCTCCTTTTACTCCAAACCATCTTTCGGGGGGGCTTGACGACTTAACTCCTTCGTCTTTGTGAACACAAAAGATCAACTAATCTTTCTGAGGTCTTTTTCTTCTCCTGATGTGAGGCCTTCCAACTTTAAAGGAGCAGAACTCTGATGTTTTAGCAATAAGGAGTTTTTTTGGTTGTTAGCTGCGTCTGCCTTTTTCTGTTTTTGTTTTTCCCCATATCAGGAGTTCTCACTTCATAAAATACCGTGTACCATTTCTAATACCCACATTTTTTGGTAATAGGGTCATAGTAGGACAAAGATGTTTTTATGACAATGTAGAAAGTTTACCCTTTGTTGGTTAAGCTCCATCATGCTCCAAGGGAAGTAAAGACTTAGTTTTCCTAACTGGAAAATAAGAATTATCAAATTATAGAATTAGCACCGGCCGGGCGCGGTCGCTCACACCTGTAATCCCAGCACTTTGGGAGGCCGAGGCGGGCGGATCACGAGGTCAGGAGATCGAGACCATCCTAGCTAACACGGTGAAACCCCGTCTCTACTAAAAATTAGCCGGGCGTGGCGGCGTGTGCCTGTAGTCCCAGCTACTCGGGAGGCTGAGGCAGGAGAATGGCGTGAACCTGGGGGGCGGAGCTTGCAGTGAGCCGAGATCGCGCCACTACACTCCAGACTGGGCGACAGAGCCAGACTCCGTCTCAAAAAAAAAAAAAAAAAAAGAGAGAGAGCACCTTAGGAATCATCTGCCTCACACGAATATTCTGTAAGTAAGGAACTAGAAAGGAGAACTGACTTGTCAGAGGGCACACAGCTAATTAATAGAAAAGTTAAGACTAGAAACCCATAACTATTCATTCCAATCCAGTGTTATTACACTATAGACACAGCACAAACTTATTGGGAAAGCCAAAAAAAAAAAAAAAAAAGGCTCCCAGCTATTATAAAAATGCATCCAATCTTTATGTTTAGATGGAGTGGCTATAGACTTAAGTAAGTAAATGTTTTTTGCTGAATTTGTGCTTTATCTCTTGCAGCTTATCTCAGATATGGTAGGAATGTAGCCCTTTCAAGACCTCTCAAAATTATTCAGCTACATGAATAAATTCAACTTCAACTTCTAAATGCCTACGAGGTGCTAGCATTGAGGACCCAAAGACAAATAAGATGCTCTCTTTTTTACAGAGGAGTTCACCATCTAATGATCCAAAAAGACACGCATACAACCAGACAAAGTTCCCCATAATGAGAGCATGTTTTAAGGTCCCAGTGCAGAGTATCACATCCTACCTGGAAAGGTTAGGGATGGAGGCTTCCCCTGAAGAGGCCATTTGGGCTGTTTATTGAAGGATGAGGAAGATTCCACCAGAGGGAGGAGGTGAAGGAGGCGGAGGACATTCCAGGCAGAGGAGGGAGCATGAGCAAAGCGTAGAGGCATGAAAGTACTGGCTATTTTTGGAGAACAGTGATTAGACTGAAGAGGTTGGTAGATAGGATAAAGGAAAGTGGGATGGTGGGAGAAGAAGTGGGAAAGTTAATCTGGAGCAAGATGAAGAAATTTGAAAATGATGTCAAAATTTTTAACATGATCTTATAGTAAGGGGGCACTAACAGAAGTCTGCGAGCTGAAGGGTGCCATCATCAGATCCAGGTTTTGAAAGATGACTCTGGTGGTGGTGTAACAAATGGAAGGGAAGTGGGAAACCTGGGTGGGGGGCTTCTGAAAAAGTCTAGGCAATACATCTGAACTGGGGCAATAAGAAGAGGAGGCACAAAGGAAGGGCTAAATTCAAAAGACATTGAAGTGCCTGTTGTTGACACAGGTGAAGAGTCATAAAGACTACACAGCCCATGGAAACACCTCCTAAGACAATCCCACTGATCCACTCTGAACCTCTGCAATTTGATTTACTTCTGTCGATTTGCTGGCCATGTGATACCCACTTTGGGGACTTGTGCTGCTCCAGGCTTCTCCTAAAGGCTTTGTACCAGCTGAATAGCAAATGTAGGCACAGCCTCTTCTGAATCTGTCGGACTGTTTCTGTAAAACCCTGCTAATCTCTCAGTGCAAGATAAAGTTAAGCTGGTACGTTGGCTATGTGGGTGCTCAGCCCCACCCTGTCCTCTCTCCCAACTACATAATGCCAACTAGATCAAATTCTGACTAAAGCAATTCTACTAGTTAAAATTTCCATCAGAGCATTGGCTCTGGAACAGAGAATCTGAGTTCAAGGTTTGACTTTACCATATACTAGCTGTGTAACCTAACTTCTCAAACAAAGTTCTTCATCTATAAAAAGGGGATAATAACACCTATATCTTCCCTTTGATTCAGAGAGAGGCAGAAACAGAGATAAAGGGACACAGAGGAGAGAAATTGCACCCAAGAGAGAATCAAACACATCATAGTGCTTTTAAGCTGAAAACACTGTTATCACAGCAAGCAGTGAATGGCCATGAAAATAAGGAGGCCCGTTTTTAAAAATCTGGATGATGTAAATAAATGAGCCATTTGTTTCATCAAGTCTCATTTCATTTCAGTAAAGATGACATTTGTTATTATTTCTTGGAAAAAAAGAACCATCTTGATGCACTTATGTGTTGCTTTGCCCATTTCCATGCTTTTCACAGACGCAACGCATGGTCAGGAGCAACCTCTGAATGGTAGGTTAGAGTTAATTCTCTTTTTGAAATAAGAGCCAGTGACAAATATCAGACCACTGGTGCACAGAAATAGTGAAAAGCCCTAGTTACTCAAAGAATGTGGCTGACATTGAATACATTATGGTCCAATTATGTTTCTTTTCAGAGCGGTTTAGATGAGCAGATGGAAGCTGAGATTCCCAAGCCTGCAAGTCCCTCTCACAAAATGTTCCCTCTTTTATGTGGCATGGTTTAGATCAGTGATTCTCAAAGTAGGAGGTGGGGAGCCCCCTAGGAAACATGAGAAATAATGCTAGAGTATGAGACAAAAGATTGAGACTTGTATTCTATTTAATATCTTTTTAGTGCATCATTGTGAATATGTTTTATACTGTGTGTGTGTTTGTGCACGTGTGTATTGCTCAAAAATGTTTTATGAGGGGACCATAATCAAACACATTTTGGAACCATGTTGTGGAAGGGTTTTGGGTTAGATCTGGGTTTGAATTTCCTCATCACCTTTGTGATGTGTGTTTCCCCCTGACTTACTAATTTTTAGTTATCCTAAGGAATACGAATGAGGAAGCAATGGATACTGGTCCTAACATCGCCGTGAATTTCCCGTTGACCTAACTGTGTGGCGTAAGAGATTTAGTTCATTTTCATGGACTGCATTTATTTCATTCCTCATTCATACCAGGGGAAGAATAATAATGCCTTCTTGACAAAGTTCTTGTGAGGATTAAATAAATCACTGTTTCTAATTGAGCTCTCTTTTTCTGATTTGGGGTATAAAGGCAGTGTTTTAAGGCATGTGATTTCAGGTCGCCCTCACTGTCCTGGTTCACGCTTTTGCCTGGTCTCCTTCATGCCCTCTGTTTCTCAATGGTTCACCTGTTTATGGTAATTCTGGGAACAATGAGGCAGAAACAGCAGGTTCCAGTCCCAGCACCACCAATTCACTTGCCATTGAGTGGACGTTCAGCTTGTACTGATTGAGCACCCTGCTGTGTGCACAACACGGGCTTACTGTCACCTATTCCTCATAGCATCTCAAAAGGGATTTAGGAATTTCTTCACTTTTCAGATTCAGAAGATGTAGAGCAGTGCTGTCCAAGAGACCTTTCTGCAGTGATGGAAGCATTCTGTAGCTATCCTCTTCACTGTGGAGGCACTAGTCACATGTGGCTGTTAAGCACTTGGAATGTGGCTTCTGTGACTGAGAAACTGACTTTTACATTCTACGTATCTTAAATAATTTCAACTTATATAGCCACGTGCAGTTATGGCTACTGTGTTGGACAGCACAGTGCTGGAGAATGCTGACAGACCCTAGAACTCCAGAAAGTGATTTAAAAGAAAATAAATTAGAGAGAACACTGAAAACAACACCATAAAAAGAAGTGTCCACTAACAAGTGAGAAATTTCAAAGAATTCCAGAGAGAAAGCAGAAGGCTGTGGATTAACAGAGCGAGAAGTCCTGGCCACAGCAGTGTAGCAGCGTGTGGCGAGGCAGGAGCTGTCCTGGGACATCCCAAACTTGCATGTCCTGGGACATGCAGAGTGGAAGGCACCCTGGGCTATCACAAGGGTGATGGATAAGAAGATGGGTCCAGGGCTAGGAGCTTTCCTCACTTTCCAGTGTGGCTCCAGACTAAGGGGCCAGAAATCCCAGGGAACTCCCCATAGAACCAGTGACCTCCAGAGAGAGTGGGACAGCTCACACCCAGGAAACACACCGCCACTGCACACACCTGGTAGCAGGCTCCATCCCTGTCCCACAGTCCCTGCGGGAAAGCTCCTTTAATCAGAGGTGGTATCCACCAAAAGGAAAACAGAAATTCTCAAATGACATGGTAAACACATATCCAAAAATCCCAAATATAGTTGAAAAACCAGCACTATGAAGATGAAACACCAAACTCAACACACAAAAGAACAAATATCCAAGAAAACATAATTGATAGAGCAAACAAAGAAGACTTCCCCCAAGTTAGTATAATGAATATCCCCAGAGAGATGCAAGATGATATGTCATTTATAAAGCAAGGATGGGCTATATGAAAAAATTAGGTATCTTAAAAATTATAAATGTAATTATTTTAAAATCAGTAGATGAGCTGAGCAGAATGTACATGGAGGAAATGCAAATTAGTTCCATGTAAGATTGAGCTAAGGAATTCTCCCTTAATAAACATAAAAGGACAAAGAAATTCTAACTTCTAATGAGAGTTTCAGCAAGAGGAAACATTACATATAGGGAGGGATTAATGAGAGAAATAATAAAAGGAAATTTCCTAAAGGAAAAAAAGTGAGTTTTCAAGTTGAACTCATCCACTAAATTTCAAGCAAAATAAAATTTAAAAGGCCGTAACACAGGAAATTGTCATAAAATTCAAGAGAAGATCCTGAAAGTTTCTAGAGGAAACAAGACAAGTCAATAAAGGAACATGAATATGACTGGCACCAAACTGTCATGTACGTTACTAAAAATAATTGAAGACAGTTTTCAAAGGTCTGACTGAAAATTATTTTGGATAGAGATTCCTAAATTTAACCAAACTAGCATTCAAGTGAAAGCAAAATGAAGACTATGAGGGGCGGGATAGTGTCCCTCCAAAATTCGTATGTTGAAGTCCTAACTCCCAGTAGCTCAGAACGGGACTGTATTTAGAGATAGGGTTCTTAAAGAGGTAATTAAGTTAAAATGAAATCATATGGGTGGCTCCTAATCCAATATGACTGCTGTCCTTGTAAGAAGAGGAAATTAGGACCCAGATACACAAGGAAGACCGTGTGCAGATACAGAGAGAAAACAGCCATCTACATTCAGAAGAAACCAACCCTGCCAGCACGTTGGTCTTGAACTTCCAGTTGCTGGAATTGTGCAAAAATAAGTTTCTGTTGTTTAAACCAGCCTGTCTATGGCATTTGTTACATTATGTGATAATTCAGTAAGTTTACAGCAGACTCTCTCAATGAATTCATCGAGAATGATTTACCTCACACACACACACACACACACACACACACACACATGCACACACACAGAATTAAAAATGTAAGGTACAAAAAGTAAATAAAGAACAGTAATTGGGAGGCTGAGTTGGTTGGATCACCTGAGGTCAGGAGTTCGACATCAGCCTGGCCAACACGGTGAAACCCCGTTTCTACTAAAAATACAAAAATTAGCCAGGCATGGTGGTGGGCACCTGTAACCCCAGCTACTTGGGAGGCTGAGGCAGGAGAATCACTTGAACCCAGGAGGCAGAGGTTGCAGTGAGCTGAGACTGCGCCACTGCACTCCAGCCTGGGTGACAAGAGCAAAACTCCATCTCAAAAAACAAACAACAACAATAACAAAACAGTAATTGAGTGAAGAAAGCACTAAAATTTATCATTAGGTTTAAGTAAGTACTAACCCATAATGAACAAAACTAATTACAATCCAAAACTGAAACTACACATCATGTTGTGGGGAGGTGTGTAAAGGCAAGTTCAGAATGTGCAAAGAGGGCAAGACGTGACGGTCAAAGTGCAGCATTCATTTCAAGCAAGGAAGCTCCTTTTATTTTTTAATGCTTAATTATAACTTTATTTTTTCCTTTGTTCTCCTAAAAAAATAAAACGGGATACATGTGCAGAGTGTGCAGGTTTGTTACATAGGCATACGTGTGCCACGGTGGTTTCTGCACCTATTGATCCATCCTCTAAGTTCCCTCTCCTCACCCATCCCCCACCCCACAGCAGGCCCTGGGGTGTGTTGTTCCCCTCTCTGTGTCCATGTGTTCTCATTGTTCAACTCCAACTTATGCATGGAAGCTCCTCTTTATTTATTTATTTATTTATTTATTTATTTATTTATTATGCTTTAAGTTTTAGGGCACATGTGCACAATGTGCAGGTTAGCTACATATGTATGCATGTGCCATGTTGGTGTGCTGCACCCATTAACTCGTCATTTAGCATTAGGTATATCTCCTAATGCTATCCCTACCCCCCCCCCCCCACCCCACAACAGGCCCCGGTGTGTGAGTTCCACTTCCTTGTCCATGTGTTGTCATTGTTCAATTCCCACCTATGAGTGAGAACATGCGGTGTTTGGTTTTTTGTCCTTGTGATAGTTTGCTGAGAATGATGGTTTCCAGCTTCATCCATGTCCCTATAAAGGACATGAACTCATCATTTTTTATGGCTGCATAGTATTCCATGGTGTATATGTGCCACATTTTCTTAATCCAGTCTATCATTGTTGGGCATTTGGGTTGGTTCCAAGTCTTTGCTATTGTGAATAGTGCCACAGTAAACATAAGTGTGCATGTGTCTTTATAGCAGCATGATTTATAATCCTTTGGGTATATACCCAGTAATGGGATGGCTGGGTCAAATGGTATTTCTAGTTCTAGATCCCTGAGGAATCACCACACTGACTTCCACAATGGTTGAACTAGTTTACAGTCCCACCAACAGTGTAAAAGTGTTCCTATTTCTCCACATCCTCTCCAGCAACTGTTTCCTGACTTTTTAATGATCGCCATTCTAACTGGTGTGAGATGGTATCTCATCGTGGTTTTGATTTGCATTTCTCAGACCTAAAACCATAAAAACCCTAGAAGAAAACCTAGGCAATACCATTCAGGACATAGGCATGGGCAAGGACTTCATGTCTAAAACACCAAAAGCAATGGCAACAAAACCAAAATTGACAAATGGGATCTAATTAAACTAAAGAGCTTCTGCACAGCAAAAGAAACTACCATCAGAGTGAACAGGCAACCTACAAAAATGGGAGAAAATTTTTGCAATCTACTCATCTGACAAAGGGCTAATATCCAGAATCTACAATGAACTCAAACAAATTTACAAGAAAAAAAAACAGACAACCCCATCAACAAGTGGGCGAAGGATAGGAACAGACACTTCTCAAAAGAAGACATTTATGCAGCCAAAAGACACATGAAAAAATGCTCATCATCACTGGAAGCTCCTCTTTTATCTGCTTTATATACTGATTTTCCTCTTATCTACAGAAAAAAGTATTCTGATGCAAACACACACACAAAAAAAATTTTAAAGCTACTATTGGTTGACCAGTTTCAGTGACTCAAGCCTGTAATCTCAGCACATTGAGAGGCCGAGGTGGGCAGATCACTTGACCCCAAAGTTTGAGACCAGCCTAGGCAAAATGGTGAAACCACATCCCTACAAAAAAATTAGCCAGGCGTGCTGGTGTGCGCCTATAGTCCCAGCTACTCAGGAGGCTGAGACAGGAGGATTGCTTGAGCCCAAAAGATCGAGGCTGCAGTGAGCTGTGATCATGCCACTGTACTCCAGCTTAGGCAACAGAACGGGACCATTTCTCTAAACAAACAAACAAACAAACAAACAAAAGCCACTATCCTAGACGATTTCTAAAGTCCTTTCTAGCTTTAACTTTCTAAAATCCTCGTGATTGCCTCGTCTTTATGATGAAGATGCCATTTAGTGAAAACACAGACCACGGATATCTCATAGGAGGCTATGCCACGGCCGTCTTTGTGAAATTACTGCAACCTTCTTGACAGTGAAATATTCTATCCTTCAACAATTGCTTTGTGGGCAGGTAACCAAAGGGCTAATATCTGATGTGAAGGCTGGATCATGAACCTCCCGGTTGGGTTCTACATGTACCTTACCTCAACATCCGGGTCAACATGAGTGGAAGGGGCTTGGTGCCTCAGTTTCCTCATCTATAACATGAAGAATTGGTCTTCACATCTCTGAACCTCTTGTCAGCTTTTCAATGCCATAATTTATATCAGTCCCTGGTGCTTGATCAAATTTAAACGGTGTGAATTCCAGACAAAGAAAAATTAGACCTCCAAAGAAAATATGGGTCTACAGAGACATATCAAGATGTTATAAATATAATGTGATGATGATAAATATGCACTGCTGTATCAAATTCTTAAATAGAAAAGGATAATAACAAAGTAAATCAAAACTTTTTAGAGAAAACTTCGTTTCCTAGGATAGATGGAGTGACAGGTCCCAAGTGATGTGCCAACCTTTTTTCTCCCAAGCTTCTTTGAAGAGATTATCTAAGTATCGTTTCAGACACCCATCACCCTTATTTTTAGCTCTGAGTTCTCTTCACGAGTGTGGTGACCTGTGGCTCTAAGTTCCAGAGGCTCCCAGATATGGCACATGACTCATTTGCAGGTACCCTGCAATGATTTCCAGGAAGGTCAGTGGGGTGGGGGCCTGGAGAAATGATTTTTGATGTTAAACCCTTAGCTCTTGTTCCTGTTCCAACCACTTGATCAGAAATGACACACTTCATAAATTGATCCCTTGGTGCCATAAGCAATTGGCAGTGCAAATAGAACCCAAGTGATTCGGTTCTCCAAGAGGCTCACAGCTGGCTGGGGGGTTGGGGGAGACAAAACTCAGGGCTTTGGTCACAGTCTATTTTCAGCCCCTGATAGCAGTTGTGTTACTCACGTCTCATTCACCCTCTCCCTTGGCCTCCCTCCTGCCCTTCCCCCAGCAGGCCAAGGCTGGTGACAGCCTTCATATATTTAAAGAGGACAAGAGCCCCTCAGACTCAGTTGAGCTGAACGGAGTCCACACAGGCAGGTGAGTGGAGCAAGGCAGACATTTGAGCTGGAGGTGGGTTGGTTCTGTGGCTGGTTTGGACTATAAAGGGTCCCATAGAGTAAGAGCACATTTTACGTCTCAAGTGCCAGCACCCTCTCTGGTTCTGTGCAAGGAGGCTCAAGTTGTACTTGACTCTGGTGTGGATCTAGCAGGTATTAAAAAATTCCTGCAAGGATGGTTAATATTTAGGGGGCTTAAGGGACCTCATAGGCAGATAAATGAGTAAAGAATTATCCTCATTATAAAACTACTTACGTGGTGGAATTACATTTCCTGTCATCTTAGTTGGAACAACTGGAAAGCGGGAGGAAATAATGGAAAGTCTGCTGACCTTCTCGTCTTACAACCACCATATAATTCATGGATGACAGACTTTGAGAAGGTTCCTGCCCTCAGGGGCTTGGTCTCCTCTTCTGCAAGGATCAATACAAATTGGCGACATTTTTTCCAAACTGTAAAGTACTGCACAGATACAAAGCGATAAGCGATTGTACTAGATGCAATATATAAGACAGCTTTCCCATGCTCAATTTACCTGGAATGGTGTTATTCAAAAGGTCGTGGTGAATGACTGAGATTTTGGGCTTGTTGATTTTAAATAGACTTTTGTATCCCAAAGATATTCAGCAACAAGTTTGCTTTTAATCTTTTGAAATTAATCAAAACTGGACCCCAAAAAGACATTGCTATGTTGAAATATATTAAAAGCTCTATTAAATGGGAGGATAATTTATCCAGTGGTTAGGATTCCCACTGTTTCCTCTAGGTTTTAGTCAAGGACTTTTTAAAATATCCCAGTGAATGACAGACATAGGTGTGATTGAGAATAAGAAGAGGTTTTAAGCAATGGTCTGAGTGGAAATGCTGCTGAAAGATCCAAGCTGCCGACTCTAATTTCTGCCCTGTTCCTGAGCCAAGGTGGTGACTCCTCCAAGAAGGAGGAGTTGAGTTACTGGTCTGAGGAACCTTGTCTCTGCAATACGATTCAATGTAATTTAATAAGCATGTATGGACCATCTCCTATGTCAGGGCTGGAGGGAGGTAGAGGCAGCTCTATGCAGGGAAGGGTATAAGTGAACAGCACGAAGAGTGGGAAATTGGGGATGGCCTGTGTCCTCAGTTTACATCTGGGATTAAATCTCAATGCTGGGTACATACAATTCATCACAATGCATGTAGAACTGCTTTATGATCCAGAAAATGTGAGGGAGTCTTATGACTTGGCTTTGTTCCCTTTCTGAACAACTCAGTCGTTTGTGGTCAGTGGCAATGAGCCCAGGCTATTGGGCAGGAGGTGTAGCTGAGCCCCAGGGCTTTGTGTCCTCCCTGGGGTTCAGGCAGACAGGTGCTCTGCAGCCCAGACACACGTGTCATCCATCAGAAACAGGAGACACAGGGCAAGGGGCCTCCTCCTTCGAAGGAGAGAAGGGGGGAAGGAAAGAGAGAAGGAGGGAGGGAGGAAGGGAGGAAGAGAGGAATGAAGGAAGAGGGAGCTGCAGCAGCATTCAGCCAGCAAATAGCCAAAATTCCCTTGGAGGAAGTGGAGACAGAATCTTGATAGAATAGAAACTCAGAAATCCTGGGATATTCAAGAAGAAAATAAAGATAATCAGTTATAGAGCCCGTTCAAATTATAGCTCTGAATATCACTTAACTTATCTGAGTTTCCATTTTCTGAACAATAAAACTAAGGGTAGCCTACCTCTATCAAAGGGACTTGTGAGAATTGAATGAGATAAAGTATAGGAAAGTACTTTTGTAAAGTTTAATATAACCGTACAAATATGTGAGAACGTTGAGAAAAGGCATACAGCCAAACCCAGTGGGTTTTGGGGGGGTTTCCTGCTAAGTACAAGCGTGCTGATAAAAGTCCAGAGGTCAGAGTGGGTAAGAAGCTGACCAGGAGTTAGAAGATAATTAATTTGTTTTACAAGAGGAAAGACCCAGGGCTAGGAATATAACACACAGGAAATACAAGTCTTGAGGCAGACAGATTTCCAGTTACAAGTGTGCTGTTCAGATATCTGTGAATAAATACTGTATAGAGGGTTGGGCTTCATGCACAAAGAGAAATGTGATGCCTGCAAATGTGAAAAACTGCAGTTATTCATCCCAGTGAAGAATGGCAGGAAGGGAGACAGTAATGGTCTTAAAGGGCATTGAGGATGGAGCCTTTTCTGAGCTTTACTGTGGGAAAGGGTTGATCATGATTTGATGGTCGTTTATGGCCTAGGCAGGCATGGAACGAGTACTAGCTTATTTAAGGGTCACAAAAAGTTATGCAAAACTCATTTTTCAGAGGAAGAAACTAAAGTTCTAGAAAGCTTAGGAATTGCCCAGCATCACATGGCTGAGAAAGCGGCAGAGCCAGGAGGTAAACTGGGATATGATGTGGTCTTTAGAAATAAATTGTAGAGGTCAAAATAGAACAAAGAGTGAGTTTTGGGAAGTAAAAGCTGGCCACGCTTCAGATATAATTTCACAAAAGGTGTAAGATGCCCATGTTCTACAGCCTTCATTTAATGTATGTCTACCATGTCTGAGTTTAAAAGGGGCTGAGAGCCAACACTCAGGTTTATTTCCATGCTGGCAATGAGCAACCTGTTCTTCCTGGGCTCTGTGAAAGGGCCTCTGGCCGGAGGACGTCATATATCTGGGTTCAGAAGCTCAGGAGGAAGCAGCCACTGACCTTGAATGTCCTACACCGAGAACTGAAGGGCATGAGCTCCCCAGACTACAGGGCCCCTGGCTAGGCATGCTGCCTCCAACCCAATCCAACAACGCAAGGGGACCGACTCTCACCCCGACCTGGGCACACCTGTCCTGGGGCACCGCACACTCCAAAGGCTGAAAAACAAAGCTGATTCACAGTCTGAACCAGAAGGGCCATGGAAAACAAGCAGGGAGTGAGTTGTTTGTTCTAAAAGAACAGACTTGAAAACTGGAGATAATGTAATAACAACAATAATAGTCATGATGCAAGTAACTACAATTATTCAATTCCTGCTATGTATTAAGTAATTCTATATGGTGTCTTAGCTATTATTATCTTCTTTAACCTGAAAACAACCTTCCCAGACAAGCCTTCTCATATTGTCTTTACATGAGGACATGCATTGAGGACACTGGGTCAGAGAATTTGAGCAACTTGCCCAGTGTTCAACAGTTAGTGTTTCTGAACTTAAGCTTGGTTCTTCCAAAGCCCATGGTTTTCACTGTGGCTATGTCATCTTTCTTACCCAAATTAAGAGTGAATAAAGGAGAGGGTTTGAGAGGGCACCCCATTGGGCAGCTTTTCTGCAAAGTGAGGTTTCAATCACTTTTCAGATCCTTAAATCTGTCTCAGGGCTTAAAGGACCCTTGAAGGGACTTCACTGTATAGCAGCCACTTGGACATCCGTCCCCACCTCAGCTGAAAATCAATAGTGCAGAAGAAATCTCCAGTTCCAAGGAAGCCCTTTCCATGTTGAACAGCCGTAACTCAGAAAGTCATTGATTTCAGTGAATGAATTCAGTTTCCCTGTTAGTCCCACCCTTGAATACCCTCTGTGTCCCATGGAGAGACAATGGATTGGTCACGTCTCAATTCCCATCAACTGGGAAGTCTGGGTGATGGAGGTGCTGACCCTTGTCCTCTCTCCAGTGTTATAAACAGGAGCATGAGATACAGAACCAGCTTAACGGGGGGTTAAATGGCAGCTCTTCCAATTACTAGCTGTGTGACCTTGGAAAAGCTACTTAAGCTCTTCAGTTCTCTTATCCATAAAAATGGAAATAAAATTTGCTCTGGGCAGCTGTTGTAAGTATTAAAAAATAATATATGTAAAGCAACTGACATAAAATAATATATGTAAAGCTTTGGAGTCAGAGAAACGTAAGTTCCAATCTATTCATGTGACACATATCAGTCCCATGAACTTGGACTAATGTAATTTCCCAAAGCCTCCATTTCCTCATCTGTAAAGTAAATGTTATAATAGCACCTACCTTGAAGGGTTGTTGTGAAGATTAAACGATACCCAAGGGCAGTGCTCCAGGCATGTTAACTTCAATAATAAAGTTAGAAATGACTATTACTATCGCTTAGATTCCATATATATATATATATATGTTCCTATGATCCAAAATCTTTGCTTCAGCCAGTGTAGACAATTGAACTCACTGCAGGAAATCAGGCATCTAGTAGGATGACCAACTGAGCTAGCACTGAGCTGAAAACGGTGGCATTGTGGCACTGTGGCTTGAGGTCTCTGCCCAAAGTCATGGCCTAAAGTTCCCTCCTGGGTGCTCATTTTATGTACCCACCACTTTTGCCCTAACTCATCATTGCTCAGCTTTATAGTTGGTAGTGAAAGAAGAAAGAAAGAAAGAAAGAAAGAAAGAAAGAAAGAAAGAAAGAAAGAAAGAAAGAAAGAAAGAAAGAAAGAAAGAGGAAAAGAGGGAGAGAAAGAGATGGAGAGAGGAAGGGAGGGAAGGAAAGGAAAAAGGATGGAAAGAAGGAGGGAAGGAAGGAAGGAAGGAAGGAAGGAAGGAAGGAAGGAAGGGAGGGAGGGAGGGAGGGAGGGAGGGAGGGAGGGAGGGAGGGAGGGAGGGAGAAATAGTTGGATTAGGAAGAATGTGCCCAAAATACACAGTTTAGTTATTCTTTTGAAAATTCAGATTGATGAATAACAACTTAAAATTGTGGGAGAACCTAATTGGTTCTCACATTTTATATTACTCTACAATTTACAGAATGATATGACAGTACTTGAACTAATAGGGTCCTCTCAGCAATAGTGAAATCAAAAGGATTATTGCCCTCATTCTAGTGAAGACACTGAAGTTCAGAGAGATTGAACGGTTTTCCCAGATCACACAGCTTCGAAGAGGCAAAATGGAACTAGAACTCCAGCCTCTGGCACCTGATCCAGTGTTTTTCCCACTGCCCCACTGAAGCACATTCCTAGTATAATCTCTTCTATGGTATTAGTTACATCTTAGTTTAAAAGTGGGCACAAGGTAGTCTCTCACCGGGATCTGAGTATCCAAATCTGGAGTCCAACCTCTTCCAAGTTGATGTCACAGGGCTGTCCATTCTATCTCATCCTCGTAAATTCCAGACTGTCCCCCATTTCAATCTTGACCCACGATTTGTCTTTGACAACATAGTCATCTCAGGGACTGGCCCAGAGAGTCGTGCCAGGTGGTATGATGGAGATTGTGACCCAGGTTACAAACAGGGCCGAGTGACGGGCAAGCCTATAATTGTATCCCACCTTCAATGACCCTTGCCAGTACCAGGCAACGCTGATAAACAAATGGCCCATCCCTTGGTACCTTGCCAGGGTAAGCTCACATTCTGGGAGTGTCTAGGGGAGTGTTGGGACACAAGAATTCCAAAGCAATGCGGGAAGCTGAAAAGGTTATGTTCATAAGCCAGGACCTAACTGGGATTTCAAATCATAGCTCCTTAATTAGCACATTGGTGCCATTTGAGTAACCTAAAGTGAAGTGGGAAAAAATAATTTCTCAATACTGCTTTAAATTCCATCATATTTCCATGACCTTCACAATGGTCCTGCCCAGGAGATACTATTATCAACATTTTTTACCCGAGTTCAAGGTCGAGATTAGAATCCATGTCTCTGGATTCCGAATGCCTTTTTATTTATTTATTTACTTATTTTTTCAGATGGAGTCTCACTCTGTCGCCAGGCTGGAGTGCAGTGGCGCAATCTCAGCTCACTGCAACTTCCACCTCCTGGGTTCAAGTGATTCTCCTGCCTCAGTCTCCTGAGTAGCTGGGACTACAGGTGCATGCCACCACGCCCAGCTGATTTTTGTATTTTTAGTAGAGATGGGGTTTCACCATGCTGGCCAGGATGTTCTTGATCTCTTGACCTCATGATCCATTCGCCTCGGCCTCAGTCCTGGGATTACAGGCGTGAGCCACCATGCCTGGCCTGGATTCAGGATGCTTTAAAATATCCTCTACCTTTTGGCCTGTGAGACATCTTCTGTTTAGCCTCCATGGTTACATTCCCATCTTCAGAAATGGAACTGAGCATCATTAATAGAGTACTTACAGATTTATATTTTAAATTTCAAGTCCTGATGATATATGTCAGATATTTATGATCGCTTAAAAACAACCAGTGCTAGGATACATTAGTTTGTGAAGGAGGTATTATCTGTAATCCTATTCTCATTTTGAAAAGTATGCCTAGGCAATGAATCCACACACACACACACACACACAGATATATATGTATTTTTATCCCCCAAGAGGTATCTCTGTCTCCTATTAACTTGCAAGACATGCCAATGAAATCTCCACTGCAAATCTGAAATGAGAAATTTGACCTAAGGTTGTTTTCATTGAAAATTTCTATATCATTAATTTTACAAGTGTCGCTGCCATGTTCCTGGAGGAAATTTATTATATTTCTCCTCTATTTTGTATCATGCTGAAACTCAGGATCAAAATGAACATGAGCAAAATTATGTGAGTCTATTCTTTTCTAGAAAATGTAACATCTTTAATGAGAGAAGAATGGATTGTATAAAAAGAAGTTGGCTAAGAAAAATATCCCTAAATGCTTACTTTTAAATACACCTTGGTTATAAATGAGAGGGTCCAGCAATCTTAAAAATCTATTCCAGCCCTGAAAGTCTGTAGTTTAAATGGAGTCCAAAATAAACAAATTTGGGCTATTTTAGAGGCTATTTAGGCCTCTACGCCTTTCTGCTTGCTCTTTTCTCTGCATGACTTCATTAGCATTATTCCTTCCCACTTTTCTGTATCTGGTGAACTCCTATTCACCCTTCAAACCCCCATTTGAATGTGATCTCTTCTGTGACCCTCCAACAGTTCACTGCCTTTATCCCCAGACTAAATGTGGGGAGCCAGTCCGTCATTTGAGTTTCTGTAGCATGTCTCACAAGACTCTTCTCTGGTACAGAGCATTCTGAATCTTGTCTATTTTTCTCACTACAACATGGGCTTCTCAATGCCAGGGGTCACAAACTACTCATTTTTATAAGTTTTCCCCCTTTTGTCACTGAGTACTTAGTGCAGTACTTGACACATGATAGGCAGGTAGTAAATGCAGGGTGAATGAATGAATGAACGAATGAATGTGAGTTTTAATTCTAAGTCTTTCAACTCAAAATCCATTACTCTTTCTAGTTTCCTAAACAACCCGAACTACAGAAATAGAAAAACCACATGCTTCCATTTTTTAAGAAATTCTTATTTATTTATTTTAGAGGCAGGGCCTCACTCTGTCACTTAGGCTGAAGTAGAGTGGTGTGATCATAGCTCATTGAAGCCTAGAACTCCTGAGTTCAAGTGATTCTCCTGCCTCAACCTGCTGAGTAGCTAGGACTGACTACAGGAGCATGCCACCACACCAGGGTAATTTTTTGGGGGGTGGGGTAGAGACAGGGGCCTCACTATGTTGCCCAGGCTGGTCTCAAACTCCTGGGCTAGTGATCCTCCTGCCTTGGCCTCCCAAAGTCCTGGGATTGTAAGTGTGAGCCACCATGCCCAGCCCAATGTTTCCTTTTTTAAAGTTCTTTTCTAAAATTTTACTGAATTAGCAGAAGATCCTACTTCTGTGAGAGGAAGGATAGGATGTTCCTGGCTAACCTCACAGTTTTTCTAAGCAGGAAAAGCTCTTTGGGGGAATATTTAGATAGAAACATTCCTTCTAGACCTAGTATCAGGTTCAGTGGTCTGTTTGCTATTTACTTTCTGTTTCTTAGCAAAAAACTGCCTTTGTTATGAGACTGTGAGATACAATCCGGACCAGTTGACCCAGGAGGGCTTAGTGTTAATCGCCAACTATTATAAGAAGGTGACTGGCTTCCCAGAAGGGAAAGTGAAGGTCACAAGCAGCCACTCAGAATGGCTGGATAGTGCTCCATGTCATGACACACTAGGCTTCTTAGAAACCAGAGGATCCCAGTGAAAATGCAGCTCCCCTGGGCAGCTGAATTTCAGAAGTTTCATTTAACATCAATGGCTTATTTTAGTTCTGCTTTGAGGAAACTGAAAACTTGGATTCATACTAAAAACATATGCAGATGAGGACAATTATTATTACTATTTTATTTATTTATTTATTTTTTGAGACGGAGTCTCGCTCTGTTGCCCAGGCTGGAGTGCAGTGGTACAATCTTGGTTCCCTGCAACCTCCGCCTCCTGGGTTCAAGTGATTCTCTTTCCTCAGCCTCTCAAGCAGCTGGGATTACAGGTGCCCACCACCACACCTGGCTAATTTTTGTTTAGGCCGGGCACGGTGGCTCAAGCCTGTAATTCCAGCACTTTGGAAGGCCAAGGCGGGCAGATCACTTGAGGTCAGGAGTTTGAGACCAGCCTGGCCAACATGGTGAAACCCCGTCTCTACTAAAAATACAGAGGACAATTATTTTTTTAAATAATTTTCTTTGGTTAATATCTCTTAAATGTAATCCTGTGGTGAGGAGACAATGACAGTCCTGGGGCTGTGGCTATTAGCAGCTCCTTGTAGCTGAATGTCTCCAATGGTGCAGGAGGACATGTCAGCACCATGGTCTGGCTCCTGTTGAGCACTGTGAACTCTGTGGGACCTTCCTGCACATCATGTCGTTTGATTTTCTAAAGGACACTAAAGCAGCAGGGAAAAGAATAACTGTATAGGTGGGAAAACAGGTATAAAGTTAAGCTATGTAGTTCATCCTGATATGAACAGCAGGTAGAGGGTAGCCCTGAAAGCAGAAAGCAAGTTTCCAACTACTGACCTAGTGTAGTGCCAATATATCTTATAGCCTAGGTGATTATATTCTTAAAAAGGAATGTATGGATATGAGGAATAACTTGGAATAGGAGATTTTATATATTATTAATATGCTTTTCTATCAGCAAGATAAGCTAAGATTTTGCTACCCAAAATGTAGTCCACTGCCAGCAGCATCAATATTGCCTGGAGTCTGTTAGAAATGCAGAATTTCCTGCCTCTCCCCAGATCTACCAAACCAGAATCTGCATTTAGCAAGGTCTAAGGTGATTTGAGAAGCTCTTAGCTAGACAAGAAGAAAATACCATCTTCACAGATGATTCCCAGTTCTGATGGGATAATTTTTTAAACTTGAGATGAAAAAAAAAACGATCTTTGTATATACTTTTATGTACATGAAATTAGCCTATTCATTCCTTCCGGGAGCCCTGTGAGATACATAGGAATAGATGTTACTGAAATTTAACAGGAGAAGAAACTGAGTTCCCAAGTGGTAAAGTGATTACCCAAAGCCATCTAAGTGTCTGAGCTTATTTAATGACTAGCACACAGTAGCTGTTTGCTAAATGAATGAATAAATGAAACACTAAAAAAAAATTGGGCTGGATCCTGGTCTTCAGACCACTGCACTCTTAGAGATTGGTTCACTCCTGGGGCCACTTCAATGTAGGGTATTTGCTTTATGTCCCCTTAGACTTGACCTTGACCAGATAGTCTTCAAGATGCCAAACTGGGGCGGAGGCGCAAAATGTGGAGCCTGTGAAAAGACCGTCTACCATGCAGAAGAAATCCAGTGCAATGGAAGGAGTTTCCACAAGACGTGTTTCCACTGCAGTGAGTTGGGTGGACACCCTGGGGGCCCCTCAGCATCCGGACAGCATCACAAAATTCACATTGAATCACAAACACTGTATGCCAGTGGTTCTCATAGTGTGGTCCTGGGACAAGCAGCATCAGCATTACCTGGGAACTGGTTAGAAATTTAACTCTTGGGCTCCACCAAGAAAAGATGGTGCTCTCCTGAATACCCTTGCTTCAACTGCTTGCCCAGCTCAGAGGCCATTCATTTTCCTGTAGCTCAACGTCAGAACAAGCTAGCCTGTCACTGCTCTCTGTAGGGAAAACTTTGACCCCATGGCGACATTGACAACATGTGACTTGGCAGAGAAAGGAAGCCAGCACTTATCTGAAGCCAGGATGGATTTGGCTGTCTATGTTGCCCCTTCTGGTCAGCTGTGACTGAAGCCAGCTGTGACTGGTCTTGTCTGAGAGAGAACCTATGTCAGGCAGGGGGGCAACACATGCCAACTCTGTATGTAAGAGTCAGAGAGGGAAGCATTTCAGGGCCTGGGCACCAGTAACTGCATGAAAGAAATCCTGACCATTACCCGCCAGACACTGACTCACACATGTCAAAAATAGGGAGAACCTTGAGACCTTGTGGCTTGAACCTTGAGAACCTTGAGAACCTTGAGACCTTGTGAGTCTGGTCCTGCCTGACTCACGTGACTTTCGATAAGTCATTTCTCACATCTAAGCCCGGGTCATGTGCATCTGCGATAGAGTCTTATACATGAACCTCTACCTTTAGACTCCATGTCCAGTGCTCTTTGACATGACTGCATTCTATACTGTTTCCTGGCAGCTAGTCCTGTTTGGGAGAAAATTGGCCTTGGTTTTAAAATGGCCACTTATCTTCTCTGCTTCTGTCCAGGAGGTCTGGCTTAAGGGCTAGCTCTGCTGGATATTTGGCGAGCCCCCTCCCCGACTAGTCCCCACAGCCATGCCAGCACCCCCATGCTTCAGCCCGGTAGCTGCAAGGCATCCATGCAATTGAAAAGAACTCCAAGGGCTGGACTCCATCTGTTGGGGCTTTTGTCCAAAGAGAGCTAGCATTCTTTAAAAAACAGGATTAGGAATATTAGAAAGAATTCTAGAATTAGAGTAAAAGGGATTCGGGTTTGAGTCTGGGCTCTGCCATGTACTCACTGAGATTTTGGGCAGGTCATTTCACCATGGTGAACCTCAATTTCTCCACTTATAAAACAAAGATGATTATACCTACTGCACAGGTTGTTACAAGGAGAAAACTGGGGGGTCTTGATATGGAAATCCAGCCTTCTAGGCCTGTATTCTCCTTTGATCAACTTTGGTAACTGCGTGGGAACAGGAAATTGTAGGGAAGCTTTCCTTAGTAGAGGGTGTCTTGTCTTTCCCAGGTAGGAGGAAGATGCCCTGTTCAAAGGAGTTATAGTAGAAGAGATTTGAGCATTTTTTGGTACATCCCTTTTAACCCTTTGATATTTCCTGAGAACCCTTTGATGGGATGAGGATTTGAGCAGCATACATTTCAGGAACGATGGGTAGAAGAGCCCCAGAGAGGAGCACACTTTTCTATATTATTACCACAAGATAATCACCTGTCTGTCCGCAGGCAACTCTGTAGCTGCTGGAAAAGGCGTTCAGAGACGCAGGGTCTACCTTACATTGTGCCCAGGCCAGTGTTCCCCTGACTTCTAGATAAATCTTCACAATTAAATCTCTAGACTAATCATGAAATCTAGAAAGTAAGTTTGCTGTCCAAAAGAAATAAATATAATGCAGCAACATATGTAAATTTAAATGTTCTAGTAACCATAGTTTAAAAATGGTACAAATAAACAGATGAAATTAATCTTAAAACATTTTATTTAACTCAATATATCCAAAACATTATAATTTCAATGTATACTTCAATATACAAATGATCAGTGGGATATTTTACATGATTTTTGCGTTTGTACTGAGTGTTTGAAATCTGATGTGCATTTTGTGCTTACAGCACAGCATGTGGCTGTGGCCACAGCACTGGACAGCACAGTTCTCCTTTGTCTGTTCACAAAAGCTCATCAGAAGCCAGGGAGTGGCTACAGAATTGGCCAGGGCACCTTAGGGTATAGGCAGTCTTGGAGTGATGGGAATGAGCACTGGACTAGGAGTCAAAAGAGCTGAGGTAAGCCGTGGCTCTGCAACTTACTATTGTATAATTGTGAACAACTCACTGATTTACATTGACACATTCATTCATTCATTCATTCATGTACTCAATAAATGTTTACAGAGGACTAATTCTGGCCCAGGCCTTGTGCTAAATTCTCGGAATATTAAGACAAAACAGGCTTGCCCTCAAGGAACTCAGAGTCTAGACCATCAGCAAATATGCAAGCAGTTGTTGTGGAGGTTGGTAACTGACAGTAACAAGAAGGGTAGAGACAAGTGTACACACCTTCTATGTCTCAATATAAGGCATTCTCCCCCCAAATTCATCTTCATAAAAAAGATATGCCTTGTGTTTAAAGCCTTATAAAGTCTCTCCTGCTGTAAGACATTCTTCCAATTATTTTATTTACTGATTTAAACTTTTTTTTGGTACAGATATTTTTTAACACATACAATGTTGACAGAATAGTCAAATAAAGTCCCAGAATAAACTCCCTTGCCCCACACTCATCAGCCCCTGGCTAATCCTACCTCATCTACAACCTTATCTTCTTCCTCCACTCCCATATTCAATTACTTTATCTTTTAAAAAAGATAATATCATTTGAAGAAGGCATATTAGCCTGAAATAACCTCATTCAATGCTGGATTGCTTATAGGGATCATTTGATGGAAATGTTTTTTTAAAAGGCAAATACATTTAATGCACACATATTATTATTCCTGGGGATATTATCTCCCTATTATAAGCACTGAGCATCACTATAAACAACCTTTAAGAATCATTGTTGCAAAGCAATGTAGCAAGTCATTACATGGTGGAAATTCTATATCTTTTAAAAAATCTGCCCTAATGCTATGCTAATAGGTCCTTCTTGTTGAGATGCAATTTCTAGGTGACAACCTCCTACTCAGGTATAAAACAGGGCTGCCTCTTTAAACGTACAGATAGAAGTGAAAGTGAGCTGCTCAGAAAAGCTGGGCCAGCTGCCCCCAGAAATGATTCTGGTGGTGAGGGAGATGCCGATGTTGAAGATGCAAAGACAGAATTGGAGATAATTATTCCCCAAATTTATGTGGGATTAGAAAAAAGTAACCTTTCCAAATCAATATATTGTTGATTTATATTACTAAATTAAAATTATAAGTAGATATTTGACATTTTTATTTATATCTTTAAAAGTTTCCTTTTAAATTTGCAAAATAAATCTTTCTATAAATCCTCTCTTTGGAAAAATGAGGGCTTGATTGCCTTATACTGGAGGATACTTTACATTAGGTAATATACAGTAACCAGGGGGCTTGAGCCAATAGAAGCCTAAGGAGTTAATAAGGCAGGTCTACCCCCTTCCCCACCTCCTCTGCTTCCAGAATTTGACCAAAATTAGCCTCAATGGCAATTGTCTGCTTGAATATCACAGTGTCCTTCAAAGGCTGTGGTAAGTACAGAAAGTGCTCAATCCTGATTCTTTTATGATTAAGAAAAAAGTAAGTTTCTCTCCTGCCTTAACCCACCCCCTGCCAACGCGCGCGCCCACAAACACACACACACACACACACACACACACACACACACACTTCCCTGATGTCATTTGGGAAGACTCAGGGATGCAGTCCTTAGCAGGTCTGAGACTATATATCTCGTTCTAATGCTAGCTTCCACCCTTTTCCAGCTGGGAACCACTGAACCCAATTTTGTCATCTGTGAGATCGGGACTGTCTTGGAGTGCACAACTCAGGGCAGATACTCTGGTCAGGAATCAACATTGTATTCTTGGCTCAGGGGCCCCTCATGCTGGGTCTCTGGCCCCGAGCATGGCATTGGGAGTGCAAAGAAGGGGAGAAGGATTTCAATTCCAATCCCATGACCCTTCCTTTTCCTGGCAGTGGCCTGCAGGAAGGCTCTTGACAGCACGACAGTCGCGGCTCATGAGTCGGAGATCTACTGCAAGGTGTGCTATGGGCGCAGATATGGCCCCAAAGGGATCGGGTATGGACAAGGCGCTGGCTGTCTCAGCACAGACACGGGCGAGCATCTCGGCCTGCAGTTCCAACAGTGAGTTACTGCCCTGCTCCCCCTTGCCTGTTAAAGTCTCCAATTATCAGGACAGTTCATTTCGTTCCCATAGCAACGTTTTCTGGAAGTGGGAGAATGGACTCTATTGTTGACTTGCCAACAATAGGAATACTCAGTCTGACCAAGTTTGAACAATGTGTCATCTCTCCAAAGACTCTCTTTAAATTATTTGCCATTCTAAAGGGCAATTACTTTTACACCATGGCTCTTGGTTTGCATGTCAAGAGAAAACCCAGGATGTACAGATGTTCCATTGTTTGACCTTTGCAAAACTGCATGGAGTCTCCTTTCTTCCCCGTTGAGAGTTTCTGTGTAAATCACACAAATATGGCAGGGCAGCAATGGCCATTCTTTGTGTGCCTGTCATGAAAAGATTTCTTCCCTTGGATTGTAAGATGACAAACGTCCACATGGCAGGGGGAGTGTGTCTGCAAGGATGGGCTGTGCCTCAGAGTAAACAATCAATCATGATTTTTCTGGGGGTTCCCTGGCTGCCTGTTGCCAATACAGTGCTAGAGTTCCCGCCACATTATCCTAGGGAAGCTGGGACATCACTCTGGCCACCTCCATCCACCAGTCTGGTCCCCTGGGTCCACTTTCTTGATAACCACATTGACCTCCAGCCCAGAATTGAGGAAAGTCTGATGGCCACTGGCCTGACACTACTCTCTGGCCAGCTGGCCTCCAGGCTGAGCTCTGCACTGCGACTGGCCAGAAAGGCCCAGCCCAACCAAGGAAGTGTCCCATGGAGGGCCTCCCCCAGAGAGCACTTCAGCCATCTGAGGAATCAGCTGATCCCTTCAAAAGAGAGTAAGCCACAGGAGAGCATGGAAACGTGGAGAGATGTGTGATTAGTCATCTTAGAGAGAAGACTTCTTTTTGTTAGTTTGTCTTATTACTCAATCTCAAATGGAGACTCTTGTTAAGGAAGAAAACATACCACTGCATTCTCTGCCTCACATTGACTGAAGTTCACTTTTCAACATTAGGGCTTCCTAGTGATGCTGCACAAAGAGTAACAAGGTCTGAAGACCTAGGATTTCCTCCTAGGTCCATCATTCATGAGCTGCCTGGCCTTGGGCAGTCACACTCTGATCCTCACTCTCCTCCAACCAGCCCTGCCTACCTTATAGGGTTGTGGTACAGCTCAAGTGATATAATATACAAGCAAACACCAAAAGATACCAACACATGAGAGGCTATTATTATGTCTCTATTTTGGACATTGTTCTCCTGGGACAGGTGACCCTTGGAGGCAGGACGACAGCCTGGCTTGTGATAAGGAATGCATCAGCTCATGGACTGTGGTTCATCAGGAACTGATTAGCACCCATTGTCAAAATCCCACCTTGCTCTGTAATTTTCACAACTCTCTTTAGAAAGGAAAGAAGTGGCCTTGCAAATGGTCCAGAAAAACACAAATAAGCACAGTAGTAATAACAACACAACAACAACAATAACACAAGCTAACATAACTAGAACATTTGCTAAGTGCTTCACAACAAAAAGGAAAGCTCTAAACCCATTTTAGCAAACATTTATTAGCCCTTACTACATGCCAGGCGGGCACTGTTCTAAGTGCTTTACAAATGTCGCCTCATTTAACCCTCTCAACAACGCTATGAGAAAGACACCATCATTATCCCCATTTTCCAGATGAGGAGTCTGAGACACACGGAAGTGAGGTCACTTTCTCAAGGCCACACAGCTCTTCTACTCTTTGCCAAGGGAAATCTACGTTTCATTCATTCGTCTATTTCCAACAGGTCCCCAAAGCCGGCACGCTCAGTTACCACCAGCAACCCTTCCAAATTCACTGCGAAGTTTGGAGAGTCCGAGAAGTGCCCTCGATGTGGCAAGTCAGTCTATGCTGCTGAGAAGGTTATGGGAGGTGGCAAGGTAAGACCTTCTGTATGAGCCAGACAGAATTTGCTCATCTCCACCAGGCCATTTGGGAGGAATGAGAGAAAAATTGGGAGCTGCAAGCAGCTGTCATTCTCTCTAGCTCCCAGAACAACTTTAGAAACCACACATCCTCAGCCACTTTCCCAGGCTGGGGCTGTCTGTCATCTAGCATTGCCCTTTGAAAGCTGGAACTGGTGCAGTTTGAAGCAGCAAGCATTATTCTACTAGATGGAAGGCACCCAGCTGAAAGTTCTGGGATACAAAGCAAAAGCCCGTCTACCCTCCAGTGTCCACAATCCCCCCAAAAGATGTCAGCCCCAGACCAACCACTGCCTAACTCAACCTGTTGCTGCCACCATGACCAATGGATATAGCAGACGCCTCACAGTAGTGAGAAGCATCCTCACTTACGAACTTCCTGGCTCTCAGGAAAGTCATCAGATGTCCGAGACACTCATGCATATGTGCTCTGCAAGTTCCAGTTTCAGGCCCAAAGCCTGGGTACTCACCAAAGGAGTCAGACCTGAGGAAAGAGAAAAATTATGTTTATACCACATGGTGGGAGGAAGGGCCGTGGGGAGCATCTAACTTCAAACACAAGGGCAGGCTCCACCCTAAAACTGGCCATTTGAAGACATAGGAGAAGCCCTGGGCTGTACCTGGTAGACACGCAGATGTGCAGGAGGATGGAGATCTAGAACATCGAAATTATGCAACTCTGCCTCAGAATTACACAGAGGAATTAAACCAGAGAGTTAAAACAAGGTTGAATTCCCTGAACAATTGCCTGATTTCTTTATTTTTTTTCCTTCTGTAACTTTATACTCAACATAAACATCACCCAGTGCCCCCAGCCCAAGTCCTTCTCTGACCAGTTTGTTCCTTGGATCTTTTTGGCCTGGGGAAGCCCTTTCCCGTTTAGTCTATTCTGAAGGAAAACATATGCAAATCACCATGACAAATCCATTTTCAGGCTTCTGAGAAGTGCTGGCTAAGGCCATAGCATCTCATTTTCTCCAAACCCCTGGAGAAATTATGGGGCCCATTAGGTAAGCAAATGGTTAAGACGTGTCACTCCTCTGGATGCTGCTGGTCAGGGACTTGAAATGGAAACAGAATGTGTTGCCTACCTCATTAAATATGCAACTTTTCTGTGCCCCTCAGCCTTGGCACAAGACCTGTTTCCGCTGTGCCATCTGTGGGAAGAGTCTGGAGTCCACAAATGTCACTGACAAAGATGGGGAACTTTATTGCAAAGGTGAGTGATTCTGGAGACTTTCTTGAAATATGTTTTCCCTAAAAGGGCCCTTGGGAGAGGAAATTACGTTCATGCCTGGAGGTCTTCCCGTGTCTTCCAGGAGGTATGGCTGCTCAGCCTGGGCAGCGTTGGGTTCTCAGGAGCAAAACCACCTAAGGGGAGGGAATCTCCCACCTGACCCAGCTCTGGTCCTCTCCACTGGAGCACCTGGCAGAGACCAGATGCTTTCAGATGCTCAGTGGTTCGGGAAGTTAGGCACCTGGGGGAGAGAGGAAGGGAAGAGGAGGAAACAGTGCCCTGCCTCTGGTCTTGGAAGAGGCCTCAGGCCAGGACAACTAACACCACACCCCCTTCCAAAAATCGAAACACCATCTGTTCACCTGAGTGGCAGAGGGGGTGACTGGAGGAGGGTGAACTCAGTTTGGCCTCACTGGAGTTTATCATGACATGTCTATCTCCCTCCTGCCTACCCCGCACTAACAGTTCTGTTGTCGATGTTGCACGTTACTTAGTGATCATAGGGACAGATCTGGTTTTCCTCCTGGTCCTTGCAGCTCTGACCCTCGCTGCCTCCATAATCCCTTGGTCTTGTGGAGAAATAGTAGAGGCTTAGCTCCTTCTTGACACTATCAAAGGAAGGAATGCACTAGGGCCAAGGCAATGCGTCCTCCACCCCTGAGCCTAGGCCTATTCTGTTGCTCAGTGGAGTTTCATCACTTAATGATGGTGTCTCAAGAATCTCCAAAGGAGTATGTTGGAATGAAGTGAGAGGAGCAATGGAAAGGGAGTTAAGAGAGAAGACTTTATAAGTCATAACTGTACTTTGCTGTATTAGTCTGTTCTCATGCTGCTAATAAAGACATACTCAAGACTGGGTAATTTATAAAGAAAAAGAGGTTTAATGGACTCACAGTTCCACATGGCTGGGGAGGCCTCGCAATCATGGCAGAAGTCAAAGGAGGAGCAAAGTCACACCTTACATAGCAGCAAGCAAGAGAGCAAGTGCAGGAGAACTGCCCTTTATAAAACCATCAGATCTCGTGAGGCTTACTATCACGAGAACAGCACGCCCAGTGATTCAATTATCTCCCGCTGGGTCCCTCCCACAACATGTGGGGATTATGTGAGCTAATCAAGATGAGATTTAGGTGGGGATACAGCCAAACCATATCAGCTGCCAAAGCTTTTCCTGTGATGACACAGGATGGGAACTAGCTCACTATCTGACAGATGATTGCCGTCTCCTGGCAGTAGAAGACCTACGGGGTCCTCAGCCTTCATAGCTCATAATGCCCTAAAATATTGCCGAAGTCAGTAGGGAAATTAACATGTAAATGAATAATTGCATTGCAAAGTGAAAAAAAAAGTCTATAGTAGAGAAACATTCACAATGCAGTCACCTAAAAAGAGGAGAGGAACCAGCTTGGGGTAATGGGGAAAGCTTCTCACAAGACAGGCTTCCTCTGAGGCTTGATGGGTGAATGTGGGTTTGGGAGGGGGCATTCCAGGAAGAGGGATCATTGATTACAAAGACACTTAAGCTGGGACATCATGGTTCATTCCAGGTACTGCAAGTGGTTCTGTGTGCCTGGAATGTAGGAAGGGAGGCAGAGGCGGGAGGCAACAGGGGACGAGGTTGGGCAGGCAATCCTCAAATGAGAAAATATCTGCAAACACATTTAGTAAAGTGGCAAGAAGTGTAAACAATTTTTATTAACAGATCTAAGATAAGTATTGTTAAATTTATTTTAAAAAGTTAGCTCATGCATAAACCTTTTTATTATTTTTATTCTTGAGACGGAGTCTTGCTCTGTCATCCAAGCTGGAGTGCAGTGGTGTGATCTTGGCTCACTGCAACTTCAGCCTCCCGGGCTCAAGCAATTCTCCTGCCTCAGCCTCCCCAGTAGCTGGGATCAGAAGTACATGCCACCATGCCCAGCTAATTTCTTGTATTTTTAGTAGAGACAGGGTTTCTCTATGTTGGCCAGGCTGGTCTCAAACTCCCGACCTCAGGTGATCTGCCTGCCTCAGCCTCCCAAAGTGCTGGGATTACAGGCATGAGCCACCGTGCCTGGCGAACTTATGCATAAATCTATCAAAAGGATGTCTCTAATAATTAAAAGGACTGTGCTCAGACAGAAAGCCCTGAAAAAAATGGCACTAACCAATGCATTGTCTCTCCCTTCATCCTCTTCTCATTCACAGTTTGCTATGCCAAAAATTTTGGCCCCACGGGTATTGGGTTTGGAGGCCTTACACAACAAGTGGAAAAGAAAGAATGAAGAGGTGCGCCGTTTCTCAGATTTTTTGCGAGCCTAAAACACTTGCCAAGTAATCCTGCACAGATCGATACCTTTCCCCAAATAGCCTCTCCTTTGTAGTCGTACATTATGTGTTTCTCCTCAGAAGTGATCAGGTCTTTACTGAATGTTAGAAGAGGCCTTTGGAAGAAAATTATGTAAAGTTTAATCTATAACAAATGCTTTATTATTTATAATGCTTGGAATGGGAGAGGCAATAAATAAATGTTTTAGTGCTATCTTGTATGGCTCTAGATCTTTTCTTTGAGATAGAAATTTTCAAAAACATAAAGCTAGTTCAAAAAACGAGTTGCAGAGCATATAATAAATTTGGATGTCAACTGAGAAAGGAGTGAGAAGGAAGAAACAATGCGCAAAGGAAAGCAGTCTTTCAGAATCTGTCAGCCAAGTGTCTTTCTAGTTACTGCTAATGGAGAAGAAAACAGGGGGTCTGGGAGAAAATAGAGAACATGATAGCAAAATCTAAAAGGAAAATCAAAACTAATAAAATTGCTGAAGAGTTGATCCCTTTGTCCTATCGTGGGGCTTTGTAATGTTACACATCTCGTGAAAACTCAGAAATGACAATAAAGCGTGGCATTTGCCTCTGTATTATAAATGACATGAGGATGATTTTCTTTTATTCTAGGACAATTCCCTGGGGTTTAGCAATTTTCTTAAGACTTCTACGTCAAATTTGCCAGCCTTGCAAATGAAATGCAGCCAATTAGAAATGTCTTTCTCTGCCTCTTCAGCAAGTTTCAGCAGCTCAAGCACTTCTTGGGCTTCTGCTTTTAACAACCACAGCACTTCCCCCAGCACTGTGCAATTCTGAATTATCTGGAATACATGAAACAAGTGAAAATCTAGTGATAAGAACTATAAAATACTTGGCTAAACCATGGGTTTCTCCACCCTCCAAGTCCCCTGGGAAAGGCTTTCTTTGAAATGAGCATCTATTCAGTGCTGTTTATGTAGTGTCTTGGACAAGGCCCTACATGAGCTTTAAAAGCAGTACACGATCTTGGCACTATGCATGGGATTTCCAGGTTTGCTGAGGGGTAACACATATTTGAGAAATGACCACAGGACAATGCAACCTCCTCCTCCTCTGCTGCATTTCACAGTGACTCGCCCCACCGTCCAGCTACCCAGGAAATCTGAAGCTAAAAACTTTAGCCATCCTTAGCTTTGCTCTCTTCCTCACCTGACCTTGCCTCACTTCTCAAGTCTCCTGGATTCTGACTCCAAATGTCTCTAGAATACATCCCCTCCATCCCTCTTTTTAGGATGTGTAATAGTCTGTTAGGGTTGCCATAAGAAAGTACCACAGGCTGAGTGACTTAATAGAAACGTATCGTCTCACATTTCTGGAGGCTGAAGTCTGAGATCAAGGTGTCAGCAGTGTTAGTTTCTTCTGACACCACTCTCATTGGCTTGGAGATGGGTGTCTTCTCCCTTTGTCTTCACATGGTTTTTGCTCTGTGGGTGTCTGTGGTCTAATCTCCACTTCTTGGAAGGACACCAGTCATATTGGATTAGGGACCACCTGAATGACCTCACTGTAACTTAATTACCTTTTTCAAGGCCCTTATCTACACATGCAGCCATCACATTCTGAGGTACTGGGGGTTAGGACTTCAACAAATAAATTTTGCAGAGACACAGTTCAGCCCATAACAGTGTATCACATAAAGACTTTCACAAATTGGCCTTGGCCTTACCCCTTCAACTTAGCTTTAGACAATCTCTTCCAGACAAGTTCCAGCTACACTCAAAGACTCGGAGCTTTCCAAACATGCCCAGAACCCTCACCCCATCATGTCTTTGCTAATGCTGTTCCTTCTGCCTAGAATTCCTGGAAGATGGGAACCTCCCCCCATCTCTACCCACTAATCCAACTTCTTAGCCTGGTGAACTCCTATTAAGCAAGTCACAGGTCAAATGCCATCTCCTCTGGAAATTGTTCCTGAACTACCTGGGCAGAATTAATCTACCTCTGTACTCCCATAGCCGGTATGTAATTAGCATAGTACTTATGTCATCGTATTGAAATTTTGAATTCCTATTTGCCTCCTTGTAAGAATGTGACATGTCAAGCCATTCACAGTGCTTGACACATAGAAGACACCTAATAAACATTTGTTGAGTGAATGAAATAGGGGAGAGTATAGGCCAGGCTAAATGCAAATTCTGCTAGAATCTAAAAGTTTATTACATAGTGGACTGAATGAGTTTAGAAAAAAACAAAACAAAGGAAGAAGCTTATTGTGGTTCAGCAATAGTTGTATTTCCCTTCCACTTCTTGGGTATGCTGTTCCACTACATTTCCCAGGCTCCCTTGCTGTTCACTGAGACACATGAGTGAGTTTGCCCAATGAAGTCCTGGCCTCCATGACCTTTCAGGAGAGTCTCCATTCTTTCCATATGTCTGGATGCAGAAGTCCAGTGGATACTGAGGCCCTAGGAATGGTGGAGCCACTAGATGGGAAGCAGCTTGAGTCACTGCATGGAAGAACACCTGCTAACAGCTAAACAGACCATGACATGAGAAAGAAACATTGTGTGAAGCCACTGAGATTGGGAGGATATTTATTATTGCATGAGCTCCCATGACTACTACACACCTGAAATATAGACTGTGCTACATCCAAGTGATTCCACTCATGGTGCCAGCGTCCATCCTAAGTCACAGGGGGCATGATCAAGATTTTGCCTGATATTTGTGAAAGAGATTCAAATTTGTTGTCTCCAATGTGGCTATATACATATTTGAAGAAAGGAATAAAGTTATGGCAAAATAGCATAACAGTCACATTCCCCTGGCCCTGAAAAACATGATTGGGTTTGTCTTGGATTTAAAATAAAACAAAGACTAAACCTTGCTATTATGCCACAAGCTACTGCCGTCTCCTCTCTCCTTTCAGAGCCAAGCTGTAAGACTAGATTCCACTTAGTCCTTAGTCTTTTAGACTCTTTAGTCTTCCTTGCCTCTACTCTCCATCCTCAACCACCACTAATAACTGAGGCCACTAATAACCTCTTTTTTTTTTTTTTTTTGAGATGGAGTCTCTCTCTGTTGCACAGGCTAGAGTGCAATGGCACTATCTCAGCTCACTGCAACCTCTGCCTCCTGGGTTCAAGCGATTCTCTTGCCTCAGCTTCCTGAGTAGCTGGGATTACAGGTGTGTACCACCATGCCTGGCTAATTTTTGTATTTTTAGTAGAGATGGGGTTTCCACCATGTTGGCCAGCCTGGTCTCGAACTCCTGGCCTAAAGTGATTTGCCAATCCCCACCGCGCCCGGCCCTACTAATAACCTCTTAATCACAAACTCTTTTGTCTTTCATCAGCTATTCTCAACTTCTGCTCAAGCTGCTCCTTAGTTCCTGCCAACTGACTGCTTCCTCTCTGAAATGAATCCTCTCTTGATTCTATGACACTATTATTATTATTATTATTATTATTTTGAGGTGGAGTTTCCCTCTTGTTGCCCAGGCTGGAGTGCAGTGACACAATCTCAGCTCACCGCAACCTCCACCTCCCAGGTTCAAGCGATTCTCCTGCCTCAGCCTCCCGAGTAGCAGGGATTACGGGAATGTGCCACCACACCCAGCTCATTTTGTATTTTTAGTAGAGATGGGGTTTCTCCATGTTGGTCAGGCTGGTCTCAAACTCCCGACCTCAGGTGATCTGCCCACCTCGGCCTCCCAAAGTGCTAGGATTACAGGAGTGGCACTGTGTCTGGCTGACACTACTTTCTTGTCCTCCTACTCGATCTCCTTTTAGTTACTTCTTCCTTCTCCAGCTCCCTAAATCCATATTCCATAAGCTTTTGCTCCTGCCCTTCTCCTTCCTCTCACACTTTTTAGTCTGTTTGTTCGCATTAGATGTCATCTTTGGTATCTTTTTAGCATTCATCTTTCCATTTGAGGAAGGTGACTCTCCATTTTCATCTATTTCCTACCTCTCCCCTGTGACAATCTTATCCATCTATGCAGATGATTCCCATCCATGCCCTGGCCTCTTTCCAGTTGCCTTCTAGACTTTCCCACTGGATAGCCTGCAAGTATCTCAAACTCAGTAGATCCCAGCCACCAAACTCATCACCTAGTCTCCCCACACTGTGTTCCTTATTTCTCAGAGTAGCATCTTCAACCTCTCATTCATTGGGTTCAACATTTCAAAGCCATCTTTGACTCCTCTTTTTCTCCCCGCATCCACTCTGTGATCTGGGCCTGCTGGGTCTCCTCTGTGCCACTGTCATCATCTTGCTTCAGGCCTTCATTACCTCTTGCCTAGACCATCATTAACAGCTTATTTCTAATATTCTGTATCTGTCAAGTTTCACCAGAAAAACAGAAACCACACTAGTTATTTTAATAAAGAGAATATAGTAAAGGGAATTAGCTAAACAGGTGCTATTATTTTTGAAAAAGTAACAAGGGAACACACTGATTTAACATAGAGATAGTAATTGCTAGAGGCAGCTATCACTCCTGGGAATAGGGAAACTAAGAGAAGAGATGGGTTATCATAATTCAGATGCCCAGAGAAGAAGTATCCCGGGGCAGAAGTCAGATGTCAAAGGAGAGAGCCCTGCCTGGTTATTGCTAGTACTTCTAATGGGGCACAATGAAGTAGGTTTTGGGAAGAAGAAAAGTTAGACATTGGTTCCAAAATGTCATTGCAGGGCAAAGGGCCATCGTTGGAGCAACACTGAGAGGAAGAGCGGGCAAGAAGAATGGAATAAGTCCCTTTTCTGCTCCTCCTTGCAGTCTACTACCGACTTTAACAGGAAGTCATCTGGCAGGGAGACTGTAGCTTGCAGAATTCTAGCCCTAGAACATACAACACAGAGCACGGAAGACTGGATTTGGTGCATTTCTCTACCTCTAGCTTATCTTTCTGGTAATCAGTTTTCTGTTAGACTTCTCAATTAATAGCCAGCATTTATTGAACATTTACTATATGCCAAGTACAATTCTAAGCACTTTTAAACATTAACACATTTAATTCTCATAATGACATTTCAAATTGTTTACTATTATTATCTACATAATCCAAATGAGGAAACTGAGTTTCTAGAGATTTATGTCATTTGCCCAAAGGGATTAAAAGTAACTTATGTGGTAATTAATAGGTCATAGATTCAAACCCAGGGTCCCTAGAATCTGGTCTCTTTACCACTACAACTGCATACCTATTAAGCAGTGATTCTCAAGCTTAAACTTTTCACAATGTATAGAATGGAGAAGGTAAGGTTCCTTAAGTAAATGATTCTCAAACAGTAGTATGCATATGTAAGAATCATTAGGATTCCAGCACTCTCTCCCTAGAGACTGATTTGAAAGGTCTGAGATGGAGAAACTGAATTTTAAACTGTGAGCCCTAGACACCCACCCTGGCCCTGTGACTCTGATCTAATGTCTCTGGACCATTTGGACCACAATACTAACTTGGTAGGAGTTGGTGAGAGAAGAAGGGAGAAAGAGAATATACCTTGAAAAAGCTCTTCTGTACTCCAATTGAGAAGCACAGTCTTCAAACACAATTCTGATAGCATCATCTCTTGCTTAAAACCCTGAAATTGGTTCAACAAATTCTAATATTTTTTGAACAAATACTATGTGTCACGTGATATTCTAGGTGACTGTGACTGTACAGTGGCAGCCCCATTTGGTATCTCTGTGACCCTGGAGAAGATAAAAACTTCTTTGGCTTTAGTTTCCTTATCTGCATCTCTTATCTCTGGTAGAAGAGAGAACGGATCCTTGCAATGAAAGGCCACATGATTAGAGTACAACATGCTCCACTGACACTGCTAAACAAAACAGGATTATATGCTTCAAGGCTTTGTAGGTCACAATGAGAATTTTTGCTTTTACCCCAAGAGCAACAGGAACCCAAGGGAGGTTATTCAGCAGGAAGGTGCCATGCCCAGGGGTGTATAAATACTATACTAAAGTTGAATTAGCATTTCCTGTAGAACAAGGGAAATTAGTAATTACAGTCATATCAGTCTAATATTTTGAGGGTACTAAGTAAAGTTGTAATTAATATTTAAGACTTTCTATGTTCTATTTTCTAAGTAAGATGAAAAACCAAATTAAATCTTGCTTACTGGTATTAATCATAATCTCAACTCATTCCTGGAATTGTGAACTAATTTGTGTCCTATGTACATCTTAATTTAAGACTCTAGAAGTGTTAAGTGTCAGAAACCAAGTCTCAACTACAAAAAAAAATTTTTTATTAAGTGTGAAAGCAAAACAGGTACATCTATTTAAATATTTTTTACATATTTATAGATACAACAAAGACAAATAACTTAGCAAAAATTACAAGTTTAAAGAATAGTACTATTTTGAAACAGCCAATATAGTATCTGAAAATATTCCATTTTATCCATAATCAGTGAGTATTATTTCCAAAAAAAGTAACTTGCATTTTCTTGTGAAAAATATGGTTTTTTTTTTAGATGTCTGCCAAGATTTATCAGAAAAGTCCATCTTTCTAAACCTAAAAAATTGTAATGCCTTTATTGAGAACTTTTTTTACCTAATGGCTTTAAAAACCACGTGTTTTCCTTTGGACTTAGGTGAATTCTAAATCTTTACTTCACTTTCAAACTACAGGGCATCGACATAAACAAAAACAAATCAGATTGAGAGTTTTGGGTTGCTTTTCTTCATACTGAGCGAAGAACCTTCTCCCTGGCTGGGTGAAAGACCATGGTGTACTGTGATGTCCAATCTACCACACAGGGCTTCACCAAGCCAAAGCAGCCACACTGAAAGAAATCTGCCAGGTTCTGCATGAATCCAAGACTGCCAAGAAAAAAAAAAAGAGAACATGTCTTACTATATTTCCTGTGTAGCTTGACAAACATTTATGGAGAATCTATAATATGCAATGTCCTTTGAACATCTTGCAGAAATCCAGGGGTAGATGGGGTAGATCAGATAGTTCCTGGGCTTCTGGTACCTTAAAACTGAAGCCTATTTCTGGACCTGAATCTATATTTGGAGATTTCCTGGCTTCTGCTCGCTCAGCCACTTAATTGGGTTTTTCATCATCACTTCATTTTGGATTCCCCACTTAATGGACTGGCCACTGACATCAATAAGTTTCTTTCTTTCTATTCCTACTTCCCTAATTCAGACCTTGATTACCTCAAAGGCCACATAGGCCAGAACAACTGTAATCAACAAGATGGGATTTTCCCTAAACCTTTTTTTTTTTTTTTTTTTTTTTTTTTTGAGACGGAGTCTCGCTCTGTCACCCAGGCTGGAGTGCAGTGGCGTGATCTCGGCTCACTGCAAGCTCTACCTCCCAGGTTCACGCCATTCTCCTGCCTCAGCCTCCTGAGTAGCTGGGACTATAGGCGCCCACCACCACACCCGGCTAATTTTTTGTATTTTTTTAGTAGAGACGGGGTTTCACCGTGTTAGCCAGGATGGTCTCAATCTCCTGACCTCGTGATCCGCCCACCTCAGCCTCCCAAAGTGCTGGGATTACAGGCATGAGCCACCGCACCCGGCCTCCCTAAACCTTATAAGTAACTCTCTAAATGAATTCTCTGTCTCAATTCCTTTTAATTCATCTTGCATATTGCAGACTGTTGTCCTCCAAAAACCCTGATATAGTCATAGCCCCTCACCTCCCAATCAAAACCCTTTAAAGATACTCCTCTGCCTAGAGGCTCAAATAAACATTCCTCCTCTTTGTATTCAAGGCTCTATATAAGGTATCCCTCTAGTTCTAGCTCCTCTGTGCATCTTTATAAATCTCCTGCTCCAGCTACTCTGGCTCTATTTTTCCCATGATCATAGATGCGTGGGCCTGGAACGCACACTGCTCTACACTTAGCTCAGGAACCCCCTTATCCTTTCAAGTCCTACCAGTTCTCAAGGCCCAGGCCAATACCCACATTTCCACTGGAGCTTTCCTGACTGCACTGTCTTAGGCATCATTTTTTCTCCATTAAATTTCGGAAGTACCACTATCTATTCCAGTTATGAGAAATGCTCATTTTTACGCATATGCTCTATCTTTTAAGTGCCTAACCCAATCCCTTACACACAACAAAACACACCTGTCCATGAGGATGACTGCGTTGCTGTTTAGAAGATTGTGTTCTGCATGGGGATGATGGCATTGCTGCCAGTAAAGGACCAACACTACTCAGAGGGCAACTTCCTGGGAAGAAGGCTATGTGGAGTTGATGGGTTGGCAGTGGGGATGCATGCTAGAAATGTATAGGGCCTGGTTCAAAAGCTAGTTAGAGTAGTGTCCCCTTCCCCTTGGTTTCAGTTTCAGTTACCTGTGGTCAACAGCAGCCCAAAAATATTAAAATGAAAAATTCCAGAAATAAACAATTAGTAAGCTTTAACTTGCATGCCGTTCTGCGGAGCATGATGAAATCTCACGCCATCCAGCTCTGTCTGCCTGAGACATAAATCATCCCTTTGTCTGGTGTTTCCACTCTGTCTACACTACCTGCCTGTTGGGTTATCAGACTGAAATAACATGGTATATACCGAGTTCAGTACTATCTGCAGTTTCAGGCATCCATTGGGGTTCTTAGAACATATCCCTCATGGAGAAAGGGTGACTACTGTACTGAGTAAAAGTAACTTAGGGGAGGAAAACAAGTAAAATCTTTGGTTTGGGCGGGACTCAGGTTTTCCCTTGAGTTCCTCTAGTTGATGCTGCCATCATTCAGCAAACGTGCTCTAGTGCTCTCATGTGTCCCTCTATTCAGACTCTTCTCTAGGGCTTGGAATGCCCTTCCTCCCTCCCAACTCCATTGTGCCCTGCCCCACATCTCTCAAGGCTCAGCTTCAAATTCCAACTCTATCACAGGCTTCCATAGTTTAGTGGAGTAAACATTTATTCCTCTGGTTTAGCTACAAAGAAAGGGATTTTATTATCACTGTCAATGTGAAACAATCATCACAAGTTTACGCTCCTTTCCACTCGCCATTGCTTTAGCCACCTCTTCCCAGTTAAGTCAATTTCTCTCCTCTCCTAAATACACATTGTAGTTATATCCCAGTCTCTGATCCCCTTGTCTAACAGCCTAACAGTTTCATCTTGTACCAACAGCATGCTTTAAAATAGACTGCTCATGAGATATGCAGCGAGCATTCAAATCCCCAGAGGGCTCTGGGTCACCTCTGCAGCACTCCCAGTTTCCAAGACCCTGCCATAAGTGGCAGGGAGATAAGCTTCAAAGCCCAATCTTTCATATCGTAAGACGAAGGTCTTTCTATACATACTCTCATTTTCAACTGAAAACGTGTTTTATACAACCAAATGCTCCAGGGGGAACAAATCCAAATCTGAAAAATTGGCTTCTCCCTGGTACAAGAGGGCACATTCAACATAGGGCTAGAAGAATTAGTGGTGATAGAAAGCCAGGCTGAAAATCCTGGCAAAGCACACAAGTGAACGCTCTCTACAGAGCACCCTGTGGCTGGCTCTCTCAGCCATACACTTAATTATCTCACATCAACTCCACGCCAGCAACAAACAACCTTGTGACCATGTGGCTTGACTGGAGAGATTCCCCACCTTGGCAAAACTTCAAAGTCACTTACTATTTGTGCTGTGTCCAGTAAACTAACTCTCGAATTCTTACCACCGTGGGGCTCACGACTTTACCACTCACCCCATCACTAAAGCTTCTCTAAGAAAAGGGGGGTCAACTGTACTAGATGGCAAATTACAGAACAGCAGCATGGCCATGGGTAGTGGCACCAGCTTAGGAAACCAGTGACTAGGGATCTTCCACAGGACTCAGCATCCAAAACAGGTCTCGCTTACTTGTATGGTGTCTTCCTGAGGGACAACGTCTGTTTCATATGCTTGCTCTGCTTCTGCAGGCTGATTCTCTCATGGGAGGTCAGGCCCAGAAAGGCAATCTGAAAAAGAAGGGTGGAAGGTTGCACACATTCAGTGTGCAACTTTTAGATAAATAAAACAATATAAGATCAGTATCAGTGCAATTATCTCAATTTGTGTGTTCTCCTTAGTATCTCCTTGAAAAGGGACAAAGAAAAAGTTAATCAGAAGTAAAGAACATTTAATTCCAAAAACATGGGGAAGACTGAGAATTAAGGTAACTTAAAAATTCTTAAATCATTAAAAACCATAACTACTCACAGAGTTATCTCATTTAAACCTCAAATTCCTTATCTGTAAAGCAGCTCATCATACCACTCTCATCATATTATTTTAAGGATTTGAGATAGTCTATTTAAAATACCTAACTGCGGCAGGGCACGGTGGCTCACGCCTGTAATCCCAGCACTTTGGCAGGCCGAGGCGGGTGGATCACGAGGTCAGGAGTTCGAGAGCAGCCTGGCCAACGTGGTGAAACCCCGTCTCCACTAAAAATACAAAAATTAGCTGGGCGTAGTGGTGGGCACCTGTAATCCCAGCTACTTGGGAGGCTGAGGCAGGAGAATCACTTGACACGGGAAGGCGGAGGTTGCAGTGAGCCGAGATCCCGCCACTGCACTCCAGCATGGGTGAAAGAGCGAAACTCTGTCTCAAAAAATAAATAAATAAATAAGTAAATAAAATCAAATACCTAATGCAGAGGATTAGAGAGATGAAGTAACTGATTCAAAGCCACACAGCTTAGAGTGGGAGAGCTGGGACTGACTCCTTGGTCAGTGTGAGAATAAAGCCATGCTCCTAACCAACAACCTAGACACTCATCTTGACTTGCTACAGTCAAAGCCACGACTACCCAGAGCGCTCAGGAAATGAACGTTTCCGAAGAACTGGATTGTTTTGTTCATTAAGAAAACAGCTTTGTTCTGAATTCTTCCTTTTGAAAATTATCTGAAACTTTGAGTCCATTTTTTGCCTTATTGACCTTTTTCTAAAAAATTAAGGATATTATCATCTCATATACTTGTACTTATTCTAAGATTCCAGAAAAAAAGAAAGATAATTAGAAACAATGTCTCAAAGCATTATAAATACTAGGTATTATAAATGATAATACTAATAATCACAGATGCTAGTATCTATTCTTGCTGCTGGAGTCTATTGAAGTCAGAGTGATAGGAGAGTGAGAGGAATGTTCGGAAACCTCAGTTTAGTCAATATTATTAACTCAGTTTCATCCCTAAACATTTTCTTTTTTCTCTTTCTTTCTTTTTCCCTCCCTTCCTCCTTCTCTTCTTGTTATTATTATCATTATTATTATTTTGAGATTGATTACTTTCCCATAAAAGTGGAATATACTTTGCTTTGGTTGAGTAATGCTCTAATTATCTGAGGTCTTACAGTAATTGATTCAGACTGATGACCACCTGCTGCCCATTCCACATGGGCAGGACACAGCAATAATGAGAATTAGGTTAGGCTCATAGGGGATGGAAGCCAGCAGGGAAGGGACTAAAGCTTTGGAGAAAGCTGAAGGTGACTACTGCCCTGGAGCTTGAACTTTCTAATGGCCATGGCCTTCTCTGAAAATGTAATTACTATGACCACTGGTTAGTGATGTATTTTTCATTTCTTACCACTCTCATCCATTTAAACACTGCATAGTAATAAGGGTAACAAACAGCGCTGGAAAAACTGAGGGAAAACAATCATCTGACATTTGCATGATGGTTTACAGTTTATACTATGCTTACACACAACATATAATTTAACTGTACAATGGAAAAAGCCCTTGAATGGGACTGGCAGAAGACCTAAGTTTCCAGTTCTGATTTTGCCACACACTGGGTGACCTTGAGCAATTCAATTTACCTTTCTGTACTTCTATCTGTAAAATAAAGAGGTCAGATTAGGTAACTCCTAGGTCATACTCTAATAATTTATTATGCTAACCTTTAAACCATCTTGTGGTTTAATGTAGTAGACAGGCGTTATTATCCTCATTTTACAGACAAAATACCTGAAATTCAAGTGTGGTTAAATGACATGGCTAGACCCACAGAGTCAGTGACAGAGGTAAAAACAGAATGTGCATCTTCTGATTTTAAATTCAAGGCTGTCTCACTACAAGTTTTAGAAATTTTACTCAAAGCCATTATAAGAAGAGAAATAAATACCTGAAAGAGTTGATTTAATAATAAAAATGTTGACCATGAGAAATGGAAAGTTGCTAGCATCAAGATATATAAAACCCAAGGGGAACAGGCCACAATCTGATTGAGGTAAGTCCATAATCCATCTTCTTTGAATGTTGTGGCACAATGACTGGACAAATCTGTGAATTCACCAAAAAAAAAAAAAAAAAAAAAAGGCAATAAACTACTTATCAGTCTCCAAGAAGATAAAATCACTGCAGTTCTATATAGGGAGAAGAGAAAGTATGGCACAGATCATGATTCAATTTTAGGATTTCATTTTCCACATGACAGTTCAAAAACTAAAGATGACAAAATGGTGGCTCAATGTTAATTGAGGCTATGATAACACTGTATAAGTAGTTAACAGTGAAGGAATAAAGAAAAAGGGTCCGTAAAATCTTTACTAAAATCAGCATTCAGCATAAGATATACTAGCCTGAAGTTAATTATTTGTTTAGAACACTCCCTACCTTATTCATGTTTATAGCAACTATGGGTCTATTACAGGACTGAATATAAACTCTTATTAAGCATTCAGATGAACAGGCCATTGCTGTGGGCACAAGATATCCCACAAGCACCTAGATATCATCAGAATACAATCTAATAGCATGCAGGGAGCTGGGCATGGGTATACTTCTGCACTGACACCATAACTAAATCTGCAGAGGAAGAAAGGCCAGATGAAGGGACTCACAAGACAGATACACCTGGGAAAAGAATATAGAGCAAGATTCAGATGGTCACAGCTCAGTTTCTCCCCAGGTGTGCCAATTAAAGAACTTTACTATGGCCTTTCATATCAACCTCCTAACCCATGTAGCTAGGAGCAGCAGTAAGGAGAAATACACACAGGAAGCAGCAGAAACAAGGGAACGGATCTTCAAGGTTATGTAAATCCAATGACTTTTACAGGCACCCTGCCCATGCATAAAGGGTGAATTATTTTTAAAAGATAATTCTGTCGATTTGCACCTTGAGGTTTCATAAATGCCTCTGACAATTTGATAAACAGTTTTGGACATTTTCCCAATGCTGCTCTGAAGAACTCCAGGGACAGGAAGAAAATGAGTCTATGACTTTCCTGTCAACTGTCCATTTAAATCCTAAAAATCTACTTTTCTTTTCTCTTTAAGTCTCTGATTCCCAACCATCTTTCATGAATATATGCCAGAAGCATTCTAAGAGCAATCATCACAGAGTAGCAATCAAGGTTCAAGTTAAGGCAAATTACACTCTCTCTAGAGCATCTCATTAGGATGGCAAAGAAAGATGCATCCCATGCACCTGATATCACAAAAAAGAATATAATTTCCAACAGTAGGTGGAGAAAACAGCTGTTGATTGGGAAAGAATATCTATTTTCTTTCAGTTTATGGATTTCTACTGCTCCCTTCTGGGAATTCTTTTGATAATACAGCATGATCTCACACTGAAGTTTTCAGAATACTGGTTTTCAGATTTAATATCAAAGATACAACAGCAAGTTGTCACGTACATTATCTTATGCAATGTAACACTTTAATTTGTGCTAATACATTCTTATCAGCTGGCCAGTGGCTAATGGTAGGGAACTCACATCATTCCAGGTCAAACGTTTTCATCTTTAGATGGCTCTGACAGTTACAGAGTTCTTCCTGATGGTAATCTACAATCTTTCTTTCTGTAACTTGTAGGATGCTGACACTTTTGGAGTCACTTACTATCCACCTTGTAAACAGACCTTACAAAAGATGAAATGGATGGAGGCTGTACAGAAGTAGCAGCTATTGGATCACATGAGAAGGAGAGTATAGAGCAGGGCTCTAGTAATACAGCATTAATGGTAAACAAGGGAGGTGGGATGACAGTGAGGCCTCATTAGAGAAATGGAGCACAAGTTCATGTTTTGTCTGTGAAATAATAATAAATGACACAAGGCCCTCATTCAGTGTAAAGAAATATTGCTGGAATATAAATGGAATAAAGGTAACAAAATACACTCAGCTAGTTTATACAGTTGTAAGTGAATATAAGGTGGGACTGTTCTTATGAAACAAAATGTAATATGAAAATTGGTTCAGAGCCAGAGAAAAAAGACAAAGAGAAGGGAAGAATCAACATGTGTAATAAAAAAACTAACTTGGAAAGACTGAATGTGATGGAAAATCACTTCTGTCCTTATCAATACAGTCTTATGCTGGTCATAGATGCCAAACAAAGGTGACTATTTTTAGTGAAGAGAGAGAAGAGAAGAGAGGCAGGAGTGGTGTAAACTCTGGCTCCTCTCCCATAGGATCCAGTCCAAGAGACAAGTTGGTCTATGTGCCAACTTACAAAGGTTTTCCAGGAATATGCTTTACTGTCAGGCCTTGAAAGGCAGCTTTCTCAATAGAACCAAGCGCTGTCAAAAACTCTTTTACTTTTTACACCATAAGACATAATCTAAGAAGTTTTAAAAATCGAATGCTGGCCAGGTGCAGTACTTCACTTTGGGAAGCTGAGGCAGGAGAATCACTTGAGGCCTGGAGCTTGAAACCAGCCTGGGCAACATGGTGAAGATGCCATCTCTACAAAAAATTTAAAAATTAACTGGGCACGGTGACAGGCACCTGTAGTCTCAGCTATTTGGGAGGCCAAGGCAGGAGGATCACTTGAGCACAAAAAGCTACGGCTGCAGTGAGCCATGATGGTGCCGCTGCATTCCAGTCTGGGCGACAGAGTGAGACCCTGTCTCAAAAAATACATTAATAAATAAGCAAAAAACAAACAAATAAAATTAAAATTAATTAAAATAAAAATAGAATGCTCAGGGTTACTGGTGGCCTTTTTGACAAGAACTGAGCTCAGAGATTACAACCTTCTGACTATTAGACCTATTTAAAATGGTGACAGTCACATTTAGCTACAAAAGCATTGCCTAGTGATCAAAGACACCCAAGGCGTCAGGTAGGAAAGGGTCTGACAAGGTAACTGAAGCCCTCCATGCCTATGGCAGGGCAAAAAATAACTCATTACACATAGATACTAGTTAATAATCTCTAAAAATGAAACCCCAAACAAAACAAAATTTGTAATACTTGATATTTCTAGGGAGGGAAACTGGGAGCCTGGGGGGCAAGTGTACAAAGAATTGCCTTTCGAAAACTAACAAAAATTTTAAACTAAAGAGACAGAGAGACACAGAAGAGAGAAAGAGAGGAAAAATGTGTATGTGTATTGGGCTTATGATGCTAAGGGGAAAATAACATTCTTAATGTCTTTCGGAATTACTCCAGACTTCAGCTCAAGCAACAAACTAGTACCCTACTGGTAAAGTCTAAGATTTGACCAAGAATGTAACAAGAGGGTGGATGGAAGTGAAGCCTCTGTGTTTAGAGCCCAATTCTCCAAAAGCCTTAAAATAAATAAATAATAAACAGTTAAAGTCCAAATAAATAAACTACAAGCACTATAGGTTTTTCCAGTTAGGTAACCTATTTCCAAGGTCTGAAAAACATAATAATGCAATTCTTAAGACATAGCCAAAATCTTTCTTGGTTCAATTTAAACCCTGTCCTTCTTAGTCAACCACCTCAGAACAGCTGGCTGTCATTCCCTATGTGAGACCCCTATATACTTTTTTAAACCGCTACTGAAAGCTTTTTTCCTTCCTCAGGGCCGCAGAATAAGTGATCTAATGTTTTCTTCCAAGTTACTATTTCCAACCTTTTAACTGTTAGTATTCCCATCAGTTCTCAGTTTCAACTTGATACTTACCAAATGGCATGGGCTTTCAGAGGTTTGTTCCTTAATGACTGGACAACTATCCCCCAACCTCTCTACCACTGACCTTTTTTTTTTTTTTTTCCTGTTTTATTCAGTTACCACCTCCAGCTTTGTACTTCAGCAGCTGACTTTCCTTCTTCACTGGGGAGCAAATCTGCACTTGCCTTAAATGAATTTCTATTTTTGACTACTTTTCAAATTTATCACATTTTTTTCCTAAAGTACTGAGAACTAACCTCATCTTGTATTTCTTGCAGCTTCCCAATGCTGAGGGAGTCTTAGAGGCATTTGCTTTGTTTTTATTAGGAGTATGGTTTATAGTCACCCAGCCAGAATGTGATATACAAGGGTTTACAAGGAAAAGTAGAAATGGGTGTAGATGTATGTGCTTGTTGTAAGAAAAATTTACACTTACAGATGAAAGATCCATATATAATCCAGCCACATACCATGGAAAGGAAAAACAAGAAGAATATGTAATAGTGATGGTTGCCAAAACCTCAAGAAAAAAGAAAAAAAACATACTTAATATTTTCGTTTCTTCTGATTTTCAACATAAGACCTCCTTAACCACTTTCCTGTCAAAAGTCTTCACCAAAGTAAAACAGAAATAAAGCTGTTGCTTTGCTTTTAAGTACCATTAAATCAAACCACACATTTCTGATATGTCACAGTCAATTGTCCATGTTAACTGAACTAATATTTATTCATTGCTTACTTAAAAGAAGATACTTTTTTGGACTAGAATAAAGTTAACTAAGCAAACACTGCTCTAGGCTGGCCTATTCTGTGATGGAAGGAAGAGAAGCAGGCAGGAATTTGGACAAATCATACCCTGTCTCTTTCTTCCTTCCATGCAACATGTTTGTAAAAGTGCAACTTCTGGAATAGAATAAAGTTAACTAAGCAAACACTTTTCTAGCTAGGCTGTCCTATCCTGTGACAGAAGTAAGGGAACCAGGCGGGATTTTGGACAAATCATACCCAGTATCTTTCCTCCTTCCATGTAACATGTTTGTAAAAGCACCACCTCTGAATATCAAGGATTGACTTAATCAGGGGGAACACAGAAAACGAAACTGAGGAGCAGCAACAAATTTACATGTTGCTACTGGACATGCAAAGAGTGGCAACCCACAATCTGAGAAACTTCTACAGAAGGGAAGAAAGCGGGAAGGGCAAGGCAGCTAAGTCTTCTCTTGCACACGCTGCCTTCTCAATGCTGGAGATGGGAGCATTTCAATGCTAATGACACAAATACTCCTCAGCTACTACATCATGGTCCGACCTTCTCCTGGAGCAGCAAAACCCGGCAGAAGGAACAACACCCATTGGAATCAGGAGACCTAGGCTTATGTATTACTAGTTGTGTCACTGTAAGTTAAGTGTTTTAACTTCTCTGATCTAGCGTTTTTACAAGTAATATGGAGATAATATTTTTTCTGTCTACTTCACAGGCCTGTGGCTACCAAACAGAATGATGCATGTGCAAATATTATGTTACCTGTAGCATAATAACGATGCATGGGCCCATTGCTATTGGAATACTAGAATATTGAAAATGGAGCCCTAGGATGCCCTTCCACTTTTTCTGTGAGTCATAACTAAACATATGCTTAACTTCACAGTAGTAATTGAAAAATTAAATCTCTCACCTATGCACCGTCCAGTCCACAGGCAGTGTTGATCATATCGAGCCACACAGCAGTTGCATACATGGCAGTGGAGTGACCTTAATGGCTTCCTTATCTAAGTGGGCAATTAAGAGAGGCCTAAGCAAAAACCAGTGTCTCAAAGTGGTAACAAATCACAAGCAAAATTTTAACTTTAGGTCACAGAGGCATTGGCACAAATCCTAAACAGACCATCAATTCACACAGAGGCTGTGGAATGCCTTATTAGTATTTACTTCCATATGTCTACTTTGATTAGGACATCACTAAGTGGGATCTGAATTCCAGAGCCTGTTCACACTGGCTAAGCAGAAATGAGGCAGTACCACAGAGCAAAATAAGCACTCAACCAAGGGAAGGAAACCCAAGTTCCATTTTTAGCACCACCAATAATTTGGGAGAATTTACTTCCTCCCTTGATTCCTCAATTGCAAAATGAGAGGTTTCACTAAGTGGTTTCTAAGGTCATTATGAGCCTCTGATTTGACGTTAGTTCTAATATATGCTTCATGACAGAGAAAAGCAAATAAAACACACAATGGATAATTCACGGAGAGATGTAACCAGAGACAACTTCAAGAGATTATAAACATCATTCTGCCATATGTTCAAGACAGAAAGCTGTTCAGACAGGAATGTAAAATTAGAAATGGGTAAAAACAAAGGTGTATAAATATACCATGAAGATCTGACAAATGCTTACATCAGCAACGTTACCAAGACTTTGCTTTCACTACGGAAAAAAATTATATGAAAAAACTCACAAGACATGATGTACAAAATGTTCTGAAGTCCAGAGAGCCAGTTTCTGCAAGGGTGATGATATTCTGAAAGACATGAAGTTTGACCTATTACCACATTTTATTGGAAAATGTATTATGCATGGTTATACACCATTCTCACAGTTCTCGCTCCAAACTGAAGTAGTTAGAAAAGCAATTTGGAATACTTGCCACCAAATCATTCTGTGCTTGAAATGATGTGACTCTTCAAGGTTGCATTTTCAACCAACAGCTAATAAATTAGGATGCATAAAAATTATACCACCCCACCACTCCCACCTATCACCTCATCTCTGTGAATGGCAATCATCTCCCAGTTATGATCTGCTAGAGAAAAATAAATATGCAAATATACACACACATTAAAAAAGAAAAACCCACCAGTATACATCAAAACTGAAAGTTACAAGCACCAAGGGCTGGGTCTTTCAGGAACACTGGCTTTAGGTAACAAAGACAACATTCTCCAACTTCTAAACATTCATGAGCAACGGAAAACATGCCATGTCATCTGACAACTTCACATTTGAGGAGGAGGAGGGGCATCTCCTCAGCCAATAAGCAGAAGGACTCTCCCTGGTCACTGACTAGTTACTCTCCATTTATTTAGTGGGGAAATGTAAGCTAAATGACCATTATGAAAATGTTATTACAAGGAAGTAGGAGATCATATTCCTAAAAGGAATCACATCTGAAAAAGTCTTGGTGGGGTATTATTTCAACAGAAAATAAAAATATGTGTTAAAACTTTCATATACATAAATGAAAAAACTGTAAGAGTGGAAATCTAATTTTTGCTATATCACCCCACATGTCATGCAGCCGTAACAAAAAGCAACACATCTGCATATGTGCATATAAACTTTCTAAAGTTTACAAACCCTCCTATTAAAAATATCAGTAACGAAGAAATCTCACCACTTTCTTTTCTTCTTCAGAAGCCTTAGTGAAGCCTGGATCAGTTGCCCAAGTCTTATAGAAAAAGTATAGAAAGGCTACTATGCTGAAAATGAAACTGAAATAGAAAGGGGCTCCTGCTAAATGTTAAAGCCAAGTTAAGGAATACACCAAACTTCCTTTAAAAATAATGTAATTATGATGTAAGCAAATTTCATCATTGGCACCTAAGAATCTCACCTTCCTTATGCACACATGTCCCTGCCCCTAAATCTCTTCCCATCCTATGTTCTAATCCTACTGGAATTTGTTCCCACTTGGCTAATAATTAATGTTTCCTTATTAGTTGAAGCTCATATTAAATACTTGATAGGAATAGTTGCAACTTATGAGGAACATCCTGAAAAGTGACACTCAAGACCAAATAAATTTATCTCTAATGGTGTAATTGTGGCTCTCCTGTGAGCATCTAGAAAAATATTCTTTGATCATTTTAACAAAATCATTCAAAGAAACAACCCTCTTGATTCAGAGATTCCAAATAAAAGTATTTCCCTATATATTAGATACATGTTTGCAGAAAGACACTATTAAAGGTACATAGGGCAAGATCCTTTGTGAAAGAATCACATCATAATTTCTTTATGAAATCCTGATCGACACACGACTCAAAATATATACGTTCAGTTCTCAAAAATACGTTCAGTTTCATAATGCAATGATCCTGCACGCTGAGCTGACTGAATTTTCGGCTCCTATTTTGATTAACTTACAAAACAAATGGCAGGGGAATCATTGGATCACCACTCTCCAAGTAAAGTGAATTACACCCTATCACCTCACATAGAAGCTGAAGACACTCCTTGCTTTGGTGCTCTTGCCTGTGTGGTTCACTGACCTAAAATGTCCCCTACTTCCTCTCATTTTCTTCTAAAACCACACTTTTAGGGTATCCAAGTCTTAACTGCGATTAAAACCTAACTTATATTTTCCCTCCTTCCTTGCAATCTTTTCTGATTCCCTGGAGAGAATCATACTCTCCCTTCCCTGAATTTAAGAATGCTTTATCTAAGGCACTCAGATGTGGACTATAGTTTATAGACACACAGCCTTCCCAGTAAGCTGGTAACACTTTTGCAGTTAAGTCTCTCAATATGGAGCTAAAATTTGCCTTTCTATAACTTCAACCAACTGATTTTCATTCATTAGATCCTTTAGATCTGCACAGTAGCTGTCTTTTAGATCTAACCTACATAAGCTTATCCCCTCATTGGTTCAATACATTTTTACTGAGTGCCCATTCTACATAGTGCATTGGCTTCCAAATGATAGACTTCCAAACACTTGAAATTGGAAGACAGTGATCATACCTCCAAGATAAACAGCAACACTGTCCTTATATAACATTTTCCTGGTCATGTTCCTCTGTTCATGCTCCCATTTGTCATTCTCTCTTTTAAAAGGATATAATTCAAAACAGAGCAAACACCAGTGTAGAGGACAGAGAAGCTGCTGTTGTCTTTTGCTTGGACACTCAAATCCTTGTAATACTATGTGAGAATATACTTGCTTTCTTGACAGCTGCATCACTAGCCACACTGAGCATTTAGTCACAGCGCCTCGTTCCTTTGCACTTGACCAGAAGCTATGTCATAGCTCACCATAACATGCACTTGTATAACTGATTTTCTGAAACTCAGTATGGGACTTTACATGTATTTATCCCTCTTAAACTTAACTCAGTTAGTTACAGCCAATATCACAAATGTAATATTCAGTGATTCACCATTTCTCTCCTGAGTTTGAATTTTACCTTCAAACTCATCAATAAGGTTCCATTTTATTGTATTCAATCCCCCCTCGCACAAGCCAGACATTACTTGCTGAACTTATAAAAGGTACCAAAAGAAACTGATCATCTGAGAAGCCAACCTAGAATTGCCCTTGAAATTAGTTTAAACATGCAGCCTTCCACATCAATTTTATTCATAAGAATAATTAATAATAAAATATTAGGTATATTTATAGAATGCCAATTTTGCCATGGGGACTGTGGTGAGCACTTTATAGTAATCCTTGCAGCCACACCATGAGCTTGTTTCTGTTATCTCCAATTTACAGAAAAACTAAGGCTTGGTGAAATTATGTACCTTGCCCCAATGGTGCATAACTAGTCTGAAAAGAGCTAAAACTCAAAATCGTTTTGTCTTCTTCCATAGTGCCCCAGAATGTCTTCCCCTAATAGGCCAGTATCTGCGGAAGCAGATGCCCTTATTCAATCCAGACGGCAGCCTGAGACAAAGCTAGCCTAAAACCCAGGGCGGCATCTCAGTTCATCCACAAGGCAGTTCCAAGATTTAAAATTTAGTTTGAAGAACATTATTCTGATGGTGAAGTATGCCACCTACTGACTTATATGCCCTCACAAGTAGCAGGTTCATATGGTTGCCTAGAACAAAGGGCTTTAGGTTGTACAAGCAAATAAAATCATCCATCTTGTTGATTCCAACATCTTAAGATTCTGTCTAGCTATGGAAATCAGTTCTCTTTTGTTAATTTTAATCACGGCCCATTTAATTCTTCCACGACCCACTAACGAATAGCAGTCTGAGATTAAAACAAAAACAAACAAAAAAAACTCATCCAAGAAATAGGTTTATTACTTAAGGATCAGGGCCCAGGACCAAGTCCAGCTTAGGGGTGTGTTATTCTCTTAGTGTTGGCCGAGTCCTGTCACCTAGAAATGGGGAGAGGGGTTACTTGGGTTGTAACCATTTATGACTTTGATTCTACAAATTTGAAATAATTCAATATTTGTGCAAAATCTGACATGTTTCTCAAATTTTAAAAATTTATCAAAAAACACATTTTTAAAACTGTTTTATTCCACTGCCATATGGATTGGTAAACAAAAATATCAGCTAACTTTCCTTCCTCAGTGTCATGTCAATTACCCTAGAATTTATGAGCGTTAGGTCTTCTGCAAGTGATTTTGTTGTATCCTGTGCTGTTATTTGATGCACTCATGACTACTTATAAAATCATGTATTTTTCTATCATAATAATAATATCATCCAAGCCTTCATTAAGTGGTGGTAATAAGGCTAGTGCTTAAAAAACTGCCACCAAATCAGTAATTATGAGACAAAGAAGAGATAATAAAATCTTTTGAAAAAAGCCAAATGGCCCCAATGTATGCTGTGCCATTCATTTAAAGAAATCTGAAAAATTAAATTAGAGATAATGCTCAGAAATAAAAAGGAGCATAAAGGAAAAACATGCTATAATGGATGTGGACATATGTACTTTGAGAACTCCTATGGCCATCTCATTTCACATTTATTCCTATGGAAAAAATATTCTTGAATTCAGTTTATGCATGTCTCCCATAAACATTCTGTTCTTTCTTTTCGGAAATGCTATTACCAGAAAGAGAAGTAATGTGGAAGTTTAAATGAACACACTGAAAGGTATATTTCTATCTACAACATTCCTTCTTCTCCTACTCCATAAGCAAAGCAAGGCCATCAGGGCTTCCCAGGGTCCTTGGAAGGGGAGAAGGGAGTCTGGCAAGAGGTGGGAAGATTGAAAATGCCTTCCACCTACCTGAAGTCACAAATGGTTAGAGCCCAAGTAACCCCTCTCCCCATTTCTAGGTGACAGGACTTGGCCAACACTAAGAGAACAACACACCCCTAAGCTGGACTTGGTCCTGGGCCCTGATCCTTAAGTAATAAACCTATTCCTTGGATGAGTTTTTTTGTTTGTTTGTTTTTGTTTTAATCTCAGGCTGCTATTCATTAGTGAGTCATGAAAGAATTAAATGGGCCATGATTAAAATTTTTTAAAAAGGAAATGGGATGAAATAACACCATAGAGTAAAGCATATATTAGGAGTACAGTCTTTGTTTTACATATATGTTGAGTGGCAAAGTAAATTTATTTTCACCGTGGATTGAGAATCATTGCCTTAGATAATATCACTAACACTTACCGTTACTGAGGAAGCCATATTTTCCCCAATATCCCTTTCATGCAGTCCGTCTTAGTACTCAGAAAATGTATTAATTAACTGTAACTGCTGACCAAATTATGAGAACCATCTGACCTTGAAGGAATCTCAAGACAATCCAACAAATTATGGTACAAGTAAAACAATAATACATTCTACTGTTCCCCTCCTATGAGTAATAAATACTAGATACTTACTGTTTCCATAATGTACTCTGAGACTACTTTTAGAATCAAGTAGATTTTCAACATTAAACGTCTTCATCCAGAACCATTAAATGAATGCAAATATAAGTTGCATTCCCTGGGCCTTTTCCAATACCTAAATTCCTAACAATAACATTACTCTTTTAAAGGCAAAATGAGATACACATCAAAATTGATGCTTAAAGGATATCAGGAAAAAATAAGATGAACCAAGTCATAAATATCCAAAAAACAGAACTTAGCAGAAAGGCTGTTGGTAAGTATACAAGGTTCTTATACCCAACCAAGAACCTAAAAGAAAAAAGATAAATATAAGTTATTAGTATGACTTGTATTAATTTTAGTTCTAAATTTCCCTAAATAATAATGGTAGTAATAATAATACCAGCAGCAACAGTAATAGCTTTCACATACTGAGTGCTTACTATGTGTCACTTTCCATGTGGTAATAGAGTTATGCAACATCATCCCCCCATTTTACACAGGAGAAAACTAAAGCACAACGACTCTCAAGAAGTGTATGTTCTAGTTCTTCTAACCAACTCATACAATATTTAATTCACAACGATTTAATATATGTTTTCAATGGATCTTTTGTATTTCTAATGAGATATATATTTTTATTTCTTTTTTGGCATATATTTTTAAATACACTATAATGCAAAAATTTATATACTTGAGATTCACCTTTACATTTAGCAAGCTTTCTTCCAGAGACTAAAATGATATTTGTTAAGCATACTGATGCACACAACCTTAAGCACATTCATCCTATAATCAGCTTGAGAAGTAGACACTTCATATAAAAAGATACACAAAGGCTAAAAATGATACTAGTATTCAGAACACTAACAATCTCACTTGGGTCACAGGCGATTTGAGGTTCACATGTAATTTATCCAAAATACTGCAGTTTCAAAAGAAAATGTCTTTTACACTAAATACTCACCACAGTCATCTTATGCATGAATATAGTTTACCTGAATATATTTTAAAATTTATTCCAGGAAAAAACAATGATTAACAGTAGGTATGAAGGGTTAAAAAAAATTAGCTACCAGGATCATAACCATAATAATGGTAAGTTCATATTTGAGAAGAACTAAAGAATCCAAACTTTAGATGCTCAACATGCTGCCAAAATAGGCCAAATGAAACCCTTGCAACCTCCAGGGTATGGTCTGTCGGAGATCTTGCAGCAAAAAATGCATTTGACCAATTAGGTAATGCAATGAACTACTAATTTACAAGAGCCTGCTACCACTACATGTCCACTCCTGACAGGTGTCAGGTTAACAGCCCAGATCAATAAGCAACTGCCCTGTAATAATAGTAGTTTACAGTTGCTTTCCTCCATGAAATTGGGACCCTATAGAGGAATATGAGAAATAAGGGATGTATGAATAAAGTTGTCATATGCATTTGACTCACATTTGAATTGCGTCCATTTTTATAATGTAGGCTTCAACTACAATAAACGAACAACCAAACATAATCTCAAATGTTCCTATCCTAGGGGAGTAGATATTACCAGCCCTTGCTTCCTCTCTGAAAAAGGAGTGATGACTCTGATCCCTGGTGATTTGGCTTAAAATTTATTTAGAGCCCAAGTTAATCCAATTAGTGGAAAGTGAATAAATATCTCTAAGTCACAAGTTGTCTGAATAGCAGACAATTTTAGGCATTTTGCTATTTTTCAGAAATTTGAGTTTTCACATTACATTTAAATTCTAATTCATTTCCAGCCAATTGTCCTGCTCTTGGGTGATACAGTAGTAAGATTCCTCTAATACTTCATTTGCTCTTATGACAAAAGCAGGGCATGCTTATGCCAGAGAATGCTGGCAAGCGACAGAAAGACAGAGGAATACTCATAATCATAATCTGCAAAGAGCAACCCTGTATTTCCCTTTAGATTCTTTTCTATGGATCATCATCATTACATTTTTCTTTCATTCAGTGAATGAAAATGTTTAACAGCAGAGACAAGTTTCCTGCTTTTATGGGCTTTACGTTGCAGGAAAGTGATTAAGTGCTACAAGAAAATAAAACAGGGATGCAGCAGCATCAGTCAGGAACGGCCTCACTAAGCAGGTGACAGCTGAACTGAGGCCTGAATGACATATCCAACTATGAAAAGATAAGGTGTCACAACACTTCAGACAAAGACCCAAGCAAGGGCCAAGGCCCCAGGTGGGAATGAGCCTGATGTGTGAGAAAGAAGGTACAGTGCAATGAGGAGAAGGGAAAGAGAGGAAGTCGCTGGGGAGGGAATGAATCACATCATACCCCATAGGCAAGGAGTCTGGATTTTGTTCTGAGTACAAGAAAAAGTTACTAAAGCACTTTAAGCAGGGAGAAAAGAAAGAACTTATCTGCTTTTTAAAAGACTCCCTTGATTGCTAAGTGGGGGTAAACTCCAGGGGGATAAGAAGTCAGGAGACCAGTGAGGAGACTTGGTCTAGGATGCGAGTTGTGGAGATGGAGACAGGCAGGTAGGGAACACTTGGTAATGGGTTGGACGTGGGAGGTGAGGAGAGGATGACAGTAATCCAAGCATGACACCCATATTCATTTGAGGAACTGGATGCCATTTGACTGAGAAAGGTAAGAGAGAAGAAGAGATGGGGGGTGATATGATTATTGAGTACTATGTGTCAGCTATAGTTCTATGTGTTTATATGTGTTAACCATGAGGCAGGCATTATCACAAGTTAACCCTCATTTTATAGCAACTTGTTCAATGTCAGACTGTCATGTGGTAAAGCTTGACTTGAATTCAAGCAGTCTGACTCTTAACCATTAACTATATATAATCATGTATAAATACTGTCCTAAAAATAAAACCATACCATATTTACTATTTTATAATCTCTCACAATTTAACTCAACTAAAAATGACTGACAGCAAAAATAACTAGCTTAAAATAAATTTAGAAAAAGGAAAAAATTTCTGAAAAATGAGCAAAAATGCTTCAAGATGATTACAAAATCTTGAATAATTATGAAATGATTACAAAAATCTCCCCATCATTCACCAAAAATAACAATTAAAACGTGACCCAGGATATTTATTTTCCACCAGTTGTCAAGTCAACCAAGTTACTGGGTTGAGCAACTTGCTTTCAGCCAAATAATATGCTACCAGAGCCCTTTCCTCCCATCCACCCGCAGGATGCTGTTATATGGTAAGTAATATTTACAGCATGATAAAAATCTGTGACTCCAGCTAACCAACAACAGAAATAAGAAATAAAATCAGAAACACAATAACCAGCCTTGCAAAAATTAACATACACACCTTGGAAACAAAGATGTCAGAAAAAACAGTGTTACTAGAAGACATCCTTTTAAAAGCCAAGAATCTGAATTGAAGTCCAATATGTATCCAATAGCCCACATGGTAATCACAGAAAGCATCAGCAGCAGGAAGAGCTATTAAGAGATTCAGAATTTTAGAACTTTATGGATTTTACCTCTTAAGTATCTAATAATAGTGCAATATAAGAACTACTTCCAAAGTATATAATAACAATTAATACAACAACAAAGCTAACACAAAGTTTTCCTCTAAAATTGCTGATTGATAAATTTGAGGTTTGAGAGATTGTACATCTTGGAAACAATCTTTTTTTTTTTTTTTTTTTTTGAGATGAAGTTTCATTCTTGTTGCCCAGGCTGGAGCACAATGGTGCGATCTCGGCTCACTGCAACCTCTGTCTCCTGGGTTCAAGCGATTCTCTTGGCTCAGCCTCCCAAGTAGCTGGGATTACAGGCACCCACCACCATGCCTGGCTAATTTTTGTATATTTAGTAGAGACGGGGTTTCACTGTGTTGACGAGGCTGGTCTTGAACTTCTGACCTCAGGCGATCCACCTGCCTCGGCCTCCCAAAGTGGGAAACAACCTTTTAAAAACCCTACATTTTATAAAATGTTACTTAAACATATTTTGTTTTGTTTTCTTCTCTACAAGAAATGGTGGTCTTTTAGAAAACTGTTAATGAGAGCTAAGATTTTTCAAAATTACTTCTTGCAAACAGTATTCTATATTGGAAAGCATAAAGCAAGCTCAAGGGACTACATAGAAATTAATACAAAAGACTCAATGAGGGAACTATAAGAGCTCCAACCTGGGCACTGCACCATGCCATCCCTAATGCAGAAGGTCAGATGCAATAGGTCTGCAGAAAAGATGAGCTATGTTTGGAGAACGTAGAATTTTAAATGCCTATGGACATCTAGGAGACAACCAGCTGGCAGTCAAAAGTAGGTCTAGCATTCTGGAAGACTTGAAATTTATCAGTACATAGGTGGTAAAGCCGTGAGTGAATAACATCCCAAAGACTGTGTGCAGGTAGAAAGGGGGCAGAATCTTAGCCAAAACAAACACTTAAGGGGAAAAAAGCAAAGTCACCAAAAATAACCAAGAACAACTGACCAGAAAGGCAGGATGAGAACCGGCAGAAAGAAAGGTTTCAGGGAATCCAGGGAAGAGAGTTTCGAGAAGGGGGATGTTCTCAGTGTCAAATGTCACATGGAGATCAAAGACTGAAATATGTCCTCATGATGCTACTAATTCAGGTTTATTTTGGCAAAGTTAAAAGAATGAAACTTCTATGAAACAATGGTCTGACTGAATTGAAGCTGGGCCCCATGTTTGTGCAATGCAGTCTTTAATGACAAGATATGAGACCTTGAAAGTAAGCAGGGCTTCCTTCTTTCTTCCTCCATTTTCACCTCTCTACGCCATATCTAGGAGTGGATAATTTCAAATGACATTAAGTCTTTAAAATGTTTCCTATTCCAATTGGCATGATGACACAAAATGGGCTAGTTTAGATTTTTTTTAATGTAAATTTAGAATCTCCTAGCAACATAATCTCAGAACAGAGATAAGAATTAAATATGGATCTCAAAATTCTAAATCCTAGATATAACACTCTTACAGACAAGCTGCCCTATTCATTCAACAAATACTTGAGGGCATATTATATGCAAGGTACTATTCTAGGCACTTGGGACACATCAATGAACTTAAGATCTTTTTCTCACTTAAATTCTAGCTGGGGAAGATAGACAAATAAATATACTAAGTGAATTTTATAGTATATAAAAACCTGGATGACAAAGGGCCCTATAGGCCATCATAAAGACTTTGCTTTTACTCTGGGAGAAATGAGGAGACATCATAGGAATGTGAGCTGATAAGTGACATGACCCGACTTACATTTTAGAAGATTCATCTGCTGAACCAACATGGCAGTGGTAGAGTGGTAAGAAGGGGTCAGATTCTGGACATAAACTGAAGGCTGAACTAGTTAACCCGTCTTTCTAATGGACTGCATATGTGGTATGACAAAAAAAAAAAAGGCGAAGACAGAGGAATGCTGGAGTTACCAGCTACTGAGATGGGGAAGGCTTGGCTTAGTCAGGGGAAGGGTGGGGAGGGTATCAGGAGATGCCTATTAGACATCAAAGCGGATGAGTAAAGTAGGTAATTGGATATATGAGCATGGAAAGGTCTAGACTAGAGAGACAAATATGGGAGTTATCAACATATAGATGGCATTTAGGGAATGAATAGATAGCAAGGAAGCTCAATAACAAAATCCTGGGGCACCCTACCAACAAGAGATGGGGGAGAAGTGGAGGAGCTGGCAAAGGAGACTGAGGAATAACCACTATTTCTTTCTCTCCCCACTCCACATGCCTAATGCAAAAGCAGTGTAGCATTCATGATGATCCTCTACATAAGAATACAGTGTCTGTTAATTTAGAATCACTCTGAAAGTACAATTACTAATTATTATTAATAAGATGATGGTATCATATTTGAAAACACTAGAAACAGTGGAATCAATCCAATATTCCATTTTAACAATTTAAATAGTATTCACTTCTATGACTTAGATTTTCTTAGACATTCATGAGAATAACCTGAAGTTTCTAAAGTTTTCCATTATTCAGTTCATTTTAAAGTTTAGAGGAACACCACACAGAATTGCTAAGCTAAAAAAAATGAATAAAATTTGGATTTAATCTCTCAAAATTCCAGTGTTTTCTTTTATGAAGTGACATCATATGCCTAAAATTTTCAACACTATCATTTTTAAAGTCCTTATGATTCTAAGGAAACATTGTAAATGTTATTATTTTCTTTTCAAGAAATAAAATTTTAGTAAGGAATAAACTATTCCTACAAGCTTCTATAAAACTCCTTGCAACAAGGTGTTTTTCCCATTGTGTCTCTAAAAATCAAAACCTTTTGCATTTCAATACATTCATTAAATAAATGTGGAAGTACACAATGATATTCATAAGGTAACAAGCACTTTTAGAGCATCTAGTTGAGGACCAACAATAAATAGCCAATGAAAGTGCCAAATTTCCAACTTTGGGTAATAGGATGCGGGGGAAAGATATAGTCAGCAGATATAATGCAGCAAAAAGCCAACTCTCTGGTTTCCTCTGATGCCTTAATAAACAAAACCAAATGAACAAAAAAAGTCATCTATCCCATAGAAAAGACCCCATATGAAAATACCTCGCATTTCTGCAGCCACCTCCAAAGTCTGAACTTTTGGTTGGCTCTCATTTTGGCTTCTGTTTTTAGCATATGAATAATGAGCTGATTTTTGTTTTGTAGAGCCATATCAAGAGGTGTTTCTCCCTTAAAAAAGAGTAGGGTAAAAAGTTTAAAAGTATTTTTAATATATTATGAGTGCTAAACTTTTTTTAAAAACACCAGAATCATAGACTCAACACATTATTCCAAGGATAGCCAGCTATTATCATTTATATCTATCTTGGGGTAACTGAAAACAATTATATAGCTTATCTTTACGTTAATTTATCAATCTTCTAACTCAAGATATAATAAACTAAGGGAGATAAATATCTGGCCATACCTTAACATTCTGGATATCCAGGCTAGAACCAGCTTCCAAAAGCTTATCAACTGCATTAACATTTCCTGCTGCAACTGCCCAGTGAAGTGGAGTGTTTTGGTGTATTTTATCAACCACATTGAGAGAAGGATTAAACTTTAAAAGAAATCCAGTTGGTTCTGGCCTGTCTCAAAATAATAAAATACCAAGAGGCATTAACAGAGATGATGACTTAAGGAGTAAATGCAAATTATGAATCTTTTAAGATAATGCCATCAATTAACCATTCAGTTAAGTATTCAGAACTGAGAAACTTCTTTGTACTGAGTTCTATTCTAGGTACTAATAGGAGATTAAAAAAAAAGACATCTATTAAATGACGACTGCTATACAGATAGATAATTTTAACAATGCAGTGGAATAACTGCTTTTGTTTTTCAAACTTTTCCTTTCATATTGTTGTTCTATTGGCTAACACTTTTCTTTGAATATAGATTTAACTTTAGCCAATATTAAATGCTATGCTATTTATTCAATTAAAGACTAAATGTATGTCTTAGTTGAGGAGCTAACTTCATACTCTCCATCAAATCAACTGTTAAATAAAGCAGGTATAAATTATGCCCTAAAATATTTGTATATCTTAGAAAGTTACGGACTAGAAGACAGAATTCAGTAAAATATTTTTACTTTACCAATACCTTTCCTTCCTTCATGACCACTGAAGAGATTCTTTTAATAAAACAATATTCTACTTTATTTATTCTATCAATATCTTTATAGAGATTATACCTGACTTCAGATTTACCAGCACAGAAGAGAAAATGCTTTTTAATAAAATTCTACCTCCAGTCCTACCATTCCATGAACAAAAAGGAAATAGCATTAGAACTAACACAGTTCCTAGAAGTCCTAAGTACAAGCAAAATCAGAGATTCAATACAACATAGAAACAAACTGCTAAAGTGAGAACTGTCGTAAGTATCTGCCTAGATAAATACCAGAAGTTGAACTATACAGTGGTCATTAATCATGTGTTTATAGAAATAAATACACAGAAAAACTTGAATATGTAAGTGCCTGATCTGAACATACAGACTCTTTTCAGTTAATGATATTTTCAAAGTAGTCAAGAATGATGTCAGAGAATCTCAAAATTTAATATTTTCCAGAAAGCAGATTTATCACTTAGATTTCAAATTATGAGAACATTTAAAATTATAGCCATTTTTTTAAAGCCAAAGGAAGAAATACAAGTCATGTTAACAAGTATATTTCAAGGTATATCTACTTGATAGGTAAGGAAATTTTTTTCTTATTAGTAGCTTTCAAACTTTTTGCCAAAGCTATCAGAAAAGAGAAAATGTATTTCAAGGCTGCTTTTCTAACTATAACTACCTTAAAAGTCAATTATCACAGTCTCTGTGTGAAAAATCTTATTTTCTTCAATGTACTATCATCTCACATAGACACAGATACTTAAAATTACATACACAGAAAAGAAATAGTTGGAACCAAGAATGAGATTGAGTGGACTAAATTAAACTCACCCAATTACTTTGTGAGCTGATAACATGAGAGGTGTCTGCCCATTTACATCTGTCATATTCACACTCTATTCAAAAAGAAGACAATTAGCATAACTGTAAATACACTCAAAAGTCTATTTGTTCTCTTAATAGAAATATCTCTTTAATACATTCAATACTACCATTATTTCTACATAAAGGGCTCAAATATCATTTGATAAAAAGAATGTTTTGCTCACTTCCATAGGGTAAAAATCCATGGATTTCCACAGAATATTTTTAAAAAGAAAATCTGAATATATAATGTAAAGTGTTATATGATGTGAACACAGTTAAGGGAAAGAGTAAAATGTTGATAGCTACCATCAAATACAAGAGATGGTAGAGACCTTAAAAGTCACCTAGTTGAGACCTTAGTTGACACATTAATTCGCATTATCATTTCTTATACAAAGTCATTCAGTACCTACTCAAACACTTCCAGTAAATAGTGAACTCCCTATCTTCTGAGGCAACTTGTCTTTCTGGACTTATCATATTAAGTTTTAAATAGTAAAATATGAAAATTTCCTTTCTATTTTCTGGAACACAGAAAAAAAAAGGAAATCATATTTCCATGAGGATACAGTCCTTTTAATAAGACAGGTCTAGGTTTAAGGTATACAGCAATGGTTTCAGCTAAGCCAAAGAAAAACAGTTTCAGCTTCTGAAGATTCTTATGGGCCTTGGAGGAACAGGACTTGGGAAGGCACCCAAAGAGAAGCAGACAGGACTCTTCCTCATATATTTATATTTTTCCAACAATGAAACCTAGGAGGTTATAATTCTACTTCAATCAGCTAAGTCTGAGAGAAAGTGCTTATTTAAAGGGAGCACAATCATTCCAACAGCATTTGTGCAAACACGTTTTCATGCCTTTTACAGGCAAGTCTGCTAATACATAAACTACTTTGCTACCAGAAAACATATTCCAGGCAAGTATAATTGACAGTGAAACTTACAATAACCTATAATTTAACCTGTGCCTCTCAAGGCAAGTCAATTTTCATGGAATTACTTTAGAGAACAATAAGAAACATATATTCAAATTGGCCTCCCATTTGGGCTCAAATAATGAAAGCAAATGATGGGTTAATTTAGTGATTTGACTACCATTTTTATATTCAACTAGAAGAAAAATACAGGCTTTGAAGTCATGTTTTTGAGAAACTCTGCAAATTACTGGGTTCATAAGAAAAACTATTACCAGCTTACAAGTTTCAGAAACATCTATTATACGTTACTGAGCTAAATGACCTGTCCTTTTCCCTCCAATGAAGCTGAAAAGCAGTATTCAATGGCTAAACGTACTGAGGCTAATATCTGAATATCTGGATATCCATTAACCTCCACTTTAAAAATGAGAAGAGACTACTACTAATAATTTCCCCAACCTCTTCAGATGATAAAAACTGGAGTATAAGACACATTTCAGAACATACCTGTCCCTTTGAGATGAGATATGCTATAATAGGCATGTGTTGAAACAATACTGCCAGGTGGATGCTGCTGAATCCCTCTCCATCAATAAGAGTGGGGTCTGCACCATGCTGGAGTAATAATATGACCATAGGTAAATGTCCTTGTCTGCAAATAGAAGACAAAAAGCCATTCTGTAGCATGCAGAAAAAGCAAAAAGTCAGGGAGAGACTGATATTCCTAAGACATGAGGGATTTTGGTTACATATAAAAAATATTTCCTAACAGTAAGATTTTTGAAACAATGGTGATTGTCCAAACGTTTTTAACTTAGATGCTGCAAACTTAGAACTATATGGATAATCATTCTCGTTTTTTTTTGTTTTTTGTTTTTTGTTTTTGAGATGGAGTCTCGCTCTGTGACCCAGGCTGGAGTGCAGTGGCACGATCTCAGCTCACTGCAACATCTGCCTCCCAGGTTCAAGCGGTTCTCCTGCCTCAGCGGGGACTACAGGCGCATGCCACCATGCCCACCTAATTTTTTGTATTTTTAGTAGAGATGGGGTTTCATTGTGTTAGCCAGGATGGTCTCGATCTCCTGACCTCATGATCTGCCTGCCTGGGCCTCCCAAAGTGCTGGGATTACAGGCATGAGCCACTGCACCCGGCCTGGATAATCATTCTTGAGTGCAAGTGATAAACTTGATAACTTCCCAATCTACCCTAAACCTGACCTTCACACATTACCATACGTGAATAATAATTCTTTATGACATGGTAACAATGAAGATTCTAAGACCACTTAGATGTCACTGTCATTTTAAAATCAAAAAATCATAAGCCAGATATACAGAAATATAATATTCATAAACTATGGGTTTACTGTGATAATATTAAGAGCTATATATTCATATGCTTTTCTTATGCTTGACTATGGTTCATTTTTCATGTAAAGTACTGTACCTCAGTAGCTTAAAGGGCATGAAGTAACCCTAGAGTTTCAAAACTCTTAGCTATGGAGAAAAGATTCAACTCCTTGACTTACATGAACAATTATTCACTTCAGTTTCAGATTCCTGTCAACCCCACCAACCACCGAGAGTGGAGTTTAAATTAATAAAAGAAACTGATAAGTATTCAAGACTTACTAACTTCAGTTTCAGATGGCCAATATACAACAGAGAAAAAAGGAGAGTGACCACACAATATAAATGTTCTAAGTTGATATACTCAAAATTTCTTGTTAATCCTGCAACAACTTTTAAAAGAGTTGACTCAATTGGCCCTAAGATATAGAGATATACTTCACATTTAAGAGGAAACTCACCTCTGAAATAAAATCGTAAATTTCTAAATAGACATCTGTCATAAGCCTGAACTGAATGAGTTTGCACTTCACTGAACTACTATTTTTATTTATGTTACCAAGTATGAAAATTATTTATTCTAATTACAAAAAAGAAACTATAAAACACATATTTGAGTTGGATAATCATAATGAAGCCCTAAATTAAATATCGAAAACATCCTTTCTGCAAACTCTTTAAAGCTGAAATTTATTTTTAAATAAAGGGGGGGGGGGAAGAAAAGACAGCCTTTCAAATCGTCTATAACTGATTTTTTATATGGTGACCACTAGCTATATGTGGCTATTTAATTTCAGTGTTCAAAGAAACCTTACCGGATGGCCCAGTGAAGAGGAGTTGAATTTAAATCTCCACCCAACTGATCTACAACAGCACCTTTTGAAATATAAAACCTGTTAAAAGCAGACACAAATGAAAGTAAGATTTGAAACTTAAGCTTCATATTGAGAAAGAAAATACTAATTTTTTCATAGTAATAAATATGTTGGAGAACAAATTATGATAGTAATAATCCCTAAAACACCCAGATCTATAGAAATATGAAAGGTTCACATGGCAGAATCAGACAAATCCCTGATGAAACATCCTTAGGATGTAAGTAATTAGTCCTGCTGTAATTAGCATTCCATTATAACTTACATATCAAATACATCATAACTACTCTCTGCATAGTCTAACTACCGCAGCACTCTTGAAATTGTTTATATTCAAAAGGTTTAGGATCAGACAGATATTCTTACTTGACTGGAAGGAGAAAGGTAAAGTTATGTCACCTTCAACAGTTTAAAAGTAGAATTACTATGTGGGAATGAATTTTAAAAGTAAGTAGTAAAGAATTAATTTAAAATCCTTTTGGAAAAGTTAGACATTTTGAGTGTTTTGCCCTGTATTTAGGGTACGGAGATGAGAGGCACTGTATAAGGTGGACATATAAGGTAATAAGACTGATTTTCTTCTATGGTTTATAGGAATTAGTCTCATTACTTCAAAGTTGAGCTTCATACATCATATTATCTAAATACCATGCCAGTTTATTTCCACAGAAGAGGAGTTTGCCTGTGAGTATTCATGTGTGTTAGAACATTTTAAACCTTAATAAATTTCTTAAACTTTGAGGATTTTAAATATCTAATCCTATAACACAAAATATATACACATTCACATACACATGTACATTTTACATGTTAAGCTGTTTAAAAGAAACAATGGGTAGGCAGTAGTGCTTTATGAAGGGGAAATATTTTATACAATCCAATACATGCCCACTTAAAAGTATATTCCATATTTAGTTTTTTTAAAAGGTTAAATCTCCTACCTATCTATTCTTCGTGGTATTAAAATGTAAAATATTTCAATGCTTCTTCTAAACTAGATGAGACTTCCCATTCTCTTCTGAAAAAGTTTATTATACTTTTCCTTTTTTAAAAAATGTTCACTTTTACTTTCTAAACTTTATGATTGGCCCCCTTGGCTTTATCTCTAATTTTCCCTTTTGGATCAACCAGGCATGGTCTCTAAGGTCCCTTTCAACTTTATAATAACCAACGTGTGTGGCAGAAAAAGTTTCGGGTGTTCTTTTACACGAGGATTACACATGGTTCAATACCCATACTTAAAGAAAAAGATAAATGAAGGAGAGGTCTAAAATTATAAATACACAATTAACACACATATCCCATCTTACTTTACAAGATCCAGTCTGTTGTTAATAGCAGCCCAATGAAGAAGCGACACATTTTCTTTATCTGGTTGCCTGACATCATATCCTGCTTCTACCAACTCTTTACATCGTTCAAAAATTCCGTATCTCAAAGAAGAAAAAAAAAAGCATAATTGATACAATTAAAATCATTTCAAATATCAAAATTTCTTCACTTTACTATATCTTTTCACTATCCAAACTGCCTTTCAGTCAATACAGAAATATAATAATTAACAAAGACATGCATAGAGAGGACACAGTATAAAGCCAAACAGCAAAAGGAAACCTGGTTTATGTACTGATCAGATTAATCTCTTTGGAGTTGAACTTGACTTTCTTAAGTAAACTTTAAACTTACATTGCCTTCCTTCAATAAGTTTCATCTGATCTCCACTATGTGCCAGAAACACCTGGTGCCAATTCCTGACAATAATCTTACCCCTGAATCAAACCAAGCCCATGCAATAATCTCACAATAAGGGATAAAGACTAAAAGCAAACTTAGAATGGGATAAATTCCACAACGAAATATGGAAAGAATATAGGTATAGCAGAGGAACAAATGATTAGCCCTTCCTGAAGGAGATGAAACTAAGCTATATTTTATAGGTTGACAAAAGGCATTTCAGGCAGAGGAAGCAGCATGTACAAAAATCAGCAATGTGAAACTACATGGATGTTCAGAGAAATAAAAGCAATTTAACATTGCTAAAGCATAAAGCATGAGAGGGAATGGTGAGACATGAGGTCAGACGCAATAGGCAAAGATCACATGGGCCTTCTGTGCTATGCTATGAAGTTTAGCTTTATGTACAGTTCAATGGGAAACCAATAAAGGGTTTTAAAGAGGAAAGCACTCAGACTTTGAGTTTTAAGAAAGATCGCATTGGAGGCAGTATGGAAGCTGCTTAGAGCAGGGTGAGGACAGAGAGTGAAATACGAATTTAGAGATTATTGCAATAAATACAGGTGAGAGACAATGAGAGCCTAAAGTAAGAGTGAAGCAATAGGAACAGAAAAGGAATGATGGGCTTGAGAGAGATTTAACTACTAGTTAATCAGTTAAATAGTATAGCATTAAAAAGAGGTATTTCATAGAGAAATTATAGCATTAAAAAGACATATTTCATAGAGAATAAAGAGGCAAATCATTTATTAGCAATATTTTTTTTTTTTTGAGATGGAGTCTTGCTTTGTCGCCCAGGCTGGAGTGCAGTGGCGCAATCTCAGCTCACTTCAACCTCTGTCTCCCAGGTTGAAGCGATTCTCCTGCCTCAGCCTCCCAGGTAGCTGGGATTACAGGCGTGTGCCACGACACCAGGCTAATTTTTGTATTTTTAATAGGTTTCACCACGTTAGCCAGGCTGGTCTCGAAGTCCTGACCTCAGGTAATCTGCCCACCTCGGCCTGCCAAAGTGCTGGGCTTACAGGCGTGAGCCACCACACCCGGCCTATTAGCAATATTTCTATGAAGTCCCAACTGACCCTTTAGCACTTTCTTTAAAACTTATTTCTACTTAAAACTACCTGAAAGTTCCAATAAGCCCGCAAGGATCAAAAATCAAACCAAATGGCAGAATTGTCTGTTTCTCACACTGTAAATTAGAATAATTTCTGCCTTACCAAAATACACGCGTGTGTGTGTGCGTGTGTGTGTCTTTTTGGCATTTTTAAAAGAGTAAATTTTTGAAAATGACACACATACATTTACACTCTCCATCTTTTAAATGTCAACTTTAACATTTTACTGGAAAATAAATACTCCCTTTATTTTAGAAACATAATAAGAATATACATTCAGGTTTTGCTGGTTTAGAAAACACACACACACACACACACACACACACACACACTCCATAGCTCTCTATGCCCTTCCCAGATACTACCTACAGGTCCCCCGACAACCACTTGAGAAGGTCCAGGACCTGAAGAAAATTTTAGGAAAGACATAAAATGCGAGTTTTTACTGAGATTCCCTCTAAAAAGAGCCTAATTTCTGACATTTATCTTAAGAGTTTTATGGGCAACAGGGAAAGATTTAAATGTTTGCATCCTAATTAAAGCAAATATTTACCTTAAGAATATGCTCATCTTTGTACAAATAAAATATAAACAATATCAAATAATATTCAACTAAAAGAGTGGTTCCCAAGGCCTCTAGAGTTAATATAAATTGGTAATTAGAATACTCAAATAATTGTCAATATATTTTTTAATTAACATAGACAATACATTAGTCCATATCAAGGCCAAACAGGCTAATTAATCTCCAAACATCTTTGCTTCTGATAGAAATTATATCAAGTTAGTATGGTAACATTAGTTCCCCTCAGGCTGATTAGATTGGCATGATTTTTATTTGATGGGCAATCTGCTGGGCAGATTTATGTTTGATTACTACAAAAATGGATTAATACTTGATGTAGTCTGATGTACAAAATACTTCAAAATTTGCTCAATGTCAAGAGGTGTGATAGATGTTAATAATCAACAAGATCCATGAAGGTGAAAATGTTGGAAATAATTGACTTAATGCAAATACCCACATATGGAGATCTTAAGGGGAAACTTTCAAAATGTACTTCCATATCCAGTGCAAGCAAAACAACACACTATGTGTTTCAAGTGGTCAGAGAACATATTTCCACCTTACCTTACCGTATTTCTTCTAGTTAGTCCAGCACAACAAGCACATGGAAAGTACTCAAGAAATAAATGATTTTTAAAAATATCTATAAATGTGTAAGTCAGTATTTTTCATTCCATCTACCTATTCAGGTTGTAGTATATTTTAAAAGACTTAGATTTGTGTTTCAAATAAAGAGTTTGGCTTAGTGTCATTTAAAATCATCCATTCATTCAAGGAACATTTATTGGGTACCTTACACAAGAAGGAACTGTGCAAAAGCACTGGAGCTACAAAGATGAAGACATGCTTTTGCTAAGAACCTGCCTACAATCTAATGGGACGTCCTGGTACATAAACAGCTCAGGTACACTGTACTAAGTACTGTGGTGTTGGTATGACAAATATACTGGTGCTGGTGTTAACTACTATTATGAAGTTAAGAGAGGTAAACATATGAAGCTCCATGAACTACACATATATTACTATTAATTCTAGAGAACATAAGGATAAACCAAAGCATTTGGAAGACTTACTGAGTAGCTTTGACAATGTCACAGTTACTAGAGTCCTCTATAAGAGGAAGAGCTTCTCTTGCATTGGCAAGTTCTTTGTTTTCATGTGCACAGATGCCATATCGACCAAATCCTGGAGGGTGGGGGCCATGGCTGTGATTCCTGCACTGAAGAGTAAGAGTCATTTGACAAAGCATGAGAGAATTAATGTCACACTCAATTACATAATGAAGCATTTGCTACTATCAACAATATCTATATTAATAAATTACATTTTTTGGAGTTTTAGAAGTGTATCCTGAGAATGACTTGAACCCAGGAGGCGGAGGTTGTAGTAAGCTGAGATCACACCATTGCATTCCAGCCTGGGTGACAGAGTGAGACTCTGTCTCAAAAAAAAAAGAAAAAAAAAGTGTATCCTAAGGAAGATTTTCTTTATCTTAATTCTGTTCAGTAGAAAAGATGCTTACTATTACAAAAAATCCAAATTACATATTTTGTTCATAAAACAAAGGTCATCTGAAAAGGCACAAATGGACCTTGTTACTTGTAGTGGGCAGAGGACCATTGCTACTGACTTGGTAAGAAGTTTGCCAGGCCTCTACTTTTTGGAGTTGTGGTGGACATACCCTAAGAATATCCTCGAACCCCCCAATTAATCAAGTTCTCATATAATTCCTTCCTCTTGAGCACAGGCAGAACTTGTGACTTGTTTCTAGGCAATGGAATATGGCAAAGGTGATGAGACAATTACTCCCATGGTCATGTTATATCAGACTCTGTCTTAGCCAACTGAAGCAAGAGATTCTTCTGCTGGCCTTGAAAAAGTAAGCTGCCATGATATGCGAGGGCCTGTGAGAGAGCCACATAACAAGGAACTGTGGGCAGTCTTCAGGAGTGAAAACAGTCCTTGCTGACAACCAGTAAGAAAATGAGACTTTGATCATACAACAGCAAGAAACTGAATTCTGCTAATAACCAAATGAACTAGAAAGAGGACCCCAAGCTCAGCCTTGATGTCAACTGTGAGAGACCCTTAGCAGAGGATCCAGCTAAGCCATGCCTAGACTCCTGACAAACAGAAACTATGACATAATAAATAGGTGTTACGGGTGGCGTGCTAGCTCAGTTGGTTAAAGCATAGTGCTAATAAGTAGGTGTTGTTTTAACCCACTAAATGCGTGGTAATTTGTTATACAGTAATGGGTAACTAATACAGAAGTGACTGCATAATTTGGGAGGGTAAAAAGAATGACTGCCAAGATAGTCCCACTAGCTGAATCAACAAATGTTACATTCGGATCACCTATTAGAAGCAGCAGCACATGGCAAGCTAAAAAATTTTTCTTTAAACAATTATCTTAGATTTGTCATTCAAACTAATTTGAGTGTTTCTAATCTCAAACACTGAGCTTAGACCTTAGCAGAAAACCAATACGGGGTTCGCTAATGTTAAAAAAAAAAAAAAAGCCCACAAAAATCTAAGATCAATTATCCGTTCTGTGGATTATGAATACATTTTATTTCTCCTTTCCATTACTACAGCCTTTTGGGTTCATTATCACTTCTAGGGCAGATGGGTAGATGATCAATTAAGATGAGCAATTTTGACACTTGTTGACAACTTTGCTAAAATATTTGGTGGACAAGCAGGCAGGCAGAGGGAGTTAAAATCTTTAGCACAAATGATGCTCACTAAATCACTTTAATACCCCTAAACAAAGACTTAGTTTTACTTGAGAGAAGGACTCCTTCAGCTAAAGATGTGGGATGATCAAAGTTTCTGTTTCCTAAAAGCACAAATACACCAAATGTACATATTATTTACATATATTCTAAATACATTTTAAAAAGACTCTACAGTGTGACCCTAATCACAGTGATATCTTTGACTACTCATTTACATAATAACCAATCCTCTAATCTCATAGGCTATTCAGATTTCCAAGTAGAAATAGATTCCTGTTAAAGTAATCAACTTTAATAAAACATAGTATATTGCATTCTCTAAAGAAATGATACCTTAAAGAGAAACCTCCCTGAATCAGTACTTTTTTTTCTTTTTTTTTTTTATTATTATACTACTTTAAAGTTTTAGGGTACATGTGCACAATGTGCAGGTTAGTTACATATGTATACATGTGCCATGCCGGTGCGCTGCACCCACTAACTCATCATCTACATTAGGTATATCTCCCAATGCTATCCCTCCCCCCTCCCCCCACCCCACAACAGTCCCCAGAGTATGATGTTCCCCTTCCTGTGTCCATGTGTTCTCATTGTTCAATTCCCACCTATGAGTGAGAATATGCAGTGTTTGGTTTTTTGTTCTTGCAATAGTTTACTGAGAATGATGATTTCCGATTTCATCCATGTCCCCACAAAGGACGTGAACTCATCATTTTTTATGGCTGCATAGTATTCCATGGTGTATATGTGCCACATTTTCTTAATCCAGTCTATCATTGTTGGACATTTGGGTTGGTTCCAAGTCTTCACTATTGTGAATAATGCCGCAATAAACATACGTGTGCATGTGTCTTTATAGCAGCATGATTTATAGTCCTTTGGGCATATACCCAGTAATGGGATGGCTGGGTCAAATGGTATTTCTAGTTCTAGATCCCTGAGGAATCGCCACACTGACTTCCACAATGGTTGAACTAGTTTACAGTCCCACCAAAAGTTGAAAAGTGTTCCTATTTCTCCACATCCTCTCCAGCACCTGTTGTTTCCTGACTTTTTAAGGATTGCCATTCTAACTGGTGTGAGATGGTATCTCATTGTGGTTTTGATTTGCATTTCTCTGATGGCCAGTGATGGTGAGCATTTTTTCATATGTCTTTTGACTGCATAAATGTCTTCTTTTGAGAAGTGTCTGTTCATGTCCTTTGCCCACTTTTTGATGGGGTTGTTTGTTTTTTTCTTGTAAATTTGTTGGAGTTCATTGTAGATTCTGGATATTAGCCCTTTGTCAGATGAGTAGGTTGCGAAAATTTTCTCCCATGTTGTAGGTTGCCTGTTCACTCTGATGGTAGTTTCTTTTGCTGTGCAGAAGCTCTTTAGTTTAATTAGATCCCATTTGTCAATTTTGGCTTTTGTTGCCATTGCTTTTGGTGTTTTAGACATGAAGTCCTTTCCCATGCCTATGTCCTGAATGGTAATGCCTAGGTTTTCTTCTAGGGTTTTTATGGTTTTAGGTCTAACGTTTAAGTCTTTAATCCATCTTGAATTGATTTTTGTATAAGGTGTAAGGAAGGGATCCAGTTTCAGCTTTCTACATATGGCTAGCCAGTTTTCCCAGCACCATTTATTAAATAGGGAATCCTTTCCCCATTGCTTGTTTTTCTCAGGTTTGTCAAAGATCAGATAGTTGTAGATATGCGGCGTTATTTCTGAGGGCTCTGTTCTGTTCCATTGATCTATATCTCTGTTTTGGTACCAGTACCATGCTGTTTTGGTTACTGTAGCCTTGTAGTATTGTTTGAAGTCAGGCAGTGTGATGCCTCCAGCTTTGTTCTTTTGGCTTAGGATTGACTTGGCGATGCGGGCTCTTTTTTGGTTCCATATGAACTTTAAAGTAGTTTTTTCCAATTCTGTGAAGAAAGTCATTGGTAGCTTGATGGGGATGGCATTGAATCTGTAAATTACCTTGGGCATTAGGGCCATTTTCACAATATTGATTCTTCCTACCCATGAGCATGGAATGTTCTTCCATTTGTTTGTATCCTCTTTTATTTCATTGAGCAGTGGTTTGTAGTTCTCCTTGAAGAGGTCCTTCACATCCCTTGTAAGTTGGATTGCTAGGTATTTTCTTCTCTTTGAAGCAATTGTGAATGGGAGTTCACTCATAATTTGGCTCTCTGTTTGTCTGTTGTTGGTGTATAAGAATCCTTGTGATTTTTGTACGTTGATTTTGTATCCTGAGACTTTGCTGAAGTTGCTTATCAGCTTAAGGAGATTTTGGGCTGAGACAATGGGGTTTTCTAGATATACAATCATGTCGTCTGCAAACAGGGACAATTTGACTTCCTTTTTTCCTAATTGAATACCCTTTATTTCCTTCTCCTACCTAATTGCCCTGGCCAGAACTTCCAACACTATGTTGAATAGGAGTGGTGAGAGAGGGCATCCATGTCTTGTGCCAGTTTTCAAAGGGAATGCTTCCAGTTTTTGCCCATTCAGTATGATATTGGCTGTGGGTTTGTCATAGATAGCTCTTATTATTTTGAGATACGTCCCATCAATACCTAATTTATTGAGAGTTTTTAGCATGAAGGGTTGTTGAATTTTCTCAAAGGCCTTTTCTGCATCTATTGAGATAATCATGTGGTTTTTGTCTTTGGTTCTGTTTATATGCTGGATTACATTTATTGATTTGCGTATATTGAACCAGCCTTGCATCCCAGGTATGAAGCCCACTTGATCATGGTGGATAAGCTTTTTGATGTGCTGCTGGATTCGGTTTGCCAGTATTTTATTGAGGATTTTTGCATCAATGTTCATCAAGGATATTGGTCTAAAATTCTCTTTTTTGGTTGTGTCTCTGCCCGGCTTTGGTATCAGGATGATGCTGGCCTCACAAAATGAGTTAGGGAGGATTCCCTCTTTTTCTATTGACTGGAATAGTTTCAGAAGGAATGGTACCAGTTCCTCCTTGTACCTCTGGTAGAATTCGGCTGTGAATCCATCTGGTCCTGGACTCTTTTTGGTTGGTAAGCTATTGATTATTGCCACAATTTCAGCTCCTGTTATTGGTCTATTCAGAGATTCAACTTCTTCCTGGTTTAGTCTTGGGAGAGTGTATGTGTTGAGGAATTTATCCCTTTCTTCTAGATTTTCTAGTTTATTTGCGTAGAGGTGTTTGTAGTATTCTCTGATGGTAGTTTGTATTTCTGTGGGATTGGTGGTGATATCCCCTTTATCATTTTTTATTGCATCTATTTGATTCTTCTCTCTTTTTTTCTTTATTAGTCTTGCTAGCAGTCTATCAATTTTGTTGATCCTTTCAAAAAACCAGCTCCTGTATTCATTAATTTTTTGAAGGGTTTTTTTGTGTCTCTATTTCCTTCAGTTCTGCTCTGATTTTAGTTATTTCTTGCCTTCTGCTAGCTTTTGAATGTGTTTGCTCTTGCTTTTCTAGTTCTTTTAATTGTGATGTTAGGGTGTCAATTTTGGATCTTTCCTGCTTTCTCTTGTGGGCATTTAGTGCTATAAATTTCCCTCTACACACTGCTTTGAATGCGTCCCAGAGATTCTGGTATGTTGTGTCTTTGTTCTCGTTGGTTTCAAAGAACATCTTTATTTCTGCCTTCATTTTGTTATGTACCCAATAGTCATTCAGGAGCAGGTTGTTCAGTTTCCATGTAGTTGAGCGGTTTTGAGTGAGATTCTTAATCCTGAGTTCTAGTTTGATTGCACTGTGGTCTGAGAGATACTTTGTTATAATTTCTGTTCTTTTGCTGAGGAGAGCTTTACTTCCAAGTATGTGGTCAATTTTGGAATAGGTGTGGTGTGGTGCTGAAATAAATGTATATTCTGTTGATTTGGGGTGGAGAGTTCTGTAGATGTCTATTAGGTCCGCTTGGTGCAGAGCTGAGTTCAATTCCTGGGTATCCTTGTTGACTTTCTGTCTCGTTGATCTGTCTAATGTTGACAGTGGGGTGTTAAAGTCTCCCATTATTAATGTGTGGGAGTCTAAGTCTCTTTGTAGGTCGCTCAGGACTTGCTTTATGAATCTGGGTGCTCCTGTATTGGGTGCATATATGTTTAGGACAGTTAGCTCTTCTTGTTGAATTGATCCCTTTACCATTATGTAATGGCCTTCTTTGTCTCTTTTGATCTTTGTTGGTTCAAAGTCTGTTTTATCAGAGACTAGGATTGCAACCCCTGCCTTTTTTTGTTTTCCATTTGCTTGGTAGATCTTCCTCCATCCTTTTATTTTGAGCCTATGTGTGTCTCTGCACATGAGATGGGTTTCCTGAATACAGCACACTGATGGGTCTGGACTCTTTATCCAATTTGCCAGTCTGTGCCTTTTAATTGGAGCATTTAGTCCATTTACATTTAAAGTTAATACTGTTATGTGTGAATTTGATCCTGTCATTATGATGTTAGCTGGTTATTTTGCTCGTTAGTTCATGCAGTTTCTTCCTAGTCTCGATGGTCTTTACATTTTGGCATGATTTTGCAGCGGCTGGTATCTGTTGTTCCTTTCCATGTTTAGCGCTTTCAGGAGCTCTTTTAGGGCAGGCCTGGTGGTGACAAAATCTCTCAGCATTTGCTTGTCTGTAAAGTATTTTATTTCTCCTTCACTTATGAAGCTTAGTTTGGCTGGATATGAAATTCTGGGTTGAAAATTCTTTTCTTTAAGAATGTTGAATATTGGCCCCCACTATCTTCTGGCTTGTAGAGTTTCTGCCGAGAGATCTGCTGTTAGTCTGATGGGCTTCCCTTTGTGGGTAACCCGACCTTTCTCTCTGGCTGCCCTTAACATTTTTTCCTTCATTTCAACTTTGGTGAATCTGACAATTATGTGTCTTGGAGTTGCTCTTCTCGAGGAGTATCTTTGTGGCATTCTCTGTATTTCCTGAATCTGAATGTTGGCCTTGCTACATTGGGGAAGTTCTCCTGGATAATAGCCTGCAGAGTGTTTTCCAACTTGGTTCCATTCTCCCCGTCACTTTCAGGTACACCAATCAGACGTAGATTTGGTCTTTTCACATAGTCCCATATTTCTTGGAGGCTTTGCTCGTTTCTTTTTATTCTTTTTTCTCTAAACTTCCCTTCTCGCTTCATTTCATTCACTTCATCTTCCATCACTGATACCCTTTCTTCCAGTTGATCGCATCGGCTCCTGAGGCTTCTGCATTCTTCATGTAGTTCTCGAGCCTTGGTTTTCAGCTCCATCAGCTCCTTTAAGCACTCCTCTGTATTGGTTATTCTAGTCATACATTCTTCTAAACTTTTTTCAAAGTTTTCAACTTCTTTGCCTTTGGTTTGAATTTCCTCCCGTAGCTCAGAGTAATTTGATCGTCTGAAGCCTTCTTCTCTCAGCTCGTCAAAGTCATTCTCTGTCCAGCTTTGTTCCGTTGCTGGTGAGGAACTGCGTTCCTTTGGAGGAGGAGAGGCGCTCTGCTTTTCAGAGTTTCCAGTTTTTCTGCTCTGTTTTTTCCCCATCTTTGTGGTTTTATCTACTTTTGGTCTTTGATGATGGTGATGTACAGATGGGTTTTTGGTGTGGATGTCCTTTCTGTTTGTTAGTTTTCCTTCTAACAGACAGGACCCTCAGCTGCAGGTCTGTTGGAGTACCCGGCCATGTGAGGTGTCAGTCTACCCCTGCTGGGGGGTGCCTCCCAGTTAGGCTGCTCAAGGGTCAGAGGTCAGGGACCCACTTGAGGAGGCAGTCTGCCCGTTCTCAGATCTCCAGCTGCATGCTGGGAGAACCACTGCTCTCTTCAAAGCTGTCAGACAGGGACATTTAACTCTGCAGAGGTTACTGCTGTCTTTTTGTTTGTCTGTGCCCTGCCCCCAGAGGTGGAGCCTACAGAGGCAGGCAGGCCTCCTTGAGCTGTGGTGGGCTCCACCCAGTTCGAGCTTCCCGGCTGCTTTGTTTACCTCAGCAAGCCTGGGCAATGGCGGGCGCCCCTCCCCAGCCTCGCTGCCGCCTTGCAGTTTGATCTCAGACTGCTGTGCTAGCAATCCAGCGAGACTCCATGGGCGTAGGCCCCTCCGAGCCAGGTGCGGGATATAATCTCCTGGTGCGCCGTTTTTTAAGCCCGTCGGAAAAGCGCAGTATTCGGGTGGGAGTGACCCGATTTTCCAGGTGCCATCTGTCATCCCTTTCTTTGACTAGGAAAGGGAACTCCCTGACCCCTTGTGCTTCCCAAGTGAGGCAACGCCTCGCCCTGCTTCGGCTCGCACACCGTGCGTGCACCCACTGACCTGTGCCCACTGTCTGGCACTCCCTAGTGAGATGAACCCGGTACCTCAGATGGAGATGCAGAAATCACCCGTCTTCTGCGTCGCTCGCGCTGGGAGCTGTAGACCAGAGCTGTTCCTATTCGGCCATCTTGGCTCCTACCACTTTTTTTAAAAGATGTATTTATTTATTGGGAGGGGGTCTTCCTCTGTTGCCCACGCTGGAGTGCAGCAGTGTGATCATAGCTCACTGCAGCCTCGAATTCCAGGGCTCAGGCAATCCTCCTGCCTCAGCCTCCTAAGTAGCTGAGACTACCGGCGCATGCCACCATACCCAGATAATATTTTTTTCTTTTTAATTTTTTTTTATTATGCTTTAAGTTCTGGGATATATGTGCAGAACGTGCAGGTTTGTTACATAGGTATACATGTGCCATGGTGGTTTGCTGCACCCATCAACCTGTCATCTACATTACGTATTCCTCCTAATGCTATCCCTCCCCTTGCCCCCCACCCCCTGACAGACCGCAGTGTGTAATGTTCCCCTCCCTGTGTCCATATATTCTCACTGTTCAACTCCCACTTATGAGTGAGAACATGCAGTGTTTGGTTTTCTGTTCCTGTGTTACTTTGCTGAGAATGATGGTTTCCAGCTTCATCCATGTCCCTACAAAAGAAATGAACTCATTCTTTTTTATGGCTGCATAGCATTCCATGGTGAATATGTGCCACATTTTCTTTATCCAGTCTGTCATTGATGGGCATTTGAGTTGGTTCCAAGTCTTTGCTATTGTGAATGGTGCTGCAATAAACATACGTGTACATGTATATTTATAGCAGAATGTTTTATAATCCTTTGGTATACCCAGCTAATTTTTTAGTTTTTAGTTTTGTAGAGACAGAGTCTTACTATGTTGCCCAGACTGGTCTTGAACTCCTGGCCTCAAGCGATCCTCTTGCCTCTGTTTCCCAAAGTACTGGGATTACAGGTGTAAGCCACCACACCTGACCTGAATTAGTGCTTAATAAGCAAATTTAGTTACCTATCTACAATTTTTAAAAAGCTGATTTTTAAATAAATGTATCAGAAATTATATCTTCAAAATAGTCTCCTCAGGAGATTATTAGTTATTCCAATAGCATTGCCTTGAAATGTTTTCAGAATTTCCTTTCTGAAACTGTCCTCAGAGCCATATAAAAGAGACTCATATTTTTAACCTCTGAATATCTGAAAATATTATGATTTATTATAAAGACTGAAGTATATAAAACACATACGTGTATATATATATATATATATATATGGACTTCTTTCGTAAAGAGTAAAGAATAAATATAAAATGAACCTCCATGAAACCACTACCTAAGTCAAGATATAGAACTGAGCCAGCACCTTAGAAGACTGCCCGGACACATGCTATGCTCCACCACATCCCCACACTAAAAGAACAGTTTCCTGACTTCAGTTATAATTACTTTTTGCTTTTCTTTATAGTTTTATCTCTAATGTATGCAACCCTAAAAAGTACAGTTCAGCTTTACATTTTTTAATTTTTGTACAAATGGAATCTATCATACGTATTCTCTATCATTTGTTTTGCTTAACATTAGACTTACAAGCTTCATCCATGTTGTTATGAAAGCTACAACAGGTTCATTTTCATTGCTGTATAACATTCCAATACAGTAACATACTACAATTAATTTATCTATTTTACTATGGCTGGATATTTGGACTGTTCCCAGTTTGGGGCTATTATAAAAAAACATATTGCTATGAGTATTCTTGTACATGTCTCTAGGTATATATATATATATGTGTGTGTGTGTGTGTGTGTATATATATGTGTGTGGGTATATATATATATATATGTAAACAATTCTCAAAAGCATATATCTGGAAGTGGAACTGTTGGCTTTGAAGATATGCTTAACTCATCTTCAAAATGGTTGTACCAGTTAAACTTTCCCCTGAAGGGTATGAGTGCTTCTGTTGCTCTAATCCTTACTAATACTTGGTATCATCAGACTCCATAACTTTTGCCAATCTGATGAATGTGTAAACATATCTTGTAGTGATAATAATTTGTATTTCCCTATAATTATCAAGTTGTGTATTTCTTCATGTTTACTGGCCATTTTGAGTTCTTCTTTTATAAAGTACATGTTTAAGCAATTTGTCCATTTTTGTGTTTTTACTGGGTTTCTCTCTTTTTCTTCTTGAATGGTAGCCCTTATAAATTCTGGTTACTCCTTGTTGGCTATATGTTAAGTTAAAAATGAAGTAGAGCCTTCTACTTCTGTGCATGATGGGATAAGTAGGATTGCACTTAACCTCTTGCTTTCTTGCTATAATAAAGAAACCTAGAAAAGTGAACAAAATATATGAAGTAACCTGTACTCAGACTTTGGACAATGAGAACAGTAAGACTGTGATTGCCAAGATATGAGAAAAAAACAAAACAAAACAAATACACAAGGTGAGCCCCACCATCACCCCAGCAATTTTGCAATCATGGGCACTGAGAGGAAAACACTTTGTTTTAGAGCCCAGCAGCCTTGCTAAATTGAGGAGACAGAAATTTGAGATCAGAGAGGCTGAGATAGCTGGCAGTTGTGGGCACATTTCAAGAGAGAAGTGAGCCAACCAGAAAAAAGGGGGCTCCAAAAAATCTGTACAGGAGGCCCACTGAGTCTTTGCAGAGTACTAGGACAAGTAATGTATACAGGGAAACTTGACAAGGATAGGCAAAAAATGGAGATTTGTAAACTGAACAATTACTGGAGTTTATACGTAGCAGGAAGATGTTCAAACTCTGATCAGCCAAAGCGGAGACTCTTTGATGATCCCTTGGGTTATTCAGTGGAGATATCAGAGGGCCACACCTTAGAAGTAGGGATGAACTATATCTGGAATAAAGACTACACCAGAACCACTCTAGAGAAGCCTAAAATCAGACTTCAAAGGACTCAAATTGAGCAACATTAACTTTACCGCCTGCCAAACAATATCCAATAGTCTTTAAAGACAGGCAACAAATACCAGATACTCATCAACGTGCATTCACAAAGTCCACTATCAAATCAAAACTCACTAAACATGCCAAGAAGCAAGAAAAATGCGATCCATAGCCAGAAGAAAAGAACCAGATCTTGAAACTATAAAGATGACAAAATTAGCTGAAAAAGACATTAAAACAGCTAATATAAGTATGTATAAGTATTTAAAGGAAAACATTAACAAAATGAGCAAAGAAATTGAAGATATGACAAAAGATCAGGTTAGAGTATCTGCGGATAAAAGTCAATCTCCTTGTAATCCCAGCACTTTGGGAGGCCGAGGCAGGCAGATCACCTGAGGTCAGGAGTTCAAGACCACCCTGACCAATGTGGTGAAACCCCGTCTCTACTAAAAATACAAAAATTAGCTGGGCATGGTGGCCCATGCCTGTAATCTCAGCTGCTCGAGAGACTGAGGCAGGAGAATCACTTGAACCTGGGAGGCAGTTGCAGTGAGCCAAGATCACACCACTGCACACCAGCCTGGGCACCAGAGTGAGACTCTGTCTCAAAAGAGAAAAAAAAAAAATCAATCTCTAAAATACAAATTACACCAGATTAGATTAACAGCAGATTAAACAGTATAGAAGAAGAGACCATTTAAATTGAAGAAACAACAAGGAAAAGTATCCAAAATGCAGCACAGAGAGAAGACGACTGAAGATGTATAATTGCAGTTCCAGAAGACAAGGAAAAAAGTTTTTTTTAATATTTGAAGAAATTATACCAAAAATCTTCCAAAGTTGGCGAAAATTATAAACTCACAGTAACTACAAGTTTAATGGATCCCAAGTAGGATAAGCCCCGAAATCCTACACCAAGACATATCATAATCAAATCACTAAAAATCAGTAATAAAGAGATCTTAAAATCAGTCTGGACGCTTTGGGAGGCCAAGGCGGGCAGTTCACGAGGACAGGAGTTCGAGACCAGCCTGGCCAATATGGTGAAACCCCGTCTCTACTGAAAATACAAAAAATTAGCCGGGCATGGTGGCGGGTGCCTGCAGTCCCAGCTATTCGGGAGGCTGAGGCAGGAGAATGGCGTGAAGCCGGGAGGCGGAGCTTGCAGTGAGCCGAGATCGCGCCACTGCACTCCAGCCTGGGTGAGAAAGCGAGACTCCATCTAAACAAACAAACAAACAAACAAAAATTAGCCGGGCATGGTGGCACGCACCTGTGGTCCCAGCTACTAGGGAGGCTGAGGCAGAAGAATCACTTGGGCCCAGGAGGCGGAGGTTGCAGTGAGCCGATATCGCGCCACTGTACTCCAGCCTGGGCGACAGAGCGAAATTCCCTTTCAAAAAAAAAAAAACAAAAAAAACCAGTCTGGAAAAATCAGACACATATGTTCAAAGCAGCAAAGATAAGAATACACTCAGACTTCTCATCAGACATAAGGCAAGCCAGAAAGCAACAGCACAACAGTTTTAAAGAGCTTAGTATGCAGCCTAAGCAGTGTTTACAGGGAATTTGTAGCTTTAAATGCTTATATTACCAAAAAAAGGGGGCCTACAGTAAGTTATCTAAGCTTTCACGTTAATAACCTAGAGAAAGAAAATTAAACTCGAAGTGGATACAAGAAGAAGAATATAAAAATAGAAGGAATTCGTTAACTATAAAACAGAGAAACAATACAGAAAATCATTGAAGCCGAAATCTGGCTCTCTAGAAAGAATAAGTCAATAAAAGTGATAAACCTTTGATCAGTTTGATCAAGAAAAATGAAAAAGTATCAATGACGAATATCAGGTTTAAAAAAGAGACATCACTCCAAAAGCCTACAAATTTTGAAAGGATAAAAAGGGAATATTTTGAACAACTTTATGTCAATAAATTAGCAACTTAAGTGAAATATACAAACACCTTAAAAGACACACATTATCAAAATGGATCTTAAAAGTAATAAATAACATAATATCTATTAAATAAATTTGATTCATAATGAAAATCTTTCTCATAAAAAATTTCAGACCCCTATAACTTAATTAGTTAACCCTATCAAATATCTAAGGAAGAAATGATACTAACTCCTTCAGAAAACAGAAGAGAGAATGCTTCCCAGCTCTTTTTTTTTTAAGACGGAGTCTCACTCTGTTGCCCAGGCTGGAGTGCAGTGGCGTGATCTCGGCTCACTGCAAGCTCTGCCTCCTGGGTTCACACCCTTCTCCTGCCTCAGCCTCCCGAGCAGCTGGGACTACAGATGCGTGCCACCACATCCGGCTTTTTGTATTTTTAGTAGAGACAGGGTTTCACCGTGTTAGCCAGGATGGTCTCGATCTCCTGACCTCATGATCCACCCGCCTCGGCCTCCCAAAGTGCTGGGATTACAGGTGTGAGCGACCGCACCCGGCCCCCAGCTCATTTTATGAGGCAGAATCACTACATACCAAAACCAACAAAGACATTACAAGTAAAGAAAACTATAGGCCCAGTATCCCTCATGAACACAGATACAAAAATCCTAAACAAAATATTAGTAAGGTGAATCCAGTAATATATAAAAAAGACTATACATCAAACCCAGCTTAAACATTTCAAAATAAATCAATGTAACCCACCATATTAATAAATAAGGTGAATATTCATATTAACAGAATAAAATATATATTCAAATATAAAACAGTAAAAAATATATATTCATCACAGTAGAATAAAGCATTTAACAAAATTCTTTATATGAAAATTCTTTATGTAAAGCATATGACAAAATTTGTAAAATCTTTCAACACAAGGGAAAAGAAGGGAACCTCCTCAATCGAATAAAGAACATTTACAAGAAATCTACAGCTACCATCACACTGAATGGTACAAGACCATTTTTACTCCAAGACTGGAAACAAAGCAAATATGCTCATTATCACCACTTCTAATTAACACTGTACTAAAGTACCAGACAGCATAATAAAATAGGAAAAAGAATAAAAATGCATACAGATTAGAAAAGAAGTAAATCCATTTTTACTTGCAAAAACATGATCATATGCATAGAAAATCCTAAGGAATCTTTAAAAAAATGTTTACACTAGCATCAAAAAGGTAAAATACTTCAAATGCTTTTATACTGTACCCTGCATTTTTTGGTGTGTTCAGTGGGAGGGTTACATCAAATATAGCCATGCTTTCATTAACAATGAGGATATATTCTGAGAAACATATCATTAGGCTATTTCATTCTTGTGCAAACATCACAATGTGTATTTACACAGACCTGGGCAGTATAGCATATTACACACTTAGGCTAGATGATATAAACTACTGCTCTGATCAACATCATATGTGTGGTCTGGCGTTGATCGAAACATTGTGGGATATATAACTGTCCCTAGAAAATTGCTATAAATGAAAACTGACATTATTTTTTAATCTCATCTTGCTTTTTACCATCAATAAAGTTACCTAGCTTTCACCTACCTTATCACCAAACCTATTTCCATGAACTTTTCAGTTTAAAAAGAAAATCATTCTCTAAGGATGAATACACAATTGAGAATAAAAAATTGAAGACATTTGAAATAATGTGCCAAAGTCAATTCTCCAAGAGTTCCAAAAAGTTTTAAGAATGAAAGTTTCTTAAATTTCATTTTTAAAAGACAGTTTTTAAATATTTTTTAGAAATTTTTAATTTTAAAGAAAGTTTTTACAAGACAAGGATGCCTGCTCTCAGCACTTCTATTCAACACAGTATTGGCAGTACTGTCCAGAACAATCAGGCAAGAGAAAGAAATAAAGGGCATCCAAATAGGAAGAGAGGAAGTCAAACTATCGCTGTTTGCAGATAACATGATTCTATATCTAGAAAACCCTATAGTATTGGCCCAAGAGCTCCTTCAGCAGATAAACAACTTCAGCAAAGTTTCAGGATACAAAATCAACATACAAAAATCGTTAGCATTCCAATACAACAACTATCAAGCCAAGAGCCAAATCAGGAAGGCAACCCCATTCACAACTGCCACAAAAAGAATAAAACACCTAGGAATACAGCTAATCAGGGAGGTGAAAGACCTCTACAATGAGAATTACAAAATACTGCTCAAAGAAATCAGAGAAGACACAAACAAATGAAAAGACATCCCATGCTCCCGGATAGGAAGAATCAATATCATGAAAATGGCCATACTACCCAAAGCAATTTACAGATTTAATGTTATCCCTATCAAATTACCAAAGACATTCTTCACAGAACTAGGAAAAAACTATTTTAAAATTCATATGGAACCAAAAAAGAGCCTGAATAGCCAAGGCAATCCTAAGCAAAAAGAACAAAGCTGGAGGAATTACACTACCTGACTTCAAACGATACTATAGCACTACAATAACCAAAACAGCATGATGTCAGTACAAAAACAGACACATAGATGAATGGAATAGAATAGGAAGCCCAGAAACAAGGCTGCACGCCTATGACTATCAGATCTTCAACAAAGCTGATAAAAACAAGCAATGGGGAAAAGCCTCCTTATTCAATAAATGGTGCTGGGATTACTGGCTAGTCATATGCAGAAAAATCGAAGCTGGACCCTTTCCTTACACCATATAAAAAATCAACTCAAGATAGATCAAAGATTTAAATGTAAAATCCAAAACTATAAAAACCCTAGAAAAAAACCTAGGACATACCATCCTGGATATAGGAATGGGCAAAGATTTCATAACAAAGATGCCAAAAGCAATGGCAACAAAAGCAAAAATTGATAAGTGGGATCTAATTAAACTAAAGAGCTTCTGCACAGTAAAATAAACTATCAACAGAGTAAACAGACATCCTACAAAATGGGAGACAATATTTGCAAACTATGCATCTGACAAAGTTCTAATATCCAGCATCTATAAGGAACTTAAATTTACAGGACAAAAACAAACCCCATTAAAATGTAGGTAAAGAACATGAACAGACACTTTTCAATAGAAGACATAAATGCAGCCAGCAAGCATATGAAAAAAAGCTCAACATCACTGATCATTAGAGAAATGCTACTCAAAACCACAATGAGATACCACTTCACACTAGTCAGAATGCTATTATTCAAACGTCAAAAAATAAGAGATGCTGGCAAGGTTACAGAGACAAAGGAATGCTTATACACTGTTGATGGGAGTGAAAATTAGTTCATTGTGGAAAGCAGTATGGCGATTCCTCAACGAGCTAAAAGCAGAACTACCATTCAACCCAGCAATCCCATTACTGGGTATATACCCAAAGGACTATAAATCATTCTACTATAAAGACACATGTATGTGAATGTTGACTGTAGCACTATTCACAATAGCAAAGACATGGAATCAATGTAAATGCCCATCAATGACAAACTGGGTAAAGAAAATGTAGTACATATAAACCATGGAATACTATGCAGCCATAAAAAAGAATGAGATCATGTCTTTTGCAGGAATACGAATGGAGCTGGAGGCTATTACCCCTATGCAGGAACAGAAAACCAAATACTGCATGTTCTCACTTATAAGTGGGAGCTAAATGATGAGAACTCATGAACACAAAGAAAGGAACAGCAGGCTGGGCATGGTGGCTCATGCCTGTAATCTCAGCACTTTGGGAGGCCAAGGTGGGTGCATCACTTGAGGTAAGGAGTTCAAGAACAGCCTGGTCAACATGGTGAAACTCCGTCTCTACTAAAAAAAAAAAAAAAAAAAAAAAAAAATTAGCCAGGGTGGTGGTATGTGCCTATAGTTCCAGTTACTTGGGAAGCTGAGGCAGGAGAATCACTTGAACCTGGGAGGCAGAGGTTGCAGTGAGCCGAGATCACACCACTGCACTCCAGCTTGGGTGACAGAGCAAGACTCCACTGCAAAAAAAAAAAAGAAAAAGAAAAGAAAAAAAGAAGAAGGGAACAACAGACACTGGGGTATACTTGAGGGTGGAGGGTGGGAGGAGAGAGAGGAGCAGAAAAAATCACTACTGGGTACTAGGCTTAATACTTGGGTAAGGAAATAATCTATACAACAAACCCCCATGACATAAGTTTGTGTATATAACAAACCTGCACATGTATCCCCAAACCTAAAACAAAAGTTTTTAAAAGAAAGTTTTAAAATTTTCAGTTTTACTTAAATGAGTCCATAATCCCTCAAGGGATTATTTTGAAGGGGCACTGTTTTTAAAAAGTTAATTTACAGTAAAATTAACTTTGGTATACAGCTGTATGAATTTTAACACATGTATGTATGGAGTCACGTAACCGCCACCATCATCCTTTGCAGTCATACCCTCCCGTAACCCCAACCAACTCTTGGCAACCACTGATCTGTTGTCATTAATTCTGTCTTTCCCAGAATGTCATATAATGGAATCATACAGTACACAATCTTTTAGGAGGGGCTTCCTCCACTCAGCACAATGGTGCTGAGATTTAACCAAGTTGTTGTATGTTATCAATAATTCCTTCTTTTTTACTGCTGTGTAGTATCCCACTATATGGGTGCGTCACAGATAATCTATCCAAACAGTCTGCGTGGGTTGTTTTCCAGCTTTTGGCAATCATAAACAGAGCTGCTAAAAATATTCGTGGACAAACTTTTGTGTGAACATCCTTTCATTTCTCTAAGAATAAGACTGCTTGGCCATATGTTAGGTATATTTAAATTTATGAGAAACTGCTAAACTATTTTCCAGACTGGCTATATCACCTTGCATTGCCACTAACAACTATGAGAGTTACAATTGTTCTGCATTCTCACCAGCACTTGGGATTGTCAGTCTAATAGATGTATAGGGGCATCTCATCATGGTCTTAATTTGCATATCCTTAACGGCTAATGAAGTTGAGCATCTTTTCACATGCTTATTTGCCACCTGTATATCTTCTCTGGTGAAGTGTCTGTTCAAGTCTTTTGTCCATTTTTTAATTGAGCTGTTTGTTTTCTTACTGTTAAGTTTTGAGAGTTCTTTATATTATATATTCTAGATACAAGTCTTTTGTCAGATATGTGATTTGCAGATATTTTCTCCTGGTCTGTACCTTACCTTCCCATCTCTTAAAAGTCTGTTTCATAGAGCAGAAGTTTTAAATTTTAAAAAAGTCCAATTTATCAATTTGTTCTTTTATGGATTGTGCTTTTGGTGTCACGTCTAAAAACTACTGTCTTGGGGTCACAATTCCTCTGTTCAGAGAGTTCTCCCTCAGTGTTTCTGGTGACTGTGCTGCCAGGAAATCCCTTTGTGGCTCCTTGAGCTTTAACTAGATAGCTTCTCATAGAGCACTCGTCTGCACTGATGCTTATTTCCAGGGCTCAAGTCAAGGCTGGGGGCAAATCAGAGAGAAAAAAGGTAAATCAGCTACTGATTTGGTGGTTTTTGAATTCCGGTCTTTTTCTTCTTCAGTCCACCTGCTTTTCTGAATAGGTAAATTCTGATTTATCTGGTAAATAATCAGTACCCCCCCACACACACGCAGAATCACACACAGCTAAAAATAAACATGTAGGTAGTTAGATTAAAATGTAAATAAAAACATTACTTTAGGATGCTTTTCCTGATATCACAGTAATTATATTCAATTGGAAGAAGGCAAAGGGTTGAGGAAAAGAGTTGAACTATACTAAAAATTTCTAGAATCTCAATAAGTAACAGGTATAACAAAAAGTGCAGCTAAGATTGACAAAAAAAATCAGTGTATTTTTATATAAAAAATTTTTACTAGAATTTTAAAACCATAAAATGATAACATATTAATTTTAAAGATCTAGCAATACAGAAGTGAATACAGGGTTAACAATCCGGACTCTTTCCTCTTCAATACTGTACCACCAGAGATAACCATTATTAACAATTGGGTGCATCTTCCCTCATTATGTATATATATTTTAACATATATAATATTGTGCTATATACATACATACATCCACATTTTTAATCATTTTCTTCTTATACTTATTGAACAAAGAATAGTATCACATTATATACATTATTCTTCAACTTGCTTTTCTCATGTAACAATATATCATGTACAGTCCTGCAGTTCAGTAATATTTCACTATTGTTCCATTGTATATAGATCTAGTATAATTCATTCAACACTCCCCTTTGGTTAGAGACACAGGTTGATTTCAGCCTTTCATATCTATACACAATCAACACCCTGGGCATTCTAATTCTATAGGATTGATTCCTCAAAGTAGGACTGTTGAGTCAAAAAACGTGCATTTTAAACATAAATAGATTCTGACCAAATACTCTCCCCAATTCACAGTCCCAATAGCAAAGTATATACGTGTTCTTTCTCCCTACAAACCTTCCCAGAACTGAATATTATCAATCTTTTTACAACCTTGACACTTTGATGGCTAAAAATGGCATCCTATCTTTCACCTGTACTCCCCTAGTTGCTAATGAGTCTGAGTGTTTTGTTTGTTGTTGTTGTTGTTGTTAGGTATACTGGCTCTCCATATTTTCTCTTTTGTGGATTGCCTTTTCATAGTCTACTTGTTTTTCTAATGAATTGCACATATCTGTTTCTCTTTGTAGGTTAGAAAGATTAAGCCTTTTTTGTTTTGTTTTTGAGATGGGGTATTACTCCGTCACCCAGGCTGGAGTGCAGTGGCACCATCAAATCTCACTACAGCCCTATCTGCTGGGCTCAAGTGATTCTACCACCTGACCCACCGTAGTAGGTAGGACTATAAGCAAGCACTACCACACCCTGCTGATTTTTTTATTCTTCTGTAGATAGGTCTCGTTATGTTGCCCAGACTGGTCTCGTTATGTTGCCCAGACTGGTCTTAAACTCCTGACCTCAAGTTATCCTTCCGTCTTGGCCTCCCAAAGCACTAGGGTTACAGGCATGAGCCACCACACCCCACCCTGACCCTTTGTTTATACACAGATTTTTCATCACAGAAAACTGACTCATTCTAGATACAAATTTGTTGCTTCTTATACTATTTTAAGGCATTAAGGACATCAGCTTTATTTTTCATGTATAAAGTTGAGGAGGTTTACATGTTTTAATGTGAAGAATATCCACAATTGAGAATATTTGTTTAGTCGGCAATTAATTACTGTGTATTTATGATGTACAATTACGCTAAGGGCATATAAGACATGGGTGTCTATCCTCCAGGAATTTAAGTCTAATAAGGGAGATATGTCAGAGACAGAGTGAAATAATAATAGCAGGCAATATGTGATTATATATGATTAAATGGCAACTTTAAGAAACTAGAAAACAGAAGATATCTTCCGTTCATGTCATCATTGTTTACCCGCATGCAGATCAAAGTAAAACCTAAAAATGACTATATTCAAAGCTTGTGTTTGAAGTCAATCATCTACAAAGTGAGGAAAGTACACTCAAAGCCATATATGCAGTGACCCACTAGGTAATGTGAGAAAATGTTAAAGCTTCTATTATAATAATTTTTTATCTTTTTACTTAAAAAGGAAAAATAAAATTTACAAATTTGAGTTTTTAAAGCTTTACCAAATTTATTTTTTCTTTTTAGCACACCTCTGCTGGCAGGAAAGCTTTACTAATTTTTAACGATGGCAGTCTCATTTATTGATATGCCAAGCAGGTCACTCCTTATACTCTGTTTACAAGGTAACCTAAGGGCAGAGAAAGCTTCCACAAACAGAGAGTTGACAGTAGGACCTTCAGCATTTTACAATATATATTAGATTATTTTCAAATTATATTGTTAAATTTTAACTAAATTACCTCTCCCAAAATGAGCAAGTAGCTTAAGCTGATTTCTACAAAGAAGCCATGAATTGAGGTAATAATAATAATAATAATAAGCACAAGCAAATAAGAAAATAGCAGATCAGGAACTCTTTATCAGACACATGAAGTATAAACAAAGATGATCTAATCCAATCTGACAAGTCAGTACCCCCTTGGAAAAAATTCAAAATTGTCAAGAGGCTAAATTGAGGCAGATTTATAACCACCATCTTTAATTCAAATCTTGCCATGAACATATACTGAGCTATTAGTTAATGAATATAATTTAGAAATACATGTCAAATCCTACAATAACATGACCCACGACAATATGAAATTGGCCGCCAGCTCCTATCCCCATGTTCAAACAGAAGAGAGCTGAAATTTTTATTTTCTGTGAAGTTTTCTGTGAAGCAAGGTCAGGAAAAGGAGGGCAAGGACACAACAGAGAAGAAGACAGGTAACCTTGAGTCTCAAAAGATAGGGAAGAAGACACATTGAGTCCCTGCTTCCACAGTATTCTCTCAGCCTAATCTCTCCTGATTGCACTGATGACACGGGCCAAATAACCAAATTCCTGGTACTGCCACATTGACTGTATGATAGTGGTGAATCATCTACTCTATTTTTGGCTCATTTCTACGTTGGTAAAGTGAAAGGGACATATCAATACACCCATAAAGCTCCTTCTAAGTCTCATGTTGCATGGTCCTAAGGTGAGCTATTACAATAGTCACTATTGACTTGTGAACTGGTAAAGAATTTACTGTATGAACAAACACACTACATGGATAAAGAAGCTTAACTGCTACATGGCTGCCTACAATGTTAAGGTAACAGAACAGACTAAGCAAATTCTCATGATGCCAGCCAACTCCCAAGAGTTTTCATCAATTATTCATTCAGGGAAATATAAAGAACACCTATACAAATCACAGAAGTAGGTAATCAGGGATAAAAGATGAATAAGACACAGTTCCTTCCATAATACATTCATTCTAGACATTTACTGAATGCCTACTACGTGCTGGGCACTATTGTAGACACAGCAACATGGCAATGAACAACAGACAAGGTCCTTGGTTTTCAAGGAACTTATATTCTAGTTAGGGATATACTCCCTTCCCCATTTTCAGAGCAGAGTAAAATACAGACTACTCCTCAGACCTTGACCTAAAGAATGGGTGGACTCCAAGTGGCAGCAAACAATCAAACAAGATCGTATCATGACTGGACCACCTGACTAGCAATGAAAATGCACTGCATCAGGAGCCCTGACACCTGGGCTCTGCTAACTTGCCATGAACCTTTGGAAAGTAAGTTATTATTTTTGCGTCTTGAATTCATGGGAAAAGTTAAAGGGCTAGACTAGATAAATGGTTCTCAAACCTTCCAAATGTCATGGACCTTTTTGAAAATGTTACCAAAATTAAGGCCTCTCTACTTAAGAGAAATGCACAACTGCACATGTAAACTAACTTTTCAAGATGTTCACTAATTTCAAGATGTTCACTAACGCCCTGAAGCTTATCCTATATGCCAGTTTAAGAATCTCTCAACTAGGTAATTCACTGAAAAGCCTTCCAGCTCCAAGTATTCTATGATTCTATTCCATTTTACTTCCTCTCGTCTTCCTAGGATTCCAGTCTACAACCACCTCAAGATACTAGAATAAAATGGTTTTTTTGTTGTTTTTGTTTTAATTAAGATACAAAGGGAAAAAAAATTTAAAGAGGGAAAAAAGAGAGATACCAAGAAAGAAATATGTAGCTAGCTCACTGTCCTCCACAGAAGAGTGAAAAGCAGAACAAGATATTATGAAAATTATCTAACAGACATATGAATACATGTGTGGTAATTTTTACAACATAGCCTCAAAATTATTTGCTACTTCTCCATCAAGAGGTAAAGGTCTATGTCCCTTCCTCTTGACTCTGAGCTTTGTGACTACCTCACAAATAATATATTTCAGAAGTGATGCTGTGCCAGTTTGCAGGCTCAGGCCCTAGAAACTGGCAGCTTCTTCTTCCTGGCTCTTTCATTAGATGGTCACTAATGGAACTCAGCCACTATACTGTGCAGAGGCCCAGGTCACGTGTAGGTGTCTCTACTGAAAGTTAACTGCCAGATGTAAGTGAAGACACTCATAGATACTGGCCCCAGCTCTCAATTCATCTCCAGCTTATGAGTCTTTGCAGCTGAGGCTCTAGACATGGTGGAACAGAAACAAACCAACCCTGCTGCAGTCTCTCCAAGTCCCTGACACACAGAGTCCATGAGCATGACAAAGCCATGTTTTATACCACTATGTTTTGAGGTGGTTTCTTACACAATAAATAACTAGGGCATCTTTAAGCTCTGAGGGATCATGTAATACTTCTCACACAGAGATGTCATGAATGAGATTATTTTTCTAAATTGTATATAAGAATTGTTAAAGTTACAGTGGGCATTAATTTAAGCCAAAATCAAGATTTAGAAAACCACACTTAAACTCCAATGACAGGCATTATCCTGCCAGATTATCGAATAAAAAGAGAGTGAGAGAGAAGGAGCGAGTGAGAGAGAAATATGTGACACTCATTAAAAGTTCTCATGTCATTAAAGTTCTCATTAACAGAAGTACCAGAGTTTAGTTTCCAAGTTCATTCATTGACAAGTATTTACAGAGTACTCACCAGTGCTAGGCATTGTTCCAGATGCCAGGCACACAGCAGTGAACATAACAGACAAAAATCACTGTCCCTATAGTACTAACATTCAGTGGAGGAGAAAGAAACAATAAACAAGACCAATAAGTACGTTAAATGGTGTTAAATGCTGAGGAGAAATCTAAAGCAAGGAAGGAGGCCAGGGAGTGTTGCTGGTAGTGCTGATGATGGAAAAGGCTTGCAATTTTAAATACGGGGGTCACAGAATGCCACACAGAGGTGACATTTGTGTCAAGACTTTAAAGAGGTGGGGGAATAAGCCAAGTGGGCACACAAGGAAAGAGCATTCCAGAAGTAAGTATGAAAGACTCTGAGGCTGGTGTGGCTGGGGATGACCGGGCAAGCAAGACAGTAAAAGATGAGGTCAGGCTGGGAGCGGTGGCTCACGCCTGTAATGCCAGCATTTTGGGAGGCCGAGGCGGGCGGATCACAAGGTCAGGAGATCGAGACCATCCTGGCCAACATGGTGAAACCCCATCTTACTATACAAAAAATTAGCAGGGTGTGGTGGTCCGCACCTATAGTTCCAGCTACTCGGCAGGCTGAGGCAGGGGAATCATATGAACCCGGGAGGCGGAGATTGCAGTGAGCCGAGATCGCGCCACTGCACTCCAGCCTGGCAACAGAGCAAGACTCTGTCTGAAAAAAGAAAAAAAAGATGAGGTCAGAAAGGAAACTGCAGACCTGATTGTATAGGCAAATCCTGGCAAAAATCCAACAGCACCGATCTTGGAATCAAAAGAACCAAATTCAATGAGAGCAGTAATGTTTTTGTCTGTTTTGTTCACTAATTTATCACAGCACCTAAAACGGTGCCTGGCAGACATTCAAAACACATTTGCTGAATGAACGACTGAAGTCTTGGCTCTATCACTTAGCAGCTATTTGACTTGTAGCAAGTGATTCCAGTTTTCTGAGCCTCTGTTCTCATTTCTAAAATCAGAATAATCATTTCTCCCCACCTCAGAGGATTATAGTGAGGATCAAAAATGGGGAAGTATTTTGCAAACTGCAAAGCAGTATATATAGGTGAGGTCTTCACATTACTGAAAAAGTGAACAAGAGCAATTATTATTAACAACGACAATGATCTCTCTACCTTTCCCTACTAAATTCAACCACCAAATCATTCTCTCCCTCTCTATAGGCCATGGAACTGGGACAAGGCTAATCTTCCCTTCAGCATGAGAGAGTGAACTTTAAGCACTTGAAGCCTTCTGTAAATGAGTGGCAGTAATTAAGACATAATAGTTACTCCTACCAACTTTTCTTTGAGCCTCTCTGAGAAAAAGAATGAGGCGCTGTTTCCATGTGAAGATTCAACACCCTTTGGTAAAATCCAGTCTGCCTGAGAACTATTTTTTTTCTGTTAAAATTCAAGAATAACCAATAAGAACACCTTGACATTTCCCCAGACATCTTGTCCCTCACTTAAACCTACACAAGATCGTGCTGAAAGAAGGGAAAGGGAAAGCATGAGGAACACTCTCGGGACTGGAAAAACGTTTTTAGAGATCAGGTAATCCAATCATCCCAAACTGAGAATCTACCGCCTAACTGATTCCAGCTGAAGACAGCTTTAGTGTTCGTTCTCATCTGTATATGGGGATAATATCTTCTTAAGGATGCTTCAATTCTGGAATAAAATAATGCATATGAAAGCATCTGACATGGGTTATGCACTCACTAAAACTGGCTGAACCTGGAAATTCTGCATTTATTCAATAAATATTAAGTGAACGTCTACAATATACTAGTCAGTACTCTAGGCACTAGGAAAGGGCCATAAGCAAAAAGCACAAAAATCTTGTTTTCTTGGAGACAACATCTACCTCCTGTAACTTCTCCGACTGGCCCGCCTGGCTTCTTTGGACCTCCGTCTGGCTTTTATATAACACCTCCTCCACGGAATATTGTCCTTTGAGATTCTGCAGATCGCTGTGGTGTACCTCCCCTCTCCACGCCCCTTTCCTCCATCCTAAACAAGCAGCCTTAATTATTTCAAGGAGTAAGCAAGGATGCGGAAACAGGAGCGAAAACTGGACTGGGTGGGGTGAAGGCGGGTGCTAAGACGCCAGGGCTGAAAAAGAAATCAACAGAACCGCTCCGACTCCGGGCCAACGTCAAGACGGGCGGGTCCGAATCAGGTGTGTCACCTGACACCTCTCCCGGGAAGGGCCATCGTCCCCTCCCCAGGCCCACAGAGGTCCCCGCCGGGCTCCGGGTACCGGCCCCAGGGGGCGCCCTGGCCAGGGATGGAGGCTGGAGGGGCCGGCTCGGGCCCTCACCCCTCAGTCCTCGCCTTTTCTTCCCAGTCGCCTCAGAGACAATTTCCAGCATCGTTCGTGGTGTTTCCAGGCTCCCGCTTCCCAGACCTAGGCCCCGCCGCTCCCGAAACCCCCTCATCGAGCGGCCTCTCACCCACACCATCCTTTCCTCCACAGCTGCAGCCGCTCTCCCGGCCCCCAGGACAGCCACCGCCCGGCCGCACTCACCTGCGAGCCCAGCCCCGGCCCCTCCATCTCCCCAGGAGCCCACAGCGGCTGAGGCTACTAGGCAAGTAGCGACTGCCGCCAGCCCGCCAGCCCGCCTTGGGTCGCCTCTTCTCCCACTTCCTGCTGGCGCCCTCACCTCCGCCGCTGCGGTCCCCGCTCGTGCCCTGAGCCGTCAATCGGTCCCGGAGAACCAATCCCAGCCCTCCATCGGCTAGGGGCGGGACTTTCTCACCTCCTGGGAAGCCCGCTGTGAACAGCTCGCCAGAGGCTCCACCCCCGGCCCGCCCGTGCCGGTCGCTCCCCCAGCCCCAGCCCAGGACCGAGCGCCCCTCCCTGCCCCAGGTGCCACGGGCCCCAGATGTGCGTCCAGGGTCAGGATCAGACTGTTATTCCAACGTCAACCACCATCTATTGAGAGCAAATCTGGACTTGGCTACTTAATTGCTAAATGACCTTGTGAAAGTCTCTTATTTTACCTCAATTTTCTCATCTGTGAAATGAGGAAAATAAGGGTACCTACTTCATGGAATTATCAGGAGGATTAAATGAGAAAACGCATGTAAAGCCCCTCAGCCCGTGCGTTACATATAAAAAGGAATCAATAGATGTTAGCTATTTAAATGTTTTCCACTCCATTTGCGTGATCTTGGGCAAGTCACCTCTACCGCCTGAGGTTCTGTTTCCTCAAATGAAACAAAAAATGAGTTCTACGGCGCAGGCTAGAGGGGGAGTGGGCGAGAGCCTCCCACTTGAAGTGCACCTCCCCCCTGACCTCCACGACCCTTTGTGGAGGGCACTGGAGGAGCTGGCATTTAAGCCCTGTCCAGCTTGAAGGTCTATGAAGCAAGCATTAGGGATGGCTCCTTCCCTTGGGGCGTTCCAGTGGGGCAGTGGGGCTCTCCTACTTCAGCCCCGAGTAAACACTGGGGTTTTTCTAGCCCAGCACTTAACACAGTTCTTTGTAATGGTTCCTTAGATGTGTCTGTTGCCAAGTGGAACCAGATTAAGACCTTTAGAAGCTAATTTGAAAACGATCTGAAAACATTATGACTTCCTTATTTTATAAAAATAATACTAAATCATAAAATAAATAAATAGAAATCCAACAAAGTGCTGGGTTTTCCATGGAAAATATTGCTATGATACAATAAAATCGTAGATGTATTACTATTGCTTTAGTGTCTGTGTCCTTTGGGCACGTCAGCCCTGGCTTGCCCCCAAAAGCCCAAACCCTTTGAGGATAGGAACCATGTCAGATCCATCTCTGAACTCCCAGTGTCTAACACAGCACTGGGACATGGAAAATGCTCAGCACAATTTTAATGAATGATGGATGGATGGATGTACAGGCGTGTCATTAATACACGGACAAATGGAGTGACAAGTAGAAGTGCAAGCAACTCCCACCGAAAGCCAGAGGAAAAAGCAATTAATTCCGACAAGTTAGGATGAGGCATTGGGTGAGGATTCATACAGGAAGGAATGTTTGGGTTTGGTCATTTTGCTTAACTAATAAGAGCTTTCTGGCCGGGCGTGGTGGCTCACACCTGTAATCCCAGCACTTTGGGAGGCCGAGGCAGGTGGATCACGAGGTCAGGAGATCGAGACCATCCTGGCTAACACGGTGAAACCCCGTTTCTACTAAAAATACAAAAAAAAAAAAAAAATAGCCGGGCGTGGTTGTGGGCGCCTGTAGTCCCAGCTACTAGGGAGGCTGAGACAGGAGAATGGCGTGAACCCGGGAGGCGGAGCTTGCAGTGAGCCGAGATCGCGCCACTACACTCCAGCCTGGGTGACAGAGCGAGACTCTGTTTCAAAAAAAAAAAAAAAAAAAAAAGGTTTATTTATTCATCACTTACTATGTGTTGGCACTGTGCTAGTGTTTTCATACATTATGTCTCATCCACGAGATGGGTGGTATTTTCCTCATCTCCTGGGAGGAGAAACTGAGGTTCAGGCTGATTCCATAAACCCCAAGTCACTCAGCAAGTAAGTAGTAAAGAGAGTATTCAAACCCAGGTTTCTTACTGCAAGCATTTTGGCTGAAGTAGTTTGTTTCTTTCATTTTCAAAGTCTGATTTAGAAGATGCTGAACTTGAGGGAGGCTTAAAATCTGTTTCAATGCGTCTGCACTAATATCCTAACACATTGGAAGATTTTGGAGCAACTAAATCCGAACACCCCACTCCTTAGTCAGGCTCCTGGTTTCCCTCTGCTCATGTTTTATGCTTCCAGTGAGCTATTTCAGATTAAGCATATCCATGTCTAATGGCTATATGAAACCAAACGCAGTGATAGCCTCTAACTGCCCCCAATACCTCTCAACTTTGAAAATACCTTTGCTGGGATAGACTGGATTAAGAAAATGTGGCACATATACACCATGGAATACTATGCAGCCATAAAAAATATGAGTTCATGTCCTTTGTAAGGACATGGATGAAGCTGGAAACCATCATTCTCAGCAAACTATCGCAAGGACAAAAAACCAAACATCGCATGTTCTCACTCATAGGTGGGAATTGAACAATGAGAACACTTGGACACAGGAAGGGGGACATCATACACTGGGGCCTGTTGTGGGGTGGGGGGCTGGGGGAGGGATAGCATTAGGAGATATACCTAATGTAAATGATGAGTTAATGGGTGCAGCACCAACATGGCACATGTATACATATGTAACAAACCTGCACGTTGTGCACATGTACCCTAGAACTTAAAGTATAATAAAAAAAAAAAAAAGAAAATACCTTTGCTGGTAGACATAGCCCACTAGAATAGTATGATGGTAGAAGAAGCAGGCTCCTGGAGCCCAGCTCCAGCACTTAGTATCTGCATGCCCTTGGGCAAGTTACGAAGTCACTTGTGCTTCGGTTTCCTCATCTGTAAAAATGAGATAATAACAGTACAGTACTTACTTCACAGTGCTGTCAAGAGAATTAAGTGAGCTAATGTATGTAAAGTACTTAGAGGAAGGTCTGGTACATACTAGGCACAATGTATATGTTAACTATTCTCATCATTGCCATTGTCATCCTTGGGAGTGGGTGTTGGGGAGGGCAATTGACTGTACCAGATGGGTACTGTCATGCCAAGGGCCAACGATAGAGATTCAGCAGGCTCAACTTCTAATTCAAGATTTGCCATCACTTTCTGTGTGTATTAGTTTGGTAGCACCGCCATAAGAAAGTACCACAGACTGAGTGGCCTAAACAAAAGAAATTTGTTCCACAGTTCTGGAGACTAAAAGCCTGAGATGAAGGTGTTGACAGGGTTGGTTTTTTCTGAGGCCTCTCTCCTTGGCTTGTAGATGGCCATCTTCTCCCTGTGTCTTCACATAGCCTCCTTCTTTGTGTAGCCATATCTTAACTTCCTCTTTTTATAAAGATACCAGTTATATTGGATAAGAGCCCACCCTGATGACCCATTTTAACACTATTACCTCTTTAAAGACTCTATTTCCAAATAAAGTTACATTCTGAGGTACTGGGGGTTACAACTTCAACATATGAATTTAAGGGGGACAAAATTCAGCTCATTACACTGTGTGACCCTGGGCAAATCACTTTCGCTCTCTAATGACAGTTCATTTGTTTGTAAAATAGGGATGAGAACAGAGGCTGGAAGCAGTAACTCTACAGTTCTCTCAGCTCTGATCATGTCATTTCCCAGCTGAGACTAAGCTTTACCTTTCCAGTCCCCCCAGCACTTTTAAGTCTCTTTTAGGTGACACTATTTCTCTCATTCTACAAACATATATTGAGTTCCTTCTATGGACCAGGCACTGTTCAGCATTGGGGATTCGGTATTGAGAAAGACAGAGAAAACTGTTTTGTGGCTTCCTGGGACTTACTCTACTGTCTAGCAGTAAGAGACAGACTTTAATCAAATGGGGTCACAAATATTTACTTTTTATAGTCAGCCTTGTAGTTCTTAAGTAGATCCTCTTTCCTCCACTTGGCCACCTCTTTCCTCCACTCAGCCTCCACTTGGCTGCCGGTTGACATCCATTTGTCTGCATTATGTTTTGCACAAGGTCTGGCACATGCTAAAGGCTAAAAAGACGTGTTTTTTAAATAAATGAAGAAACAAATGAGCCCAGTTGAAAAAAAAATGGTTTATAAGACGACATTAAAGGCAGCTCAATTCCATAAATCACTCTAAGATGTGCTGATTTCACAAAGTTTAACCACTATTGGATTTAAAAAGTCCCATATTAAGGTTTGCTAATCCTCCTTGTCACAATATGAGCATCAGCTGACTTTGTTCTGACTAAACTTTTGATTCTGGCCTCGCTTCTTCCATACCTGTGGAAAGGACAGGGATGGTTTTTGAACCAGGGACTTATGGTTGTAATCATTCTGATGGCTGCAACAAAATGACCCTTTGGAATGTCCAAAAACCCCACACATCTGTCAGCAGAGGGCTTCTCACAAACACCAGGTAGGAAATCCTGATGCTCTGTGGTACCAAGCCAGAGGGGCTGGGGGGGGTGAGTGCTTGCTGTACTTTAGGTAGTGAACGTTTGTTGAGCTCTGAACATACACCAGGTCCAGGCTAAACATATGAGTAAAGTGGTGGACACCACAGCCTCTGCTCTTCTGGAATTCAGTCCAAGGGAGGCAAATACTGATAGAGATAAATAAATAGATAAAAAGAAATAGAGACAATGGCAAATGCTAAACAGGAAAAGTGCCAAGAATATAATACAGGAACCCACTTTAGCCTGGGGCGATAGGTGGGGTAGAGAGTCCTCTTCAGAAAGTCATAACACCAGCTCAAAAGGACTTTCCCAACTTCATTCACCCATGGAGAAACTGAGGCTCAGGGAGGGAAAATGACTTGAACAATGCACTTTCCAAAGTAGCAGTGAATATAGGGTTAGGACAACTCTTCTGACCCTGTATGGCTCTCTTGCCAGCGCTTGGGCAGCCTCAGCTTTCTAACTGTAACCCAACTCACAGATGCTCCAGGCTAGGGATTGGGAGATGGACAGGGATTACCTACGAGTCTTGCTCAATCTCTTGTCTTCTACTCATGAAAAAGCTTCAACAATGAAAAGTTAAAAACTCATTTTATATACAGATCACCAAGATCTAGTCATGACATATTTTAAGAACCACAATTATTATCTGGGTTAGGAGCCCATGGTGTGCATTGTATATTTTACTTGCCAGATTAACCAGATTTATATGGTGAGGTGTGTGTGTGTCTGTGTGTGCCAGTGTGTGTATGCAAGGGAGGTGTAGAGAGGGAGAAGGTGAAGCAGGAAGTATTCCTACTACTTTCAGTAGTTACTATTTTGAGTCTTAGTCATCTTCTTGCAGTGATACATTTAAACATCTATGGAAATTTTTTATGGCTATGTCCAAATTGTCACAGCAACACTCAGAATTGGGTAATAAATCTACCTTGACTCTGATACAGATGTGGCAAGACTCCCTTCTCCACCTTCTATATCCTGCTATCATAGTTTGTATTTATTGGTTTATATACCCATCTCCCCATAGTCTCTGTGCTCACAGCAGACATTTAAGTATTACTTCCCAAGGAAGGTCTTCCTGGACTCCTAGACCAGGTTAGGATGCCCTGTTAGGTGCCCCACAGCACTTTGAAATGCTACTATCACAGCGCCTGTGGAACATTATTACTTTGCTGCATTCAGGTTGAGAACATTTATCTTCTCTGCATACCATAAGCCGTGAACACAGAACCTGGGCCTGTCTCAGACACAGATGCATTGCCAGTGCATGGCACGGTATGTGGCCCATGGGAGCTGCTCAATATTCAGTTGTTGAATGAGTAAACAAACATATGTCATTCATTTTTATTTGCATTTCTAGCACCTAGCACAGTTCCTAACACAAGCTAAGTGCTCAAAAATGTTGACTTGCATTTAAAAATCTCATTTCTGTCTCTATACAGTTTGCAAAACACTTTTGCTTCCGCTGAGATTGAGATTTGTAACAGCCTTGTGAAGTAGTCAGAACAGGGATTAGCATCCCACTTTGTAGACATGGCTCAGGAAGTTTAAGCAATTGGCTGACAATATCAGGCTAGAGAATACTGAAGAGCTGAGGCCAAAAACATTCAATGACAAGGGCAGCGATGTTTCCTTGTCAATATCACCACTGACAAAAATTAAGTTCAGAGCCCAGGAACTAGCCACAGGTTCAGGGCCTTTCAAAACTTCATACAGCTACTTTTTCAAAGATATTTTCAAATATGCCCACTTGGGGAAATCAAGGTGGGTCATAGGTTTTAGAGGCTCATTTTCTGCATCTTCCCAGGAAGAGACTGTACCACTTTGAGCTTTCATGTTCTCATCTATAAAATGGGAATAGTAATAGTACCCACTTCATAGAGGATTCAATAAAAGTGTTAAACAAAAAAAAAAAAATGTATATGATATGCAGTACAGTAAGTGCTCTACAAATGTTGGCTATTATAAAGGCGGCTGAGAAAAACTGAAATCTTAGGGAAGACTTGGCCTTAACATTGATCCTCATGACCAATTTAATCCAGAGCCTAGCTCCGGAATATTCATGACTTTACAGGAAATACAATGACCAAGGATCCACTCGCCAAAATTCATTTCTAGTTTCAACAGGTGACATTAAACAAGTAATTGTTCTCCTTCCATCACCAGCCTGCCCTACACACTAAATTACTTGTGCTCATGAGAAAAGCTGCATTCCCCTCAGCTCTGCTTTCATGGAAGAACAAGCGCTGGTTTAATCTCTTGTTGACTGCTGCTCTAATTATAGTGATAGAGTGGTGTCCCTGGTAATGGGCCAAGCTGGCCAGCTGTGTTGCAAGTTGTTCAAGATACAGAAGGTGGCACCATCTGAGGCCAAATGGTTACCTTTCATCTCAGTTTCTATATAAAATAATTCTGCATTGTGCTTTGCATAGATGGTGAAACATGGCAAAATCAGGATTTCCCAAGCTGAAGGCGCTGGGATCATTCCCAAGGCTACTGAGTTGCTAATGTATCTGATTTCTGGACATGTGGATTGTTGCAAGCAAGGGCAATAGGCATGATGGCAGGAGAGGCAGAACACTGAATAAAATGATAGATTGGAATTCTGCAGGAAGAGGAGGAGGAGAAGAATCGGATGTTACCCCTTGTACAAAACGTCCCATTATCCCCGGGACTGTGGTGACTGATATCCTCTACAGCCCCTCAGCATTCTGGCATGGTGCTTGTCTTGCTATATTGTAACTGCCTGTTTACTCCTCTGCCTCTGCCTCTGCCTCCAGCTTGTCTGTGAGTTAAGGGTTCTTTCTGTCATCGTTGCATCCCCAGAGCCTAGTACAGAACATACACAGGTAGGTATTTTATAAATACTTGTTGAGTGAGGGATAAAAATTGTCAGGAAACTCATTATTAGGACATGGTTGGGTAGGAACGGGGAAGGAAGCACTAAATTTGAGGTTAATCGGGGCATGGTGCCTCCTAATTTCAGTTAGTCATATGACTCATTTTCAAATTTCACACGTCCTGCCCCCACTCAGAGTTGGTTCAGGAGAAAGATGGCCCACCAGTTACCCTTTCTGTGGGAAGCTGGAGGAGCAACGGTGGTGCTCATGGCACAGGCGCTGACACCAGCCGTATCAGAAACTCAAGTGTCTTAAGGCTGTGGGGGCCACACCTGACCCCAACAGGAAGAGCTCTCAGGCTGGCATGTCCCCAGGATGGGGCAAATTAGAAAGGAGGTTCAAGACACAGTGTCACTAGGGACCTGGATCCAGGGCACTAGAGGCCAGGCCTCCAGCTGTGATCACAGCTGGGCCACATTACAGACCCACAGAAGGCCTATGGCAAGATCCCACCCTTCCTTGGCTCAGCTTCTTCCTCTACCAGCCTGACGGGAAGTTGCACATGGAGGAAGAACTGTGCAAGCAGTGAAAGGAGCACCGGGCTGGGCATCAGGAGGCCCAGCTTTCAAGTCTTTACACAGCGTGACCAGCTGCCTGACCTCTGGCAAGACAGGGAACCTCTCTGGGTCTTGGTTTCCTCACCTGCAAAATGGAGCTTGGGAAACAGTAGCTCCACGTATGCCACAGATGAGAAAGAAATGAGTCCTCAGCTCCAAGGCCAAGTTAGTTTGATCCCAATTCCAAACATCTATGGACACTTATAGCAGATTGTCCTGTTGGACAGTTGGACTCCTGCCTCAGGACGAGAGAAACAGTCCCACATCTTCCCCTTAGCACAAAGCCTGGGGTGATAGACCCATGGGCGAGGTAAAGGGAGACAGAAGGAAATGCCTCCAAGATGCCTCTCAGAGTGTGGGCACTCCGCCCATTTGTCAGCCCTTCACCTCATGCCCCAGCCGGGTCCTTTCTTTCATGCAGCACTCCCACCAGCCAAGCTCTCCCAGGACAACCTCGGAGGAAGGAGGAAGGGCTCTATTTCCCATTTCATGTTAAGAGCTCAGCCTCAGAGCTGCATGCAGGGCAAGGCCACATACGGCAAACAAAGTGGTGCTGTTAGGGCTTGATCCCACGTGCCGAACACAAGCTCAGCTCCTGTTGTAATTCTCTTAGAGTCTGAGGCGGAATATTAAAATCAGTAAAACTATTTTCAAACAAGCACAGTCATCTTAATTGGATAAAAATGGAGTATTTTTAAAATGATAAACATGAAACTAAAAACTCTGGAAAAGTCTGAGACAGATTAAAATGCTTAAAGACGCATAAAAATGTACAACGTGTCCCTATGGTATGTTCATATTATCAACGTGTTTTGTTTTGTTTCCAACGAACGTGTCTTTTGGCTTAACTTTTTTTTTTCTTTGAGACAGGGTCTCACTCTGTTGCCCAGGCTGGAGTGCAGTGGCATGGTCTCAGCTCGCTGTAGCCTTGACCTCCTGGGCTCAGGTGATCCTCCAGCCTTAGCCTCCTGAGTAACTGGGATCACAGGCACCATGTCTGGCTAATTTTTCAACTTTTTGTAGAGACGGGATCTCACTTTGTTGCCCAGGCTGGTCTCAAACTCCTGGGCTCAAGCAATCCTCCCACATCAGCCTCCCAAAGTGCTGGGATTACAGGTGTGAGCCACTGTGACAGGGCTTAACTTAAAAACAAAACAGTTTACCCTCTGGAATTGATCCAGAATCTTGAGTCAGACTTGCAAGGATTCTAACTTGAGGAAATGGGGTTAGCAGAAAACAAGGAGTAATTTCATAGTTGTAGGATCTTTAGAAATCCTCTACCCAATATGCTCCCTGAGTCAGAGTTCTCTCACTCTCCCACATCCCTTAAAAGCTGTTGGCACTATCTCCTTGAATACCCACAGTGGTGGGATACTCACTACCTTCTATCATACTGGTTACATTGGACAGAAGTATCCCTCACTTTTTTTTTTTTTTTTTTTTTTGAGACGGAGTCTCGCTGTCTCCCAGGCTGGAGTACAGTGGTGCGATTTCAGCTCACTGCAAGCTCCGCCTCCCGGGTTCACGCCATTCTCCTGCCTCAGCCTCCCAAGTAGCTGGGACTACAGGCGCCCGCCACCACCCCCGGCTAAATTTTTTTGTATTTTTAGTAGAGACGGCATTTCACCGTGTTAGCCAGGATGGTCTCGATCTCCTGATCTCGTGATCCGCCTGCCTCGGCCTCCCAAAGTGCTGGGATTACAGGCGTGAGGCACCGCGCCCGGCCAACTATCCCTCACTTTTATGTTTATAATCGGTCCTTTTTCCTTGGTTATGGCGCCACAAAAATTCCAGTGAATTCTCTCTTCTACTTCACCGCCCATTAGATACTTGAATGGATAATGGTACCCCTAAGTGTGTTGTCCCCCTGATTAAACATCCCCAGCTCTTTCAACCATCCCTCAGTTGGTGTGGAAACCAAGTGGAGGAGATGCTGCTGTTGTGGGAGCCAGACAGAGCTAGCTTTATATCCCAGCTCTTGCCAAGTAGCCTTGGCTAAGTCACACAATCTTTCTGCAATTCTACTACTATTTTGTAAGGCTGTTAAGAAGACTAAATGAGAGAATGTGTGTAAAGCATATGGTATGGTGTTTGCCTTAGGGTGGGTGTTTTGTATAGTGATAGGTGCCAATATTGTTATGGGACCAAGGACAACTTATTTGCCATCAAGTCAGAAGAATTCTACATTAAAAAAAGGAATGAGGTTGAGATATCTGGGAATGAAAAGAAAGCTGAGGGTGGGGTGGCCTGGCTAAGGGAGCTTGACAAAGAGGGACTTGAAGTCAAAAAGAGAAGAGACAGATCATAGGAGGCCAAAGATTCTATATAGTGAGGATGAGGATGCCAACTTCATAGTGGTTGGCATTGTGAGGAACAAATTGTTTCATGTATATGAAAGGACTTTGTAGAATAAATGCTCCCCCCTGCTCCCAGAACACCTGGTGCTTTACCACATTATATTAGGACAATTTTTAAATCATATCCCCCAAGACTATAAGTTCATTGTGGTAGGAAAATTTCTTTTTTGTCTGCCCATCTTCCACTGGGGAAGTGCCTCTCCCTTACCCTAAGTGGTTTAGGTGGGATTGTCAATTTCAGTATCCTGCCTGCTATGAGCCATAGGGCTGAGTCCCTGAGCCAGGCCTGACCAATCAAGGTACACCATCATTTTGCCCAGGGGGATTGTCGGGGTGAGGTGGGGGGGAGCATGTGCCCAAAACAGGGCCAATAAGAGTACTTTCATATAATTTGATCTATTGATGCTGTAAAAGCCAAGTTTCTTTCTTTTGAACTATGAATTCTAAGAATATAAACTTGGGGCTAAATTCTGCGTATTCAACAAGTATTTATTGAGAGCCTAAATATCAGCCAGGGTTCACAGGGTCCAGTCATGAGAACACATATCTCTCTAGATATTTTAAATGCGGGAATTTAACATAAGAAAGTGCTTACACAGTGTTGGAAGGGTTGAGAGAGCAAAGAGCGATTTTAAATGGACTCAGAGCTTAGTAACTGCCAAAAGAAGCTTCCATTCCTAAGGTTGTGGGAACAAAAGAGTAGAGGTGTTGTTACCAGATCTAGAACCCAGGAGATGGGGAGGCCTGGGCTGGTGCTTTGACCACAGGTGGCTGGTGCCAAGACCATGGTGGGCACTGTGCACGCTGATTGGAGAGCTGCTTAGGCTCTGAGGAAGTAGCTCCATTAGTGGGTGCTAGAAGTGCCCAAAACACCCGTTGTTCTCCGTGCCTGTTGGAAGGTTGCTAACAGAAGTCTGAAGCAGGAAAAGAGCCTCTTCTCTCTTCCTCTTGTCTTCCAATTTCCCACCAGTGCCTTATTAGGCTTATAGAAGGCCTCACTGGCTTTCTATCTGAAAGCCGATTGGCAAGAGAATCCAGGGAATGTAATTCCAGTGTCCAAGCCTCCTTAAAACCCATAGCAGAACAAAGCAGTGGAAATGAAATTTGAGAGCAATCAGGCAAAAGACAGCCCGTGTGCAATGTGCTAGGTCTCATTCTAGGGACTGGAGGAATAGTAGTAAGCAAGACAGACAAAAATCCACTCCCCAATGGCTTGCTTCTGGAGAGAATGAGAGATAATACAAAAGCAAGCCTATAGGCAAGCAAGGTACAAACAAGGATACCAAGCACCATTTGTCTCAGTGCAGACTCCCTAGAAGCTGAGCACCAGATGAGGATTATTATGCAAACGCCTTATTAAGGAAGTGCTCTCAGGAACACCTGCTAGGAAGTGAGGAAATGGGATGGTTAATTTTATGTCACTTTGGCTACATTATGGTGACCAGCTGCCTGGTCAAACACTAGTTGAGACTTAGTCAATGTTTAAAACCAGTCGACTTAAAGTGAAGCAGATTACTTTATATGGTGTGGATGGGCCTCATCCAATCAGCCAACCGCCTTAACAGCAAAGGCTGAGGTTTCCCAGAGAAAAATGAATTCTGCCTTCAGAGGGCACCATAGAAATTCCAGCATTCATATTCAAGACTGCAACATCAACTCTTACCCGAACATTCAGCCTCCAGCCCACTGACTTACCCTATGGCTTTCAGACTTGCCAGTCCTGACAATTGCATGAACAAATTTCTGAAAATAAATCTGTTATCTTTCCTGTTGGTTCTGTTTTTCTGTAGAATCATGACTAATACAGGGAAGGGGGAAAAACCAAAAAAAAGGGATGTGATTTCAGGCCAAATCCTCTCAGTCTGATGCCACTGGAAGCTCTGGATTGTAAACTGCACCATAGAGTTTGCCATTTCTTGAGGCAAAGGAGGTGAGCTTCATGCATCTGTACCAGTCAGTCCCTGGGCAGGTTATACACATACTTTGACTATCGGGAATTTCTTTTTTCTGTTTTTTCAAGGCTATGGTATTTTAATTCCAGGGGGTCAGAGATACTCCTGGAAGGAATAACAGGAATAAAGTATGATTTCTTCATCATCCACTGACAAATTAGAAGGAATTTCTTTAATTAGAAAACTTGAGAGTTACAGGGCTTGGCTTAAGGAATTAGCACTGTGGATTTCGTTTCCAGGTTGGCTAACTCATCATGTGACCTTAAAAAAAAGTGGCCACCTTCTTTGAACTTTACCTCCTGGGTATACCAGAGAGCTAGCCAGGGTAGTAACTAGTTCTACTCGATCCAGTTCTCCCACTTACACCCCCACATCCTGCCCTGGCAAATAGCACTTCCTCTGGAAGCTTCCCTGATCTCTCCAAGAAGTCATGACTTCCTTCTTTGTTCCCCCTTTAGGGTTCTGCATGCTCCTTTATTACATTATTGCATTTTTCTGTAATGAACTCTTTACCTTGTAGGTGGCCAACTATCACAGTTTTCCTGAAACTGAGGGGTATCCTGGGACACCAAACTTTCTTGATTTTTTTTTTTTTTTTTTTTTGGTTGTTGTTCTTGTTTGTTTGTTTGTTCGAGACAGAGTCTCACTCTGGCATCCAGGCTGGAGTGCAGTGGCACAATCTCCACCTCCTGGATTCAAGCAATTCTCGTGCCTCAGCCTCCCGAGTAGCTGGAATTATAGGCACACGCCACCATGCTTAGCTAATTTTTTGTATTTTTAGTAGAGATGGGGTTTCTCCATGTTGGCCAGGCTGGTGTCAAACTCCTGGGCTCAGACAATCCACTCCTCTCAACTTCCCAGAGTGCTAGGATTACAGGCGTGAGCTGCTACACCTGGCTGGGACACCAGACTTTCAATGATAAAACCAAAGCGAGATGGTCACCCTATTTTTCTTTGTCCCCCAGTGAGAGATGGAAATATGGGATCCTGTCCTACTCAATCTGATGTTTGTTCTTGCACAGTTCATACATGAAGTATATGCTTCATTGTTTTCAGAGTTGTGGGGGTCAATAAATAATACCTTCTTTTCTCCATCCAAGTTCAGAACCCATTAGGATACACACACACAAAAGTCAGACACAAAGAGATAAAAATACCAGCTTCATTAGTGATGAAAACTGATATCAGGGAAGGGTCTTAGGTCTTTTAGCCAATAGGCTTCTGATACTTCACCCCCTTAATTAGAGACTTACCCAATCACAATTTCTGGCAGTCTTGGACCACTGTAAGCATCTGAGTGTCCGAGTGCGTGGAATGGAGCAAAAGGTAGGCAGATCTCAGAGGTAAAAACAGCAGGCTCATTTGAGTATGAAAGCTTGTCTTCCAAACTCTCTTATAAGTCTTTTCTCCTCTTTTTGGGGTGAGGGAGGGGTAGGTAGAGAGTGGAGAGGGGGAGGGGGAAGTAGAGAGTGGAGAGAAGTGTTACTTCAAACTGCCTCCACAAAAAAACACAAAGCCAGGAGAAAGGAGAATTCCCAGGAGGATTGGTTGAATGAATGAATCAACAAATAAATATTCATTAATGCTGCTCATTCTTCCTCTACCATTTGATCATTTACTGGGGAGTCTGGAGCTGCAGCAAGGTAGAGGCTCTCCACTATAAGCATCACCACCAGGCCCACCATCTAGTGCAGGGAGGACACTGGTGACCACTTGCTGAGATACTGACCCTCCAGTTGTTGATTTGATTACATGAGATCCTTGCTAAGCACTTGCTCTGTACCCACCTGAGGGACTTCATCAGCTGTACTTACCCCAGGACTTGCCAGAACCACACTGAAACAGTAGCCATCATTGTTTTCAGGACTTTGCAGCTACTGAAATAAGTCACCCTGTCTCAAAAACAGGATACCCACCCACGTGTTGGATATAATATTGCATTTACTTAGGATTGAGGAGTTTGATCATGTTGAGGTTGAGGTAGTAATGAAGGTGTGTGATGCTTCAGTTCAAGTGAGGTTCCTTTAGGGTTTCTGTATATAAAGACAAGAGTGATTTGAAGTTACATTAGACCAGAAAAGACTTGGTTCAACCAAAGGACTGTTGAAGTCCTCTCATTTCCAGATGTTCTGGTGCCCCAATTCAACTTGAATCTTGTTTCCCAAGAGTAATGGGTAGAGTCTAATAAACCAGATAAACACATTCTAAATGGCACTTTTTTCTTATCCAGCCAAGTGTAAAGTGGCTAGATTCTCAATTCCACACAATAAACACCTGTTATAGATTAACTTGATTCAGCAAGTACACAAGGAAGGCTGGAGATAAGGCCCATACTGGCTCTGACAAGGTGAGCAGGTGTGTGTGTGTGTGTGTGTGTGCGTGTCTGTGTGTGTGTGTGTGTGTGTGTGTTGAGGGGTGTCCTAGGAGGCAACATGGTGAATGGGAAGAGGCATGGGCCCAGGAGTAAAGTTTCTACCACACACTAATTCATTACACACTGCTGAACTGAGGTTCTCTGAGCCTCAGGCTCTTCATCTGTGAAGTGGCATGGGGGGTGGGGAAGAGTTGGGTTAAATAGATTTCAAAATCTCCTCCAGTCCAAATAGAGCACCAAGAACTACCAGCTACCAAGCATGTCTAGACTGGTAAAAATCTTCACTGAAGCTCTTCTGACAATGATTTTTTTTCTGACAGCTCCATGTCTTCTGTGACTTCTTGCAACAGGTGTTTTCTACTGAGTAACGTGTATGTAGAATATTTTTTTTCAAGTGGCTCAGTGACTCACATTCTAATATTTACATTGTGATTATCTACAACATCCATCTCCCGAATCCTCAGATATTAACATTCCAAACCTCTCCGAAGCCACATTTCACAGCTTCCCCAACATCCATCCATCCATGAATAAGATTTCATTATTAAGAATGTCATTTTCATAATGGATTTTCTTTTCTAACTCAGGCTCCATAGGTAATGAGCTGAGATTACATGATTTATTGCTTTCAGTTTGTCGGCCTTGGACTGTTCTGCCTGTGTACTAATTTTATGGCACACTAAACTTCTGCTTATTTACCAGCTTCTTCCTAGAGGAAGAAAACTGCAGCCCTGACACCTTCAAAATGAAAACAAGCAAATGAACAAACAAAAAACCTCCTCCAGGTTGTGGAGGCAAAGCCTTTCTCTTAGAATGAAAGGCTCACATTTGTTCATGATGCTGCTATTCTATCTGTGGGCTTGAAAATGGACTGAAGAAAGCATCGGACAAATAACTGTACTTGTAGGAAATGGAGCAGACAGATTGATTCTTAATTAGTACCCACATAGAGTAAACAGCTTCATGTAGCAAGCATCTAAGCACATTCTTAGTAAGCATTTGTTTCTACTTAAAACATTTCAACTCATCATAGAGGTTTTTCCTATTATTAATGGAATATATATGGAAATACATATTATTTGTTATATAACGTGTGATAGAGTTTAGATATTTGTCCCCACCCAAATCTCATGTTGAATTGTAATCCCCAGTGCTGGAGATGGGGCCTGATGGAAGGTGTTTGGGTCATGGGGGCAGATTCTTCATGGTTTAATGCTGTCTTCTTGGTGTTGAGTGAGTTTTCGCAAGATCTGGTTATTTATAAGTGTATGCACCCCGCCCCACTCTCTTGCTTGCTCCTGTTTTTGCTGTGCAATATGCCTGCTCCCCCTTGCCCTATGTCATGACTGTAAGCTTCCTGAGGTCTCACTAGAAGCCAGGCAGATGCCAGCTTCCTATACAGCCTGCAGAACTATAAGCCAATTAAACCCCTTTTCTTTGTAAATTACCCAGTCTTAGGTATTTCTTTGTAGCAATGCAAGAACGGCTTAATACAACATGTTTGTGTATGAGTGTGTGTTTTACGGAACTCAGAAAGATTGTGAAAGGAGGGAAAATTAATATTTACTGAGTGTATTAGTTTCTCGTGGCTGCTATAACAAATAACCACAAAGTTGGTGACTTAAAACAACAGAAATATATTCCCTCACAGCTCTGGCATCTAGAAGTCAGATATCAGTAGCACTGGGCCAAGATTAAGGTGTCAGCAGGGTTGTGCACCCGCCAAAAGTTCTGGGGTAACTCTGTTCCTTGTCTTTTCCTACTTTTAGTTAGTGGCTGTCAGTATTCCTTAGCTTATGGATGCATCTCCAAATCTCTCTGCTCCATCTTCAAATCAAATCAGCTTCTCTGTGTGTGAAATCCCTCTCTGCCTCCTTCTTCTATGTATACATGTGATTGTGTTTAGGGCCCACTTGGATAATCCAGAATCATCTCCCCACCTCAAGAATCTTAATTTAACCACATCCGCAAAGACTTATCCCCTTTCTTTTGCCATATAAAGCAATGCTCAGATTCTAGGATAAAAACATGGAGGTATTTTGGAGGGCCATTTTTCAATCCACCACACTGAGCATTTACTCTGTGCCATTTCCTCAGCTTGATCTACATACCTGTGCCTCCTCCCACAAGCCTTCTGTGAGGAACATGCAGCGAGAAAAAGACCCTGGGCAGGGAATCAGAGAACTGAGTCCCTTAACTTGCCAGAGTGTGTGCCATTATCCTCCTTTTCTGTGCCCGAGGAAGACATTGCTAATTGGCCACAGTACTAGCTTTTGCTAAACCCCTGGACTTGACCCCAGAATACTTAATATAATGTTTCAGGAAGTAATTGTGAATTTAACCCTATTTGACACCCCTATATTGAACTCTTAGTCTCCTCATTTGTAAATAAGAATAGTCCATGCACATCTATCTCTTAAGGACAGTGTAAGGATCAAATGACATAATGGATGGAAAACACTTTATGAATCCTAAAGCAGATGACTAAATAAAGAAGTTATATTCCCAACAGGAATTCATGGGGAGACTGTCTTGGAAACCTCTGCTTAGAAAATTAGAGGGCTTCTATTGCAAGGAGATTGTGAAGGTCAGGTTCAGGGTGGTGAGCGAGCCTAGGTCTGAACTCTATCAAGCTTGTCCAACCCACCTTATTTTTTTGTTGTTGTCGTCATTGTTGTTGTTGTTGTTGTTTTGTTTTGTTTTAGGCTTTTAGCAGCCTGAAGCCATAGTTTTTATTTTCTGTGTCTAGTGATAAGCAGAAAAGAGGACTGAGGAGGGGGCTTTACTGACTCAACCAGAAACAGAAACTAAGAACCCATAACTGTATTCTCTCCCTTGGACACCCCTGCTAGATGATAATTCTTCCCTTTACTCACCTAATAAAATAACATAAGCAAACACAATCTTAAACATTAAGGACAGCTTAAAAATCACATCACTAAGCATGTAAATGGTGCACTACTGTCTTGCCTTGCTCATAATAACTATCTAGTATGTGTCGGCCTGATGTCAGGACTATACACTTGCCAGGTATCCAGGCACCCCCAACTCTGCCTGTTCAATTTTGTATTGATCCTTTGAGGATTATTGAAAATGCATCCCTCTAGGAAGTCTTCCCTGATAGGAAGTGCATTTCCCAACTGTAAACCTCAGTACACTTTACATATGCATTTCAAATGCATGTGCAGGAACAGGGACAACTTAGGATAGGAACAGGGACAACTCCATCCCTGTCTCCACAGATATTTTATGGACTCTGCCAAAAAGACTCTAAGTGAATACTATAAATTCCCCTCCCAGATTTCAAAGTGTCTCCTCTTTTCCTTCCTGCTTTTGAAGTCAGAAGATACTCCCTCAACCTTTTGGTGCCTGAAATGACTCTGGCTTGGCTGCTTTTACTGGGATCTGGTTGCAGGCGTGGTCCTCCTACAGACCAGCTGTGTGATCTTGACATGTTCTGAGACTCAGCTTCCATCTCTGTGAAATGAGAAGGGAGTAGAATGTTTGCCCCTTCTGCCTCTCGGGGTTGTAGGCAATGACTAAAAAACACAGGCTTGGCCGGGCGCGGTGGCTCACGCCTGTAATCCCAGCACTTTGGGAGGCCGAGGCGGGTGGATCATGAGGTCAGGAGATCGAGACCATCCTGGCTAACAAGGTGAAACCCCGTCTCTACTAAAAATGCAAAAAATTAGCTGGGCGCGGTGGCGGGCACCTGTAATCCCAGCTACTCGGGAGGCTGGCGTGAACCCGGGAAGCGGAGCTTGCAGTGAGCCGAGATTGCGCCACTGCAGTCCGCAGTCCGGCCTGGGCGACAGAGCGAAACTCCGTCTCAAAAAAAAAAAAAAAAAAAAAAAAAAAAAAAAAAAACACAGGCTTTGTTGCACACAGACTAGTTAAAATCCCAGCTCATTCACATGCCAGCTGTGTGACCTTGGGAAAGCTGCTAAATCTCACTGAGCCATTTTTTTTTTAACCTGGAAAATGAGAATGCTAATACCTGCTCTCTAGGATGATTAGCAGGGATAATACATGTATAATGTTCAGCATAGTACCTCACATCTAATAAGTGCCCAAGTTAACAAGAGTTGTTATTTTAAACAAATTGCTTTTGTTGAAAGAGATGGTATTGTCAAACCAGAGGCACACCTAGGCAGGACAGAGGGGGCTGGGACCAGGCAGGGAGCCCAGCAGCATGTGTGAAAGTCTAGCAGTTGGTCTAGGAAGGAAGGAGTGTTTGCAGGCTTGAGTTCAAGATCAGGCAGGTTGTGTTGGAATGATCATAATGATAACAATCAACATGCATAACAGAATTGTCCTAGGCACACACAACTTATTTAACCCCTCAGCAATCCTATTGGTCAGGTATTATTATCCTCCTTTTACAGATGAGGAAAAGGGGCTCAGAGAGGTCACATGACTTTCCCAAGGTCACATAAAAAGATCAGGGCTTCGAACTCAGGTCTGTCTGTTGTCATAGCTCTTGCTCTTAAGTGCAAGGTAAAAATGGTATGTATAATGTTTCTAGGACCATGCTGGGTACAGAGCAGGTGTTCATCACTTGTTCTTTCCCTGCCATTGGTGGAAGAGCAAGAGTATGACTGGTACCATGCTGGGGCAAAGCCACATTCCAACTTCATGGGGAGAACCCTGGAGAGGTGGATGTTCCATAGGGCCAGTGATAGTGAACGTGTTAAAAGTATGACCTTTTGAGTAGGAGGTGAAATATAAAGTGAAGCCATTCTGGTTTATCTGGAATTAGCTAGTAAAACCTTGTTGAGAATAAAAACCTTCAGGTGTCCCATTTTCTAAGAAGCCAACCGTTCCCCACTCCTGCAGGATTGATTGAGAGGGACCAGGCAAGCAGAACCAGCATCATCTCTTATCCTGCCATCACCACCCCAAATACACACAAGATAAGAGGAAGCCCGGGATCGAGGATGGGGTTGGCTTTTGGAGAGTGCAATGTTTGAAAAGAGAGTTTAGGCTCTTTGCTCATCTCCCCATGGGGAGGTGAACAAGGCTATTGACTGGATCATCCTTCTGCAGTGAAGGGAGGGAGACCACATGTATTGATTGAGAATGCATTTGGTTGCAAGTTACAAAAAGTATGACCTGAAGTGTTTTGAGCTGGTATTGCTGTGTTGGCTCACACTGGGCATGCTCAACTATGCCATCAGGGACGCAGGTTCTTTATTTTTGTTATGCCATACGTGTGTTGGTTTTCATGGGAGGGGGAAAGTCTTGGAGACTTGGCCTTCTTCCCCTGTTCCCTACATATACTTCTTGTGTTTCATTGGTCAGAACTGGGTCATTTGCCTGTGCTTTGACCAATGAATGGCCAAAGGGCATGAGGGTACTGTGATTGGTTTCAATCAATCAAGAGTCATCCTCTAGAGATGGGGTAAGGAACTACTTCGTGAATGACATGGGGTCTCTAGCCACTATCTATGGAAATTGAAGAAAGGGAGATGGAAAAGATATTGTGCAGGCAATGGACAGTATCCTCCTCACCTCAAGAGAATCAATGGAAATATCTGATGACTACTAAAAAGGGGAGACTGACATCCCATCCCTTGACTGGACACTCACTAGGTCTCAGACTTGTTGCCTGCTCTAGTGTTATCATATTTGGAAAAAGGATACTGAAGGGAGCTGGGGAAGGCCAGGCAGAAAGTGTGCAGGAACCACTCCCTCAAATTCCAGATTTTTGAGAGATCAGGAAGATGACTTCCACCGATGCACAAGTTTCTAAGGGATAGGGACCAAAGAAGATAGATAAGATTGGACGTTGTGGGCTTACAGGGGAACATCACTGATGCAGCAAGGAACCAACTGGCATTCAGAGAATGCAGTGTGAATTGAGACTGCATGATCAAAGAAGTTATCATGTGTGGAGGAAGATGCACTTTTGAGAGGCTCTACCCTTTGATTAACACCTTTGTGTCTCAGTCATGCTTTCATAGGGCGTGCTTCAATGCTTTTCCATCACAGTTTTAACCACCATCTTGTCAACATAGTACCTTCATACTAGGGCACAATTCTCTCCATTTCCCTCACCTTCTACCCCAGTCTCCAGCTGTGTTTCTAGACCCATTTGATAGGACAATTTGGGCAATGTGATTTTCAAGTACAATGCAGAAACCCAAACTGTAATAACAAGCAAGGACTTGTTGTGAGGAACTAGACAAGACCCAAGTTGTAAGAACCAAGTCCAAGGTCAGCTTCTTCCCCACATTAAGACAGCAATTCCATGCTGATGGTCAGGCTAGAACATGTATCACTGTAATGTGAGGCCAACTGGGATAAATGCTCTAAGAGAGGATAACTTTATTTATAGATGAAGAAACTGAGGCTCCAAGAAATTAAATGACTTGCCTGAAGTTCATTTATATATAAATGACAGAGCCATCCATCACAACCAGGTCTCTTTGAATCTCATCCTTGGCCCTCTCTGCCACACCATGCTGCACTGAGATTCCAGGAAAGAGGTAGTCTCACTCCACTCCTACCCCACTCCCAGTATTTTCTGTCTCTAAAGGGTTTACCATTTAAGTAGCACTGTTCATCCCATTTGGCACCTCTATGGGGAGGCGGGGGGCTCATCTTACCCTCCAAACTTTTTCCACTGGAGAGTCCTTATTACTCACCAGGAAGCTGGGCAAGGAGGGGAACAGCCATGAGGTCAATAGGAAAATTTGGGGGTTTTATTACTAGAGGTATGTAAATTGGGACACATTTTCTTGGGGAATTGGTAGCAATGTGCAACAATAATCTTAATACCATATTTAACTTCTTTATTGTTGTTTGAAACAGAGTCTTGCTGTGTCGCCCAGGCTGGAATGCAGTGGCACGATCTCGGCTCACTGCTACCTCCACCCCCCAGGTTCAACTGATTCTCCTGCCTCAGCCTCCTGAGTAGCTGGAGTTACAGGCATACACCACCATGCCTGGATAATTTTTGTATGTTTAGTGGAGACGGGGTTTCACCATGTTGGCCAGGCTGGTCCCGAACTCCTGATCTCAAGTGATCCACCCGCCTCAGCCTCCCAAAGTGCTGGGATTACAGGCATGAGCCACTGCGCCTGGCAGTAACATGAACAACTTTTAATGCAGCAACTCCACTACTAGGAATTTATCCTGAGGAAATAATCCAACAAGTATATAAAAATGCAAACAAGCACAAAACAAAAAAAAAGTCTAACAGATCTTAGTTGGAGACTAGGTAAAGATGCCATATTCACACAATATGCAATCATTTAAAGTGATTATGTCAGTTATAGTTATGGTTATGTCAATAACATAATAAACAAAAATGGATTACATGTAACATGCAATCCCATCTTTTGTAAATAAATTATTTTGAGTGTATATGTATTTATATAGAGTGTGAACCCTCCTAATTGACCTCCAACCACTTAGTTGACTCCCCAGTTGAGTCAGCCTTCTCCCTTCCATCTGGAAAGCCTGATGCTTAGGCCCATGGAAGGCTCTGGAGGGAAGGCTGTGAGCTTTCCCACCTACCCTCTTTTGCTCCCAGCAGGGAGCTCGTGTGCTTACCACGTGTCAGTTGCATAGTTCTCTATGAAGTTCTCCTCATGCCAATTTACTTGCTACTGTAATTACATAGTTAAATATTATGTACACTGAAAAAGGAGATAAGACCAAAAAAAGCTATAAAAAAACTAAGTTGAATGTTTTGAAGAACTAAATTCAATAGCTATTGTCTTGTGGGTAGTAGGTAAGGTGGCTAAAAAGGAAGGGGGTGAGATAATAAAAATTCAAGGTTCCCCTCTCAGAGTTGCTTCACAAATGTTTTTAAGTTCTCTTTCTTATTCAAAGAAGCCAAAACAAGAACTTGAAAACAAAATATTATGATATCTTTGTAAGAAATACAAAGGTGAACTCCCTTTAGCAGACTGTCTATATTAGAGTATATTAAACCACTGACATAACGTTAAAATAAAACATTAAAGTATACATATATTTTATTATTATCATCATTTCTTATTTTAACTAATTTTTTGTTTAACCTGCTAAATATTGTCCTCTGTACTTACAGATATGATATACGTCTGGAAAAGGGAAAGATATAGTGATATATCTGGAAGGATATAGTGAGATTCTGGTTGATTTTCACTCTTTTCTATATCTTTATATGCTTTAAGAAAATAAGTGTGTCTATTACTTTTATAATCAGAAAACACAAAGCCATTGCCATCTGGGGAAGGGAAAACAGACAAACTTCAGGATTAAAGGAATGGTGTGCTGATGCTTTAAGGGTGCTCTGGGGACGCCCTGTCTGTCTTTCCTTGATGACTGGCACTGTTTGGATTATTTTGTTACGCATCCTAATAGTGATCATGAGTTTGGCTCCCTGGTTCCACCCCATCCTGAGGGTCAGGTGACATCTGCACATAGACATTGCAACACACTTAATTACTGCGGGAAGAGGGTATGGGACTGGAGCAGGTTAACTCTCCAGGGAGGAGAGATAGACACTTCCCAGTTGACAGCACAAGCTGTGGGGACCATGAGTCAGACAGACCACAACCAGGATACAAAACGAAAAGGAACACTTCTGAGTACCTCTAATTACTCTCATTCCACAGAGGTTGCAGCAAGATGCCAAGAATGTCTTTATGTTTTACAAATATAACTTTCTTTTCATGGAAACTTCAAAATAAGTATTCATTCTTGACTTAACAATAGAAATATTTGTGAAAACCAACTCTTAACTATAATAAGTAATTTTAAAATTTTAATAAAGCTGTCCAAAGTCTTATGTAAAGAAACAAATGGAAACAAAAATCAGGCTTTTGTTGTTGTTTTTTAGAAAAGGGGTCTTGCCATGTTGCCCAGGCTGGACTTAAACTCTTAGGCAAAAGAGATCTTCCTGCTTCAGCCTCCCAAGTAGCTGGGGCTACAGGCTTATGTCACGGTGCCTGGCCAAAAATCACTTCTTGTTCGAATGCCTTTCCCTGATACCTTCTGTTTCAGTGACAAAAAGGCTGGGACAATCTGGCAGAAAAAAAACAAAACTGAAACAAAAACTCTGACACGGTCAAAATCTTGGCCTTAGAAAAAGGATTACTAATTGCTCTAGGACATTCTGGGGACATGGAGTTAACAGGGGCTCAAAGAGAACAGGGGGTGGAGGGCTATAGGGCCACATGGTACTTGAATTCTAGAGGTAGCATTGGCTTTGTGCAGGTTTGAATTCAACTTCATCACTTACCAGTGTGTGATTTTCGACAAGCTACTTAACCTTTTTGAGATAGACTATAAATATCAAAAAGGTGGTAACCTTTTGTTTACTTTTGTATTCCTAGGCATAACACTGTATACAGAAGGCACTCAATAAATGCACTGAATAAATGAACACACTTAAGACACCTAGCACAAGTTAAATATAGAAGAGCTTCCTTCACCGCCTCTATCCCAGACTACCTTTTAAAGGTCTTATTTTAAAATAATTTTATGCTCACAAGAAATTATAAAAACAGTATAGAGAAGTCCCATGGACCCATCACCCTACTACCTGCAATGATGACATCTTACATACCTGTAATGCATCACCGATCAATTGGCACAATACAGTTTCACCAGCTGCTGCATGCACTCATGTGTTTTGTGTATCTGCACATGTATAGGTTGGTAGAGCCACCACCATAGTCAAGACACAGAACTGTTCATCACCACAAAGGATCTCTCTGATGCTGCCCCTTTACAGTCACAGCCCTCTTCCCTTTCCCACACCCCTGACAACCCCTTATCTCTTTTCCATCTCTATATTTTTGTCATTTTGAGACTATCTTATAAATCTTTTTAATATCTAATTTTTTGAGATTGGCTTTTTTCACTCAGCACAATATTCTTAGGATCCATCCAACTTGTTTCATTGTATCAGTAATTCATTCCCTTTTTACTGCTGGCTACCATTCTATGGTATGGATGTACCACAGTTTGTTTAACCTTCACCCATTGGAGGATGCCTGGGTCGTTTCCAGTTTCTGGTTATTACAAATAAGGCAGCTATGAACATTTGTATAAAGGTTTTTGTGTGAACATAAATGTTCAGGATTTTGATTGATGGGCCATATATTAGCCTGGTGCAAAAATAATTGCGGTTTTGCCATTACTTTTAATGCAAAACCGCAATTACTTTTGCAACCTAGTAGTACTTAATTGTTTAACTTTTAAAGAAATTGCCAGACAGATTTCCAGAGTGATTGTACCATTTTACATGCCTACCAAAAACCTTTACAAGATCCAGTTTCTGCATTCTTGACAGCATTTGTTTTATTAGTATTTTTTATTTTGGTGATTTTAATAGGTGTGTAGCATCATAACTAGTTTTCCACAAAAACTAGTGATGTTGAGCACCTTTCATGTGTTTATTTTGCCATCTGTGTACAGTGGCAGCCACTATATACAGAAGAACTATAGCCACTTTTCTAGTGAAGTGTCCAAGTCTTCTGTTTGTTTTCCAATTAGATTGTTTGTTGAGTTTACAGAATTATTTCTTCTGAAAACAAGTCCTTTGTCAGACATGTAATTTGCAAATATTTTCTCTCAGTTGGTACTTTTCATTTCATTCTCTTAACTGACTCACAGAGCAAATGTTTTTAGTTCAGTGAATTCATTTTTTTTTTTTTTTTTTTACTTTTTGGATTGTTCTCTTAGTGCCATGTCTAAGAACTCTTCTCTTAACATGAGATCACAAACATTTTCACCCATGTTCTCCTCTAAAGATTTTATAGTTTTACATTTTACATTTAGATCTGTGATCTATTTTGAGTTCATGTACAAAGTGTGAGGGGTAGATATTTTGTTGGCTGTTGATGATCTGTCTGTTGTTTCTGCCAAATGAGGTAACACCAGGTTCTATAGGAATCACAGAAGTAAGATAACATACAGGGATGCAGGATGTCTGTCCAGCCCCTTGCAGGAAATTAATTACCCTCCCATGTGTATCTAGAATGAGCTTCATGCTATGGAAACCAAACATTTCACCAGTGAGTCTTTCTTCTGTAATCATGTTGTTCAACCAAACACTGTTCATACTGGATCCTCAAGGAAGCTCCTACTGCCCCTTGCATCATAGCCTGGAGTGAATCTCTGAAGCAGGAAGTGAACATGGGAAATTCCTGTTACACATGGTAACATATCATTTAAGGTAGGAAAAGATGTGTCTTACAGCCTCAGGGACCCGGAGGTGGAAAGGGCCCAAAGCAGGAGTCACTTATACAGCCTCTCTGCAAAGAACAATCTTTTATTCAACAAATATATTTTGAGTAGTTACTATGTGTCAGAAACTAGGCAATGAAGATGAGAGTGAACAAAAAGACATGGTCCCTGCCCTCTAGTGGGAGAGGAAGTGTGGAGTACAGGTAATAATATGGGCACATATAATACTGCACACCAAAAGTTAGTGATAGGTTGCTGAGGGAATATACTGCAGGGACACATAACCCAGACTTCGGGAATCCAGGAATGCTTCCCAGAAGAAGTGACACTGAACTTAAGACCTAATAGATAAATAGCAAAGAGCTAGGTGGAGTGGAGTGGGTGGGGTGGGGGGAGTGGTAAGAAAATAGTCTTCCAGGCAGGGAGAAACAGCACATGTAGGCTCAGAGGGGAGTGTGAGCATGGTGGGCATGGGATCTAGAGTCTCCAGTATTGCTGGTGTGTAAGGTGTAAGGGAAAACGGGATAGGATAGGCTGGCCAGGTCAGGCCATGAAGGACCTTGAAGGTCACTGTAAGGATTCACCCACTTACTAAGGACATCCAGAATCCACTGGAGGCTTTGAGCAGGTATGTAACTGATCCAGATTTGTATTTTAGAAATCTCATTCTGGAAGCATAGAGGCAGATTGGTGGGATTCTAGGTGGCAGGCTGGAGCACTGGTTAGACTGCTGGAGACTGTTGCCAGAGATGACAGAACCAGAATGGGGGCCGTGGCAGTGGAACATGGTTGATGCATTTACACTGGGATAGAATCTGAGGCTTAAGGAGGAAGACACAGTTTTAAAGATGGCTTTGAGAAATGGAGTGAGAGAATCATGCAGAGAAACAGAATTGAGGGCTGTGTTGCAGGAACCATTGTGGTTGGAACCTTCACTTGGACATTCCTAATGAGGAAGGGCCAGCTCATTCCTTCCTTCTTGTTACTCTTCCAGGTTTGACAGTCCTGCTTGAGCAGAACTCTGTTTCCTGTAACTTTGCTGCCTCGGACCAACTTTGGCCCTGACAGACCACACAAAACTGTCCACCTCTGCTAGTCCAGGCAGGCTTCAACAGTCTTAAAGATATGGATCACCTTATCTAAGACATTAAAGGATTCTCCCTTCTCTCAAACTTTCTTTTCTCCAGCTTGCTAACTCCAAGTTCCTGTAGCCACTTCCCATTTAGCACGACTTCCCTCTCTCTCCTCTTCCTGATATCCCTTCTACCTCCTACTTTTAATGTAATTATATGGTGTCCAAACTGGATAAAATCTGGTCAGCCAGAGAACAGTAATCATCCTTCCTGGAGCCTGGAAATTCTTTTTTTTTTTTTTTTTTTTTTGAGACGGAGTCTCGCTCTGTCGCCCAGGCTGGAGTGCAGTGGCGCGATCTCGGCTCACTGCAAGCTCCGCCTCCCGGGTTCACGCCATTCTCCTGCCTCAGCCTCCCGAGTAGCTGGGACTACAGGCGCCCGCCACCATGCCCAGCTAATTTTTTGTATTTTTAGTAGAGACGGGGTTTCACCGTGTTAGCCAGGATGGTCTCGATCTCCTGACCTCGTGATCCGCCCGCCTCGGCCTCCCAAAGTGCTGGGATTACAGGCGTGAGCCACCGCGCCCGGCCAGAGCCTGGAAATTCTATCCCTAGCGTCCACACATATTTTCAGCCTTGTTAGGGAGCCTGCCTCCCTTCTCTGAATGTTTCAGCCAGCCAACATCCCCCACTGTCCCCTCAGCAATGGAGACAGGCGTGATCCCAGAGTCTTAGCTGGGGAAACAGGTCAGACAAGGCCCTCCCTGACTCACCCTCCAACAGCAGGTGAGCTGGGTCTGGAAGCATGTAATCAAGCCTCATCAGGAAATGGGGTTCTTGCTTTTCCCCTCCAGTGAGAAGGCACTAGAAACTATTCACTGACCATTGCTGGATGTGTGGTTTGAAGGGGCAGGTATGAAGATGGGACACTGGCTCTGTCTTCAATAAGTGTGCAGTCTTGTTGGGAGAGAGGATATAGAAGGGGTGGTCACAGAAGGCCCTTTCCAGAGGAAATGAGAACACAGCAGGGCCTTGAAGGACAGGAGGAATATCAGCTGGTGAGAAAGATGGGGATGGTGAGCCGGAATGGAAAAGGAAAGCTTTTTCCTTGTGCAGAGGTCACAATGTCTAAGATGGACCTGGGAAAAGAAAAGAAGACACTGTAGTCAGAGAAGAGACTATATGCGAGCATTGAGAGAAAATGCTGCAAAGGTGGATTGAAACCATATTGGAACACTAGCTTTGGAGCCTGGACTGTCCTATAGGCTGAGAGCCACCAAGAGCTCTTGAACCAAAGAAAAGGAGTGAAGTGATAGATGGCTTGGTTTTTGGGTCTGGTGAAGCTAGATAGATGAATTCTACACTCCACACCATGATCCAGAGTTTCATAACGTCTAGGTGTCAGAAACGTTTGAACTAGAGTGACTCCATTTTGAATAGAGACTGGGTAAAATAAGGCTGAGACCTACTGGGCTGCATTTCCAGGAGGTTAAGGCATTCACTGTCACAGGATCACACAGCAGGTCATCACGGGATACAGCTCATAAAGACCTTGCTGATATAACAGGATGAAGTAAAGAAGCCAGCCAAAACGCACCAAAACAAAGATGGCGATAAAAGTGACCTCTGGTTGTCCTCACTGCTCATTATATGCTAATTAGCATGCTAAAAGACACTGCCACCAGTGCCATGACAGTTTACAAATGCCATGGCAATTTCAGGAGGTTACCCTATGGTCTAAAAAGGGGGGGAACCCTCAGTTCCGGGAATTGCCCACCCCTTTCCTGGAAAACTCATAAATAATCCACCCCTTGTTTAGCATATAATCAAGAAGTAACAATAAGTACAAGCAGCTGAGTGGCCTCTGCCACTACTCTACCTATGGAGTAGCCATTGTCTATTCCTTTACTTTCTTAATAAACTTGCTTTCACTTTATGGATTCACCTCAAATTTTTTCTTGTGCAAGATCCAAGAACCCTCTCTTGGGGTCTGGATTGAGACCCCTTTCCGGTAACATAGAGAGGCAAAAACTCTTCCAGGAAGCAGTCCAGGGCATCTAGACAGGCACCTGGCTGGCCTAGCATTAGCTCACTTTCAGGTGATCTTTCCAATAGCCCTTCCTACAGTGATATGGGCAGAGAGGATTGAACTACTCAGATGTAAGACCTGGGAAGTGCTTTGAGTGGCAATAATAAAAGCTAGAATCTGGGAGCAAAAATGGCTACATAATTTGCAGTACCTCATTTTTTACAAATCACCAAGAATTTTAAGATGGCAACATTAAGCCAACCACAGGGTCCTTCTAAGCATGGGGTCCCATGCAACATCACAGGTTGCATGCCCATGACACTGGCTCTGTCTAGGGGTAAAGATTGGCGCAGGTTCTTATCCAAACGCACACATAGTTTCTTCAAGGGGGCTGCCAAACTCAGTAGGCTCACAGCCTCTTCCCTGGGCAGATGGTAGCCCAGCATTCCAGCTCACACAGTCAGCTTGTGGCTCTTGACCTCACGAAAGGAACAGGAGGCAAGGAACAGGAAATCTGAGTTTCAGTCCTGGTTTTGCTTTAAAATTGATGTGAGTCACCTAACTTTAGGGCCTTAATTTCCTTGCCCGGATTACGTGTTGAGTAAGTATTGTTTCTCTTCCTTTCGATAAAAAAAGGCCCAATTCTGGGATCTCTGCCACATGACCTCTTGTCGGAGTATTTGGAGAAAGACACGGGTCCAATGGTGGGTCTTTGGTTACAGAAAGAACTCAGTGAAATGTATTTGTAACTCACAGCAAACTCCAGATAGTTTTTTGTATCCCAATACCGTCTTATTTCACTAGAAAAGTAATCATTGGCCATTCTCTGAATAATTTATTTGAAGAAACTTTCTTACCTCCTCACCAATTCTTTGTAGGCCCACAGGCGACTGATGCCCTCTCTCTGTGCCTCAATTTCCTCTTCTGTAAAATTGAGACCTGCATTAGAGATCTTCATGTCCCTTTTAGCTCCCATTTCTGCATTTCTTTGAATCTATGAAGTAACTGGTCCAGCATATAGCATCACATGGTGTTGAGATGAACTTAGCTGTCTCTGTCAATAGAAGGTAAGCTCACTGAGGTCAAGAATGATGTGTGATTCACTCTAAATCTCCAGTTCCTGGCACAGTACCTCATGCTCAATTAAGAATGGAATGGACAAATCTATCAATGGATGGACAGGGTCTCTGGAAGAGACTTAAAACAAATGATCCAAGGAAGCGAACACAAAGTTGTAATCAGAAGCAAAGCCCAAGGCAAAGAAAGCGAATGGGGGTAACCACCTATCAAGGGAGATTGAGTACTGGGTGATCAACATCTGAAATGATACAAAGGCAACAAGAAAATTTAAGGCTAAAAAGAGACAAAAAGGGCTGCGCGCAGTCGCTTACACCTGTAATCCCAGCATTTTGGGAGGCCGAGGAGGGCGGATCACTTGAGGTCAGGAGTTCGAGACCAGCCAGGACAACATGGTGAAAGCCTGTTTCTACTGAGAATATAAAAAATAGCTGGGCGTGGTGGCACACGCCTGTAATCCTAACTACTTGGGAATCTGAGTTAGGAGAATTGCTTGAACATGGGAGGCTGAAGTTGCAGTGAGCCAAGATCACACATAGATCTCACAAGATGGGCGACAGTGAGACTTTGTCTCACACACACACCCAAAAATGTCAAAAAGATTTCACACTGGGGAGGTCATTAGTGACCCCTGAGAGAAAAGAAGATACCAAAAGTTTAGGAACAGGTAGATCATAAGGAAGGGACAACAGGCAGAAATGACTATTTCAAAAAATGTGTTGGAAAAAATGAGAGTGATAAGAAGGTAACTGGGCACATGGCAAAATCAAAAGAATTATTGTTTATCAATTTATTTTCTTTAAGAGGAGACCTGTATGTTTATCACAGTACTCTTCACAATAGCAAAGACATGGAATCAACCCAGGTGCCCATCAATGGTGAATTGGATAAAGAAAATTTGGTACATACACACCTGAAATACTATACAGCCCATAAAAAAGAATAACATCATGTCTTTTGCAGCAACATGGATGCAGCTGGAGGTCATTATCCTAAGTGAATTATCACAGAAACAGAAAACCAAATAATGCATGTTCTCATTTATAAGTGGGAGCTAAACATTGGGTACACACAGGCACAAATATGGAAACAGTAGACACTGGGGATACCAAAAGGGGGAAGGGAGAAAGAGAAATAAGGATTGAAAAACTACCTATCAGGTATTATGTTTGCTACTTGGGCAATGAGATCATTAGAGGCCCAAACCTCAGCATCATGCAATGTATATATGTAACAAACCTGCACGTGTACCTCTGAATTGAAAATTTAAATAAATAAAATAAAGTGAAAAAGAAGAGAAGGAGACCCAAAATATTTGTTAACCAAGAGGAAAGATTGAAGGAGGAAAAGGCAGAAAGTTTAAGAGGGAGAGAGGAGGCAACTGATGGATTTATGTCCTGGAGGAGTCAGGAGAGAAAGGGGACCAAGAGCACAGTTCTTTCCCCCCTTGTCTCTGCCACCTATAAATCTGACAAGCAGACCACTGGGTGCTGTAGAGGACATCCAAACAGCAGAAAGAAGTTGGGAAGTGTGGCTCTTGAGGTCCCATCTTACAAATCCTGTGACCGTGATGTTCATGCATCCTTACTGTGGCATGTGGTTCACAAGCAGATGACAGCAATGTGAAGAACATCTTTGAAATATAGTCTGGTGGCGGCTCACGCCTGTAATCCCAGCACTTTGGGAGGCCAAGACGGGTGGATCACGAGGTCAGGAGATCAAGACCATCCTAGCTAACACGGTGAAACCCCGTCTCTACTAAAAATACAAAAAAAATTAGCCGGGCGTGGTGGCGGGCGCCTGTAGTCCCAGCTACTTGTGAGGCTGAGGCAGGAGAATGGCGTGAACCCGGGAGGCGGAGCTTGCAGTGAGCTGAGGTCGCGCCACTGCACTCCAGCCTGGGGCGACAGAGCAAGACTCCACCTCAAAAAAAAAAAAAAAAAAAAAAAAGGAAATATAGTCTAGTGCCTGCAGCTTACCCTGGACCACATTTCCACATTTCCAAAGAGGAAACGAGCCCTTTGAGATGTACTCCACCTGTTTGGGAATGTGGTCCAAGGATGGAGAGTGGTGTAGTAGGAAAAGCACCAGGCTGGAAGTCAGGAGTTCAGATCTAGTCTCTCCTTGTAATTCTTTATGTGCCCTTGGTCATATCCCTTTTTCTCTGGGAGTTGCAGTTTTCCTTGGAAACACAGGAGTTTGAAATAGGTGACTGCTTTATTTCTACATGCTCTGACTGAAGTGTTACAGAGTCATCCTGAAAGAGTTGGCACTCATCTCTGTGGTTCTTGGGCAGCTCTGTGCCTAAAGTGGCCACTGAGGTACAAAGAGCAAAATAGGTAGTAAGTCCTTCTTGGCAATTCTTACTCATGTCACTAGACAGCTCACGGTATGAGCATCGCCTCCAAGAGGAAAACCCACATGTTTGTCAGTGACATTCCAGACCCTCCCGTTTGGGCTGCAGCATCAGCATGACCAAATCATGTTTGGCAAAGAAAGGCTCATGTCTGGCTGTATGCTGATGACATTGATGAAATTCAGTATTGCCTTGGGAGACTGATTTCCTGATGGAGTTCCAAGTTCTGAGTTTATAACTTGGTTTACCCTTTGTCGACCAATTTCCACATAGGATTAAAAGGCAGGTAGATGTACCTTTGCCATTAAATAAATCATGACAAATTATTCATTAATTCATTCAAAAATGTGCATTGAGCAACTTCTATATACATTAAATGTATATGAGTTGGATGCATGGATGATGAATGAATAAATGGAAGGATGGATAAGTGGGAGGATAATTTAGTAAATGGATGGATGACTAGGATGGAGGGATGAGTGGATGAAAGATGGATGGATGGAGGGATGAGTGGATGAAAGATGGATGGATGGATGGATGGATGGATGATGAATGGGTAAAATCATCAGGAGGGAGCTTGACAAAGAAGTAGGAGACCCAGGATCTGGTCTGCAACATCATTTATCAGCTAAGCATATGAGCAAAGATTTTTTCAGTTACAAGTGACAGAAACTTAAAGTGGCGAACAGGGAAATAAAAAAGAAATGTATTGATTAATATATCTGAAAAATTATCATGAGTCTTTGTCTTGCAGCTCTGGTTTCTTTCATGTTAACATCATCCTTACCTAGTCTTTCCCCATCCAGTGGCCAGATTTACCATCAGCACCTCCAGCCTTACATTATTCCAGCTTTGCAACCTCCAAACGAGTGTCTTTCCCCCAAGAGTTCTAGAAAAAGTTCTTGAGAGGGTTCTCATTGGCCCAGCTTGAGTCATTTGCTCATCCCTGAACAAATCCTGTGGCAAAGAGGGTACAGTTCTCCAACTGGTCAGGTCTGCCCTGGACCCACCCACAAAGTCCAGAGATGATGTCTTGTACAGTGAAATGCATGGACTCAGAGTGAAGACAGGGTGGCATTCCCAGAAGAGAAAGAAATGGATGCTGGGCAGGCAAAAATCTTGGAAGTCCTCTTGCTGGGTGACTACAAGGCAGTTCCTTTGCCACTTGGAACCTCTCAGCCCCCTCCCATGGCTGTCCTCACTGCATAGATTTCTTGTGATGTGAAAGCTCTTTGACAAAGTGGGGCTTATGCTTTTCACTTGTCCCTTATTCAGCACCCATCTGTGGCTCTTCCTCCTTCTCCAAGCCTTCGCCAGCATTTGGCCTCCAGGTTCCTCCCTTTTCTGACTTATGCCACTTAACTTTTCAGGCCATGCAACCTGACAACTAACCATTAGGTGTATTTGGAGCAGAAAAAGTGCCCAGGCCTTTGTCAGGCCCAACAAGAAATACTGCAATGAATAAGACCTCTCTCTCCACACAGGGATCTCCCAGTTTAGTCAGAGACAAGTATCCTTCTTGCATTGTGCTCTAACTGCTCTCTGTGTGAGTCTAATCTCCAAAATAAAACCACTGGCTTTTCAGGGGCAAGACCATGACGCATCTTTCTGTCACCCACATCCCTCTAGGCCATTTTATCCCAAGAGCACCAACAAGGGAACTAGGGCCCTAAGTGCCCCCAACAGTGAAATAGTTGAAAGTCCTACCCCACTGGTCCCAACCTTCCTGCTAAAGGACCCAGTATCCAGGACAGTCTTCCTCTTTGCTACCTCACAGCACCTGCCTTGCCTTCCACACCACCTCACCTGGGGCCCTCAGTCACTGGGTCATTGGGACTTAGTTTAGCAATGGCTTCCATCTTTGGCTTCTGAAGTCAATGGAGCTGTGTGGCCCTGGCTGTCCTCTGGATCTAGACATCTCCAAGCTGACGAAGGAAAGGATCCTCCTCTGGCTGTTTCAGACCACGTTGCAAGGCCAGAAATAGGGTGGTAGCTTCGTGATCCCTTCCTTTAGCCAGCAAATATGTTCTGAACATCCACCCTTCTGCACCCAGCTAGTGTGCTGGGGAAAGAATGGTGAGTAGGTAGGCAGAGTCCTGTCTTTCAGGAACTCACAGACCAGCTGAGAAGACTGCTGGCTCCTCATCCAACCCGAGTGAAGCTTCTCAGACTCCACAGTGACATCCTCTATCCACTCATTGGAACAAGAATGATGGGAACTTAGTAAGAGTACCCTAGCTCCTTGGTGGAGGGGAGTTGGGAGTGAAGGAGAGGAGTGGCCCCATAATGAGCTACTCAAAATGATCTTTTGATGTCATTTGTCAGTCGGGTTCCTGGACTTAGCATATGTGCCCAGATTTACTTTTTCTCTACCTACTGCCAGGGAAGTATTGTGGCAACCATTGGCCACATGCTGAACATCTTGGCCTTGGCTTCAGCCATTCATTTAAGGAAGCCTATTAGGGCTCTTCTGGGAGGTTCCTGTGGCCTTTGCTGCTTAAACCAACGTGCCCAAATCTGCAATCTTGCTTCACTTACATCCTTCACATTATGTAGCACATGTCTGAATGCTGCTGACTCCTCAAAGGACAGCTGATGATGAATAAGTCTAAAGTGAAATAAAGCCAATGATTCAATGGAATTGAACTGCAATAAACCGAATGACCCTCTCTTAAGCACTTACAGACAGAAGGTTTTTTTTGTTTGTTTCTTTTTGGTTTTTTGTTTTGTTTTGTTTTTGTCAGGGTCTTACTCTGTTGCCCAGGCTGGAGTGCAGTGGCACCATCACGGCTCACAGCAGCCTCCAACTCCTGGACTCAAGTGATCCTTCCACCTCAGCCTCTCAAATAACTGGGACTATAGGCACATGCCACCACATCTGGCTAATTTCTTGTTTTTGTTTTTGTTTTTGTTTTGTTTTGTAGAGATGGGGTCTCACTATGTTGCCTAGGACATAGTGAGACCCCATCTCTACAAAACAAAACAAAACAGGAGTTCAAGTTGATTGCATGAACTCTTGGGCTCAAGTATTCCTCCTGCCTCAGCCTCCCAAAGTGCTGAGATTACAGGTGTGAGCCACCATCCCTGGCAGAAGTTGATTTTTTAAAAAGGAGGAACATTTCCTGACCCATCTGCTCTTGACCAAATATCCCATGAACTCCTTCCAAAGGTGAGCATTTCTCTGGCATATTTCTGCTCTTCTCTCCTTTAAACTCAGAGGTAATATTACTCCCAGGATCTCAGTCCCTTTTTCTCTCCCTGCCACATCTTCTTTCTGACATTAAAATCAGTCTCTGTCTTTCATATCCACACAGGGAGGAGGTGGGGTTCAGCTAATGAATATTTGAGAAGCCCTTTGAGATCTTGGATGAAAGGTACCTTATAAAATGCAATTAAAAATAATATGGGTAATTACTAGCTGGGCTAATCCCTGTAGGATAATTAGAGAGTTTTCCTCTGGCAGATTCTGAATTCATGCAGAAACTCAGAGTTCAAAAGGCAAAACTGATTTGAAATTTCAGGGGCCACTGGTATGCTTCCTCTGTTCCAGCATCATATCCGTGAGTCTTTTCTGAAATCTGAGGAGCTTCTTAGCAGGCCAGAGCTGGAAAGGATCTTTGAGATGATCTTTCCAAACTCTTTGGATTACAGATGAAGCCACCAAGACCCAGAAAACTGATGTGTCTGGCTTAAAGCTGCAGAGCAAGTGTGGGAGAGCCACAGCTCAGGTCCAGTCCCTAGACACCCCAATTTAGGGGTTCCTGTCACCACTCCTAATCTATAATGTACTCTCTCCAAATCTCTGCATACTGCACAGTAGAGTACTGGAACAAAAGTCACACAGAGTTGAATTCAAATCCCAGCTCTGACACAGATGAAAGCAAAGTAGCTGGCAAGTAAGCCTCAATTTCCCCATGTGTATAATGGGAATAATAACACCTGCCTCATAGGATTGTTGTGAGGAGTCAATGAGTAATGACACGGAAGCGTCTGGCACAAAGCACGTGTTCAGTCAAAGCTGCTGGAATGAATGGAGTCTTTGCAGTCCTGGGGTTTGACCTACAGTCCTTGTTTTGTACAGCTATGTTCAATCTGCATTTATGGGGCACTTACATGCTGCAGACTGTGCTAAGCTCTCCAGTACTTTATGTCATTTAGTCATCACCACATCCCCTCAAGGTCAGCAGTATGAAGTTGAGCTTCAGGTTGGTTAGCTAACTTGTCCAAGGCCACAGCTGAAGAGGAGGCAGGACTTGGCCCTGTGCGCTCAGCCACCACGTGACACTGTCGTCACTTGTGAGAAGAGGAATGCACATTGTTATAACCACAGTGGAGCCCTAAAAGGGTTTTCTGCTGGGATACAGGGGAGGAGTAATGGAGGGAGATTGGGAATGGTTGTAGCCTAAGAGGATCTATTGAAGCATTTTTGTTTCCAGTTATAAAAATTAAATTCTTCTCCTGCATAAGATTTAATTATTCTGAGGAGGCTGCACTGATGAAAGTAGTTAAATTATCTTCTCTGAAAAGATAATCAAGAAATCTGGATTCAGGTCCTGGATCTGCTCCTTAGAAACCGTGTGTCTTGCTCAAGTCCCTCAACGTTTCCATCTCCCCAAGACTTGTGTTCCTCATCTATGTAATGCCTTATCCCACATGGAGTCTTTGGAGGCTCAAATGTGAGTAACATGGAAGTGCTCTGTCAATTGCAACTTCTGTACAAATGAGAATCATTACTTGTACCATTCATAGTTTAGAAGACTTTCAGTCTGAAGGAGGAGATAGCTGGAAGCCCCAGGCTGGGCTACTAATCCAGCACACTTCGCAGGCTGGGGACAAAACACATCACATAATTTATGGCTCTGAGCTCAAATTATTTGGTTGGAAGTAGGCACTTTGGGGGAACAACCCTTTGAAATTTAATTGTAAATTAATGGGTTTCACTTGTTTCAGGTTTCAAATTTTTTTCTGGGCTGAGACCCAAGATTAAAACCTGATGTGTCACATTCTTTCATTCTGTGTGTTTAGAAGAAAACAGGCCCCTGTGAAAGGCTGCTGGGTGAGGCTGGCAAAGGAGGAAGGAGCTGATCCAAGAGTTGTTAATCACCCCCCAACGATTTCCTCATCAACCGAGCCTTTCCCAAGGACTCCCTAGAAACTTGAATAACCAGGAATGTATTCTTCTGAACTACCCTGTTTAAAACGGACAGCTGAGTCATCCTTTCCAGGGATGTCCAGGGCTGACCAAGAGAATGACAGTGGCTAAGGCTATCAGAGCCAAAGGACACTCAGAGGTTGCTCTCTGCAGCCACCCCAGGCAGGGGTTTTTTGAAGAGATGGTCATCTCACACCCCTAGCGATGGGGAACTCACTCCCTCTCATTGTCAGACACTTGCTGGAAGCTGCTCCAGATCTCCAGCCTCCATTTATCTCTGTGTAATTCTCACCCACTGCTCAAGGGTCCATCCTCTGGAGCCACAGGGCCATGTATAGCCCTCTCCACCACCTGCGTCAACCCTGAGACAACCCTTCCCAAGACTAAGTCCTACAAGTTAAAGAGATGGATGTAGCTGAAAATATATATCTTGAGGCATCAGAAGGCTTGAATTCAAATCTCAGCTTAACAACTCATTAGCTTTGTGACTTTGGGAAATTTGCTTAACATCTCTGATCCTTAGTGTACTTATCTTTAAAACAAATACCTTTGGGGATTGCTGTGAGGATCTAACATATAAAGGAAGAGGAACCTAAGGCCAGAAGTAAAGTCAGACCCAAGTGAATACATGGGAAGAAACTATCACACACTCCGGGGAATTCTGTACCGTCTGGTGGCCTAGACCTGTTACACACAGGACTTTACTAGGAATGAAGGGGTGATTCTGCACTAATCCTTATATCCATGCAGTGCAGGGAGTCAAATTAGAGAGCCCTCTGAATAAAGCCAGGACTCAGAAACAGCTATACTCTCTGAGAAAAAGGATGATTGATGAAAAATAAAACAAACAAAACATAAAACCTGCACAGTATAACTAAGCAGCAAGGAAAAGTGTCTGTGTCCACCTTGATTTACAGTAGTTGGGGGAGAAAATAGTGCCCTGAGGTTTCAGTGCTACTGGCTGACCATTGCATAACTAGGGATTCTGAAATGACACTAATTTACACATGGTCTTAAAACCCTCAAGATGATCAATTGAATTTAAGTGGACCTTGAAAAAGAAAAAAATAAAGTGGACTCTGTTCTGTTATCAGTATGTCCTGACGCCTGACAGAAGCAATCAGGAATCTTCCCTACAGAAATGCACCCTCAAGCCAAGCCTTATAGAATTATCATAAGATTCCAAAAACTAGGGGCTCACAATCAAAATGATGTGTGCAAGGAAACAGACCACCATGAATCAGTGGCAGCAGAAACAGCAAATTATAGAACCAGGCCCACAAAGACTTCAGATATTGGGATACATATAGACTATAGAAAAATTATGTTTAATATGTTTAAATAAACATATTAAAGAAAGACTCAAAAGAAGACTCACACCCACATCTTCTGGCATGGTCCAGTGCTCTTTCCACTAATTCAAGAAAGAAAGAATAAAAAATGAGTCAAGAACAAAAGAATATAAAAATGACCAGGCAGATTTGAAAAATAATCCAAGTACCTACTAATGATGAAGTATCTCAAGCTTCCTCTATGAAAGCCAACACACTTCCTATTAGACAAAAATTTAGAAAATGTCCAGTCCACCCCCAGCTATTAAATGCATCCTGTGCCAGCAGCAGGAAACAGTCATAAATATTCTTCCAGAATCATCCTTTTGCCTGACCCATTCCTCTTGTGCTGCTTTTCCTAGCTCTGGGATTCCCTGGATTCCTTTCCCAGTTCCAGGCACCAACTTCTGGCCCTCTTCCTTATCTAGGTGACACATTCAGACACTCCTCAGCTCCCCTCTCAGCTCCACATTTCATGGGGCACCTTCAGTCCAAGTGTGAGGGGGTCTCAAATATGACTGTGCTAGCAGCAATTATTATAAACACGCTACGTGCTACCACCACCATCTGCATGCTTCTTTACAAAATACCTTTTATGTCTATGAAAGCTTGGTCATCCTCACAAATGAAGGAGACAGGTTCACAGAGTTATAGTCATTCAGCTAGAAATGGACAGAGCCAAGACTCAAAAGAAGACTCACACCCACATCTGGCATCTCCCAGTGCTCTTTCCACTAATTCAAGCTACCTCCAATAATAGAGCAATGATGAATAACCAACCAGCACTGTCTGTTCTTTATTATTACATAGGTTAAACCCTCACCTGTTTTCATCAAACTGAACTGAAACCTTCTCAAGAGTTACCCAGTTGGTTGAGAAATCTGTGGGTCATTGCCAAGTACGGTCTTAGGATCAAGGAAATGTTAATTTATGTCCCAATTGTTTGGAGATCACTGGCTACAGTTAGTGGAGACATAAGTACAGGTTCTTTCGGGCAAAAGCCAGCCTAAGCATAGCACACGATGGAGAGGTACCCGACGGGAACGGAGTCCCTATGATTCCCCCCTTCCCCTGTCTCAGGGTAACATCTGAAGTTCCACAGAAAAACATGTTTTAAACTATCAAACAAAACATTAAAAACCTATATAAAAAAAAATGAGAGCATGTGTACCCAGCTAGGTAAAGTGTGCAATTTGAGTCTGTTTTCTGTTCATTTTACTCCGGGAGAGATTGTCTAGACAAAAGCAGAAAAGAAACTTTGTGTGCGCCCTCTTGTGGAGGAGGCCTAGCACTGCAGGGCCACCCCCAGCCAGCCTTGCCCTTTAGAGCTGCTGAATGAGACAGACAAGGGGCTGCCTGCCCATGGAATTTACATTCTAGTGGAAGCAGATGGGGAAAATCCCAAGCAGATAAATGAACAAGATCTTTCCAGATCATGAAAGTAAAGAGCATAAAACAGGGTAATGTAATAGAGTGAGTAGAGGAGGGTGTGGGTCAGGCTACAAGTTGTGTGTTCAAGAAAGGCCAGCTGGGGCAGGGGAGAGGAGATGGCTGAGCTGAGCCCCAAGTGTCAAGAAGTTACCAACCACGGGAAGTTCAGGGCAACCAGCCCAGGCAGTGCCAACGCCTTGAGGTAGGAATGAGTTTGGGGTGTCAAGCACAGAGAAGCCAGTGTGACAAGTGGCAAAAGCAAACAGAAGTATTCCAGTGAGTGAGGATGGAGGGTGAGGCACCTCTGGGAGCACGCATATCATCCAAGTAGGAAAACGGGGTCTGTTTCACACTTTCAGGAGACTTAATTCTCACCCCTGCACCCACCTCCCACAGCCAGTTCTTCAGCAAATCCAGTTGGCTCTGCCTCAAACCATCCACTTTCCTCATCCCTATGGCCATCCCCAGCCCTAGTTATCACCCTCTTCTGCAATAGCTTCCTAGTGGATCTCCTTGCCCCTTGCAAGGCATTCTCCTCTCCACAGAAAAGTGATCTGCTTAATGTAAATGAGAAAATCAGATGGTGCCTCTTCCTTGCTTAGAACTCTCCAATGGCTTTGCACTTAGAATAAACCTCCCCTTAGGTCTGACTTATCCCTGCCTCTGCTCCAGCCACAGTAAACTCTAATCTCTTTCCTGCTTCAGGACACTTGCACTCGCAGTTCCCTACACCAGGAACATTTTTTCCTTGGTTTTTGACAAATCTGGTTCCTTTTCATCCTCCTGGGCTCAGCTTAAACTTCTCAGGGAATCCTTCCTTGACCACTCCATCCAAAGGAGCCCCCAAGTGACTCTCCATCACCTTGTCCTATTGATTTCCCTCATGGCAGCTATGATAATGTGTCATTTTTCCATTTATTCATTATTTTCTTACTTTTCATCTTTTTTCACATTGTATTTGAGGTCCATGAGGGCAGAGACCATAACTCTTATTCACTGCTGGATCCTCAGTGCCTGCAGAGCTCCTGGTATTTGCGTGATATTTGAGGAATGAATGAATGAGCCCTAGGAGGTAGCAGTCAAGATGGAATCTAGGAATTATCTAGCCCAACAGCCCTCAAATTCTGTTTTTAGCACAGAAGCTGTTTCCAAATGGACTCTTACACAGAACCTAAGAATGAAGCAAGACACAGCAGACATGAGCCCTGCCCTCCTGGCTCTGTCTCCATGTCGCCAAGAGCCCTGGCTGAGCCAACGACACTGGCAGCTCTTGAGAAACACCTCCCAGGTGGCTAAGTCCTCATGAATTTTCCCTCAGCCCATGTTTCTCTGACTTCCCCTGTTCTACAAATGAGAACAGAGGCAGAATGGAAAATAATATTTTAAATTGCCATCAGCAGTTTGGGGGGTGGGTAGAGTTAAATATATTAGAGAAAATTTTCATGGGGGAATGTATTTGGGAACACTTCTGGGGTGTGAGTGAGCTCTGTGGTTTTTACTTCAGAGCACCTATGTGGGCTCAGGCACATTTGCAAGAATTTCTGGAAGCCCTGTGTGCCCCAAAGAGGGAGCAGAGACCAGTTACTCTCCTGCCATCCTTTTCCTTCTCCAGAACATTGATGTGCCCTTTCAGGTGCCAGGCAGCACAACTCAGTGGGCACAAAAAGAGGGTGAGTCGGCAGAGGCCTGCTGTCCAGGTGTCCTGGGAAAGTCCTTAGCTGTGTTCACATCATTTATGACCCAGTTCGTATATTCTCAACTCACCTTTTTACCTTGGCCATTGATGTGGCAACCAACTATATGCAAATGTAGCCTGACTGCTGTCCAGAATGTCTCTTGATTTCTGTTTGTTTTTTTTGAGACAGAGTTTTGCTCTGTCACCTAGGCTGGAGTGCAATGGTGCGATCTCGGCTCACTGCAGCCTCCACCTGCCAGGTTCAAGCGATTCTCCTGCCTCAGCCTCCTGAGTAGCTGGGATTACAGGCATGTGCCACCATGCCCGGCTAATTTTTGTATTTTTAGTAGAAATGGGGTTTCACCATGTTGGCCAGGCTGGTCTCAAACTCCTGACCTCAGGTGATCCGCCTGCCTCGGCCTTCCAAAGTGCTGGGATTACAGGCATGAACCACCGTGCCCAACCATGTCTCTTCATTTCTAATGGCTACTTATCAGCTGTGTGATCTTGGGCAAGTTGCTTAACCTCTCTAGGTTTCATCATCTGAAAAAGGGGGATGATAATGATACCACTTCATATGATTGTACCAAACAGTAAATGAGTTAATAAATGTAAAGTGCTTACAACAGTGCCTGACACAAAGCAAGTGCTATCAAAAAGATCAACATTGTTATAATAACTATTATTATTGTTGTTACTCTCGCTAGGGCTGAGCACTAGAAGAGGGAGACGGGGCTTCCTGTAGCTCCGAGTCTGCTAAGCAGGAGCCTGATTTGCCATGGACAGGAGTTGACTTCAGTCCTCAGGCTTGTGGGGTGGGGGCAGGGAGGACAGGAGCTACCATTTATTGAAGGCACAGAATCAAAGAATTCTCAAAACACCTTAGGGAGAAGATACTCTTGGTATCAAAGTGGTGCCATTGGTCTGGGGCAATAACCGAGGTTCATTGCCTCATTCCAAGGAAATCGAGGACATGGACACAAACGAGGAGTGAGTTTAAGAGCAGAGGTTTAATAGGTGAAAGAAAGAGAAAAGAGAAAAACTCTCTCCTGCAGAGAGAGGGGCTCCGGACTGGATCTTCCAGTTCCACGGTGAAATGCATGGAGGCGTTTTGTAGATGAGCTTGAGGAGGCAGTGTCTGATTGACATAGGGCATGAGAGATTGGTCAAACCAGGTGTGCTGTTTGCATAGCATGCAAAGAAGCTGGTCATCCCACCCTAATCTTTTATTATGCAGATGGGGTCTCTACCTGGCCGGTGCCATGTTGCCTGCTTTTTACTGCACATGTGGTGACAAAGGAAAGGGAAGAGGGAACCTCCGTGTTGAATATACCTGGCTTCCAGATATCGCTTTTCTATTGCCACAGCTGCCAGTATTTACCTATGTGAGCTTTTAGCTTGCTTATCTATGCTTGCAGCTTGATTTTTCAGGTTGCTTTTTCTTAGAAAAGAAACAAGTTAGGGGCTGCTTTTTATTAAAAGGAAACCTTACTGAGGACTCTCTTACCCTCACTATCTGCCTAAATAATTTCTTTCTAGTTCCTGTATCACTATCACCTTTTTAGAGATGAGGAAACCAAGGCTTCAGGGGGTTACAGGAGTCATCTGAGGTCATGTAGCCTGGAGTGTCTGAACCAGGGTTGCCCCTAGGCCCAGTGAGTGTGGCCCTGGTCCCTGTCGCCACCCTGCAAAAGGAAGGAAAGGGTAGTGCATATCCCTGTGGTTCCCAGAATGTCCTAGGGGAAGAAGGAAACTGCAAAGATGTACCTCTCAGCCCTTTGTGCCTGCTGGAAAATGCTGCAGGCAATATCCTATCAGGGTCCTGAGGGGAAGGTGGTGCTCTGGGCACTGCTTCCCTGACCTATATCCAGGAGGCTGGGCTCTGGGTGAGGTAGGTGGGGATGGGAATCTGTTGGGAAGAGCACTGGGCCAGGAGTCAGGAGCTGAATTTCAGACCTCACCCAGTGTGCCAGTTCCAGCACCTAAAACAAGGCCTATCAAGTAGCAAGGAGTGCACAATCAATATTCATTGAAGAAATGGATGAGTGAATCCATGAATGAATAACATAGGCCCTGCTCTCAGGGAGCTTTCAGCCTAGAGGAGCAGAGGAGACAGGTGCAGCAGCTACAGAGTTCAGATGAGGGGAGTGCCCTAGGACCTGGGTTATACCCCAAAACGGGAGCCTTCTGGGGCCTAACAGGTAAAGGGGACTACAGAAGGCAAAGAGGAGAGAGGAGTGCAGAGCACAGAGGCCTGCGGAGCATGGGCTTGGAGGCTGAGTAGGTTAGCACTTGAGAGGGATGTGAGAAACGGCTCACACTGTTCGGATCCTTATATTCTGGAACACATCCTGCCCCGACAAGTCCTTCCCTTCACTCTCTCAAAGCATAACTCCAAACTGTGCAGTTATCTGTGGATTGGGGTAAGCTTGGCTCCCCCACACTGATTTTCTAAATTTGGGCTGGACACAGGAGCTGGTTTGACACAGAGGCCCCACAGGTCTCCTCCATCCAACAAGCAAAGCCTGGGACCAGCCCAACCTTCAGGGAGTCGCCCTCAGCCTCCTGAGCTATAGGCCTTCACTGCACCCAAGTCTTCACTGACGCAGACCTCCACACTATGCCCTCCTCCCTGGCTGCCCAACCCTCCACCGTGGGGTCAGACACACCCTGCCCACCCCTGGCAGCTGGTCCCTACAGCCTCTCCCTGGCCCGCCCTGGCCAAACACTGGCAGAGGGAAGCCTGGGAAAACCAGACAGGCAGGACTTGCCAGATGGCAGCCAGGCCTGAAGGAACCTGGGGAGAAGAGGGTGACGTGAAGGTCACTGGGGCTCCCTGAAAGTCAGAAAGACATGGAGATCAGTTGTTGTTACTGAGACGTAATGGGCAGTAAGACTTACTCTTTTGTTTCCCAACAAATGACAGAATTATACCAGAAGTAATAACCCTTTCCATCTCTATAGGGCTATCGAGTCTCCAGCCCATGTTCACATGAGGTATCCGCTCTAACAGAGGAGCAGGAACAGAAGGGAACCTGGGGCGTACCTCCCTCCATCGCATAGCAGCAGGTGCAGGCACCGTGTCTTTGCCCAGTGCTTCCATCTGCTGTCCTCAGGCTATTGCCCTGCCCCAAAGCCTAACGTGGCAGACACGTGCTGAGCAGTTTCAGCTGGCCTTGGGGATTGGGATTTTAGGAGCAAGCTTCAGAAACCCTGTGGAAGACTGGGAAAGTCGGTGAAATAATAAAGATGGTCCTGACGATGACAGAGGGCACATTCTGATGTCACACGGCTTTAAGCATGTGCTAAGCACTCACATGTGCACCTTGAATACCTCACAACAGCCATCTTACTGATGGGGAAGCCAAGGACTGACTAGTAAGGTTAAGCAACATGACAGTAAGATTAAATTAGTAGTCCTAACCTGGATTCACAGACTTAGTAGATCGGGATTTGAGACCAGCATTTCAGTGGTTGATTAATAGACACTCGCAGGAGCTGCTGTACATGCTGCCATCCATGAATGCTCAGGTTGCAAAAATTACATGGGTCCCCTTCATTGCTCTACTTTAAATTGGGATGGATAATCTTGGCTACTCGGGAGGCTGGGGTGGGAGGACGGCTTGAGCCCGGGAGTTTGGAGATGCGAGCTATGATCCTGCCACTCCACTTCAGCCTGGGTGCAGGGGGAAACTTTGTCAAAAAAAAAAAAAAAAAAAAAAATAGAAAGGAAAAGAAAAGAAAATTGGCGTGGGTAAGTAGACAGTGAGTAGAGACCGGTTCCCAAACTTCACAGGGCATTCGTCTCACTTGGATTCATCTTCCTGTTCCCTCCCTCTGTCCTCACCCTCCCTCCCTATTCCCTCTTGCGCGCAGGCACACACACCACGCACAAACACACATCGGCTTGAGATCCCAAACTTTTTCCAGCAATGTCATTGACATGGGCCCCCTGCTGGCCAGTCAAGGGTTACCGCATACTAACAAAGCAATGATCCTTGACTACCACCTAGTGACGTAATGTGGTAACATTACATTTCTTTTCTATCCCTTCACAATCTGATGTGGTATTAAATATTTCGGCAACCGGAAGCCAAAATGTTAAGAGCTTGCTCTTTGTGCTCCCTGCTTCAGAATCCCTTAAAAAATTCCTCATTAAAGTATATAACAGTAAAATTTTGATGAAGTTGAAACTCTAAATTTAACTCAAAACTTGGCAGTGAAATTTGAATTAGAATAACAGGGGTACTATTTATCAAGCATCTATCAGCTAGGCATTGTACCAGTTGCTTTATATTGCTTAATTTACAATTTAATTTGATACTTCTATGAGGCATATCTTATATGTATTTAACAGATTTCAAAATTGGGGCTCTGAGAGAGAAAATAGCTTATTCAATATCAAACAGTTATTATGCAGAAGACTCAGGACTAACCAATACCGTCATTTATGAAGCATGCAAAAGTTAACCAAATGACTCTCAAAACACCCTTGGAGAACTACAGGATTAGTCCTATTTTAGGAATGAGGAATAGAGATCCAGGAAAGTTAAGGAGCTTCTTAAAGTTCACACAATGAGTATTGCAAAAAGTTAAGTGTCAGACTTCACTCCTCAGGAAGTGGAGTCTTTGCTGTGCTGCTCCTTGCCCCCCAGGGCCAAGACAACAGTTGTGCTCTGACATTTTAGGGTCCTCGCTGCCATTGTACCTGGCCTCACAGAGTCTAAAATATACCCCACCATCTCCAAGGTCTAGAGTCACCACATGGTTCCTCATCCCTGACACCTGAGTTGCCACCAAGCCCTATTGGCTCAGGGTCCTGAATTGCAGCCATATTCTGCTCCCCAGGCCCAAACCTCCAGAGCACTCCTTCTTCTCCTGAGTCAGACCAGTTCTTTGCCCTGGCCCCTAGAAGTAGAATTGCAGCTACAACCCAGCCCCTGAGCCCAAACTGCTAAAGGTGCCTCAGAGTCCCAGATCACGGCTCTCTGGACAACCTACATCCAATAAACACAGAGAGCAAACCTGCACCACAAGATCCAGGTGCCACAATAGGTTTGTGATACACTGAGCCTAGGACCCCAACCCCACAAATGCTCTAAGCACCTTCACCTGGAACCTAGTACCACTGCAGCTGCATGTAGGCCATGTCCGACCTGATACCGAGAAGGATTTTCTCAGCTAAGTCTCCACACTGTGGGGGAAATAAGAATAAGAGGACCCCAAAAGCCCTCGCTCATGAAGACTTTAACAACCTCCACCACTACTGCCACCGCCACAAACTTCTACAACCTAAGTCATTGAGGCACCCACAGTTATTCAGTGAGCCAACAAATGAGGAAGCTGCATAGAGATTATATCACTCAACTTACCCAAAAACAGAGTTGTCCTCACCAACCAGCACACCAAGACCAAACTGCAGGTGAAAGTCTTTCTCTGCAAAGATGATTCTAGAAAGTTTGGAAGAGGTAAATGTTCCATCAGATGCACAGATACAAGAAACATCATGCAGAGACAGAAGAAACATAAACAAGCAAGGAAATACGACACCACTAAAGGAATACAATAACCCTCTAGTAACAGACTCTGCTAAAAATGAAATTTAAAAATTTCTGGAAAAGGAGTTCAAAATAATGATTTTAAGGAAACTCAATGAGATACAAAAAATACAGATAGACAATTTAACAAAATCAGGAAAACAATTCATGATATGAATGAGAAATTTAACAGAAGGTGGATTTTTTAAAAAAATAAACAAACCCTGAAGCTGAAGAATTCAATGAATAAAATAAATAATACAATAGAGAGATTCAACAATAGACTTGATCAAGCAGAAGAAAGAACTCTAAATTCAAAGACAGATCATTTGAAATTATCCAGTCTGAGAAAAAAAAAAGAATGAAAAATAGTGAAGAAAGCCTATAAGACTTATGGGACACCATTAAGTGAACAAATATTCATAGTGTGGCGCTGGAAACACTGGATATCCACATGCAGTAGAATTAAACTAGATCCCTATCTCTTATATACAAAAGTCAACTCTGAATGAATTAATGACTGAAATATAAGACCTTAAACTATGAAACTATTGGAAGAAAACAAAAACATTGTATCAGAACATTGGTGTGGGCAAAGACTTTGTGAAGAGGACCTCAAAAGCACATGGATCAAAAGCAAAACTAGACAAATAGGATTGTATCAAACTAAAAAATTCCTGCACAGTGAAAGAAACAATCATCAGAGTGAAGAGACAACTAGCAGAATGAGAGAAAACATTTGCAAACTATTTATTCAACAAGGGATTACTATCTGGAATATACAAGGAACTCAAACAACTCAAAAGCAAAAACCAACCAAACAAACAAAAAAACCCACCAACAATCCAATTTAAAAATGAGCAAATGAGCTAAATAAACGTCTCTTAAAATAATACATAGGAATAGACAACAGGTATATGAAAAAAATGCTCAAAATCACTAATCATCAGAGAAATGCAAATCAAAACTACAATGAGATATCATATTAATACAGTTAGAATGATTGTTATCAAGAAGACAAAAAGTAAATAAATGCTGGTGGGGATGCAGAGAAAGGGAACTCCTATACACAGTTGGTGGGAATGCAAATTAGTGCAGCCATTATGGAAAACAGTACGGTGCTTCCTCAGAAAGCTACAAATCGAACTACCACATGATCCAGCAATCCCACTACTGGATATATATCTGAAGGGAAGGAAATCAATATGTTGACGAGATGTCTGCACTCTCATGCTTATTGCAGCACTATTCACAATAGTCAAGATATGGACTCAACCTGTGTCCATCAACAGATGAATGGATAAAGACAATGTGGTACATATACACAAGGGAGTACTATTCAGCCACAAAAAAGAAAGAATCTTGTCATTTGCAGCAACGTGAATGAGTCTGGAGGACATTATTTTAAGTGGAATAATTCAGGCACAAAAGGACAGATACCACATGTTCTCACACATGTGAAAGCTGAAAAAGTTGATGTCATAGAAATAGAGAGTAGAATAGAGGTTACTAGAAGCTGGGAAGGATGGACAGATGGATAGCCTAATTTTGGCTAACAGATACAAAATTACAGCTAGATAGGAGAAATAAGTTGTAGAGTCCTAGGGCAATGTAGGGTGATTATAATTAATGACAATTTACTGTATATTTTTAAATAGCTAGAAGAGTATATTTTGAATATTCCCAACACAAAGAAATGATAAATGTTTGTGGTGATGGATATGTTAAGGAACCCAATTTGATCATTATACATTGTATACATATATTGAAATATCACATTGTAAGCCATGGAGAGGGGCCTAGGTTGATGACTTCATCATAGTTATGAAAACTCTGGAAGCCACTAAGGATCTAAAAGATGAGAGTCATCCTGGAATCCAAGTTTGGCCTCAGAGAGAGGCCTATTTGAGCTCTCTACTCTCTTTGGTACTTGGAGGAGAGAAACCTCCATAGGCACCAGAGTTCTCTTAGTTTCAGATTCATCACAACTGTAAGGCATCCCATTTTACAGATGGGGAACTGAGATCAAAAGAGTTGCCATTTATGTTGGAGATCCCACAATCAGTAATTATCAAATTAGAAATAAACCACATATTATAAAACAATATCAATTGTGTATTTTGTATGCATATACTAAAGTATTTATGCAGTTGTTTCCATGTGGAAGTATAACCAGTGATTTATGTTTTCATCTATATTCTATATCTTGTACATTCAGCAGCCTGATAAGACTTTTCTGAAGCACAGACGTGATCAATTCATTTCCTAAATGGTTATCCTTTCTTCTCAGAAGGAGATTCTCATTTCGTATTATGGCTACAAGCTTAAAAGGAATGAAAGAGTTTAGAACAACTCATGGTGGAAAGTCTAACAGGAAAATGTCATGAAAATGCAGGACTTCAAAAGACCGAACCTTTAGTGTATTCTCATTCATGAGAAATACAACTGCCAAGAAACTGCCTGATGCACACTTGGCTCTGGGGAAAACAAAAACAAAAACAACAACAACAACATCAAAAGACAAAACAAAACCAAAACAAAAAGCTCTTCTTGAGAATTTATAACCATAAATCAGTATCACATTGTGATCCAAATTCATACAACCTGTGGTCTTCCTAAAATTTCAAATGACAAATGAGGTTTCTGAGGACAACCTGATACATGAAAGCACATTGGGAAGTTCCTCCAGTCAATTAGAAAAAGAAAACAGAAGACCTCTCTAAAAGAACTCAACTACAATTCAGGCCTTAAAGAATTTCCACAAATAAGCTCCCAAGGCAAGTGGCAACTCACAGTCAAAAATCACAAACAAATCACATGAAAGTGCCAGAAGAAATTACAGACAGTAAAGTCACACACACATAGACTTTAGCACTAGAATTATCAGATAATTATAATATTGCCATGCTTAATAGGATTAAAGACATAAAAGAAAGAATTGACAACACAAGTCAGCATCAAGAAATGAAAAAATGACTATGAAAGTAGAAAAACAAAATATCAAATAGATTAACCTTAAATGTAAATGGGCTAAATGTCCCAATTAAAACATATAGACTGCCAAATTGGATAAAGAGTCAAGACCCATTGGTGTGCTGTATTCAGGAGACCCATCTCATGTGTAAAGACACACATAGGCTCAAAATAAAGGGATGGAGGAATAGAATATTTACCAAGCAAATGGAAAGCAAAAAAAAACAAAAACAAAAACAGGGGTTGCAATCCTAGTCTCTGATAAAACAGACTTTAAACCAACAAAGATCAAAAGAGACAAAGAAGGCCATTATGTAATGCTAAAGGGATCAATTCAATAAGAAGAGCTAACTATCCTAAATATATATGCACCCAATACAGGAGCACACAGATTCATAAAGCAAGTCCTTAGAGACCTACAAAGAGACTTAGACTCCCACACAATAATAGTGGGAGAGCTTAACACCCCACTGTCAATAATAGACAGATCAATGAGACAGAAAATTAACAAGGATATTCAGGACTTGAGCTCAGCTCTGGACCAAGCAGACCTAATAGAAATCTACAGAACTCTCCACCCCACGTCAACAGAATATACATTCTTCTCAGCACCACATTGCGCTTATTCTAAAATTGACCACATAATTAAAAGTAAAACACTCTTCAGCAAAAGCAAAAGAATGGAAATAATAACAGTCTCTCAGACCACAGTGCAATCAAATTAGAACTCATGATTAAAAAACTCACTCAAAACCACACAACTACATGGAAACTGAACAACTTGCTTTTTAATGACTACTGGGTAAATAAAGAAATTAAGGCAGAAATAAATGAGTTCTTTGAAACCAATAAGAACAAAGACACAACATACCAGAATCTCTGGGACACAGCTAAAGCAGTGTTTAGAGGGAAATTTATAGCGCTAAATGCCCACAGAAGAAAGCAGGAAAGATCTAAAATTGACACTCTAACATCACAATGAAAAGAACTAGAAAAGCAAGAGCAAACAAATTGAAAAGCTAGCAGAAGGCAAGAAATAACTAAGATCAGAGCAAAACTGAAGGAGATAGGGAAATGAAAAACCCTTCAAAAAATCAATAAATCCAGCAGCTGGTTTTTGGAAAAGATTAACAAAATACATAGACTGCTAGCAAGACTAATAAAGAAGAAAAAAGAGAAGAATCAAATAGACACAATAAAAAATGATAAAAGGGATATCACCACTGAGCCCACAGAAATACAAACTACCATCAGATAATTCTATAAATGCCTCTATGCAAATAAACCAGAAAATCTAGAAGAAATGCATAAATTCCTGGACACATACACTCTCCCAAGACTAAACCAGGAAGAAGTCGAATCCCTGAATAAACCAATAACAACTTCTGAAACTGAGGCAGTAATTAATAGCCTACCAATCAAAAAAAGCCCAGGACCAGACGGATTCACAGCCAAATTCTACCAGAGGTACAAAGAGGAGCTAATACCATTCCTCCTGAAACTATTCCAAATGATAGAAAAGGAGGGACTCCTCCCTAACTCATTTTATGAGGCCAGCCTCATCCTGATACCAAAACCTGGCAGAGACAAAACAAAAAAAGAAAATTTCAGGCCAATATCCCTGATGAACATTGATGCAAAAATCCTCAATAAAGTACTGTCAAACCGAATCCAGCAGCACATCCAAAAGTTTATCCACCATGATCAAGTCGGCTTCATCCCTGGGATGCAAGTCTGGCTCAAAATACGCAAATCAATAAATGTAATCCATCACATAAGCAGAACCAATGACAAAAACCACATGATTATCTCAATAGATGCAGAAAAGGCTGTCGATAAAATTCAACACCCCTTCATGCTAAAAACTCTCAATAAACTGGGTACTGATGGAACATATCTCAAAATAATAAGAGCTATTTTTTATAAACCCACAGCAAATATCACACTGAATTGGCAAAAGCTGGAAGAATTCCCTTTGAAAATTGCCACAAGACAAGGATGCCCTCTCTCACCACTCCTATTCAACATAGTATTGGAAGTTCTGCACAGAGAAATCAGACAAGAAAAAGAAATAAAGGGTATTCAATTAGGAAAAGAGGACGTCAAATTGTCCCTGTTTGCAGATGACATGATTGTATATTTAGAAAACTCCATTGTCTCAGTCCCAAATCTCCTTAAGCTGATAAGCAACTTCAGCAAAGTCTCAGGATACAAAATCAATGTGCAAAAATCACAAGCATTCCCATACACCAATAATAGACAAACAGAGAGCCAAATCATGAGTGAACTCTCATTTACAATTGCTACAAAGAGAATAAAATACCTAGGAATACAATTTACAAAGGATGTGAAGGACCTCTTCAAGGAGAACTACAAACCACTGCTCAAGGAAATAAGAGAGGATACAAACAAATGGAAAAAAATTCCATGCTCATGGATAGGAAGAATCAATGTCGTGAAAATGGCCATACTGCCCAAAGTAATTTATAGTTTTAATGCTATCCACGTCAGGCTACCATTGACTTTCTTCACAGAAGTAGAAAAAACTACTTTAAATTTCATATGGAAACAAAAGAGATCCTGTATAGCCAGGACAATCCTAAGCAAAAAGAATAAAGCTGGAGGCAACACACTACCTGACTTCAAACTATACTACAAGGCTACAGTAACCAAAACAACATGGTGCTGGTACTAAAACATATATATCGACCAGTGGAACAGAACAGAGGCCTCAGAAATGATGCCACACATGTACAACCATCTGATCTTTGACAAACCTGACAAAAACAAGCAATGGGGAAAGGATTCCTTATTTAATAAATGGTGTTGGGAAAACTGGTTAGCCATATGCAGAAAACTGAAACTGGACCCCTTCCTTACACCTTATACAAAAATTAACTCAAAATGGATTAAAGACTTAAACATAAGACCTAAAACCATAAAACCCTAGAAGAAAACCTAGACAGTACCATTCAGGACATAGGCATGGGCAAAGACCTCATGAATAAAACACCAAAAGCAATGGCAACAAAAGCCAAAATTGACAAATGGGATCTAATTAAACTAAAGAGCTTCTGCACAGCAAAAGAAACTATCATCAGAGTGAACAGGCAACCTACAGAATGAGAGAAAATTTTTGCAATCTATCCATCTGACAAAGGGCTAATATCCAGAATTTACAAGAAACTTAAACAAATTTGTAAGAAAAAATAAACAACTCCATCAAAAAGTGGGTGAAGAATATGAACAGAGACTTCTCAAAAGAAGATATTTATATGGCCAACCAACATGAAAAAATGCTCATCATCACTGGTCATTAGAGGAATGCAAATTAAAACCACAATGAGATACCATCTTACACCAGTTAGAATGGAAATCATTAAAAAGTCAGGAAACAACAGATGCTGGAGAGGATGTGGAGAAATAGGAACGCTTTTACACGGTTGGTGGGAGTGCAAATTAGTTCAACCATTGTGGAAGACAGTGTGGCGATTCCTCAAGGATCTAGAACCAGAAATACCATTTGTCTCAGCAATCCCACTACTGGGTATATACCCAAGAGATTATAAATCATTCTACTATAAAGACACATGCACACATACGTTTATTGCAGCACTATTAACAATAGCAAAGACCTGGAACCAACCCAAATGCCCATCAATGATAGACTGGATAAAGAAAATGTGGTACATATACACCATGGAATTCTATGCAGCCGTAAGAAAAGGATGAGTTTATGTTCTTTGCAGGGACGTGGATGAAGCTGGAAACCATCATTCTCAGCAAACTAACACAGGAACAGAAAACCAAACACTGCATGTTCTCACTCATATGTGGGAGTTGAACAATGAGAACACATGGATACAGGGAGGGGAACATCACACACTGGGGCCTCTCAGGGGGTGGGGAGCTAGGAGAGGGATAGCACTAGGAGAAATACCTAATGTAGATGACGGGTTGATGGATGCAGCAAACCACCACGGCATGTGTATACGTAGGTAACAAACCTGCACGTTCTGCCCATGTATCGCATAACTTAAAGTATAATTTTAAAAAAATAAAATAGAACTTCTAGAAATTAGTAATATAAAAATTGGATTTAAACTTCAGTGGATAGATTAAACAGATGATTAGACACAATGGAAAGAATCTAGTTAACTGGAAGATACATCTGAAGAAATTACCCAGAAAGCAGCCTCAGAGACAGAGACGAGACATAAGGAAAAGGTTAAAGAAATAAGGATGATAGAAGAAGAGGGCTAACATATGTTGAATTAGACTTCCAGAAAGAGATAATACTAAAAGTGATAATGAGAGCTAATAATTTTATAGTACTTACTATGTGCTCCTATTGTAAATCATTTATATACATTAAATTATTAATCTTCACAGCAAACCTATAGATTAATAATGTTATCCCCATTTTACTGATGAGGAAACAAACATAACAGAGTTACAAAATCTGGCTAAGGTCCCATAGGAGAAATGCCAAGTAGCCTGGTCTTGTGTTCTTCACCGTTATGTTAATATTTAAAGAGATTATAGCATTAAATTGTTTAAAAATGTTAAATGATGATAATTTTAAAATCTAGGAAACTCCACAAATCCCAAACATGATTTGAAAAAGAGTCACCAGATACAATTTGGTGAGAATGTATCATAGCAGAGAAAAATAAAAGCTCTTAGAGGAAAAAAAGGCAGATCACCACAAGCAAATGGCAACCTGACTGATGGCCGCAACAGTAACCCTGGCAGTCAGAACATGGATCTTCAATGTGCTGGAAGAAAGAAACTATCACCCTACAATGCCATGCCTGGAAAAACCATCTTTAGAAGACGAGGGTGAAACAATGACATTTTCAGATAGATAAAAGGAGGCATTTACCATGCAGAGACTCTCACAGAAGGAACTCCTGAAGAATGTGTTTTGAGAAATGGAAGATATGAGATGTAAAATGGGAGGATGAGCAAAAGCATTGGTGATTATGTGGATAAATCTGAATAAACACTGACTATTTAAAACAATAATAAGTGTTTCATTTGTTGGAGGGAAACAGAATCAAAATCAAATAATAGAGCACAGTAGGTTAGACAGTAACAGAAGTTAAAGCTTTCTAAGGTCCTGCTGCTGCTCATGAGGAAAGCAGATTTCTGGGGACAAATGCATGGTTTACCCACTGCACCAAAGTATAATACAAGAAAATGCTGAGTCTCAGAACTCGCCTCAATCAACACATGTTCCCTGTCTGAGGTCACCCAGCTGCTCTGGAATGCAAAGGGGCATGATCTTGTATGGTGTTCATCATTGTGTCTTCATTGCCTGGAACGGTACCTGACATATCATAGGCAAACAATAAACAGTGTTGAATGAATGAATAAATGAGTGAATAATTTCTTCTGATTGTCTTAAATGCTTCATAATTGTTACTTATAACTCAATTTGGCTGCAGCATAGGCACATGAAAGGAAGTCATAGGAGATAAGGCTGAAAATATTGGTTGGCTCTAGATGATCTAAAAATAATCTAGCTAATAAATATCATGATGTAGAGGGAGAAACGTGACAGATGGTGCATGTGATGTGCTAAGTCCCCTATATTTTATAAGGAGACTCAATATATCTAGTTGTTAACATCGATAAATCAAAAATAGAAATGTTGTTTTATTACGCAAAGCTTTTTTAAAAAAAAGAATGGAAACTGTATGCAGTGGTTGCTTTTGGGGAATGAGACTTCGAGAGACTTTGCATTTCATTTTATACACCTTAGTGTCATTTGAAATAAACCTGATTTTGAAAGGTCAAGTAAGCCAGGGCCTTGAATGCCAAGCAGAAGAGGGCAGACTATTCTTTAGCTATGAAAGCTCACGTCGCTTGATTGGTCTGCTTCCTGGATGCTCATTGTGGGCAATGAAAGACTTCAGGACGGTGATTCCTTGCAGGGAGTGGGGCCGGAGAGGGTAGGGGAGAAACCAAGATAAGTGATTGGAGTCAGGGCAAATGCTGAGAAACATCTCATGTGGTTTCCTGTGTCATACTCTTATTTTCCAGCACCCTCTGTACAGGAAATCACAGGGTTGTTGAGCATCTTGATAAGCTTCACTCAGTCATCAGGTTTCACTCCAGATCCTGCAGGCATCTCCCCATCCTCAGCTGTTTGCCAGTCCCAGGAAAGCACTTCTCAACTCACCAACTCCAGTAGAAAGAAGGGTGTTAAGGTAAGAGTTTGTTCAAGAACCATCTTCTTTCAAAGGCAGTTTTGGTTTTTACCTTAGTCCACATCCTGATGAATTCATTAGGAAAAGAAGACAGGAAGCTCCTTTGAGGAAGCTTTGGATGCTGGCAGCTTAGATGCTGGGAGATCCGAATGGGGTCAAGCAGGTTCGTCCCACTTCTCTTCTATCTACCAATATTCTCCCCTTCTCTTCGACCATTCAAATCTGAAACTATGGAGAGAAAGATTTTGCTGATTTTAATTTAGGGGCAGGCTAGAATGAAGTCATTACTTCCCTAAGCTAAATTGTTATTTAAAACCTCAGGTTGCACTGATTTTCTTGTTATTCAAAAGGTTTTTCCTTCATATCTGTCATTGTCCCAGCAGAAAACACACATCACACACTCTAAAGGGGTAGTTTAGAGGAGTTTAGTGAAGAGACTGTTTACAACGGCGTGAACAGGGATTAAGGAATGATGAAGCCCTCAAAGGCAAGTGATAGTGGAGGGCTGTTACCGTTGCTAGGTCTGAAGTGATAAGGAGAAAGAGAAGTTCTGAGAACTCAGAATGTGCTGTAGCGGTAACTGTAACTGTAACTATAGCTGTGGCTACAGGAAAGGGCCACCAGGCAGGGCTATGTCCTTAGGTAGAAAAACACTGCCACTGCCAACTCACAGCCCTTCAGGGCGCAGGGAGAGAGCCAGGAAATTTTTAAAAAATCATCCCCCAATCTACTGTCAATGTGTCCCTTTGGCTGAAAAAAAAAGTCACCCTCCAATCTCCTGTCAATGTGTACCCTTTGGAGCCTGAGTGAAAGACAGCCCATTGACGAGGCACAGACATGTCTCCTCCCAGGATGCAAAGGCAGGTAGAGAAGGATGGACATGAGATCCTAATAGCAAATAGGAAAGTCCATTTCTTCCCATAGCCTCTTCTCAGTTTGTCTTTCCTGAGACTTTCTCTATTAATGTGATTGAATCAATTTCTCATTCTATCACCTCCCTTTTTTTTAATTGTTTGACCTTCCCATCTAGTGTCACTTCTTTGGACTAGTCTCTCACTATCATCATAAATGCCTTGAGAATGGAATGTGGTTGGGAAAAAAAGGGATTGGGAGTACATAGGTACTCCCAGCTATAAGTACACAGGTATGTGTAATGTAAGTTTATGATTTTGGCTTCTCTAAAAAGAAACCTATTATAGTGATAATCAAAAAGAATGTTTACTAGACTTGGGCTGATAACTCTAAGACATCAAACATCAAGGCTCCTTCCAATTTCTATTTCCCCATCCCTAAAGCGGTACCCTTACCCTCATGGTCCTACATGGCTCCCAAACACATCAGCATTCCAGCCAGAGAGAAGAGAAAAAAAGAAAGAGTACAGGAGTAGCTGGTTATATCACTTTCTCTCACCTCCCCTTGACCATCACATATGGTTACATGGTGCCATTAGCATAAAGGGAAGCTGAGAAATGGGCCTTTTTCTGATCTAAGACTCAGAATTATTATGTGTGAGAAAAGGAGAATGGCTTTTGGGGCAACAAGCAGTCTCTATAGCCCGATTCTCTTTTAGCATCTGTGCTCACCTGGAGATTTTTCTCAACACTGCCTCACAAATAGTGAATGATGTAGACATGGAACAGAAATAAACCTAGGACAGGGCCCCAGGAGACTGGAGCTGGTATTGGACCTGCTTTTCACCATGTGATTCAGGAAACTCTTTTGTACACGTTAAGCCTGTCTTTCTTTGTTAAATGAGCGTATTACAATAGATGGCCTCCAAGGGATATGTGTTGGAGGCTGGGGATATAATAGTGAACAACCACAACAAAAATGTTGAGCTTAATGAGGGAAGTAAAAGAAAAAACAGACATACACTTAAAAATACAGGTGCAGGGCCGGGCACGGTGGCTCACGCCTGTAATCCTGGCACTTTGGGAGGCCGAGGCGGGCAGATCACAAGGTCAGAAGTTCGAGACCATCCTGGCTAACACAGTGAAACCCCGTCTCTACTGAAAAAAAAAATACAAAAAATTAGCCAGTCGTGGTGGTGGGCACCTGTAGTCCCAGCTACTCGGGAGGCTGAGGCAGGAGAATGGCGTGAGCCCAGGAGGCGGAGCTTGCAGTGAGCCGAGATCGAGCCACTGCACTCCAGCCTGGGTGACAGAGCGAGACTCCATCTCAAAAAAAAAAAAAAATACAGGTGCAAACTGTGTTCAGTGCCACGAATAAAAAGGCCAACCTGCCCTGAGGGAGGACAACAGAAGTGGTTTTCTTCCATATCCTCACAAGGCCAACCAGGGCTACAGGAACTAAGACAGCATGTGATGGATGCATTCAGTCCTTGATGCCAATTCTGCACCCCCATGGAGGACACATTCACTTTCCCCTTGGAGGCCTCCAACCCATGAGAGTTTTCTGCAGTGTGGAGTGATTGACGGCTGTTTTTCTGAAGCAAGAAAGAGCTCTTGCATTCAGTTGCTTATTCTCAGTTGGCTTCTATTCATATCTCTTCTCCTTATTTGATTAATCTCTCTTCCTTACTGTTTCTTAAAGTTGCTTAATCTAGGCTTAAAAAACTGCAATTTCGACATTCCATTTTGGATTTGATATGAGCATTACTTGTTGCTTTTCTCCTTTCTTCATGTGTAGTTGGTATTGAACCCTTGCAATGGGGCTGCAAGGCTGGTTAAGAACAAGCCCTCTGACACAGACCTGTGGGTTCAAATGCAGGCTCTACCACTTGTTTGTGAGACCTGAAGCATATTACTCAATACATTTGTGCTTTAATCTCCTTCTCTGTAAAATGGGACTAATAATAGTACTGACCTCACCAGGCTCTGAAGAAGATTTAAAGAGGCTATACCTGAAGAGCATTCAGCCAGCTGCTATTATTCACCCCATTATGAGTAAGGGCTCCTTCCCAAGTGTAATTTGCATAAGCATCTGCCTTTTCCCCTCAAAGCCCTGCACAGTGTAGACATGGTTCTTTTTTCTAATTTCCCACTCCTTTCCCCAAATAATCCTGTTCACAAATGCTTTAATTTGCAAAGAAAGCTCAAAATCATCTGGGGGAAGTAATGGGTCCACCTTAGATGTATTCATACCACAACACCCTCTAGTTACCTCTAGACACTAGACACTCTCAATTGCTGCCTCTCTCTCCTTTTCCCAAATTGCCCCCTTTTCCTCCAAGATGCAGAGAAATTCAGATAAACCCTGAATCCTCTCCATAAACTGGAAGTTTAAACTCTTTTGGGTGCTGAGCAAAAGCCATATACTAGCCCTTCCTGGATTGAAGATATGACAGTGGCCATTATTCACTATCTGTGTAGGCAGAAGCAATCCCTTCAAATACACCAGAGCTTTCCCAGAAGGAAACATGAAGAATGATGTTTTCTTCATTTCTTTACATGTGTGTTTTTTAGTGACTAATTTCATTTTAAAATGTTGGTGTTCCACTTAGCCCAAATTTTCAACTACTCTTGGCTCCCCATGCATGCATGCATGCATTCATTCATTCATTTATATGTGGTACAAACTTCTTGACCCTCCACTATGCCCTCACATTGAGCTAGGCACTGAGGACACAGAAATGGATAAGAGAAAAACTCTTTCTGTTTTCATAAAGCTGACCCACTGAGCAATTTCTAGTCTGACAGGCCTGGCTGTCCTCAGACCTGTCCTAGCAAGAAGTCACCTCTCCGTTATGACCCTAAATCACAATCTCCATTCTGACTGTTGATGGACTCCTCTCAGTCATTAAGGGTGGCCATGGGTCATGGCCTGGGTCATTTCTTCTGGCCCCTGAGAGGAAATCTGTATGCCAGGATAAAAAGAATCCTGAACTCAGAGTACTGTCTCTTGCTGCCCCACATATTCTGCCTAGACTTTTCTCTTCCTGCCTCCAGGAGACATGACACAGTGACAGTGAGTGGGGGTGTTTGGGCCTTAGAATATTCCCATACCAGCAGAGGATCTACCTTGTAATAGAAAGAGCCCAGGATTTAGAGTCAGCAAGAAATGAGTTTGAATCCAGGTGCTAGGACTCCCTGGCCCTTAATAAATGACTTAATCTCTTCAAGCCTCTGATTTCCTCTCCTGTAAAACAGGGGCGGTAATTACCACATAACAGGCTGGTCATGAAAATCAGTGAACATGCAGCAGGTGCTCAAGTCTTGTTTTTGTTTCCAGGGGCACCAGTGGAGGTTTTCTGAGCATGGATCCAACCACCCCGGCCTGGGGAACAGAAAGTACAACAGTGAATGGAAATGACCAAGCCCTTCTTCTGCTTTGTGGCAAGGAGACCCTGATCCCGGTCTTCCTGATCCTTTTCATTGCCCTGGTCGGGCTGGTAGGAAACGGGTTTGTGCTCTGGCTCCTGGGCTTCCGCATGCGCAGGAACGCCTTCTCTGTCTACGTCCTCAGCCTGGCCGGGGCCGACTTCCTCTTCCTCTGCTTCCAGATTATAAATTGCCTGGTGTACCTCAGTAACTTCTTCTGTTCCATCTCCATCAATTTCCCTAGCTTCTTCACCACTGTGATGACCTGTGCCTACCTTGCAGGCCTGAGCATGCTGAGCACCGTCAGCACCGAGCGCTGCCTGTCCGTCCTGTGGCCCATCTGGTATCGCTGCCGCCGCCCCAGACACCTGTCAGCGGTCGTGTGTGTCCTGCTCTGGGCCCTGTCCCTACTGCTGAGCATCTTGGAAGGGAAGTTCTGTGGCTTCTTATTTAGTGATGGTGACTCTGGTTGGTGTCAGACATTTGATTTCATCACTGCAGCGTGGCTGATTTTTTTATTCATGGTTCTCTGTGGGTCCAGTCTGGCCCTGCTGGTCAGGATCCTCTGTGGCTCCAGGGGTCTGCCACTGACCAGGCTGTACCTGACCATCCTGCTCACAGTGCTGGTGTTCCTCCTCTGCGGCCTGCCCTTTGGCATTCAGTGGTTCCTAATATTATGGATCTGGAAGGATTCTGATGTCTTATTTTGTCATATTCATCCAGTTTCAGTTGTCCTGTCATCTCTTAACAGCAGTGCCAACCCCATCATTTACTTCTTCGTGGGCTCTTTTAGGAAGCAGTGGCGGCTGCAGCAGCCGATCCTCAAGCTGGCTCTCCAGAGGGCTCTGCAGGACATTGCTGAGGTGGATCACAGTGAAGGATGCTTCCGTCAGGGCACCCCGGAGATGTCGAGAAGCAGTCTGGTGTAGAGATGGACAGCCTCTACTTCCATCAGATATATGTGGCTTTGAGAGGCAACTTTGCCCCTGTCTGTCTGATTTGCTGAACTTTCTCAGTCCTGATTTTAAAACAGTTAAGAGAGTCCTTGTGAGGATTAAGTGAGACAGTGCCTATGAAACAAACACTAAGTGCAGTGTCTCTGGAACTGCCTTACTCACAGGCTTCCACCACAGCCCTATGAGAGCTTTGCCAACTCTGCGGTCCATGACTGTTCCCACTTTTAATGAATCCTACCTTTCGCAGAAGGCTGAAAGCAGGGCAGAAAAGATCTACATTTCTTTGGACACTGCACTTGATAGGGACTCAAAGAATGTTATATTTTTAATTAATTTCTTTTTCTCTTCCGTACAATTTCTGTCTCAACAAAATTAGAAGAATTAAATTTAAAACTAGCTCCAAAAGAGCAGTCGTCTTTCATTTTGGCAGACCTTAGAATATCCCCCTAGCTTAATAAATCTTTGTTGAATGGCTTAATGAATGAATAAACTGGTTAATGTTTAAGTTAAACCTCTGAAAAGTCTCCATTTACCAGATTTGAGTCACTAAATTTATTGCTTTCACTACTTTTGAATTTTGCAAACATGAAATTAAGTTTTATAATTAGATAAATCAATGTCAACACATATTTAAAGTTTGAGGTACACTGTCTTCCTGTGGTTTCCTTTCACATGCCATCCCTTAAAATCCCAGCTACACGCCTTCCCATTCCTTCCCCTTTGCCTTTGTTCTAATCTTCCCTCTCTGGGGGCTCTCTAATTCGTCCTGGAAGTTTCCAGTGGTCTTATAGACTCCATGTTCTTGGAGGACAGGCTGTATGTCAGATTTACCTTTTATTCCGAAGAACTCGGAGCATTTATTTTGTTAATTAAATTGCACATATTTTTAAAAGTTACGTGTTCCACAGAATAAAATACTAATTGTAAATGCTGCATCTTTTAATAATTTTTTATTATTTTTAATTAAGGTATAATTAAGAGAATGATATGCACAGATCATAAATGTACAGCTTAATGAGTTTTGTTAAATGAATACACCTATGTGACTCAAACTTCATTCAAGACAAAATATTTTCATCATCTCTAAAAGTTCCCCTGTGCTTCCTCATTCTTCCTGCCCCCAGAGGCAACCATTGTTTCTATTTCAATCAACAAATATTAGCTTTGCCTGACCTTTAACTGTATCTTTTTAGAATCATAATATGTGTATTTTTTGTTTCTAGCTCTTGCACTCAACATAATATTTTGAAGATTTACCTATGTTATTGCATCACATGTATCAGTAGTTTGTTCCTTTCATAAAGCTGAGTACTATTTAATTGTGTGAGTGTACTATGGTGTAACTATTTTCATACTGACAGATATATATGTGATGTGTTATGAATTTTTTGGCTATTATAAATAAAGCTGCTGTGAACGTTCTTATTCAAGTCTTTTTGTAGATATATGTTTACATTTCTTTGTATAGACAACCTGGAATGAAATTGCAGGATCAAGGAAAGATGTATACTTAATTCTATAAGAAAGTACCAAGCTATTTTCTAAAATGTTTGTACCATTTCACATTCCCACCAGCAATGTATGAGAGTTCCAGTTGCTCCACATGTTCCCAACAAACATGGTATTGCCAGTCTTTGAATTTTAGTCATTGTAATGAGTGTTAAATAGTATCTCATTGTGTTTTAATTTGCATTTCCATAATGACTTATTAAATTGAGCATCTTTTAAGTGCTTTTTAGCTACTCTTTTTTTTGGCAGTGTCTGCTTAAGTTTTGCCTATTTTTATTAAGTATTTATCTTTTTCATTATTAATTTGTATACATTTTTTCATATGCTGAACGATTCTTTTGGTAGTTATGTGTATTATACTTATCTGGTTGGTGGTTTGCCTATTCATTTTTACATATTTATTTATTTTTAACAATTACATATATTTATGGGGCACGATGTGATGTTTTGATCAATGTATACCTTGTAGAAAGACTAAATCAAGCTGATTAAAATATCCATCACCTTACCAACTTATTTGTGTGTGTAATGTGAATGTTAAAAATCTATTCTTTAAACCAACACCACATGTTCTCACTTATAAGTGGGAACTGAACAATGAGAACACATGAATACAGGGAGGGGAAGAACACACACTGGGGCCTGTCGGGGGGTGGGGTGAGGGGAGGGAGAGCATTAGGAAAACTAAGTAATGCATGCTCGGCTTAATGCCTAGATGATGGGTTGAGAGGTACAGCAAACCACCATGGCACATATTTACCTGTGTAACAAACCTGCACATCCTGCACATGTACCCCATAACTTAAAATAAAAATAAATTTTAACATCTATTTTTTTTTAGATATAGTCTCACTCTGTCACCCCAGCTGGAATGCAGTGGCACAATCTTGGCTCACTGCAACTTCTGCCTCCTGGGTTCCAGCGATTCTCATGACTCAGCCTCCCAAGTAGCTGGGGCGGGGATTACAGGCGTGCACCACCACGCCTGGCTAATTTTTTAAAAATTTTTAGTAGAGATGGGGTTTCACCTCGTTGACTCTGCTGGTCTTGAACTCCTGGCCTCAAGTACTCCACCTGCCTGAGCCTCCCAAAATGCTGGGATTACAGGCATAAGCCACTGCACATGAACGAATCTCTTCTTCTTCTTTTTTTTTTTTAAACTTTTATTTTAGGTTCAGGGGGTACAGGTTTGGGGGGTACATATTTGTTACATAGGTAAATTCATGTCATGGGGGTTTATTGTACAGATTATTTGAACACCAAGGTATTAAGCTCAGTACCCAATAGCTATCTTTTCTGCTCCTCTCCCTCCTTCCACCCAATGCCCTCGAGTAGATCCTAGTGTCTGTTGATCCCTTTTTCGTGTTGTGAGTTCTCATCATTTAGCTCCCACTTATAAGTGAGAACGTGTGGTATTCGGTTTTCTGTTCCTGCATTAGTTTGCTAAGGATAATAGTCTCCAGCTCCATCCATGTTCCCACAAAAGACATGATCTCATTCTTTTTTATGGTTAAATAGTATTCCATGGTTCATATGTTCCGCATTTTTTTAACTTTTATCTTAGGTTTGGGGGTACATGTGAAGATTTGTTATATAGGTAAACACGTGTCATGGGGATTTGCTGTATAGATCATTTCATCACCCAGGTATTAAGCCCGGTACCCAGTAGTTATCTTTTCTGCTCCCCTCTCTCCTCCCACTCCCCATCAAGTAGACTGTGGTATCTCTTGTTTCCTTCTTTGTGTTCATAAGTTCTCATTATTTAGCTTTCACTTGTAACTGAGAACATGTGGTATTTGTTATCTCTTCCCATGTTCATTTGCTAAGGATGATAGCCTCCAGCTTAATTCACGTTCCCACAAAAGACATGACCTCATTATTTTTTATGGCTGCATAGTATTCCATGGTGTATATGTACCACATTTTCTTTATCCAATGTCATTGATGGGCATGTAGGTTGATTCTATGTCTTTGCTGTTGTGAACAGTGCTGCAATGAACATTTATGTGCATGTGTCTTTATGGTAGAATGCTTTATATTCCTCTGGGTATATACCCAGTAATGGGACTGCTCAGCTGAATGGTAGTTCTGCTTTTAGCTGAGTATTCACCATACTGCTTTCCACAATGGTTGAACTAATTTACACTCCCACCAAGAGTGTACAAGTATTTCCTCTTCTCTGCATCCTCGCTAGTATCTGTTCTTTTTTGACTTTTTAATAGTAACCATTCGGACAGGTGTGAGATTGTATCTCATTATGGTTTTGATTTGAATTTCCTTAATGATCAGTGATATTGAGCTTTTTTCATATGCTAGTTGGCAGCATATATGTCTTCTTTTGAGAAGTGTCTGTAAATGTCCTTTGCCCACTTTTTAATGAGGTTGTTTTTCTCTTGTAAACTTGTCTAAGTTTTTTACAGAAGCTGGATATTAGACCTTTGTCAGATACATAATTTGCAAATATTGTCTCCCATTTTGTAGGTTGTCTGTTTACTCTGTTAGTAGTTTCTTTTGCTGTGCAAAAGCTTAATTAGATTCCATTTGTAAATTTTTGCTTTTGTTGCAATTGCTTTTGGTGTCTTCGTCATGAAATCTTTGCCCTTCCTAGGTCCAGGACAGTATTGCCTAGGCTGTCTTCCAGAGTTTTTATAGTTTTGTGTTTTACACTTAAGTCTTTAATTCATCTTGAGTTGACTTTTGTATGTGGTGTAAGAACAGGGTCCAGCTTCAATCTTCTGCATATGGCTAGTCAGTAATCCCAGCACCATTTATTGAATAGGAAGTCTTTTCCCCATCACTTGTTTTGGTCAGCTTTGTCAAAGATCAGATGGGCTGTAGATGTATGGCCTTATTTCTGGGCTGCCTATTCTGTTCCATTGGTCTATGTGCTTGTTTTTGTACCAGTATCATGCTGTTTTGGTTACTGTAACCTTGTAGCATAGTTTGAAGTCAGGTAATGTGATTCCTCCAGCTTTGTTCTTTTTGCTTAGGATTGCCTTGACTATTTGGGCTCTTTTTTGGTTCCACATGAATTTTTGAACAGTTTTTTCTAGTTCTATGAAGAATGTCACTGGTAGTTTGATAAGAATAGCAAAAAATCTATTCTTATAGCAATGTTGAAATACACAATACATTGTTATCAACTGTGGTTACAATGTAATGCAATAGATCACAAAAACTTATTCCTCCAGTTTAACTGCAACTTTGTACCCTTTGATAATCATCTTCCCTTTTCCATTTCTCTGCCCCTCTGTAGCCTCTGGTTACCACCTTTCTACTCTGAGATTGACGTTTTTACATTCCACACGTAAGTGGGATCATACAGTATTTGGTTTTTTGTGCCTGCCTTATTTCACTTAGGATAATATCCTCCAGTTTCATCTATGTTGTCCAAATGACAAAACTTCTTTTTTAAGGCTGTATAGTATTCCACTGTATATGTAACACTACATTTTCTTTATCTATTCCTTCATTAACAAATGCTTAGTTTGCTTTCATATATTAGCTATTGTGAATAATGCTGAAATAAACATGGGGTTGCTGACATCTCTTCAACATATTGATTTCAATTACTTTGGATATAAACTCAGAAGTGGGATTGCTGGATCATATGGCAATTCTATTTTTAGTATTTTGAGAAACCTCCATTTTATTTTCCAAAATGGTTATACTAATTTACATTCCCACCAACAGTATGCGAGGGTTCTTTTTCTCCACATATTTGTCAACACTTTTTATGTTTCATCTTTTTATAATAGTCATTCTAACAGATGTGAGGTGACATCTTATTGTGGTTTTAATTTGCATTTCCCTGATGATCAGAGATGTTGAGCATTTTTAAATATATCTTTTGGCCATTTGTATGTCCTCCTTTGAGAAATGCCTGTTCAGGCCCTTTCCCCATTTTTATAGTTATATGTTTTCTTGCCAATGAGATGTTTGAGTTCCTTATACATTTTGGCTAAGAAGCCCTTATCATATGCATGGTTTGTAAATATTTTCTTTTTTCAACATATGACTAACACATAATAATTGTACACATTTATGGGATACAACATGATGTTTCAATACTTGTACAAATTGTGTAATGATCAAATCAGGATAATTGGCATATCCATCACCTTAAACACATTTGTGTTTAACACACCTTAAAACACACCTTAAAAACATTCAAAAATCTATCTTCTAGTTATTTTAAAATATACAATACATTATTGTTTACTCTAGTTATCCTACTCTGCAATAGAGAGAGGTTTGCATATATTTGCTTCCATTTCATGGGTTGTCTTTTCACTCTGTTGTTTCCTTTGTTATGCAGCAGCTTTTTGGTATGATGCAATCTCATTTGTATATTTTTGCTTTTGTTGTCTGTGTTTTTTGGGTCCTATCCAATAAATTGTTGTCCAGACTAATGTCATGAAGCTTTCTCCCGTTTTCTTCCAGTAGTTTTACAGAGTCAGGTCTTATATTTAAGTCTTCAATCTATTTTGAGTTAATTTTTGTATGTGGTGAGAGATAAGTGTCTAATTTTATCTTCTGCCTGTGGATATCCAGTATTCCCAAACAATTTATTGAAAAGACTATTTTTCCCCATTGTGTATTATTCACACCTTTATTGAAAATCAATTGACCATGAATACTTGGGTTTATTTCTGGAATTTCTATCCTGTTTCATTGGTTGATGTGTCTATTTTTATGCCAGTACCATGCTGTTTTTTTTACAATAGCATTATAATATATTTTGAAATCAGAGGGTCTGATACCTTCAGCTTTGTTCTTTTTCTCAAGATTTCTTGGGCTATTTGGGGCTTTTGTGGTTTCATAAGAATTTTAAGGTTTTTTTTTCTATTTATGTAACAAATAACATTGGAATTTTGATAGAGATTGTATTGAATTTGTAGATCTCTTTGGATAACATGGACATTTTAACAATATTAATTCTTCTAATCCATGAACATGAGATATCATTCCATTTATGTGTGTTTTCAGTTTCTTTCATCAGTGTTTTATAATTTTCAGTGTACAAATTTTTTACCTCCTTGGTTAAATTTATTTCTAATTATTTTAATTTTGATGCTGTTGTAAATTGAAATTGTTTTCTTATTTTTCAGATAGTTCATTATTAGCGCATAGCATTGCTACTCATTTTAGTATGTTGATTTTGTAACCTGAAACTTTATTGATTTTTGAATCAGTTCTAGCCAGTTTTGGGAGAATCCTTAGTATTTTCTACATTTCACCAGCAAACAGACAATTTCACTCTTTCCTTTCCTATTTAGATGCCTTTTATTTCTTTTTCTTGCCTAACTGCTCTGGCTGGGACTTGCAGTACTATATGGAATAGAAGTGGCAAGAAAGAAATCATTGTCTTGTCCCTGTTCTTAGAGGACAAGCTTTCAATTTTTTACCATTGAGTTTGATGTTAGCTGTGGGCTTGTCATATATGTACTTTATTGTGTTGAGGTGCATTCCTTCTATACCTATCTGACTGGGAACTTTAATCATGAACAGATGTTGAATTTCGTAAAAAATCCTTTCTGCATCTATTCAGGTAATTGTGAGGTTTTGGCCTTCATTTTGTTAATATGGTATCACATTTATAAATTTGCATATGTTGAAGCATCCTTGCATCCTATGGAGAAATCCCACTTGATCGTGGTGAATGATCTCTTTAATATGTTGCTGAATTTGGTTTGCTAGTATTTTGCTGAGAATTTTTCAATCTATGTCCATCAGAGATATTGGCTTGTACTTTTGTTTTCCTGTACTGTCCTTGTCTGGCTATTGTATCTGAGTAATGCAGGCCTTGTAAAATGAGTTTGGAAGTATTCTCTCATCTTTAATTTTTTGGAAAAGTTTGAGAAAGATTAGTGTTGATTCTTTAAATAGTGAGTAGAATTTAGTAGTGAAGTCTTTGGGCTTTGTTGAGAGGTTTAGGTGATTACTGATTCAGTTTTCTTACTCATTATTGGTTTGTTCAGATTTTTCTGTCTTCATGATTCAGTTTTGGTAGATATATGTTTCTAGAAATACATCCATTTCTTTTTTTTTTTTTTTTTTTTTTTTTGAGACAGAGTTTCACTCTTGTCACCCAGGCTGGAGTGCAATGGCACGAACTGGGCTCACTGCAACCTCTGCCTCCCGGGTTCAAGCGATTCTCCTGTTCCAGCCTCCCAAGTAGCTGGGATTACAGGCATGCACCACCATGCCTGGCTAATTTTTGGAAATACATCCATTTCTTTTAGGTTATTCAATGTGTTGATATATCATTGTTTATAGTCGTCTTTGTTCTTTTATATTTTTGTGGTATCTGTTGTAATGTCTACTCTTTTATTTGTGATTTATTTTGATTACTCTTTCCTTTTTTCTTTCAGTCTTGGTAACAATCTGACAATTTTGCTTATCTTTTCAAAAAACTTTAGTTTTTTATCTTTTCTATTGTTTTGTAGTCTATTTTATTTCTGCACTGATCTTTGTTATATCATTCCTTTTGCTAAGTTGGAGCTTACTTTCTTCTTTTTTTAGTTATTTCAGGTATAACATTAGCTTGTTTATTTGAGATCATTCTTCTTTTTTGATAGGTATTTATTTCTGTAAAATTTTCTCTCAAGACTACTTTTGCTGCATCCCATAAGTTTTGGAATATTGTGTTTTCATTTTCATTTGCCTCAAGATATTTTAAATTTTCCTTTTGATTCATTGACCATTCAGAAGCCTGTTAATTTCCACATATTTGTGAATTTTCCAAGGTACTTCCTGTTACAGATTTCTAGTTTCATGCCATTGTAACTGGAAAAGATATTTAATATGATTTCAATCTTCTTAAATTTGCTGATTTTCTTTGTGGCTTAACATACATCATTTATCCTGGGAGAACATTCCTGGCATGCTTGAGAGGGGAATGTATATTCTGCTGCTGTTGGATGAAATGTTCTGTAAATTAATGTTAGGTCCATTTGACCTAAAGTGTAGTTCAAGTCTGCTGTTTCCAGTGATTTTCTGTTTCATCGGTCCAGTGTTGAAAGTGGGGTATTGAAGTTCTCTATTATTGTATTACAGTCTATGTTTCCAATAAGATCCTTTACATTGCTTTATATATTTAGGTGAGCTGATGTTGAATATATAGATATATATAGATATAGATATAGATAAATAAGGACTTATTCCTTCATTTTGTTAATTTTTTAGTTAATTTATAAATTATTTGTATCTCTTTTTCTTTCTTGCTGTCTTCCTTTGTAGTTTGATGATTTTCTGTAGTTGTATGCTTTGACTTCTTTCTTTTTATCTTTTTCTGTATCTAGTAAAGATTTTTGCTTTACTGGTTACCATGAGACTTACGTAAAACATCTTAACTAATAAGAGGTTATTTTAACCTGATAACTACTTAACTTTGATCACTTGCACAATCTGTACACTTTTATTCCTACCACACAATTTATGTTTTTGATATCAAGTTTTACAACTAAATTATTGCAGCTATTGTTTTTAACTGTTTTGTCTTCCAACCTTAGATACAATTGACATGTAGAAGTATTATTGATTTCACATCATCATTACCATATTTGAATGTTTTGAATTTGATTCTTTACTTTTACCAGTGAGCTTCATGTTTTATGTGTTTTCATGTGGCTACTTAGCATCATTTTCCTTCAGCTTGAAGAAATTTCTTTAACATTTCTTTTTTTGTTTATTTGGTTTATTTTGTTTTTTAATATATTATATGTAATACTTTTTCTTTTTTTCTTTTAATTTTTACTTCTGGGGTACATGTGTAGGCTGTGTAGGTTTGTTACATAGGTAAACATATGCCATGATGGTTTGCTATACCTATCAACCCATCACCTACGTATTAAGCCCAGCATGCATTAGCTAGTTTTACTAATGCTCTCCCTTCCACAACTCCATCCCCCAACAGTCCCCAGTGTGTGTTGTTCCCCTCCCTGTGTCCATGTGATCTTGTTGTTCAGCTCCCACTCATAAGTGAGAACATGCAGTGTTTGATTTTCTGTTCCTGCATTAGTTGGCTGAAGATAATGGCTTCCAGCTTCATCCATGTCCCTGCAAAGGATATGATCTCATTCCTTTTTCTAGCTGCATAGTATTCCATGGTGTGTATGTACCACATTTTCTCTATCCAGTCTATCAATGATGGGCATTTGGGTTGATTCCATGTCTATGCTATTGTGCATAGTGCTGCAATGAACATACACATGCATGTATCTTTGTAATACAATGATTTATATTCCTTTGGGTATATACTCAGTATTGGCATTGCTGGGTCAAATGGTATTTCTGGTTCTAGATCTTTGAGTAATTGCCACACCATCTTCCACAATGGTTGAACTAATTTACCTTCCCACCAATAGTGTAAAAGTGTTCCTATTTATCCAGAACCTCACCAGTATCTGTTGTTTCTTGACTTTAATAATGGCTGTTCTGACTGGTGTGAGGTGGTATCTCATTGTGGTTTTGATTTACATTTCTCTAATGATCAGTAATGTTGAGCTTTTTTCATGTTTGTTGGCTGCATGAATGTATTCTTTTGAGAAGTGTCTGTTCATGTCCTTTGCCTACTTTTTAATGGGGTTGTTGGGGTTTTTTTCTTGTAAATTTGAGCTCCTTGTAGATCCTGGAAATTAGACCTTTGTTGGATGGATAGACTGCAAAATTTATCTCTCACTCTGTAGGTTTGCATATCACTCTGATAATAGTTTCTTCGCTGTGCAAAAGCTCTTTAATTAGATCCCACTTGTCAATTTTTGCTTTTGTTGCAATTGCTTTTAGTGATTTTATCATCCTTATCCATGCCAAAGTCCTGAATGGTATTGCCCAGATTTTCTTCTAGGGTTTTTATACTTTACATTTAAGTCTTAATCCATCTTTAATTTTTGTGTAAGGTGGGAGGAAGGGCCTCAGTTTCAATTTTCTGCAAATGGATAGCAAGTTCTCCCAGCACTATTTATTAGATAGGGAATCGTTTCCTCATTGCTTGTTTTTGTCAGGTTTGTTGAAGATCAGATGGTTGTAGATGTGCGATCTGATTTCTGAGTTCTCTATTCTGTTCTATTGGCCTATGTGTCTGTTTTTGTACCGATACCATGCTGTTTTTGTTATTGTAGCCTTATAGTATAGTTTGAAGTCAGTAGCATGATGCCTCCAGCTTTGGTCTTTTTTCTTAGGATTGTCAGCTTTACAAGCTCTTTTTTGGCTCCATATGAATTTTAATATAGTTTTTTCTAATTGTGTGAAGAAATGTCAATGGTAGTTTGATGGGAATAGCATTGAATCTATAAATTACTTTGAGCAGTATGGCTATTTTCACAATATTAATTCTTCCTATCCATGAGCATGGAGTACTTTTCCATTTGTTTATGTCCTCTTTGGTTTCCTTGAGCAGTGGCTTGTAGTTCTCTTTAAGGAGGTCCTTCACTTCTCTTGTTAGCTGTATTCCGAGGTATTTTATTCTCTTTGTAGCAATTGTGAATGGGAATTCATTCATGATTTGGCTTTCTGCTTGCATGTTGTTGCTGTATACAAATGCTTGTGACTTCTGCACATTGATTTTGTATTCTGAGACTTTTCTGAAGTTGCTTACTGGCTTAAGGAGTTTTGGGGCTAAGACAATGAGGTTTTCTAGATATAGGATCATGTCATCTGCAAACAAAGACAATTTGACTTCATTCTTTTCTATTTGAATACCCTTTATTTCTTTCTCTTGCCTTATTGCTGTGGCCAGAACTTCCAATACTATGTTGAATCACAGTGGTGAGAGAAGGCATCCTTGTCTTGTGCTGGTTTTCAAGGGGAATTTTCTAGCTTTTGTTCCTTCAGTATAATATTGGTTGTGGGTTTGTCATAAATGGCTCTTATTATTTTGAGGTATGTTCCTTCAATATCTAGTTTATTGAGAGTTTTTAACATGAAGAGATGTTGAATTTTATCGAGGCCTTTTCTTTGTCTATTGAGATAGTCATGGGGTTTTTGTCTTCAGATCTATTTACGTGATGTATTACGCTTATTGATTTGCATATGTTGAACCAGCCTTGCATCCCAGGAATGAAGGCAACTTGATCATGGTGGATAAGCTTTTTGATGTGCTGCTGGATTTGGTTTGCCAGTATTTTATTGAGAATTTTTGCATTGATGTTCATCAGGGATATTGGCATGAAGTTTTCTTTTCTTTTCTTTTCTTTTGTATCTCTGCCAGGTTTTGGTAGAAGGATAATGCTGGCCTCATAGAATGGGTTAGGGAGGAGTCTCTCCTTTTCAATTATTTGGAATAGTTTCATAAGAAATGGAATCAGCCCCCTTTGTATTTCTGATAGAATTCAGCTGTAAATCTATCTGGTCATTGACTTTTTTTGGTTGGTAGGCCATTTATTACTGCTTCAATTTTGGAACTTGTTATTGGTCTATTCAGGGATTCCACTTCTTCCTGGTTCACTCTTGGGAGGGTATATGTGTCCAGGAATTTATCCATTTCTTCTAGATTTTCTCCTTTATTTGCATAGAGCTGTTAATAGAATTCTGTAATGGTTGTTTGCATATTTTGGGGGTAAGTGGTGATATCTCCTTTACCATTTTTTTATGGTGTGTATTTGATTCTTCTCTCTTTTCTTCATTAGTCTAGCTAGTGGTCTATTTATTAATAAAATAGTTATTTTATTAATATTTTCAAAAAACAGCTCCTGGATTGATTTTTTGAAGGATTTTTCATGTCTCTATCTCCTTCAGTTCCACTCTGATCTTGGTTATTTCTTGTCTTCTTCTAGCTTTGGGGTTTCTTTGCTCTTGGTTCTCTAGTTCTTTCAGTTGTAACACTAGGGTGTCAATTTGAGATCTTTCTACCTTTTTGATGTAGGCATTTAGTGCTATAAATTTCCCTCTCAACACTGCTTAACTGCATCCCAGAGATTCTGGTATGTTATCTCTTTGTTTTCACTGGTTTCAAAGAACGTTTTGATATCTGCCTTAATTTCACTATTTACCCAGTAATCATTCAAAAGCAGATTGTTCAATTTCCATGTAGTTGTGTAGTTTTCAGTTAGTTTCTTACTCCTGAGTTCTAATTTGATTGCGCTGTGGTCTGAGAGACTGTTTGGTATGATTTTAGTTCTTTTTCATATGCCAAAGTGTGATTTACTTTCAATTATGTGATCAACCTTAGAGTAAGTGACATGTGGCACTGAGAAGAATGTATATTCTGTGGCTTTGGGGTGGAAATATCTGTAGATATCTATCAGGTCTACTTGATCCAGAGCTGAGTTCAAGTCCTGAATATCTTTGTTAATTTTTTGTCTTAATGATCTAATATTGATAGTGGGGTGTTAAAGTCTCCCACTATTGTTGTGTGAGATTCTAAGTCTCTTTGTAGGTCTCTAACAAGTTGTTTTATGAATCTGGGTGTGGATGTATTGGGTGCATATATATTTAGGATAGTTAGCTATTTTTGTTGAATTGACCCCTTTAGTGATAGGTAATTCCCTTGTCTTGTTTGATTTTTGTTGGTTTAAAGTCTATTTTGTCAGAAACTAGGATTGCATCTCCTGCTTTTTCTGTAAATTTTGCTACCAAGCAAAATTTGCTTGGTAAATTTTCTTCCATACTTTTATTTTGAGTCTACGTGTGTCTTTGCATGTGAGATGGGTCTCTTGAATACAGCACACTGATGGATTTTTACTCTATCCAGCTTGTCACTGCATGTCTTTTAATTGGGGCATTTAGCCCATTTACATTTAAGGTCAATATTGTTATGTGTGAATTTGATCCTGACATCATGATGCTAGTCAGTTATTTTGCAGACTTGTTTATGTATTTGCTTCATAGTGTCAGTGGTCTGTGTACTTCAGTGTATTTTTTGCAGTGGCTGGTAAGGGTTTTTCCTTTGCATGTTTAGTGCTTCCTTCAGGAGCTCTTGCAAGGCAGGCCTGGTGGTGCCAAATTCCCTCAGCATTTGCTTGTCTTAAAATATTTTATGTTTCCTTCACTTATGAAGCTTAATTTGGCCAGATATGAAATTCTAGGTTGGAAATTATTTTCTTTAAGAATGTTGAAAATTGGCCCCCAATCTCTTCTGGCTTGTAGAGTTCTTGCTTGAAGGTCTGCTGTTAGTCTGATGGGCTCCCTTTATAGGTGACCTGACCCTTCTCTTTGGCTGCCCTTAACATTTTTTTCTTTCATTTTGGCCTTGGAAAGCTGATGATTATGTGTCTTGGGGTTGATCTTCCCATGGCGTATTTTACTGGGGTTCTCTGGATTTCCTGAATTTGACTATTGGGCTATCTTGCTAGGTTAAGGAGGTTCTCCTGGATGATATCCTGAAATATGTTTTCCAACTTGGTTCCATTCTCCCCATCTCTTTCGGGTATCCCTATCAGTCATAGGTTTGGTCTTTTAACGTAATCCCATAGTTCTTGGAGGTTTTGTTCATTCCTTTTCATTCTTTTTTTCTCTAATCTTATCTGCCTGCCTTATTTCAGCAAGACAGTCTTCAAGCTCTGATATCCTTTTTTCCACTTGGTCTATTTGGCTATTGATACTTGTGTTTGCATTATGAAGTTCTTGTGTTGTGTTTTTCAGCTCCATCAGGTCATTTATGTTCCTCTCTAAACTGGTTATTCTGGTTAACAACTCCTGTAATGTTTTATCATGGTTCTTAGCTTCTTTGCAGTGGGTTAGAACATAATCCTTTAGCTTGGTGAAGTTTGTTATTACCCATCTTCTGAAGCCTACTTCTGTCAATTCATCCATCTCAGCCTCAGCCCAGTTCTGTGCCCTTCCTGGAGACATGTTGTGATCTTTTGCAGGAGAAGAGACACTCTGGCTTTTTGAGTTTTCAGCATTTTTGCAATGATTCTTTCTCATCTTCATGGGTTATCTACCATTAATCTTTGAGGCTGCTGACTTTTGGATGGGGTTTTTTGTGATGGGGTTTATTTTTCATTATGTTGTTGCATTCAGTTTGTTTTTCTTTTAGCAGTCAGGCCTCTCTTCTTGTAGGGCTGCTGTGGTTTGCTTGGGGTCCACTCCAGCCCCTATTCACCTGGGTCCCTCCTATCCCTGGAGATATCACCAGTAGAGGCTGCAGACCAGCAAATATGGAAGCCTGTTCCTTCCTCTGAGAGCTCTGTCCCAGGGGGGCACTGGCCTGATGCAGGCAGGAACGCTCTTGTATAAGATGTCCGGAGACTCCTGTTGGGAGGACTCACCCAGTCTGGAGAAGGAGGTTCAGAGACCCACTTAAATAAGCAGTCTATCTGCCCCTTGGCAGGGCGGGCATGCTGCGCTGCGGGGAAGTCTCCCTCACCTGGGCTCCTCTAGCTCTTCAGAGCCAGCAGGCAGAAAAGACTAAGATGGCTGATCCAGAATACCGCAGCTGCTCCTCCTCCTCTTAGGGGCTCTTCTCAGGGGGATCAGTGTTCCATCCAGAAACCCCTGGCTGGGGATGCTGAGATTCCCAAAGGGAGTCCCCACCCAGTGAGAAGGAGTAAATCTGGGTCCCTCCCTACCTCGCTGGCAAAAGTGGCTGACTGGAGCTGCAGTGATGGCGGCCACCCCTCCCCTCGGTAACTCAGTCTCCTTAGGCAGTTTCTAGCTGGGTGCACTGGCCGGCAGCGATGCCCAGCTTGTGGACTTCCGTGGGAGTGAGGCCACTTGGCTCCCTGGCTTCAACCCCCTCCCCACGAGAGTGGACGGATGTCCTGCCTCACGAGAGTTCCCAGAGCCAGAGTATGCAAACACTCTAGGGTCTCAGTGTCTGCTCAAAGCGGCCACCCACCCAAGTAGCCACCATGATTCTTCACAGCTTTATGCTTGGGACCCAAGGCTCTGGTAGCGGGGGCTCAGGAGGGGACCTCCTAATCTGCAGGTTGCAAGGATCCATGGGAAAAGCCTGGTTTTCAGGGAGGGGAAACACAGTCCCTCACTATCTCCCTTGGCTGAGGGAGGGAGTTCCCTTTGCCACCTGCAGCTCCTGGGTAGGGTCTTGCTCCACCCTGTTTTTGCTGGCTCTCCGTGGGTCACGCCAACCATCTAGTCAGTCCCAATAAGAGGACATTGGTACCTCAGTTGAAGATGCAGCATTCACTCCCAGTTTTTGTCCTTCTCGGTGGGAGAAGCAGAGAGGAGCTGCCTTGATTCAGCCATCTCAGCTCCACCCAACATTTCTTATAAGGTAGTTCTCATGGTGATAAATTCCCTCAGCTTTTGTTTGCCTCAGGAAGTTTTTACCTCCTCTTCATTTTCTAATGACAAAATTGCTGAGTGTAGTATTTTTGATTGACAAGGGTATTTTTTTCTTTAAGCTTTTTAAATACATCATCCTACTTCCTTCTGGCCTGCAGTTTCTGCTGAAAAAATCCACTGATAGTCTCACATATGTTCCCTTGTACATAACAAGTGACTTTTTCATTTTTTCCTTTCTGCCCCTCAGATTGGATGATTTATAAGTAGCAGTCTTCAAGTTTGTTAATCTTTTCTTCTGCTTGATCTAGTCTGCTGTTGAATCCTTGTGTTGAAGTTTTGAATTTGGTTATTGTATTCTTTAGCTTGATGATTTCTGTTTGGTACCTTTTTAGGTTTTCTTTTTGTCGAAATTTTCTCTTTGTTCATGCATTGCTCTACCTTAGTAAACATCTTTATGTTTGCTCTTTGGAATTCCCTGCCAGGTAAAGAATATATCTCCATTTCATTAGAGTGGTTTTTGGAGATTCATCTTGTTCTTTTATTTGGAACCTGTATTTCATGTTTCTTCATTTTCCTTGACTTTTTATATCGGTGTCTGCACTTTAGATAAGACAATAACCTTCCTTAGACTTGTTAAACTGGTCTCATGTAGATATTCCCCTCAGTCTTGTTAAACTGTTCCTCCCCAGTAAGCTCTGCCAGAGGATCTAAGTGCCTCTAAACTGTTTGGGATTGTCTAATACACTCTTTGTTCTTAGTGGCCCCAAGAGACTACAAAGTGCCAATGAGTCTATTGCCTTGAGAGAGGTGGGTTAAAATCCAGTCCCTCAGGATGCAGCTGGAGAAGTTAGAGTGTTAGATGTGTGTTCCGGTTCCTTCTTTCCTGTGGAGAAGCTGAGTGCCAGAGTTTATCTTCCACTTGTTCTGCTGTACACCAAAAAGAGGATCCATGGCAGATGCCAATACTCTTCTTCAAAATGCTCACCTTGAACATGGGGAGACAGATGCTGAATGTTTGCAGTTTAGAAATTACCTTTTTGTTCTCTGTAGTCTAGGAGACTGAGTGTGAGCCTCATCAACTCCCAGAGCTAGCTGATTTAGGATCCAGTCCCTTGGTTAGGAGCTATAAAATTTGGGGCACTCAATGCACACAGAAAATACTACCAGAGATAGTCTGAACATTTAGATATTTTGCTGGAGCAAGCCAGGAAGGTGCCATCTCTCTTGTTCCTGCTGGCAGAGACCTCCAGCCTCTTTCTAGGAAGAGGCTGTAGGGCTGGAAGTTATCACTGAAGCAAGTTGGAGAAGAAGGCATAGGGAGTGCTCACTCTCCTGTTTAAGCAAGCAGAAGTCTCCCACCCTCCTTTCAGAGAGAGACTTCTGGATTGCAGTTATTGCTGAAGTAAGCCGAGGAAGAAGACACGAGGGGTTCACACTTTCCTTTTTAGGCATGGGGAGGTTCCCTAGCCTTCTTCCAATGAGAGACTGAAGGGATATATTTCTGGAGCAAGCTGAGGAAGAAAGCACAGGCAGTCCAGTCCTTCCCATTCTTGTTGTCAGAGTCTCTCTTTCCATGGAGAGATTGCAGGGCTGGAATTATTGCTGGAGTAATCCAGGGAAGAAGGTGTGGGGAGTGCCCACTTTCCCCTTAGGCCATGGTGACATTCCCTCTGTCTCCTTACAATGAGAAATTGCAGGGAATTATCACTGAAGCAAGCCAAGGAAGAAGGTACAAGGTGCCATCCTTGCCATTTAGGCTGGAGTACGTGTATTCTTTATTTGCTACATAGTCCCCGAGATACTGGCTTGTCAGAGGCCAGAACCACAGGGAACTACCAGAAAAGTGTGAAGTCAACTCTTTCTAGAGGGATTTTGGAAAATGTGTTGATCCTGGGGACTATCGGTGCTGGGAATGTTTTCACGGTTCAAAACTCTGCTTGTTTTTTGTGTTTGAGGAAAATCTTTCTCCATGCTGTTCCTCAAGCAAGGTGATTTAAAGGTCAAGTCCTTAGGCAGGAACTGTAAAAGTTGTACATCATATGTGTGGTACAACCCCATGCCCCTCAGAAAGAAGCCGAGAGTTGGAGATTCCTTCCTGATTGTAAGGTGCTGTGCTCAAGGTGGGGCTAGTGTACAAGTGTATCTCTGCTTCTCCTACCAAATTTGATGTGGGAATTTTCTCAGTATTCTGGTGCGTAGTAGTCTTTCAACTAAATTCTATCTTTCTCTTGGACTGAACTGATCCATATGTAAGTGTTTACTCAGTATGTCAGTGGGAGGAGGGATAGTCAGGAGCCTCCTATTCCACCATGTTGCATGTTGTTGATGACTTTTTTTTTTTTTTTTTTTTTTTTTTTTCAAAAGGTCCAGCTCTGTGGCCCAGGCTGTAGTGCAGTGGCACAATCTTGGCTCAATGCAACCTTTGCCTCCTGGGCTCAAACCATCCTCCCACCTAAGCCTCCCAAGTAGCTGGGATTACTGGGATTACAGGTGAATGCTACCACACCAGGTTAATTTTTCTTTTTTTTTTTTTTTGTAGAGATGGAGTCTCACCTCATTGCCCAGGCTGGTCTCAAACTCCTGAGCTCAAGTGATCTGGCTGCATTGGCCTCATAAAGTGCTGGGATTATAGCAGTGAGCCACTGCACCTGGCCACCCTTTATTTTTAATGCAGTATTTTTTATAGTACTTTTAGGTTTTCAAAAAAATGCACAGAAAATACAAATGGTTTCCATAAACTCTCTCTTCCTATCCCCACCCCCATACATTCTTCTATATTTAATATCTTGAGTTAGTGTGGTACATTTGTTAAAATTGATAAACCAAGACTGATGTATTACTATAAATTAAAATCCATAGTTTACATTATGGATTATTCTTTATATTGTACAGTTTGATGGGTTTTGACAAATCCAGAATGTCATGCATCTACTATTACAGTAATGTACATAATAGTTTCACTGCCCTAAAAACAACTTTTATTCCACTTATTCATTCTTCCCCACCACCCCATCCTCAAACCACTGGCAATCATTGTCCTATTTACTATTTCCATAGTTTTGCCTTTTCTAGATGTCATATAGCTGGAATTACACAGTATGTAGCTCTTTCAAACTAGCTTCTTTCACTTATCAATAGGCATTTAAAGTGCTTCCTTATGTTTTCATAGCTTGATAGCTTTTTTCTTTCTATTGAATAACACTTCATTTATAAACATTCCACAGTTTGTTTTTCTATTCACTATTAAATGATATCTTGATTGCTCCTAAGTTTTGGTAATTATGACTAAAGTTGCCATAAACATTTTTGTGTAGGTTTTTGTGTGGATATAAGCTTTCAACTCATTTGAATAAATATCTAGGAGCATGATTGCTAGGTCTTATAACAAGCCTATCTTTGTCTTTATTAAAAGCTTGTAGACTGTTTTCCTAAGTGACTTTACTATTTTGTATTCCAACCAGCTATGCGTAAAAATGTCTCTTGCACCACATCTCCCCCAGAATTTAGTGTTGTCAGTGTTTTAAATTTCAGGTTCAAACACTAATAGGTATGTAGTAGTGTCTCATTTTTTTGTTTGTTTATAACTGTAATGACATAACCCAGTAAGTATTTTTTCACATGCTTGTTTGCCATCTTTGTAACTTCTTTGGTAAAAAAATCTATTGAGATCTTTTGCCCATTTTTAATTGTGTTGTCTGTTTTCTTATTGTTGAATTTTAAATGTTATTTGTATATCTGGATACTAGTCCTTTTCAGATATGTATTTTGCAAACAGTTTCCTCCAGTTCATGGCTTACCTTTTCATTCTGTTAAGAGTGTAGTGTCTTTTGCAGAGCAAATATTTTAGTTTTAGTAATGTTGTCCAATATCTGGACTTGGTTGATTAGGGCAGAAGAATATTGGCTTGAGGGTGGGAGCTTCTTAAAGGAGATGGTTGGGGATACAGGCTTAGGATTGGTTGGTTTACAAATAAAAATAATGCTCTCATGGGAGTAGTTTTCTATACGTAAGAATTACCTAACCTGGGGAGGGGCAGTATCTCCCAGGTCTGCATGGTTTTGAGATGTCAACGTGTAATAAAGTAAAGAAAAAAATTTAAAACATGGTTAATCAGCAACTAACATCACACATAAAGATGAAAAGCCAGATGCTCTTTCTAGTAATGTCTCTTTCGGGTTTTGGTATTCAGGTAATGCTGACCTCACAGAATGAGATAGGAAATACTCTGTTTCTATTTTCTGGGAGAGATTGTAGAGAATAGTATCATTTCTTCTTTCAATATTTAATAGAATTAACCAGCGAAAACATCTGGGCCTGGGGCTTTATGTTTTGGAAGGTTATTATTGAGTCAATTTTTAAAATAGATATAGGTCTACTCAGAGTATCTATTTCTTCTGTGTGAATGTTAGTAGATGCATGTTTCATGAATTATTATATTTCATCCAAGTTATCAAATTTGTGGGCATAAAGTTATTCATAGTATTCCTTTATTGTCCTTTTAATGTCCATGGGATCACTTGTGATACTCTCCTCTTTCTGATATTAATAATCTGTGTCTTTTTTTTCCCTTTGGTTATGCTGGCCAAAGGTATATCAATTTTATTGATAGGTTCAAAGAAAAGCTTTTGGTTACATTGATTTTCTCTATTAATTTCCTATCTTTAATTTCACTAATTTCTGATCTGTTTTTTCTTCATCTGCTTACTTTGCACTTAATTTGCTCTCTCTTTTTTTTTAAAGTTTCCTAAGGTAGAAGCTCATTGATTTTAGTTTTTTCTTCTTTTGTAATTACATGATTTCACTGCTATTAATTTTACTCATTAACTGCTTTTGCTGCATTCCACACATTTTGATGTTTTATTTTTATATAGTTAATATTTTAAAATTTTTCTTGAGATTCCTTCAACCCACGTGATTTTTATTATTTTTGTATTTTTATTTTTTGAGACAGAGTCTCACTCTGTCCCCCAGGTTGGAGTCCAGTGGTGCAATCTCAGCTCACTGCAACCTCTGCCTCCTGAGTTCAAGTGATTCTCCTGCCTCAGCTTCCCGAGTAGCTGGGATTACAGGCTCACACCACCACGCCCAGCTAATTTTTGTATTTTTAGTAGAGACAGAGTTTCGCCCTGTTGATCAGGGTGGTCTCAAACTCCTCATCTCAGGTGATCCGCCCGCCTTAGCCTCCCAAAGTGCCGGGATTACAGGCATGAGCCACTGTGCCCGGCCACCCATGTGATTTTTAGAAGTGTGTTGTTTAATCTCAAATCCTCCAAATTTGAGGATTTTCTGTCTTTCTGCTATTGATCTCTGGGTTAACTGTATCATTGTATGAAAACATATGCTGTATGATTTATATTTATATTAATTTTGTTAAGGTGTGTTTCATAGCTTAGGATATGATTTATCTTGAAAGTTCCATGTAAACTTGAGACTATGCATTCTACTGTTATTGGATCAATCTGTTGGAAATCAACAAGATCCAGTTGATTGATGGTGCTGTTCAATTCAATTACATATATACTTAAAGATTTTCTGCCTGCTGGATCTCTCAATTACTGAAAGAGAGGTGTTAAGGCTCCAGTGCTAATAGTGGATGTATCTATTTTCCCTTACCTTCCTATTGGTTTTTTGCCACAGATATTTTGGTGCTATGCTGTTAGGCACATATGAATTTAGGATTATTATATCTTATTGGAAGATTGACCCCTTTATTATGGGGCCATTGCCCTTATTTATCCCTGATAGTTTTCCTTGCTGTGAAGTCTTCGTCTGAAATAAATATAGCTACTATAACCTTCTTTTAATTAGTATTAGTATGACATCACTTTCTTCATCTTTTATTTTAATCCACTGTGTCATTATATTTGAAGTTGGTTTCTGTACACAACATAGAGTTAGGTGTTGCCCTTTTACTACTCTTATAGACCCTTTCTTTAAATTGATATTTAAACCATTCACATTTAAAGTGATTATTGATACAGTTGGATTGATATCTACCAGATATGTAATTGAATTCTATTCATTGCTCCTGTTCTCTCTTTCTCTCCTCACTTCTTTTTCTGCCCTCTCTTGTTTTAACTGAGCAATTTATGATTCCTTTTTCTTTTCTCTCTCGGTGTATCAATTACACTTCTTTTAAAAGTTTATTTTAGTGATTGCCTTAGAATTTATAATATACATTCACAACTACTCTAAGTCCACTTTTGCTTCATGAATAGTGTGGGTACCATATGATATTTTCAATTCCTCTCTCTGCTGTCTTCTAACATTGCTGTCATACATTTTTCACTTACATACTATATAAACTACAATCATCCAATATTGTTACTATTATTATTTTGAACAAACTGTTACTTGCTAGTTAAGAACAAGATATAAAAAATATTTTACCTTCATTTATTCCTTCTTGAAAGTTCTTTCTTCATGTAGGGCTGAGTTTCTGATCAGTATCAGTTTCCTTTTCTCTGAAGAATTACTTTAACCTTTCTTGCACGGCAGGTCTACTGAAACAAACGTCATCAATTTTTGTTTGTTTGAAACAGCCCTTTTTATTCCTCTAAAGGATGACTTCACTAGGTACAGTTTTAAGTTGGTGGTTGTTTTCTTTCAACACTTTAAATATTTCATGCCATGCCCTTTTTGCATGCAAGAATTCTGAAGAGAAGTCTAGTGTTATTCTTATCCTTGCTCCTCTGTAGGTAAGGTATTTCCTCTCTGCCTTCATTCAAGATTTTCTTTGTCTTAAGAAATGGGGAAAGGACTCTTTATTTAATAAATGGTGCTGGGAAAACTGGCTAGCCATATGTAGAAAGCTGAAACTGGATCCCTTCCTTACACCTTATACAAAAATTAATTCAAGATGGATTAAAGACTTAAATTTTAGACCTAAAACCATAAAAACCCTAGAAGAAAACCTAGGCAATACCATTCAGGACATAGATATGGGCAAGGACTTCATGACTAAAACAAGAAAATCAATGGCAACAAAAGCCAAAATTGACCAATGAGATCTAATTAAACTAAAGAGCTTCTGCACAGCAAAAGAAACTACCATCAGAGTAAACAGGCAACCTACAGAATGGGAGAAAAGTTTTACAATCTACCCATCTGACAAAGGGCTAATATCCAGAATCTACAAAGAACTACAAATTTACAAGAAAAAATCAAACAACCCCATCAAAAAGTGGACAAAGGATATGAACAGACACTTCTCAAAAGAAGACATTTATGCAGCCAAAAGACACATGAAAAAATGCTCATCATCACTGGCCATCAGAGAAATGCAAATCAAAACCACAATGAGATACCATCTCACACCAGTTAGAATGGTGATCATTAAAAAGTCAGGAAACAACAGATGCTGGAGAGCATGTGGAGAAATAGGAACATTTTTACACTGTTGGTGGGACTGTAAACTAGTTCAACCATTGTGGAAGTCAGTGTGGCGATTCCTCAAGGATCTAGAACTAGAAATACCATTTGACCCAGCCATCCCATTACTGGGTATATACCCAAAGGATTGTAAATCATGCTACTATAAAGACACATGCACACGTATGTTTCTTGTGGCACTATTCACAATAGCAAAGACTTGGAACCAACCCAAATGTCCATCAATGATAGACTGGATTAAGAAAATGTGGCACATAGATACCATGGAATACTATACAGCCATAAAAAAGGATGAGTTCATGTCCTTTGTAGGGACATGGATGAAGCTGGAAACCATCATTCTGAGCAAACTATCACAAGGACAGAAAACCAAACACCACATGTTCTCACTCATAGGTGGGAACTGAACAATGAGAACACTTGGACACAGGGTGGGGAACATCACACACCGGGGCCTGTCGTGGGTGGGGGCAGGGGGGAGGGATAGCATTAGGAGATATACCTAATATAAATGATGAGTTAATGGGTGCAGCCCACCAACTTGGCACATGTATACATATGCAACAAACCTGCATGTTGTGTACATGTATCCCAGAACTTAAAGTATAATAATAATAAAAGATTTTCTTGTCTTTGATTTTCTGCAGTTTGAATACCATATGCTGAGGTATAGATTGTTTGGTATTTATCCTGCTTGGTGTTTTCTGAGCTTCCTGATCTGTGATTTGGTGTCTGTCAATAATTTTAGAAAATCTTTGGAGATTATTACTTCATATATTTTATCTGTTCTTTCTTTCTTCTTCAGTATTTCTATTATATGTGTGTTGCTATCCTTTTTTAATATTTGTCCCCCACTTGTGAACATTCTGTTTCACTTTCGGTTTTTTTGTTTTTTCCTCTTTTTCATTTTCGGGAAGTTTCTATTGACCTGTCTTCAGGCTCACTCTTTTTTATGTTGGGTCCAGTCTACTGATGAGCCCATCAAAGACATTCTACATTTCTAATACAGTGTTTTTTTTTTTTAATTTCTAGCATTTCCTCTTAGAATTTTCTTCACTCTGCTAATATTATTCGTCTGCTCTCGCATAATGTTCACTTTCCCTTAGCATCCTTAGCACATTAATCAGTTATTTTAAATTTCCAATCCGATAATTCAAAATTCTCTGTCATATCCTAAACACTTTACATCTTATATAGGGAGTCAGTTGATCCTGTTATTAATGCTGATAAACTTTAAAAATAGAAATAAAAAGTTTACTGCTCAAATTTATAATTATGTTTACATAACCTATATTAACAATCTACACAAATATTTATAATATTAACTAGTAAAATATACGTTAACATATAATACAACATTAATATATAACATTAATCTATAATCAGAATTAATAAAACAGTTTAACATAATAACTAATAAAAGAACAACTGAAGCAAGTTGTTGGTTCTGGAGACTAGAATTCAATAAGACTTTCACCTTGTGAGTGAATTAACAGCATTTGCAGTGACCTGAATGAGACTATTATCCTAAGTGAAGTAACTCAGGAATGGAAAACCAAACATTGTATGTTCTCACTGATATGTGGGAGCTAAGCTATGAGGATGCCAAGGCATAAGAATGATACAATAGACTTTGGGGACTTGCGGGGAAGAGTTGGGGGGGCGAGGGATAAAAGACAACAAATATGGTGCAGTGTATACTGCTTGGGTGATGGGTGCACCAGGATCTCACAAATCACCATTAAAGAACTTACTAATGTAACCAAATACCACCTGTATCCGAATAACTTATGGAAAGATAAACCAAAAGACTTTCACCTTTTGACACACATCTGTGTCAATTGGAAAGAAAATGAAAACTAGCATAGAGAGACTTCCTCTTTCCTGCTGCCAGATTTTAGATTCCCTGCTGAAACTCATCAGCTCCTTCCACCCCATCTCCATCTCCATCCCCTACTTCTGTATCACTATGATAACTTATTTTTACATTACGAGTCTAGGCATGCTCAGTGCCATTAGCACCAAGCACTGCAGTCCGTACTGTGGTGCATCTGGTATACTGTTACCACCACCTGAGACAGAAGTCAGCTGTCATATGTGGCATCTTGGTCCTGTCCCTGCTGCTGAGCATCCTTGAAAGGAACTACTGTAGCTTCTTTTGGGGTACTCTAATTTTGCTTGGTTTCTGGCACTTTATTTCATTACCATGTGTTCTCTCTGGGTCCAGCCTGTCCCTACTGGTCAGACTCCTGTGTGGCTGCAGGTGCTGCAGCTGACCAGGCTCTTATGTGACAACCTGCTTCTGGTCCTAGTCTTCCACTTCTGCAGCCTACCTGCTGGTGTTCAATTGTTTCTTGGGTTGTGGGTTCAAATTGACTACAATTCATTCTTTTGTCTTGATTGCATTGTGTTTATCTTGACTTGCTAGCAGCTGCACCAACCCTATTATTTGCTTTCTTTGTTGGCTCCTTTAGGTAGTATCAATATGGGAAGATCCTCAAGCTGGTTCTCCAGAGGGCTCTGCAGGACACTGCTGAAGTATATGAAGGTGGAGGCAGACTTGTTCAGGAAACCCTGAAGCTGTCGGGAAGCAGACTGAGGCAGTGAGGAAAAGCCTCTGCCTTGGTCAGTCAGATGTGACTTTGACAGTAAACACTGCCCTGCCAGACTTGACAATTACCTGCTCTTCTCTCAGCCTCATGCCGCCAAAGTGCCTCAGTTATTCTTCAATGTCTTCAAATAGATATATTTAATGTGGCTTTTCTAGTTTTTCTCAGAGAAATCATTAGTCCCAAAGTAGAATATCTCTATGATACGAATAAATTTCTTATATTATCTCCTCTGGATCTTTTACTTTTTTCAATCTACTTAAATTTTAATTATTTTGGCTACATAAGAGTTGTACATATAATGGGGCATATGTGATATTTTAATATAAACATACAATGTATTATGATCAAATGGGGTAATTGAGGTATCTACCTCAAGCATCTAACTTTTTGTGTTAGGGACATTCCAATTCCACTCCATTATTTTGAAAAATACAATAAAATTTTGTTAACTATAGTCACCCTATTGTACTACCAAACACTAGATCTTATTCCTTCTAACCATATATTTATACCCATTAGCCAACCCCTCTTCATCCACCACTTCCCACTACCCCTCCCAGCCTCTGGTAATCATCATTCTACTCCCTCTGCCTCCCCGCTGCCCCCTGCCGCCAATGATAGCATGCTCATGTCCCAGATGGATCCCCACTTCACATTGGCCCTGTGAGGCATGCAGCCCTCTTCTCTCTGGGATCTGGAAGTAATAAATGACCTCTGTTATTGTAGGTGTTTTGTTGAGTTACCTCCTCTGTCTTACCTGACCAATACACTTGAACCTAACTCCTTTCCTGGTCAGGGCTGTCCTAGAGAGTGGCTATCTTGGCTGAGAGCGGTGGCTCACACCTGTAATCCCAGCACTGTGGGAGGCCGAGGCAGGTGGATTACCTGAGGTCAGGAGTTCAAGACCAGCCTGGCCAACATGGTGAAACCCCATTTCTACTAAAAATACAAAAATTAGCTGGGCATGGTAGCACACGCCTGTAATCCCAGCTACTTGGGAGGCCGAGGCAGAAGAATTGCTTGAGCCTGGGAGGCGGAGGTTGCAGTGAGCCAAGATTATGCCACCGCACTCCAGCCTGGCCAACAGAGCAAGACTCTGTCTCAAAAAAAGAAAAAAAAAAAAGAGAGAGAGTGACTATCTTGGAAAAAGTAAACTGGACACAGATAATACAAAAGCCACAAGGGTGTCTGCCAGTATAAACAAGTTTCCTGTGCGAGGAATACCTGGTTGTGGGTCAGACACTTAGTCATTAGGCCATCTGCCAGGATAAAGAAGCATTACTTGAAAGGCACACTGTAAACAGCCATGACCACAGTCCCTGAGTCACATCAGGGCAGGACTAGAGTTCATTACCACTCTCTTCAGAGAGAGATTTCAAGGCCAGGCTAAAAAGAAAAAAAACACAATATCAGTTTTCTGACTCCAGATTTGATATTCTTCCAGGTTCAGTACTCTGTTGACTCTGTATCCTATACATACACCCTTGACTTCCAAATGCTGTCGTAGGTCTTGGCTATAGGTGAGGGCTTCCTACAGGAGGGAAGAAGTAGGAAGACAGTGTTTGTAGCCCATGCAGTAGGCATGGTGCCTTGATGTGATGTCACCAGTTCAGACTAAGAATTATTATGAGTCAGCCCTGGGAATCTACCATCAATTGTACAGCTGTGGCTGAAGATGTTGTCCATCATAAAGAATCCTGTAATGCAAGGCCAAAATGAGAGAGGGAGAGATGACTCATTTTATTTTAAATACAACATTTTTCTCCTACCATAAAAATTCAACTCTTAATCTTTTTATACCCTGATGTAGATGATGTCTTGAGAGTTGGGTAACCAATTTTAAAATAAGAATTTTAAAAAGAATTTTTAAGGTAAGAATTTTAAAATAAATTAGCAACTTTATTTTAAAATTGTACATGTCATACAGCACTGCTTTTGAAATATATTTTTGATAGTATCTTCACATTAGATAAAATGGGATTGTTAACTTCCAGTTATCAAAACTGGATTAACTTCCACTATCTTCTTATTTAGATGAAATTGGATTGTTAACTTCCATTATTCTGATGGGCAGAATAATGCCCATCAATTTCAAAATCTTTGAAGAGCCACAGAGAGAAGCAATGCAAGGTTGGAGCATCTGTTGTATCTGTAGTTTTATTTATTCATTTTTAAAGAGAAATTGGTGACAAATATGACACATTTTTAATATATGCTTAATAATTTGCAGGGTGGGTATGTGAACGTTTATATTTTCTGTCCTAAGTAGCCAGTTTATAGACTTCTCCAGCATCACCCTGTCCTCATTCGTGATGACTCCAATGTCCTTGTAGATGGCAATCCAACATCCTAAGCTTTCCATCTCCTAAACACCTCCTTCCTTTAATCTTGTCACCTACCCCATTCTAACCATCCAGGCTTAGATCTTGTCATAACCCCCAATGGCATCACCTCCACAATCTCAGTTTCAAAATCGCACTGCCTTCCCCTCAACTCTAATCTGTACAACTTATTTTCCCGAATGCCTCAACTCTTGCACACCATCTCAGCCTCCAGTATCTTCACCCAACATGACTCATTGACCTTGGCTTCCCCACTGTCACCATTGCTAACTTTAGATTTCACACCCCATTTTTGTAATCACTACCTTGCACATACCCTCCACCTCCTTGCCACACTTTCCTCTGCCAACTTGCCAGACAAAACTCCATCTGGTTGAATTCATCTTTCACTCACTCTATGCTTGTTCCTAGAGAGCTGAGTGTGACTAGTGTGTGGTTAACTTCCTTACATCTCACAAGGGGTGACAATTTATCCAACTGTTAACACAGATAAATGTTAAACAGAGTAATAAAATTTACTGTTCAAAGCTATATTCATAACTAATGAAAGATTTAACAACAAAAACTAACAAGTTGTTGCTTCTAGAGAACAGGATTTAGGAAGACTTTGACCTTGTATTTGATACACTTCTGATATGGATTGGGTGTGTGTCCCTGCTCAAATCTCATGTCAAATTGTAATCCCCAGTGTTGGAGGTGGGACCTGGTGGCTAGTGATTAGATCATGGGAGCAGATTTTCCCTTTGGAGCTGTTCTCTTGATAGTGAGCAAGTTATCACAAGATCTGGTTATTTAAAAGTGTGTAGCACCTAGCCCTCCTCTCTTCCTCCTGCTCCGGCCATGAAAGAAGTGCCCGCTTCACCTTCCACCATTATTGAAAATGTCCTGAAGCTTCCTCAGTCATGCTTCCTGTACAGCCTGAGGAACCATAAACCAATTAAACCTCTTTTCTTTATAAATTACCTCCCTCAGGTAGTTATTTATAGCAGTGCAGGAATGAATTAATACAATTTCTGTGCTCTGGAAAGACAGAGTAAACATGGACACGTTACTACTTTGATAAAGAAAAAGGGTGGGACAGGCCACAGAGGGCCTTGAGTGACAAATGAGGAGGGTGTGCTTTATTCTTAGTTATAAACTCTCCCAGCACAGGCTCACATTGCTTGGCATTGCTGGTCATGCACACAGTTAGCAGCAAAAGACTCCAAAACAACCATCATTTACAGCAACAGGAATTGGATGCAGGCAGGGATTGGCAGAAGTTCAAAGACAAGAATAGAGTGAGACTAAATGGTGAGACACATCTCGTGAGAGGTCATGACTCAAACGACTCTGCACTCTCATTTGCCAGCAGATCCCTGCACAGGAAATCACAGGGCTGTCCAGTACTTTGATAAGCACCAGGCTTCCCTTCAACTACTGCAGGCACCTCCGTAGGTCAGAGAAGTGCCCTCTAGCAACTGTCAATTGCAGTTTGTCACTGTCTTGAACACAGATCAGCCTGCCACCTCCAGCAAGGAGAATAAAGGAGATGTTAGAATTTATTGAGCTTATTTCCAAAGCCATTATTATGTTTTTCCTCTTAGTGAACATTCACATAACTCTACCTTGGCATGGCATATTCAGGGAGCAATAGGGGCTCCAGTAGGAAAAGACAGGAGACATGACGCTCACTCCTGGCAACTTTGGGAGCTGGCAGGCTTGACAGTGGGAGAGCTGAATGCTCAAAAACAGGACTGTGCCCCCTTATTGCACACTCTCACCATTCTCTTCATCAAACCACACTAATTTGCTGTCATGGTGATGAATCTGATGTTTTCCTTAATTTAAAGAGGCAAGCTGGGGCACATGCATGTTTCTCAAAGCTAAAACGCTGTTAATAACCCAGATTTCACTGATTTCCTTGCTTTTCAAAAGTTTTCCTTTTTGTATATCTGGCAGTGCCCTGGCATGAAATGCAGGGTCCAAACTGAAATAAATGAAAAGAGTTTAATTAAAGCACTATTTACAAAAATGGACTGGTCAAGCACCTCTTAAGAGAGATAAAAACCCAAAGGCAATTAATTGGGAGGAGTTTTACTACAAGACTGAAGAAATAAGAAGAAGGAGCAGCTATCAAGAATTCAGAGGGCTGTAGCTGTGACTGTAGATATAGCTGTAGCTATAGAAAGTGACAACAGGCAGGGACTATGCCATGAGGTAAAGTAACACTGCCACTGTCAATTCATAGCCTAGCAGGGAGAGAGCCAGGAGATAGATGAACAATCCCCATATACCTCACATCCTGCCCTCCAATCTCATCAGTGTTCGCCTTTAACTGAACTTTACAAGGAGCCACAGGGAAAGGAAGCCCATTGATGAGGTACGGAAATGTGTCCCACTGGGTTGTTAATTGTGCTAGAGAAGAACAGCAAATAGACCTTAAGGGTGAATGAAGAACATCCATCACCTTCTTATATCCATCATAAAGTTTGTACTTCCTGGAACTAAAAGAAAGAGTCAAACTCTTATAAACAGAGTATAATTGTGGTTACCAGAGGTTGGGGCTTGGGGGGCAGAAATGGGGAGATTTTGGTCAAAGTGTACAAAGTTTCAGTAAGATGGGATAAATTCTAGAGACCTATTGTTTTGTAAAAAAAATTCCCTAAATTTTCTTACATAAATGATTTATTCAAGGGGTAATGTCAGTAAAATGTGGGAGTAGAAGCCCCAAGCTTACCTTCACAGAAACATCAAAAAGCAAGCAAGAACTGTCCAAAACAACTTTTTTGGAACTCTAGAAACTAGTCAAATGTTTACAGCAACCAAGAGAATGCTGAATCAAGAAAAAGGAAACATGAAAATGCTAGGAACGCTTTGTGGCTTTCTTACTCATCTGCTCCACATCCTTCCCATCACAGCACAGTTTGAAGTGACAGCAGCCCCTGTTTCATTGTGGCACCTAAGACCCTGTTCCAAAGACAGCAGTGCAGACTCCATTTGAAAATTAATATGAATGTGTGATCTAACTTGTGTAGGAGCTACCCAAAGCAAGGTACTCGTCTCTTTCTTACCCCTCATTGATCTCACTCGTCTCTTTCTTACCCATCATTGAACTCAAGCCAAAAAAGCTGCAGATATTGCTCAAAAATGCTGCAAGGTGAACCAGTAATCCCAGGACATTTGGAGCAAAGGACTGTGGGTCAAGACATGCAATAAATCACCTAAAACCCAGGAGGAAAAGCTGGGGGAACATTCCTTGGGAAATTAGGACATTCAAAAGCACTCAGGTTTATAGAGAAATTTCAAAAGTCATGTTCATGTTCAGGGCAAGATTCATGCTCAGAAAACATCTGAGAAGACTGTAAGCCTTCACTTCAGTCTGAATCCATAGGCTCAATGCAAGTCTTGCTAAAGGTTGAAGAAGAACACAACACAGGGCCAATCTGCAAAAACTAGAAGAGGTGTTCTTTTCGCAGGGTTGGGTTGGGAGAGACATTGCTTTCTTTTGTTCCAATTTTGTTGCTTTTCTTTTTTTTAACCTCCTGCATTCAAGGAAATCTGTTATTTAAGATTAGCTGAAGTACAAGCTAAAGGAATAGCAAGACTGTTTATTTTTGCATAGACTATATTCCCTGTGTGTGTTCACTGAACTGCATTCCTTCACTGAACACACACAGGAATACAGTGTATGCAAAAATAAATGTAAAAATTATCCAATGAATGACTACATCCTTCAAAATAAAGAAGCCCAGTAAACCATGAAAAGGGAAGAATCATCTTTTTCTCAATTACCTCAATTACTCGAATGCCCTGATTTCAACATTTGGCAACCATTAGAATAACAGTTAATTCAGGCAAGAAAAATCAATGCATGCTAAAACCAGTGGGTTGAAATGGGGGTGAGGAATGGTATCTATTATAGTCTCAAAGTACTTCCTTGCAAAATTCGTACTTACAAAGTAGGGGTGGAGGGAAATAACAATAGTGGAGAAACACGGCAGATACCGTTTTCATCAAGTGATGAAGTTAATGCCACTGATGGTGGGATGAATTCACATCATGTAGCATGCAATGAGAACACAGCATCATTTTTGTGGTATTCTAGCCAAAATGTATAACCCAGGTCTAGCCATGAGGAAATACTGGACATAACCAGGTTGAGGGACATTCTACAAAATGACTGGCTTATAATTTTCAACAAAATATCAAGGTCATGAAAATTAAGGAAACACTGACGAGCTGCTGCAGATTGAAGAAGACCATAGGGACACAAAAAGTGAATGCAATATGTGATTCTGGACCAGATCTTTAAGTTATAAAGGATATTCTTGAAATCTGAATGGGGTTTTTGAGAGAAAGGTGTACAAGATTTTTTAGAACTATTGTTGTAACTTTTCTGTAACTTTGAAATCATTTCAAAAGAAAAAAGTTTAAAATAATCTACATTTTATTTTAGAGAAAGAGAAGCTAAGTCCACTTAAGGAAGGGCCCTGAAATACCACTGTGTAATAGTGATTCCTCTAGTCCTTCCCTGAAGAGACCTATTGCCAGTATTTTGGTAACTATAGTGCCAGTATTTGGATAAAGGAGAATACCTAGATCTAATGAGGGCTATTATTTCTCATTTGAGCTGACACAGAAACCTAGGGACACAAAGCACCATCATCACCCTGTTAGTGAAGTGGCACATGGAATTAAGAAACAAATTGAGTCTTGGGTCAGATCTGTCTGAGCCACTAGGTCCACAAATCTACTAGTGGTCATCTCTCCAGTTCTGAAATGTATCATTGGTATGGACTTACTTAGCAGTCAGCAAAAGCTTCATATTGGTTCCTTGACCATGAAATGAATACTACTATAGTGTGAAAGACTAAGTGGAAGCCCCTGAATTTATACCCTCTTCTGGTCAAAGTAGTAAAAAATAACATTGCATTCCAGGGGTAGTGACTGATATTGGTACTACCTGCAACAATTTAAATGATGCACCAGTTGTTGTCTCAATGACATGCTATTTTCACTGGTCTGACTCTTGTAAAAAGCAAATGGATATTGCAGATGACAGTGGTCTACTGACAACTACCAAATCATAGTAACAACCACAGCTGCTGACCATAGTAACAACCATAGCAACATGACCTTGGGTGTATGGTATTGCTTCTGATCTGGCAAACGTATTACTTAAAAATACATCAGGAAGGAGGTTCAGAAGCAGTTTGCTTCAGTTTACTTTTACTTTGAGGTCTTCTTCAAAGTAAAAGACAAGATATGGCACCTTGTACCCCCTACCGCCAAGAAAAAAACTCAAGGTTTGGTCAGTCTCTTTGGAGTTTGAAGGCAGAATAGTTCACACTGGAAAATACTGAGATGACTCATTTATTGAGTGATGTGCAAGGATGCCAGTTTTGAGGGGAACCCGAAGCAAGAAAAAGGCCCTGTAGCAGGTTTAGTCTGCAGTACAAACAACTCTGTCACTTGAGCCACATGACCCAAAGATCCCATGGTACTAGAGGCATCTGGGGTAGAAAAAGAAGATATATGGAGCGCTCGTAAATGCCTGGCAGGAATGCAAAATGGTACAAACACTGTGGAAACGTTTGTCAGTTCCTCAAACACCAAACAGAGTTACCACATGATCCAGCAATTTCACACCTAAGCAGATACTCAAGAGAAATATCTGAAATATGAAAATACGTGTGTACATAAATCTCGTGCAGAAATGTTCATAGCAGCATTATCCGTAATAGACAAAACTGGAAGCAACCTAAATATATATCAATTAATGAATGGATAAACAAAATGTGGATAAAAATAAGGTATTAATTATTATGCTACAACATAAATAAATCTTGAGAGCATTTTGCTCAGTGAAAGATACCAGACACCACATATTACATGATTCCAATTCTATGAAATGCCCAGAGTAGACAAATCCATAGGGACAGAAAGTAAATTAGTGGTTGCTTGGTGCTGAGGCAGAACAAGGGGAAGAGAAGCAGGTATTGGAAATAATTACTAAAGGGTACAAAGTTTCTTTCTAGAATGAAAATGTTCTAAAATTAAAGTGTGATGATATTTGCACAAATCCGTGAATATCTTAAGAACCACTGAACTGTGCCCTTTGTATCACAGTAATACCCACTAGAGAGCATCCACTGCAGAAGAGGCAGGAAACAATCACATGAATAGAATCCAGTAGATGTCAGCTAGATGCTGTTGGTGACCCCTTCCCCAGGGATTCCTTTTTTCCAGTTTGGTACACTTACCCCCAGCTGCCAACTGAATTTCTGCTAACAACTCATGCTTGTAACCTCACCAGTGAATTGTCCTTGGGTGATTGGAGAGATCTCACAGTTCACATTACCCCCAACCCAGGCTGCCTAGAGCTAATGACTGACCAATATGTGCAGTGTACAGAAGCCCAGCTCACCTGACTCAAACTGGACAAATCTACAGTGCAGTCTATACTCAGGGCTGCCTACAGGAGCCAGCTGAAGCTAGACTTTTCTGAAATCATATTTCTGCCCAGTTTTTGTCCCCTTCCCTGTCCTCTTTTCCCCACTCCCTTACAGGCTTCCCCTGAGGGCACTCCTTAACAAGTCACATGCATATGATTCCTCACCTTGGATTCTGCTTCTGGAGCACCTGACCTGAAATTACAAAAGTGATCTCAACATCGACATCGACACAAAGTCTAAGTGAAGTTTAAATTGAAGTAATGAACATTTGAAAGTCTTCCTCTCAACCAGTGGTTCCCAGATCTATCTGGGATGGAAATCACATAGCAGTTTTTAAATGCCATTTCCCAGGTCCTGTCTTAAATCTCCTTAACCAAAACTCCAGAAGTGTGACTTAGGAGTCTCTTTTTTTCAAGTTCTGGTATTTCTGATGATCAAGGCTTTGGAATCCATTGGTTTAGACAATGGCTAAACCATATTGGCTGGTTTAGATATACCTCTATATGAACTTATAAGGTGTGCAAAAAGAAATTTTGAGGTCCCTTCCAATATTACAAGTCTATAATTCAGTTATCTGTGCATCACAAATCAGTATTTGTTAACTGAAACAATTGATCTTCATTGTAAAACAATCTTAGAATAATGATTAATTACAAATGTGTTTTTTCTGAAATTCTAACAAAGTTTTCTGCATATGGTACATCTTTAGTTGATTATATTTTATAAAATGGTAGTAATTTTTTAGTACAAAAGATATATGTGTTACTTTATTAGTCAGAATAGACTAGGTTAGGCTGTGGCAAAAACCAACACCAAAATCTCAGTGACTTAACACAGCAAATGTTTATTTCCTATTCATACAAAGTATAAAGCATGTCTGGGAACCTCTCCAGGGCAGCTGTCTTTCAGGTTTACTGCTTAGCAGTGCAAGCAGCTTCTATCTTGAGGTATATCCATCTCAACAGGAGGCTTCAAGTCTACTGTTTCTAGAAAGATTTGCACTGGAAATTAAATGCTGTGGCCCTGAGGCAAATTTGACTACTTCTATTGATCATGCAGGCCACACCTATTGACAAGAATTAGTCATATTACCCTTCCTTGCTCCAAAAGTGCAAGAGCAAGGAGGGGTAATTCTACTGTATGCCCCAAGTGAAAGGATGACTTCATACTGGGTAGACTAGCAATGTCAGTAGTTATTAAATACAATGTGGAAATTCATGAAAGTAGAAAAAAGGTAAAGATATATACACAAGCACACACACACATCACCACTGCTGTTGGTATTTGGTTTATTTCCTTTGAATCATTGAAAATACAAGTTCTTTTGAATAATGTTTCTTTTTCAGTTATGTATTCTCACTGTAGAACATTTTTCAATACATCAATGTATACCAAAGAAAATTAAAAATCCTTGCAATCTCACCTCCAAAAGATAACCACATATGATTTTCAATCAAAAGTGGAGTCATACTATTTACACTTATATGTATGATGTTTCTTCTTATCAATATTTAATAAGGTTAATTTTAATTCCAATTTGCTATTGAGCATTGTGATTTCATGCAAGGCGCTTCCCTCTAGGTCTAAGTTACTCCATCTCTGAAAGAAAGATATAGAAGTTATCATCTCTAAGATGTATTCCTGGTGATTTGTGGATATATACAACACCTGATGCCTGTACATGTTCCTCTCCAACTCTCTCTTTCACAAGCTACACTCTGGACCATTTGTACCTTGGAAATACAAACTTTGAATCAACCTCTCCCGACTCTGACTCCATTTTCAGGACCCAGAACAGCTCCCAGTGGTCGGGTTTCTACCTGTCAAGGTACTGTCCAGAGGCCCCTATTGCTTTCACTGTGAGGTGCAAATATCGTTAGGGCCCTGAATCCCTGGCCAAAAATCACTGTTAAATATTTGTGCCAAAATTTCTATATAATTTTTTTAAAAATTCTTGGCAAATTTTTGCCATCATTACTTGGAACTGATGAATCTTGGAATCTCTGGTTAGAAAAGAACATTGGAGGTTATTTCCCCCTATAAAATATAAGCTCCTAAAACAAGGACTACGTTTTATTCACAAGTCACCTAGGAAAATTTCTGGAACATAGCAGGTACTCAGCAATTTACTCATTTGAATCTAATCTTATCCCTCTGTTTCCCAGCATTCTCGAGAAGGACTCATGAACATCTGCTTCTACATCTCCAGAAACTGAGAGTTATCTCCCAAAACAGCCCACTCCATTGTTTCATTAAGAGATAGGCAGAGGAGCGTGGTGTTGAGCTCCCTATATCCCCTAACCCTGCTAAGTCAAGAACCTGGGTGGCAGAAGGGTGCCATGACAAATGGGCAAAATTCATCTGTGAAAGAGAAAATACAAGCTCGGACACAATAGCTTTCCCACTGGTAGGCTGTATTTTACTTTGTAAGACATTTAGGTACATTTTATCCTACCTTGAGGGTTAGGCCAAGACAGAGTTGGTTAAATGGCAGAGCCATTTCTGTAATTTTTACATAGGTTACCAGGGAGTGAACATGTTGCTTAAATCATCACTTCATCATCCCTGAAGCTGAGCACCTGAAGAATCTGAAGGTGATTCTGGACTTGAATAATAAATAATCAAAGACATTTAGGTCTTGTCATTAGCCCTTTCTACAACACAGGAACTAACTTAAAAGAAATATTACCAAGCAAAGCTGATACTTAGGGAACATCACATACAGTGAGAAAGGTAGAAAGCAAGCCCCTCCTTTACCATTTATTAGATAGCCAGCAGAGAGTCAGAGGAGAGAAAGCCAAAGACCTAGAGTTGTGTATTATGGCTACCAGGTGAAGGGGTCCCAGGACCTGGCTTACCTGGTTTCAGAGTTGTAGAGAAGTTACCCTGTGGTGCCACCTCACTCTCTAAATCTCTGGCAGTTTCCTTACAAAATGTTAGGGCTAGAAGGAGCTGCAAGAGCATCCAGCCATTCCGGTACTCTTCTATTTTACACAGGGGAAATTAAGGCCCAGAGAAAAATTAATTACTTGCCCAAGGTCAAATGACTATCTAGTGACAGAGCCAAAATTAAAACCAAGGAGATTATTTTACTATTTGTTTGGCTGCTTGGGAGTTGTCTTTAGAATTGAATTTTGTGGATTCAAGACAACTTAAACTACTCTTGACTAAGACTTGTCTTTGTAGAAAAGGTTGATACCTTTGAGAGAGACAGAAAGAAAGAGAGAAGGGGGAGAGGAGGCAGGAAGTAAAGTAAGAGTTTTCTGATGGTCTTGTTCCCAGGCAGCCTCTGTTGCTGTTCCGTCTTCTTAGCAACTGCAGCTATGCTGCATTTTTGAAGTACTCATTTTATTCAAAGATTAACAATAAACCTCCCAAAAAAACAAGAGGACATTTTCTTTCAAGGAATGAGATAAATCATAATTATAGGACAAAAGAGTCAAGGGTTAGACTCTTTTAATGGTTAGAGCCCTCAAATGGTTAGATCTCTCAAAAACCATCTGCAGAACAATTAAGTATTGTCAACATCACAACACATTTCTGAAGTGTAGACCTGGAAAGCCCTGGAAGCCAGAACCAGAAGAGGCCTTGGAATCATCACGTTTATATTCCTCACTTTGCAAATGAGAAATGCATGGTTCAGAGGGGAAGGGATAGGATAATAACTCAATTGCTTACAGGTTCCAGGTAAATGAAGCAAGCTGGGACCAGGTAAGAGATACTTTAATATGTTACAGGAAATGTGTGACTTTCCCTTTTAAGAGAAAGAACTGAGCAAACATTTGATAAATGGCAAACAATACATGCCTTTAGTAATGGGGATAAGAGCAAGGACTGTGGCAACCTGGACATGCCCTGCCTCAAGGAGGCAACTGCTCTCCATCTCTATTTGGTCACTGTCATGTAGGGATATGAGCCTGAGGTTGCCAAGTATTCTGTTATTTTTAAAAATATGAAATGCCCCAATGTTTTAAAATGACAAAAACTAATTTGAATTAATTGCAGGCCAAACAGAACCCAATTGGAATCTGAATTCAGCCTCAGGTTTCTGCTTTGTGCCTTCTAGCCTAAAAGACAGTGGGATGGTTGGGAACGGAACATCTGGGAAGCCCTGAGCTTTGGTTTCAGTTCAGTCATCCACTTGGTTTGTGATCTTCCAGAAATCATTTCTTACACATTTTTAAAATATACACTTAGAACTATACACTTAAAAAATAGAGCTGCAAACTGTGTTCACTTCCATGAATAAAAAGCCTAATGTGCCCTAAAGGAACATGATGAAGTTGTGATTTTCCTCCATATTCTTATGAGGACAATCAGGGCTGGAAGGACTAAGAAATCACGTGATAGATGCAGTCAGTCCTTGATGTCCAGAGGTTGCTGCTCTCTGCCATTCAGGTCATCCTGTACTGTGCCAGTACTGGGCAGTCTGAATGAACTGGGGTCTTTTTAAAGATAGGAAGGGTCTGCTAAGTTACAGGATTTGTTTTCCATTGTTATCCACCCACCTTTTGTGTGTTCCATACTTCAAGAGTTTTTTTTCCTTGCTATTTCCAAAATTTGCCTACTCTACTTTGCTAAAAAAAAAAAAAAAGTGTGAGTTGCTATTTTTCAATCCCCAAGAGTAAAAGTTTCACTGTTTATTTTCCTTCCATGTGGTGCAGCAGAATGGGTAACGGGTGAGGACCGTAATCCGGACCTGTGGGCTCAAATCCAATCTCTACCAATTTGGAGGGAGAACTGGAACAAATTACCCAATATCCTTGTTTCTCTGTTTTCTCATATGAAGGAGAGGAATAATAATAGTACTTACTTCACATGACTAATTAGAGGATTAAAAGAGGTACTATCAATTAACTCTTCAACCAACTGCTGCTGACACCCAGTTGACAGTCCTTGCTTTACTCCTGAAATGTGTATGACCATCTCTCTCTTCATGCAAAGTTGTGGGTAAAATGGAAATCCACAGTATTTTAAAGTTTCTTCCCTGATCCAACTATGTGCTGCTTAAAAGAGAATTACTTTAGCTTCAAGTACACACAAAGACTGAAATTAAAGGAATGGAAAATGATATCCCACTCAAATGGGAAGCAAGACAGTAGAGGTAGCTGTATTTATGTTAGACAAAATATAGATGGTCATAAATTGCCATAAGAGATGAAGAAGGTTATTATATAATGATAAAGAGGTCAATACATCAAGATGATATAACAATTGTAAATATATATGCACCCAACATAGGAACACTGTTAATAGAACAGAAGGGAGAAACAAAAAGCAATATAATAATAGGGAACTTCAATACCCCAGTTTCAATAAGGGATAGATCATCCAGATAGAAAAATCAATAAGGAAATAGCAGACTTGAACAATGCTATAGACCAAATAGTCCTAGGAAATATACACAGAACATTCCATCCAAAAGCAGCCAAGCTCACATGGATTATCCTCCAGGATACATCATGTGGTAGGCTGTAAAAAAGGTCTTAACAAATTGAAGATGAATGAGATCATACCAAATATCATTTCTGACCACAACTGTATGAAGCAAGAAATCAAAGAGATGTCAAAAATTGGAAAATTCTCAAATATATGTGGAAATTTTACAGCAAATTCCTGAAAGCCAATGGGTCAAAGAAGATATCAAAAAGGAAACAAAAAATATCTTGAGACAAATGAAAATGAAGACATTTCAAAATGAGAGAAATGAAAATGAAAACACAATGTAACAAACTTAATGGATGCAGCTAAAGCAGTGCAAAGAAGAAAGTTTATAGTGATAAACACCTACATTAAGATAAAAGATATTAAATAACTAAAGGGTACTAGACTTATTACCTGGTGGTGAAATCATCTGTACAACAACCCCCATGACATGAGTTTACCTGTATAACAAACCTGCACATGCACCCCTGAATTTAAAATAAAATTTAAAAAACTAAAGGAAAAAAGATATTAGATAAACAACCTAACTTTACATCTCGAGGAAGTAGGAAAAGAAAAACAAAGTTAAGCCCAAAATCCACAGAAAGGGGGAAATAATCAATACCAGAGAAAATAATAAACTAAATAGGAATACAAAAACAATAGAAAAGATCAATAAACAAGAGTTGGTTTATTGGAAAGATAAACAAAATCGACAACCTGTAGCTACACTAAGAAAAGAGAGAAGACTCAAATATCATAAATGAAAGTGAAAACATTACAACTAATACCACAGTAATACTAATAATCATAAGAGACTACTGTAAACATTTTTACACCAAGTTGAATTACCTAGAAAAATAAATACATTCCTGGAAATATACAACCCACCAACACTGAATCAAAAATGGAAAATCTTCACAAAAATTCAGTCAAAATAGATCATAGACATAAATATAAAAATGCAAAAGTATAAAACCCCTAGAAGATAACATAGGAGAAACCCTAGATGATCTTGGGTATGATGACTTTTTAGATACAACACCAAAGAAATAATATAGGAAATAAATAATTAATAAGTTAGACCATATTAAAATTAAAAACATCTGTTCTGCAAAAGACAACATCAAGATGACAAGAAAACAAGTCACCAACTTGGAGTAAATTTTGTTTGATACAGCTGACAAAGGACAGTTATCTAAGATACTAAAAAATCTCTTAAAAATCAACAATAAGGAAACAGGGAGGCAGGACTAGACTGCAGCTCTGGACAGAGCAGCATGTGGAGGCTCACACTGTGAATTTTAGCTCCAGATCTGTGGCAAGAACAAACCAACAATCCCAAGAGGACCCACAGACCATTTGAAGGAAGCAGACTGCTCCTGAAGGACCTGGGAGAAACCCCAAATACTGTGAGTACCCCAACTGCAGAAGTGGGAAAGGGAGACTCTCCTCTCCTGAACACACACCCCCACTGCTAAAGCAAAAGGTCTGTTTGCAGGAGAAGTTTGGGACTTTACCAGGAGCTGAGTCAATTTGGGGAGCTGAGTCAATTTGGAGAGCTGAGTGTAATACCGGGGTAGAGGAAGCAGCAGAAAGGCCCTGGGAGTGCACTGGGTCCCCTAGCAGGCCATTCCTGCCTGGCACCACAGGTATCCATCCAAAGGGTGCCAGAGGAGCAGGGGATAAAACTCCACAGAGAGAAGGAAATCTCCAGCTGAACTTTGTAACAATTTGAACAGGGTAAGAAGCCTCCTGGCCAGAACTTGGGGGAGAGTTGGGTGAGGCCTGTGCTTGCTGACTTTCCCCCACTTCCCTGACAACCTGCATGACTCAGCAGAGGCAGCCATAATCCTCCTAGGTACACAACTCCAGTGACCTGGGAATCTCACCCACATCCCCCACAGCAGCCACAGCAAGTCCTGCCCAAGGAGAGTCTGAGCTCAGACACACCTAACCCCACCCTCTCCTGATGGTCCTTCCCTACCCACTCTGGCAGTGGAAGGCAAAAGACATATAATCTTGGGAGTTCTAGAGTGATGCCCACCACAAGTTCCTCACCATACTACCACAGCTGATGTTCTCTGGAAAGCGCCACCTCCTGGCAGGATACCAACCAGCACAAAAATAGAGCATAAACCACCAAAGCTAAGAACGCTTATGGAGTCCATTGCACCCCAAGCCCTGCCACCTCCACTGGAACAGGCGCTGGTATCCAAGGCTGAGAGACCCACAGATGGTTCACATCACAGAACACTGTGCAGACAACCACCAATACCAGCCCAGAGCTGGGTGGCTAGATAGAGAAGAGACAACAATCACAGCAGTTCAGCTTCCAGGAAGCCACATCCATAGCAAAAGGGAGAGAGTGCTACATCAAGAAAACACCCTGTGGAACAAAAGAATCTGAAAAACTGCCTTCAGCCCTAGACCTTCCCTGTGACAGAGCCTACCCAAATCAGAAGGAATCAGAAAACCAATGCTGGTTATATAGCAAAGTGAAGCTCTTCAGCACCCTCAGAAAATCACACTAGTTCACCAGCAATGGATCCAAACCAAGAAGAAATTCCTGAAAAAGAATTCAGGAGGTTAGTTATTACCTGAAAAAGAATCCAGGTTATTTATTAAGCTAATCAGGGAGGAACCAGAGAAAGGCAAAGCCAAATGCAAGGAAATCCAAAGAATGATACAAGAAGTAAAGGGAGAAGTATTCAAGGAAATAGATAGCTGAAAGAAAAAAAAAACAATTCAGGAAACTTTAACACACTTTTAGGAATGTGAAATGCTAGGCTGGGCATAGTGTCTCATGCCTGTAATCCCAGAACTTTGGGAGGCCTAGGTGGGTGGATCACAAGTTCAAGAGATTGAGACCATCCTGGCCAACATGGTGAAACCCCGTCTCTACTAAAAATACAAAAATTAGCTGGGTGTGGTGGTACACACCTGTAGTCCCAGCTACTTGGGAGGCTGAGGCAGGAGAATTGCTTGAACCCAGGAAGTGGAGGTTGCAGTGAACTGAGGTCACGCCACTGCACTCCAGCCTGGTGGCAGAGAAAGACTCCATCTCAAAAAAAAAAAAAAAATGGTGAAATGCTCTGGAAAGTCTTACCAATGGAATTGAACAAGTAGAAGAAAGAAATTTAGAGATGGAAAACAAGGTCTTTGAATTACCCCAATCCAACAAAGACAAAGAAAAAAGAAGAAAATAGAAACAAAGCCTCCAAGAATTGTGGGTTATGTTAAACAACCAAACCTAAGAATAATTGATGTTCCCAAGAAATAAGACAATTCTAAAAGCTTGGAGAACATATTTGGGGAACTAATTGAGGAAAACTTCCCTGGCCTTGCTAGAGACCTAGACATCCAAATCCAAGAAGCACAAAGAACACCTGGGAAACTCATCACAAAAAGATCTTCACTAGGCACACTGTCATCAGGTTATCCAAAGTTAAGATGAAGGAAAGAATCTTAAGAACTATGAGACAAAAGCACCAGGTAACCTATAAAGGAAAACCTATCAGATTAACAGCACATTTCTCAGCAGAAACCCTACAAGCTAGAAGGGTTTGGGGTTGGGGCCGTATCTTCAGCCTCTTCAAACAAAACAATTATCAGCCAAGAATTTTGTATTCAGCAAACTAAGAATCATATATGAAGGAAAGATGGTCTTTTTCAGACAAACAAATGCTGACAGAATTCACCATTACCAAGCCACCACCACTATTAACTGCTGAAAGGAGCACTAAATCTTGAAACAAATCCCAGAAACACAACAAAACAGAACCTCTTTAAAGAATAAATCACGCAGGACCCATAAAACTGAAATAAAAGTTAAAAAGCAAAAACAAAAAAGAAAAAAAACAAAGTATACGGGCAACAAAGAGCATGATGAATGCTACTGTATCTCACATGTCAATACTAACATTGAATGTAAATGGCCTATACGTTCCACTTAAAAGGTACAAAACCACAGAATGGATAAGAGCTCACCAATCAACAATGTGCTCCCTTCGGGGGACTCACCTAACACATAAGGACTCACATAAACTTAAAGTAAAAGGGTGGAAAAAGGCATTTCATGCAAATGGACATCAAAAGTGAGCAGGGGTAGCTATTCTTATATCAGACAAAACACACTTTAAAATGGTTAAAAGAGACAAAGAGGGACATTATATAATGGTAAAACGCCTTGTCCAACAGGAAAATATCATAATCCTAAACATATATGCACCTAACACTGGAGCTCCCAAATTTATAAAACAATTTCTAGTAGACCTAAGAAATGAGATAGACAGTAATGCCATAATAGTGGGGGACTTCAATACTCCACTGACAGCACTACACATGTCATCAAGACAGAAAGTCAACAAAGAAACAATGGATTTAAACTACACCTTGAAACAAATGGACTTAACAGATATATAGAAAATATTTCATCTGACAACCAAAGAATATACATTCTATTCAACAGGGCATGGAACTTTCTCCAAGACAGCCCATATGATAGGCCATAAAATGAGCCTCAATAAATTTAAGAAAATTGAAATTATATCAAGCACTCTCTCAGACCACAGTGGAATAGAACTGGAAATCAACACCAAGAGGAACCTTCAAAACCATGCAAATACATGGAAATTAAATAACCTGCTCCTAAATGAGCATTGGGTAAAAAACAAAATCAAGATGGAAATTTAAAAATTATTTGAACTGAAAGACAATGACACAACCTATCAAAACCTCTGGGATAGAACAAAGGCGCTGCTAAGAGGAAAGTTCATAGTCCTAAACGCCTGCATCAGAAAGACTGAAGGAGCACAAACTGACATTCTGAGGTCATACCTCGAGGAACTAGAGAAACAAGAACAAACCAAACCCAAATCCAGCAGAAGAAAGGAAATAACCAAGATCAGAGCAGAACTAAATGAAATTGAAACAATAAAAAAATACAAAAGATAAATGAAACAAAAAACTGGTGCCTTGAAAAGATAAATAATACTGATAGACCATTAGCAAGATTAACCAAGAAAAGAAGACAGAAAATTCAAATAAACTCACTAAGAAATGAAACAGGAGACATTGCAACTGACACCACTGAAATACAAAAGATCATTCAGGCTACTATGAACACCTTTACACACATAAACTAGAAAACCTAGAAGAGATGGATAAATTCCTGAAAAAATACAACCTCCTAGCTTAAATCAGGAAGAATTAGATAACCTGAACAGACCAATAACAAGCAGCAAGATTGAAATGGTAATCTAAAAATTATCAACAAAAAAAAGTCCAGGACCCGAGAGATTCAAGCAGAATTCTACCAGACATTCAAAGAAGAATTGGTATCAATCCTTTTGACAGCATTTCACAAGATAAAGAAAGAAGGAACCCTCCCTAGTTCATTCTATGAAGCCAGCATCACCCTAATACCAAAACCAGGAAAGGACACAACCAAAAAAGAAAACTACAGACTGATATCCTTGATAAACATAGATGCTAAAATCCTTAACAAAATACTAGCTAACTGAATCCAACAATATATCAAAAAGATAATCCACCATGATCAAGTGGATTTCATACCAGGGATGCAGGGATGGTTCAAAATACAAAAGTCAATAAATGTAATACATCATCTAAACAAAATTAAAAACAAAAATCACATGATCATCTCAATAGATGCAGAAAAGCATTTGACAAAATCCAGCATCCCTCTATGAATAAAACTCTCGGCAAAATTGGCATACAAGAGACATACCTTAATGTAATAAAAGCCATCTATGACAAACCCACAGCCAACATTATACTGAATGAGGAAAAGTTTAATGCATTCCCTCTGAGAATGGGAACAAGACAAAGATGTCCATTCTCACCACTCCTCTTCAACATAGTACTGGAAGTTCTAGACAGAGCAATCAGACAAGAAAAAGAAAAGGGCATCCAAATCAGTAGAGTGGAAGTCAAACTGTCACTGTTTACAGAAGAAAACTTCAGTCCCTGAAAACTCTAAGGACTCCTCCAGAAAGCTCATAAAACTGATAAAAGAATTCAGCAAAGTTCCTGGATACAAGATTAATGTACACAAATTAGTAGCTCTGTTATACACTGACAGCAACCAAGTGGAGAATCAAATAAAGATCTCAACCCCTATTATAATAGCTGAAAAAAAAAAAAAAAGCAAGCTTAGGAATATACCTAACCAAGGAGTTAAAAGACCTCTGCAAGGAAAACTACAAAACATTGCTGAAAGTAATCACAGATGACATGAACAAATGGAAATACATCCCATGCTCATCGATGTGTAGAATCAATATTGTGAAAATGACTATACTGCCGAAAGCAATCCACAAATTCAATGCAATTCCCATCAAAATACCACCATCATTCCTCACAGAATTAGAAAAAACAATTCTAAAATTCACATGGAACCAAAAAAGAACCCACATGGCCAAAGCAAGACTAAGCAAAAAGAACAAATCTGGAGGTATCACAATATCTGATTTCAAACTGTACGGCCATAGTCACCAAAAACATTGTGGTACTGGTATAAAAATAGGCATATAGACCAATGAAACAAAATAGAGAACCCAGAAATAAACCCAAATACTTACAGCCAACTGATCTTTGACAAAGCAAAAACATAAAGTGAGGAAAGAACACCCTTTCCAACAAATGGTGCTGAGATAATTGGCTAGCCACATATAGGAGAAAAACTAGATCCTCGTCTCTCACCTTATACAAAGATCAACTCAAGATGGATTAAAGACTCAAACTTAAGACCTGAAACTATGAAAATTCTAAAAGATAACATTGGAAAAACCCTTCCAGACATTGGCTTAGGCAAGTATTTCATGATCAAGAACCCAAAAGAAAATGCAGTAAAAACAAAGATAAATTGCTGGGGCCTAATTAAACTGAAGAGCTTTTGCACAGCAAAAGGAACAGTCAGCAGAGTAAACAGACAATCCTCAGTCAGAGAAAATCTTCACAGTCTATACACCTGACAAAGGACTAATATCCAGAATCTATAATAACTCAAATCGGTAAGAAAATAACAAAATCACATCAAAAAGTGGGCTAAGGACACGAATAGACAATCCTCAAAAGAAGACATACAATTGGCCAACAAACATATGAAAAAATGCTCAACATCACTAATGATCAGGGAAATGCAAATCAAAACCACAACGCAATACCACCTTACTCCTGCTAGAATTGCCGTAATCAAAAGATCAAAAAACAGTAGATGTTGGTGAGGATGTGGTGAACAGGGAACACTTCTACACTGGTGGTAGGAATGCAAACTAGTACAGCCACTATAAAAAACAATATGAAGATTCCTTAAAGAACTGAAAGTAGAATTACCATTTGACCCAGGAATTCCACTACTGGGTATCTACCCAGAGGAAAAAAAAGTCATTACTCAAACAAGATACTTGCACACACATGTTTATAGCAGCACAATTCACATTCACAAAATTGTGGAACCAACTCAAATGCCCATCAATCAATGAGTAGATGAAGAAACTTGGTATATATACAGATGGAATACTACACAGCCATAAAAAGGAATGAATTAACAGCATTTGCAGTGACCTGGATGAGATTGGAGACTATTATTCTAACTTAAGTAACTCAGGAATGAGAAAACCAAATGTTGTATGTTCTCACTGATATGTGGGATCTAAGCTATGAGGATGCAAAGGCATAAGAATGATACAATGGAATTTGGGGAGTTGGGGGAATTAGTGGGAGGGGGCGAAAGATAAGACTACAAATATGGTGCAATGTATACTGCTCGGGTGATGGGTGCACCAGGATCTCACAAATCACCACTAAAGTACTTACTCATGTAACCAAATGCCACCTGTACCCCAATAATTTATGGAAAAATTTTAAAAAGATGCACAAAAATATATTTATACTATCCCATCATCTATTGAGTGCAATGGCATGATGTCTAAAGAAAAGTACATACCTTAATTAAAGAATACTTTATTGCTAAGAAATGCTAACGATCATCTGAGCCTTCAATGAGTCATAAACTTTTTTACTGTTGGAGGGTCTTGCCTCAATGTTGATCACTGCCTACTGATCAGGGTAGTGGTTGTTGAAGGTTAGAGTGGCTGTGGCAAAATCTTAAAATAATGCAACAGGGCCAGGCACAGTGGTTCACACCTGTAAACCCAGCACTTTGGGAGGCCAAGTCAGGAGGATCACCTGAGCTCAGGAGTTCAAGACCAGCCTGGACAACATGGCAAAGCCCATCTCTACAAAAAATACAAAAATTAGCTGGATGCAGCGGCACCTGCCTGTAGTCCCAGCTACTTGGGAGGCTGAGGCAGGAGAATGACTTGAGCCTGGGAGGTGGAATTTGCAGTGAGTCATGATTGCATGACTGCACTCCAGTATGGGCAACAGTGAGACACTGTCTCAAAACTAGTAGTAGTAGTAGTGGTAGTAGTAGTAATAATAATAATAATAATAATAATAATAATAATAACAATGCAATAGTTTAGTTTGTCACACTGGTTGACTCTTCCTTTTATAAAAGATTTTACTGCAGCGTGCAATGTTATTTGATAGCATTTTACCCACAGTAGAACTTCTTTTAAAATTGGGGTTAAAAACAACATGGTACTTGTATTAATTCATTTTCATACTGCTATAAAGAAATGCCTGAGACTGGGTAATTTATAAAGGGAAGTTTTAATCAACTCACAGTCCCATAGGCTTAACAGGAAGCATGGCTGGGAAGCCTCAGGAAACGTACAATTATGGCAGAAGGTGAAGAGGAGGCAAAAGCATCTCTTATATGACTGCAGGTGAAAGAAGAGTTGCAAAGGGAGAACTTTCAAACACTTTTAAAACCATCAGCTCTCATGAGAACTCCCTCACTATCATGAGAACAGAATGCAGGAAACCACGCCCATGATCCAATCACCTTCCACTGGGTCCCTCCTTCCACATGTCGGGATTACAATTCAAGATGAGATTTTGGTGGGGAACACAGAGCCAAACCATATGATTCCACCCCCAGCCCCTCCCAAATCTCACGTCCCTTTCACATTTCAAAACCAATTATGCCTTTCCAACATTCCCCCAGAGTCTTAACTCATTACAGCATTAACACAAATGTCCAAGTCCAATGTCTCATCCGAGACAAGTTTTTCCCACCTATGACCCTGTAAAATAAAAAACAAGTTAGTTACATCTAAGATACAATGACGGTACAGTCATTGCATAAATGTTCCCATTTCCAAATGAAAGAAATTAGCCAAAACAAAGGGGCTATAGTCCCCATGCAAGTCTGAAATCCAATGAGGCAGTCTTTAAATGTTAAATCTCCAAAATGATCTCCAAAATGATTTCCATGTCTCACATCCAGGGCACACTGATGCATGGGGTGGGCTCCCCCAGTCTTGAGCAGCTCTGCCCCTGTAGCTTAGCAGGGTACAGCCCCTACAGCTGCTTTTACAGTCTGGCATTGAGTGTCTGCAACTTTTCCAGGTGTACAATATAAGCTGTCAGTGGATCTGCCATTCTGGGGTCTGGAGGATGGTGGCCCTTTTTTCACAGCTCCAGCAGGCAGTGCCCCAGTGTGGACTCTGTGTGGGGGCTCCAACACCACATTTCCCTTCTGCACTGCCCTAGAAGAGGTTCTCCATGAGGGGTCCACTGCTGCAACAGACTTCTGCCTGGACATCTGGGCATTTCCATACATCCTTTGAAATCTAGGCAGAAATTCCCAAAGCTCAGCTCTTGTATTCTGTGCACCCACAGGCTCAATACCACTTGGAAGCTGCCAAGGCTAAGCAACGGCCCAAGCTATACCTTTTAGCCATGACTGGAGCTGGAGAAACTGGGATGCAGGGCACTAAGTCCTAAGGCTGCAGAGCAGAGGAGCCCTGAGCCTGGCACATAAAGCCATTTTTCCCTCCTAGGCCTCTGGGCCTGTGATGTGAGGGGCTTCCTCAAAGGTCTCTAACATGCCCTGGAGACATTTTCCCCATTGTCTCTGATATTAACATTCAGCTCCTCATTACTTATGTAAGTTTCTGCAGCCTGCTTAAATTCCTCCCCAGAAAATTAGTTTTTCTTTCCCATCACATGGTCAGGCTGCAAATTTTCCAAACCTTTATGCTCTGCTTCCCTTTTAAACATAAGTTCCAATTTCAAACCATCTCTTTGTGAACACATAAAACTGAATGCTTTCAGAGTAATCCAAGTCACCTCTTGGATGCTTTGCTGCTTAAAAATTTCTTCTGCCAGATACCCTAAATCATCTCTCTCAAGTTTAAAGTTCCACAAATCTCTAGGGCAGGGGCAAAATGCTGCCAGTCTCTTTGCTAAAGCATAGCAAGAGTCACCTTTACTCTAGTTCCCAACAAGTTCCTCATCTCCATCTGAGACCACCTCCACCTGGAATTCATTGTCCATATCACTATCAGCATTTTGGTCAAAGCCATTCATCAAGTCTCTAGGAAGTTCCAAACTTTCCCACACCATCCTGACTTCTTCTGAGCCCTCCAAACTATTCCAACCTCTGCCTCTTACCCAGTTGCAAAGTCACTTCCACATTTTTGGTTATCTTTATAGCAGTACCCCACTCTACTGGTATCAATTCTCTGTATTAGTGTGTTTTCACACTACTATAAAGAAATGCTTGAGACAGGGTAATTTATAAAGGAAAGAATTTTAATTGACTCACAGTTCCACAGGCTTAAGAAGAAGCACAGCTAGGAGGCCTCAGGAATCTCACAATCATGGTGGAAGGCAAAGGGAAAACAAAGCATGTCCTACATGGTAGCAAGCAAGAGAGAAAAGCTGGGAAGGGGGAACTTGCAAACACTTTTAAAACCATCAGCTCTCACAAGAACTCCCTCACTATAATGAAAACAGCCTGAGAAACTGCTCCCCATGATCCAATCACTTCCCACCAGGTCTTTCTTGTGCTGTTCTTCTGATAGTGAATGAGTCTCATGAGATCTGATGGTTTTAAAAATGGGAGCTTCCCTGCACAAGCTCTCTTTTTGCCTATCACCATCCATGTAAGATGTGACTTGCTTCTCCTTGTCTTCTGCCATGATTGTGAGGCCTCCCCAGCCACATGGAAATGTAAGTCCATGAAACCTCTTTTTCTTCCCAGTCTCAAGTATGTCTTTATCAGCAGTGTGAAAATGGACTAATACATAGAGATTGGGCAATTTATAAGAAAAGAAGTTCAATTGACTCACAGTTCTGCATGGCTGGGGAGGCCTCAGGAAGCTCACAATTATGGCAGAAGGCACCTCTTCACAGGTCAGCAAGAGAGAGAATGAGTGCCAAGCAAACAGGGAAAAGCCCCTTATAAAGCCATCAGATTTCATAAGAACCCATTCACTGTAACAAGAACAGCGTGGGGGTAACCACCCCCATGATGCAATTACCTCCTACTTGGTCAACATGTAGGGATTATAGGAACTACAATTCAAGATGAGATTTGGGTGGGGACAGAGCCAAACTATATCAAACAGAAAACCAAATACCTCATGTTCTCACTTATAAGTGGGAGCTTGTTGCGGGAAGTCACGGACACCAAATGGAGGGACCGGCTGAAGCCATGGCAGAAGAACGTGAATTGTGAAGATTTCATGGACATTTATTAGTTCCCCAAATTAATACTTCTATAATTTCTTACACCTGTCTTTACTGCAATCTCTAAACATAAATTGTAAAGATTACATGGAAACTTATCACTTCCCCAATCAATACCCTTGTGATTTCCTATGCCTGTCTTTACTTTAATCTCTTAATCCTATCAGCTGAGGACGTATATCACCTCAGGACCCTGTAATAATTGCATTAACTGCACAAATTGTACAGCATGTGTGTTTGAGCAATATGAAATCTGGGCACCTTGAAAAAAAGAACAGGATAACAGCAATGTTCAGGAAACAAGAGAGATAACCTTAAACTCTGACCGCCAGTGAGCCAGGTGGAACAGAGCCATATTCCTCATCTTTCAAAAGCAAAGGGGAGAAATATCGCTGAATTCTTTTTCTCAGCAAGGAACATCCCTGAGAAAGAGAATGTGCACCTGGGGGTGGGTCTCTGAACTGGCACCCCCAGGCATGACCATCTCTTATGGTTGAGACTGCAGGGGTGAAATAGACCCCAGTCTCCCATAGCACTCCCAGGTTTATTGGGAAGAGGAAATTCCCACCTAATAAATTTTGGTCAGACCGGTTGATCTCAAAACCCTGTCTCCTGATAAGATGTTATCAATGACAATGGTGCCTGAAACTTCATTAGCAATTTTAATTTTGCCCCGGTCTTGTGGTCCTGTGATCTCGCCCTGCCTCCATTTGCCTTGTGATATTCTATTACCTTGTAAAGTACTTGATGTCTGTTACCCACACCTATTTGCACACTCCCTCCCCTTTTGAAACTCTCTAATAAAAACTTGCTGGTTTGTGCAGCTTGTGGGGCATCACGGAACCTACCAACATGTGCTGTCTCCCCCACATGCCCAGCTTTAAATTTTCTCTCTTTTGTACTCTGTTCCTTTATTTCTCAAGCCGGCTGACACTTAAGGAAAATAGAAAAGAACCTATGTGACTATCAGGGCAGGTTCCCCGATAGGAGCTAAATAATAGGAACTTATGAACACGAAGAAGGATACAACAGACGCTAGAGTCTACTTGAGTGGGGAGAGTGGGAGGAGGGGCAGAACAGATAATTATTGGGTACTGAGCTTAATACTTGTGTGATGTAATAATATGGACAACAAACCACCATGACACGTTTATCTGTATAACAAACTTTCACATGTACCCTCAAACCTAAAATTTAAAAATCAATGAATAAATAAAACTGAGGTCAATTCTCTCAAACTCTGCCACTGCTTTATCAACTAAACTTATGCTATAGTCTAAATCCTTTGTAGTCACTTCAATGTTGTTCATAGGATCTTCACCCATCTCAAGAAACCACTTGCTTTGTGCATCTGCAAGAAGCAACTCCTCATTCACTTGAGTTTTATGAGATTTGAAACAATTTATTCACATCTCCAGCTCTTCTTCCAATTCTAGTTCTCTTGTTGTTTCTACCACATATGCAGTTACTTCCTCCACTGAAGTCTTGCACCTCTTGAAATCATCCATGAGAGTTTGAATCAACTTCTAAATTTCTGATAATATTGATGTTTTGTCCTCCTCCCATGAATCACAAATGTTCTTAATGGCATCTGGAGTGGTGAATCCTTTCCAGAAGATTTTCAATTTACCCAGATCCATCAGAGGAATCACTATATATTGCAGCTATAGCCTTCTCAAATATATTTCTAAAATAACAAAGCTTAAAAGTCAAGACTATTTCTTGGTCCAAGGGCACAGATGGATATTGTGTTAGGAGGCATGAAAAAAATATTCACTTCCTGCACATCTCTATCACAGTTAATGGGTGACCAGGTGAATTGCCCATGAGCAGTAATTTTTTGAAGGGAATCTTTTTTCTGAGTACAAGATCTCAACAGCGGGCTTAAAACATTCAGTAATTGATGCTGTAAACAGATGTGCTGTCATCCAGGCTTTGTTGTTGCATGTATAGAGGATTGGTGAGATCTGTTTACCTTAGTTTTTAAGGGCTGTGGTGTTTTTAGAATGGTAAATGACCATTGGCTTCAAGTTAAAGTCACCAGCTGCATTCGCCTCTAATAAGAGAGTCAGCCTGTTCTTTGAAGCCAGGCATTGAGTCTCTTCTTTAGCTATGAAGGTTTTAGATGGCATCTTCTTCCAATAGAAGGCTGTTTAGTCTACATTGAAAATCGTTGTTTAATGTAGCCACCTTCATCGATTATCTTAGCAGGACCTTCTGCATAACATACTGCAGCTTCTCCATCAGCACTTGCTGCTTTACCTGGAACTTTTATGTTTTTTACTTAAACCTCATGAACTAAATTTTTCTTCTGGAGCTTCCTCACCTCTCTCACCCTTCATAGACTTGAAGAGAGGAAGGGCCTTGCTCTGGATGAGGCTTTGGTTTGAGGGAATGTTGCAGCTGGTTTTATTGAGCCAGACCACTAAAACTCTCTTCATATCATCAATAAGGATGTTTCTCTTTCTCATAATTCATGTGTTCACTGGAGTAGCACTTTCATTTCTTTCATGAACTTTTCCTTTGCATTTACAACTTTGTGAACTATTTGGCAAAAGAAGCCTCACTTTCTGCCTATTTTAGCTTTCAGCTTTCATGCATTCCCCACTGAGTTTAATCATTTCTAACTTTTGATCTAAAGTGTGAGGTATGGGACTCTTCCTTTCCCTTGAACACTTATTCCCCATTGTGGCATTGTTAGTTGACTTAATTTCAATATTTTAGTGTCCCAAGGAATAGGGACACCCAAGAAGGGAGATGGGGGAATGCCCTGTCAGTGGAGCAGTCAGAACACACACAATGTTTATCAACTAAGCTCACGGTCTTTTATGGGCATAGTTTGTGGTGTCCCAAGACAGTTACAATAAGTAACATCTAAGGTCACTGATTACAAGTTACTATAACAGATAGAACAATAATTTTAAATTTTGAAATATTGTGAAAATTACCAAAATGTGACACACAGACCTGAAGTGAGCATATGTTGCTGGAAAAATTTTGCTGACAGACAGGGTTGCCACTAACTTTAAACTTCTGTAAATGCAGTATGTGTGAAGCCCAATAAAGTGAAGCAAGATAAAATGATATGCAGGAGGGAGGCAGAGCAAGGTGGTGGGATACAAAGCTTCCCCAGTTGTCCCCCAAGCAAGGAGACAAAGTTAACAACTATCTACATGGACAAAAATACCTTCATAAGAACCAAAAATCAGGTAAGCACTCATAATACCTACTTTAAACTTCATATTCCTGAAAGAGGCACTGAAGAGATAGAAAAGAAACAGCCCTGAATCACAGACACCACCCCTCCCTGACCCCTAGCAGAGGCAGTGTGGTGCTGACAGCATCTCTGGGTGCTGGGGGAGGGAGGATACAGCAATTGTAAGGCATTGAACTCTGCTGACCCCCACCCACAGAGGGAGCATTTAAAGCAGCCCCAGCCAGAGGGGAATTTCCAATACCAGCAGTCTGAACTTGAGTGCCTGCAAACCTTGCCACCTAGGGCCAAAGTGTTCTGGGTGTCTCATCTTGAAAGTCAGTCTAGGCCATAAGAACTGTAATGCATAGGCCAGTCCTAGGGCTCAACTAGGCCCAGAGGCAGTGAACTGGGGAACAGGAGACACCACCCACCGACATACTAGCTGGAGTGGCTAAAGTAGTGCTGGAATCAACAACCCTCCCCTAACCCAGGCTGCACAGCTTATGGCTCCCTTTCTTCTGCTTGAGGAGAGGAGAGGAGAGGGAAGCCTGGGGAGAACTTTGTCTTGCATCTTGGATACCAGCTCAGCCACAGCAAGATAAAGCACAGGTCAGTCCTGAGTCCCCCATTCTAGGCCCTAGCTCCCAGACAACATTTCTAGACATATCCTGGGCTAGAGAGAACCCACTTCCTTAAAGGAAACAACCCAGCCCTTCCAGCACTCATAACCTGCAAACTTAAAAGCCCTTGGGCCCTAAATAACCAGCAGCAACACCCAGGTTTAGCAGCAGTACTACATCAAGGGCCTTGGTGAAGCTGAGACTTGCTGGCTTCAGGTACCAACAATGCCATATGGGGGTAGAGCACCAAGGAGGCTCTTTGGGATCCCCATTTCTAGGACTTGACTCTGGAACAGCATTTCTGGACCTGCTCTGGGCTAGAGGGAAGTCTACCTTTCTGAAGGGTGAGTCCCAGGCCAGGCAGCATTCACCACAAGCTGACTTAAGAGACCTTGGGCCTTAAGGGAATATTGGTGGTAGTCTGAGAGGACTTCTTGTGACCCGGCGTGGTGGTGGCTACAGAGTGAGGCTCTTCTGCCTTTGTGAGGGGGAGGGAAGAGTGGTAAGGACTGTGTCTTGTGGTTTGAGTGTCAGCCTAACTGCAATGCAATAGAATACCAGGTAGACTCCTAAGGTTTTTGACTTTAGACTCTGATTCCCAGATGGTACTTCTGGATCCACCCAGGGCCTGGGGGGCCCCATCATCCTGAAGGGAAAGACATAGACCTGGGTGAATTTGCCACATACTGATAATAGAGGCCTAGGACCTTGAGGGAACATAAACAGTAGCCAGGGAGTGGCTACAGCAGGCCTTTGGATGAGACCCAGCATTGTGCTGGGACCCAGCACAGTCATAGTAGTGGTGGCCACAGGGGTGCTTGTTTCACTCCACCCCCAGGTTTAGGTGGCTCAGAACACAGCAAGAGAGAGACTCTGTATGTTTGGGAAAAAGTAAGGAAAGGCTACAATAGTCTCTGCCTGGTAATCTAGAGAATTCTTCCAGATTTTGTCCAACACCATCAAGGTGGTATGTCTACAAGTCTGCAAGAACCACAGCATTAAATGGCCTGGGGTGCCCCCTAAAGCAGAAACAGCTTAGATAACAACACCCAAGTCCTTTTGAAAGCCTTCCCAAGAAGTATGGGTACAAATAAGTCCAGACAGTGAAGACTGCAATAAATACCTAACCCTTCAATGTTTAGACACTGAAGAACATCTACTAGCATGAACAACTTTAAAGAAAACATGACTTCACCAAATGAAATAGACAAGGCACCAGGAACAAATCCTGGAGAAACGGATATGTGACCTTACAGAGAATTCAAAATAGCTGTGTTGAGGAAACTCAAAGATATTCAGGATAACACAGAGGAAGAATTCAGAGTTTCATCAGATAAATTTAACAAAGAGATTGAAATAATTTTAAAAACTCAAGCAGAAATTCTGGAACTGAAAAATGCAATTGGCTTACTGAAGAATGCATGACAGTCATTTAACAGCAAAATGGGTCAAACAGAGGAAAGCATTAGTGAGCTTGAAGAAAGGCTATTTGAAAATACACAGAGAAGACAAAAATAAACAATGAAGCACAGCTGCAGGATCTAGAAAATAGCTGCAAAAAAGCAAATCTAAGAATTATTGGCCTTAAAGAAGAGACAGAGAAAGAGATGGTGTAAAGAGTTTATTCAAAGGGTTAATAACAGAGAACTTCCCAAACCTAGAGAAAGATATTAATGTCCAAGTACAAGAAGGTTATAGAACACCAAGAAGATTTAACCCAAATAAGACTACCTCTCAAGGCATTTAATAGTTAAACTCGTGAAGATCAAGAATAAAGAAGGAATCCTAAAAATAGCAAGAGAAAAGGGACAAATAACATACATTGGAGTTTCAATCATCTAGCAGCAGACTATTGAGAGGAAACCTTACAGGCCAGGAGAGACTGGCATTTAAAGTGCTGAAGGAAAAAAAAACTTTTACCCCAGAATAGTATATCTGGTAAAAATATTCTTTAAATATGAAGAAATAAAGACTTTCCCAGACAAACAAAAGCTGATGGATTTTATCAATACCAGACCCATTCTACAAGACATGCTAAATGGAGTATTTCAATCAGAAAGAAAATGGGATTAATGAGCAATAAATAATCTCCTGAAGGTACAAAATGTACTGGTAATAATAAATACACAAAAAAACACAGATTATTATAACACTGTAAGTGGGGTGTGTAAAGTTCTTTTATCCTAAGTAGATAAACAATGAGCCAATCAAAAGTAATGACAACAACCTTTCAAGACATGGTCACTATATTAACATATAAATAGAAACAACAAAACAGAAAGCCAGGGAATGAAGTTAAAGAGAGTTTTTATTAGTTTTCTTTTTGCTTGTTTGTTCATGTAAATAGTGTTAAGTTGTTATTAGGTAACAATAATGGGTTATAAAAGTATTTGCAAGCCTTTTGGTAACCTCAAATCAAAAAATATAGAATACACAAAAAATAAAAAGTAAAAAGCCAAATGATATTATCAGAAAAATTATCTTCACTAGAGGAAGACAGGAATGAAAGAAAGAAGAAAGAGACGACTACAAAACCACCAGAAAACAAATAACAAAATGGCAGGAGTAAGTCCTTATTTATCAATAATAACACTGAATGTTATTGAATGGACTAAACTCTCCAATCAAAAGCCATAGACTGGTTAAGTAGATGAAAAAACAAGACCCATTGATCTGTTGCCTACAAGAAACACACTTCACCTATAAAGAAACATAGACTGAAAATAAAAGGATGGAAAAAGATATTTCATGCCAATGGAAACCAAAAAAGCAGGGGTAGCTATACTTTTATCAGCCAAATAGATTTCAAGACAAAAACTATAAGAAGAGACAAAGAAGGTCACTATATAATGATAAAGGGATGAGTTCACCAAGAGGATATAACAATTTTAAATATATATGCATCCAACATTGGAGCACCCAGATATATAAGCAAATATTATTACAGCTAAATAGAGAGGTAGGCCCCAGTACAATAATGGCTGGAGACTTTCAGCATTAGACAAATCTTCTAGACAGAAAATCAGCAAAGAAATGTCACAATTTATCTGCACTATAGACAAAATGGACCTAATAGATACGCACAGAACATTTTATCCAAGAACTGCAGAATATTCTTTTCCTCAGCACATGGATTACTCTCGAAGATAAACTGCATGTAAGATCAGAAAGCAAGTCTTAAAATATTCAAAAAATTGAAATAATATCAAGCATCTTCCCAGACCACAATGAAATAAAACTAGAAATTAATAACAAGAGGAATTTTGGAAACCATACAAATACATGGTAATTAAACAATATGCTTCTGAATGACCCATAGGTCAGTGAAGTAATTAAGAAGAAAATTTAAAAATCTCTCTAAGCAAATAATAATGGAATCACAACATGCCAAAACCTATGAGATACAGCAAAAGCAGTACCCAGAGGGAAATTTAGAGCTATAGGTGCTTAGAGTTAAAAAGAAAAGCTTTACATAAATAATCTAGCAATGCGTTGTAAATAGCTAGAAAAGCAAGAGCAAACCAAACCCAAAACTTGTAGGAGAAAAGAAATCATAAAGACCAAAGCAAAAATAAACTAAATTAAAATGAATAAAAAATATCAATAAAAACTGAAAGGTTTTTGAAAAGTTAAGCAAAATTCCAAAAACTTTAGCCAGACTAAGAAAAAAAGTGAGACGATCCCAATAAATAAGATCAGACATGAAAAAAGACACTAAACTGACACTGCAGAAATTCAAATGATCACTAGTGGCTACTATGAACAACCATATCCCAATAGAAAAAGTCCTAGATACATACAACCTTCCAAGATTGAACCAGGAAGAAATCCAAAACCTGAAAAGATCAAGGAACAAGATCTAAGATGTAACAAAAAGTCTCCCAGAAAAAAAAAAAAAAAAAAAGCCCAGGACTCTATGGCTTCACTGCTGAATTCTACCAAACATTTAAAGAATTAATCCTACTCACATTATTCAGAAAAATAGAAGAGAAAGGAATACTTCTAAATTCATTCTACAAGGTCAGTATTACCTTGATACCAAAACCAGGCAAAGACACATCAAAAACAGAATACTACAGGCCAATATCTCTGATGAATATTGATGCAAAAAGCCTCAACAAAATATCAGCAAACCAAATTTAACAATACATTAGCAAGATCATTCATCAAGACCAAGTGGGATTTATCCCTGGGATGCAAGAATGGTTCAACATATGCAAATCAATCAATGTGATACATCATATCAACAGAATGAAGGACAAAAAAAAATGACCATTTCAACTGTTGCTGAAAAAGAATTTGATAAATTTCAGTAACCCTTCAGGATAAAAAAAAAAAATCTCCAAAAACTGGATATAGAGGAAACATACCTTAACATAAAAGTTATATAAGACAGACCCACAATTAGTATCATACTAAGTGGGAGAAAACAAAGTCTTCCCTCAAAGAACTGGAACACAACAAGGATGCCCACTGTCACCACTGTTATTCAGCATAGTACTGGAAGTCCTAGCTACAGCAAGAAGACAACAGAAAGGTATAAAGAGCATCCAAATTGGAAAGGATGAAGTCAAATTATCCTTGTTTGCTGATAAAAATCTTATATTTGGAAAAACCTAAAGATTCCACAAGGAAACTATTAGAACTGACAAATTCAGTGAAGTTATAAGATACAAAAATCAACATACAAAAATTAGTAGGATTTTTATATGCCCACAGTTAAAAATCAGAAAAAGAAATAAAAAGGTAATCCCATTTGCAATAGCCACACATAAAATTAAATACCTAGAAATTAACTGAACCAAAGAAGTGAAAGATATCTGTAATGAAAACTATAAAACACTGATAAAGGAAATTAAAGAGGACAGAAAAAATGTAAAGACATTTCATGTTTGTGGACTGGAAGAATCAATATCATTGGTGAAAATTTCCAGGACATTGGTCTGGGTGAGGATTTCTTGAGCAATACTCCACAAGCACTGTCAACCACAGCAAAAACAAACAAATGGGATTACATCAAGTTTAAAAGCTTCTGCACAGCAAAGAAAGCAATCAACAAAATGAAGACACAACCCACAGAATGGGTGAATATATTTGCAAACTACCCATCTGACAAGGGATTAATAACCAGAATATACAAGGAGCTAAAACAAGTCTACAGGAAAAAAAAAATCCAATAATCCGATTAAAAATGGGCAAAAGATTTGAATGGACATTTCTCAAAAGAAGACATATAAATGGCAAAGAGGTATATGAAAAGGTGCTCAACCTCACTGATCATCATAGAAATACAAATCAAAACTACAATGAGATGTCATCACATCCCAGTTAAAAGCTTATATCCAAAAGACAAGAAATAACATATGCTGGTGAAGATGTGAAGAAAAGGGAACCCTTGTATACTGTTGGTAAGAATATGTTAATAAATTAGTATGACCACTATGGAGAATAGTTTGGAGGTTCCTCAAAACACTAAAAATAGAGCTACTAGATGATCCAGCAATCGTACTGCTGGGTATACACAAAAGAAAGGAAATTGATATGATCTGCACTCTTATGTTTGTTGCAACACTTTTTACAATAGCCAAGATTTAAAAGCAACCTAAGTGTCCATCAACAGATGAATGGATAAAGAGAATGTGGTACATGTACACAATGGAGTATTATTCAGCCATAAAGAAGAATGAGATCCAATCATTTGCAACAGCATGGATAAAACTCGAGATCATTATGTTAAGTGAAATAACTTTACATCACACTTTCTCACTTGTTTGTGGGATCTAAAAATCAAAACAATTGAACTCATGGACATTCAGAGTAGAAGGATGGTTACCAGAGGCTGGGATGGGTCATGTGGGTGTGTGTGGGGGGAAGTGGGGATGGTTAATAGGTACAAAAAATGGTTAGAAAAAATGAATAAGACCGGGATCCGTTCCAAGATGGACGAACAGGAAGAGCTCTGGTCTGTAGCTCCCAGCGTGATTGATGCAGAAGACGGGTGATTTCTGCATTTCCAACTGAGCCTCCACTGGTGATAACCAGGCAAACAGGGTCTGGAGTGGACCTTCAGCAAACTCCAACAGACCTGCAGCTGAGGGACCTGACTGTTAGAAGGAAAACTAACAAACAGAGACGAATAGCAACAACATCAACAAAAAGGACATCTACACCAAAACCCCATCTGTAGGTCACTAACATCAAAGACCAAAGGTAGATAAAACCACAAAGATGGGGAGAAACCAGAGCAGAAAAGCTGAAAATTCTAAAACTCAGAGAATCTCTTCCCTCCAAAGGATCGCAGCTCCTCATCAGCAATGGAACAAAGGTGGACGGAGAGTGACTTTGACGAGCTGACAGAAGTAGGCTTCAGAAGGTCGGTAATAACAAACTTCTCTGAGCTAAAGGAGCATGTTTGAACTCATTGCAAGGAAGCTAAAAACCTTGAAAAAAGTTTAGATGAATGGCTAACTAGAATAAACTGTGTAGAGAAGACCTTAAATGACCTGATGGAGCTGAAAACCATGGCACGAGAACTTTGTGATGCATGCACAAGCTTCGATAGCCGAATAAATCAAGTGGAAGACAGGATATCAGTGATTGAAGATCAAATTGATTAAATAAAGGGAGAAGACAAGGTTAGAGAAAATAGAGTAAAAAGAAATGAACAAAGCCTCCAAGAAATATGGGACTATGTGAAAAGACCAAATCTACATTTGACTGGTGTACCTGAAAGTGATGGGGAGAAGGGAACCAAGGTGGAAAACACTCTGCAGGATATTATCCCGGAGAACCTCCCCAACCTAGCAAGGCAGGCCAACATTCAAATTCAGGAAATACAGAGAATGCCACAAAGATACTTCTCGAGAAGAGCAACCCCAAGACACATAATTGTCAGATTCACCAAAGTTGAAATGAAGGAAAAAATGTTAAGGGCAGCCAGAGAGAAAGGTCAAGTTACCCACAAAGGGAAGCCCATCAGACTAACAGCTGATCTCTTGGTGGAAACCCTGCAAGCCAGAAGAGAGGGGGGGCCAATATTCAACATTCTTAAAGAAAAGAATTTTCAACCCAGAGTTTCATATCCAGCCAAACTAAGCTTCATAAGTGAAGGAGAAATAAAATCCTTTACAGACAAGCAAATGCTGAGAGATTTTGTCACCACCAGGCCTGCCTTACAAGAGCACTAAACACAGAAAGGAACAACCGGTACCAGTCACTGCAAAAACTTGCCAAATTGTAAAGGCCATTGATGCTATGAAGAAACTGCATCAATTAACGGGCAAAATAACCAGCTAAGATTGTAATGACAGGATCAAATTCACACATAACAATATTAACCTTAAATGTAAATGGGCTAAATGCCCCAATTAAAAGACACAGACTGGCAAATTGGACAAAGAGTGAAGACCCATCAGTGTGCTGTATTCAGGAGACCCATCTCATGTGCAAAGACACACATAGGCTCAAAATAAAGGGATGGAGGAAGATCTACCAAGCAAAAGGGGGAGGAAAAAAAAAAGCAGGGGTTGCAATCCTAGTCTCTGATAAAACAGACTTTAAACCAGCAAGATTAAAAGAGACAAAGAAGGCCATTACGTAATGGTAAAGGGATCAATTCAACAAGAAGAACTAACTACCCTAAATACATATGCACCCAATACAGCAGCCCCCAGATTCATAAAGCAAATCCTTACAGACCTACAAAGAGACTTAGAATCCCACACAATAATAATGGGCGACTTTAACACCCCACTGTCAACATTAGACAGATCAATGAGACAGAAGGTTAACAAGGATATCCAAGACTCGAACTCAGCTCTGCACCAAGCAGACCTAATAGACGTCTACAGAACTCTCCACCCCAAAATCAACAGAATATACATTCTTCTCAGCACCACATCACATTTATTCTAAAATTGACCATGTAATTGAAAGTAAAGCACTCCTCAGCAAATGTAAAAGAACAGAAATCAAAACAAACTGTCTCTCAGACCACAGTGCAAACAAATTGAAATTCAGGATTAAGAAACTCACTCAAAACTGCACAACTACATGGAAATTGAGCAACCTGCTCCTGAATGACTACTGGGTAAATAAAGAAATGAAGGCAGAAATAAAGATGTTCCTTGAAACCAATGAGAAAAAGACACAACACAGAATCTCTGAGACACACTTAAAGCAGTGTGCAGAGGGAAATTTATAGCACTAAATGCCCATAAGAGAAAGCAGGAAAGATCTAAAATTGTCACCCTAACATTACAATTAAAAGAACTAGAGAAGCAAGAGCAAACACATTCAAAAGCTAGCAGTAGGCAAGAAATAACTAAGATCAGAGAGACACAAAAAACTCTTCAAAAGATCAATGAATCCAGGAGCTGGTTTTTTGAAAAGATCAACAAAATTGATAGACCGCTAGCAAGACTAATAAAGAAAAGAGAGAAGAATCAAATAGATGCAATAAAAAATGATAAAGGGAATATCACCACCAATCCCACAGAGATACAAACTACCATCAGAGAATACTATAAACACCTCTATACAAATAAACTAGAAAATCTAGAAGAAATGGATAAATTCCTGGACACATACACCCTCCCAAGACTAAACTGGAAAGAAGTTGAATCTTTGAATAGACCAATAACAGGCTCTGAAATTGAGGTAATAATAGCCTACCAACCAAAAAAAGTCCAGGACAAGATGGATTCACAGCCGAATTCTACCAGAGGTACAAAGAAGAGCTAGTACTATTCCTTTTGAAACTATTCCAATCAATAGAAAAAGAGGGAATCCTCCCTAACTCATTTTATGAGGCCAACATCATCCTGATACTAAAAGCCTGGCAGAGACACAACAAAAAAAAGAATTTTAGACCAATATCCTTGATAAACATCAATGTGAAAATCCTCAATAAAATACTGGCAAACCAAATCCAGCAGCACATCAAAAAGCTTATCCACCACAATCAGGTTGGCTTCATCCCTGGGATGCAAGGCTGGTTCAACATATGCAAATCAATAAACATAATCCGTCATGTAAACAGAACCAACCACAAAAACCACATGATTATCAATAGATGCAGAAAAGGCCTTCGACAAAATTCAACAGCCCTTAATGCTAAAAACTCTCAATAAACTAGGCATTGATGGAACATATCTCAAAATAATAAGAGCTATTTATGACAAACCCACAGCCAATATCATACTGAATGGGCAAAAACTGGAAGCATTCCCTTTGAAAACTGGCACAAGACAGGGATGCCCTCTCTCACCACTCCTATTCAACATAGTGTTGGAAGTTCTGGTTAGGGCAATCAGGCAAGAGAAAGAAATAAAGGGTATTCAATTAGGAAAAGAGGAAGTCAAATTGTCCCTGTTTGCAGATGACATGATTGTATATTTAGAAAACTCCATTGTTTCAGTCCCAAATCTCCTTAAGCTGATAAGCAACTTCAGCAAATTCTCAGGGTGCAAAATCAATGTGCAAAAATCACAAGCATTCCTATACACCAATAACAGACAAACAGAGAGGCAAATCATGAGTGAACTCCCATTCACACTTGCTACAAAGAGAAGAAAATATCTAGGAACCCAACTTACAAGGGATGTGAAGGACCTCTTCAAGGAGAACTACAAACCACTGCTCAATGAAATAAAAGAGGACACAAACAAATGGAAGAACATTCCATGCTCATGGATAGGAAGAATCAATATCATGAAAATGACAATACTGCCCAAGGTAATTTATAGATTCGATGCCATCCCCATCAAGCTACCAATTACTTTCTTCACGGAATTGGAAAAAACTACTTTAAAGTTCATATGGAACCAAGAAAGAACCCAGATTGCCAAGACAATCCTAAGCAAAAAGAACAAAGCTGGAGGCATCACACTACCTGACTTCAAACTATACTACAAGGCTACAGTAACCAAAATAGCATGGTACTGGTACCAAAACAGAGATATAGACCAATGGAACAAAACAGAGGCCTCAGAAATAACACCACACATCTACAACCACCTGATCTTTGACAAACCTGACAAAAACAAGAAATGGGGAAAGAATTCCCTATCTAATAAATGGTGCTGGGAAAACTGGCTAGCCATATGTACAAAGCTGAAACTGGATCCCTTCCTTATTCCATATACAAAAATTAATTCAAGGTGGATTAAAGGCTTAAATGTTAGACCTAAAACCATTAAAAACCCTAGAAGAAAACCTAGGCAATATCATTCAGGACATAGGCATGAGCAAAGACTTCATGACTAAAACACCAGAAGCAATGGCAACAAAAAGCCAAAACTGACAAATGGGATCTAATTAAAGAGCTTCTGCATGACAAAAGAGACTACCTTCAGAGTGAACAGGCAACCTACAGAATGGGAGAAAATTTTTGCAATCTAGGGCTAATATCCAGAATCTACAAAGAACTACAAATTTACAAGAAAAAATCAAACAACCCCATCAAAAAGTGGACAAAGGATATGAACAGACACTTCTCAAAAGAAGACATTTATGCAGCCAACAGACACATGAAAAAAATGCTCATCATCACTGGTCATCAGATAAATGCAAATCAAAATCACAATGAGATACCATCTCACACCAGTTAGAATGGCAATCATTAAAAAGTCAGGAAATAACAGGTGCTGGAGAGGATGTGGAGAAGTAGGAACACTTTTACAATGTTGGTGGGAGTGCAAATTAGTTCAACCATTGTGGAAGACAGTGTGGCGATTCCTCAGGGATCTAGAACTAGAAATACCATTTGACCCAGCCATCCCATTACTGGGTATATACCCAAAGGATTATAAATCATGCTACTATAAAGACACATGCACACGTATGTTTCTTGTGGCATTATTCACAATAGCAAAGACTTGGAACCAACCCAAATGTCCATCAATGTTAGACTGGATTAAGAAAATGTGGCACATACATACCATGGAATACTATGCAGCCATAAAAAAGGATGAGTTTATGTCCTTTGCAGGGACATGGATGAAGCTGGAAACCATCATTCTCAGCAAACTATCACAAGGACAGAAAACAAAACACTGCATGTTCTCACTCATAGGTGGGAATTGAACAATGAGATCACTTAGACACATGGCGGGGAACATCACACACAGGGGCCTGTAGGGGGTGGGGGCACTGAGGGAGGGATAGCATTAGGAGAAATATCTAATGTAAATGATGAGTTGATGGGTGAAACAAACCAACATGGCATATGTATACCTATTTATCAAATCTTCACGTTGTGCACACGTATCCTAGAACTTAAAAAAAAAAAACTAAAAAAAGAAAAAATGAGTAAGACCTACCATTGATAGCACAATAGTGCTACTGTAGTCAATAATAACTGAATTGTATATTTTTAAGTAACTTCAAGAATATAATGGGATTGTTTGTAACTCAAAGGATAAATTATTGAGGGATGGATACACCATTCTCCATGATACGCTTATTTCACATGGCATGCCTATATCAAAACATCTCATGTACCCCATAAATATATACATCTACCATGTGCCCACAAAAATTTACAAAAATAAAAAATTATAAAAATAAGAGATATGACCGTACTATGTTTCCATATGCATTTGTGTTAGTTTTACAACTTTTCCATTGATTAGCTTTTCTATATATGAATGACTACTACAATATTGTGCTTATTCAGGCTTTACACTATGTTTTAATCATCCATCCTCATTACCCTTCTTTTTCAGAAGATGTGGTTGGGTTCATTTTCTCTTATTTCTTCCTACTGCTTATTTTGTATATAGAAACACTATTGGTTGTTATACAATAACATGGCATGCAGCCACCTACCTGAACTGTCTTGTCTGTGGTGTTTCAGTTCACATCAGGGTGTCCAGGAAATCCATCACACCATTTGCCATTCTCTCGCACACCTGCTCTGCTTCGTCTTCCGGCCACTCTTTCTCTGCAACCACTTTGACAACATTGGCAATGACTCCTCATTGCTCAGCCAAAGGTTAATCTTGAAACCATGTAGCCGCTACTGACACTACTTACTCATCAATGACTCCATGGCTTGGAATTCTGGAATATCATAATCTCCTCATTTTCTTCTTCCCCCGCCCCGTTTCTCCTTTTCATGTTTTGCCAATGTTAGATATCAGTTCTAAATTTCTTTTCAAAGAATCAGTGTCAGTATATTCAATTCTTTGCCTTTGATTTTTAAACTTAACTTTATTGTAAAGCAACCTTTTTTGATTACCTGCTCTACCCTGACTCATTCCAATTACCTGCTCTGTCATAACCATTTTTCCCACCAAACCACTCACCCTGTCACTCTTTAAATTAGCCAGTCGGAATTAGTTTAGCCTGTGCGGTCTAACCCTAGCCAATAGGGGAACAACACAGCAGCAGGGGCCACATGAGTCAGGGATAAGAACCTGTTTCCCTCCCTTGTCCAAGTGTGCTCTCACCATTGCTCCATCTGTAAGGGTGCACCCTTCTATAGAAGTGACTTGCCTTGCTGAGAATTAAAAAGAAAATTTTATATTCGAGTGCTATTTCTTTTGTGGCACTGAAACTTTATTTATAACAGAGGGATGCCAGTAAAATTGGGGAAGGACCACAGGGAGAAGGAAACTTCCAGCTGAACTTTGTGATAATATCAACTAAGCGTGAATTTTCCAGGACACAATTTGGGGGTGGGAGGCAAAAACAAAGTGCCAATAAAAGCACAGAAGCCGGGGCAGGAAGGGGGCAATGCCTGAAAGCCCTGCTTGCTTTCTCAGCAGGCGGGCTTTCCTCTGGCAAGTTCTCAGCCCCTGGATATAAAGTCGGTGCTGTTGGGGGAGCACAGCAGGAGTGAGACTGGCATTTCTGGCTGCATGGGAGCTGGGTGAGGCCTGTCACTGCCAGCTTTCCCCCCACTTCCCTGAAGTCCTGTATGATGCAGCAGAAGCAGCCCTAATAGCCCTGGGAATGTAACTCCATCAGCCTGAGAAACACACCCCTATCTCCCACAGCAGCCACTGCAAGCTGCACCCAAGGATAGTCTGAGCTCAGACGTACCTAACCCTACCCCCAACTGATGATCTTTCTCTGCCTGCCCTGGAAGCCAAAGACAAAAGACATAATCTCTTGGGAGCTCTACAGCCCCACCCAGCACCTGAGAAACCGGAATACTTAACCAGGTGACTTCAGGGAAAACTTGTATCCTCCCTAAAATACTGCAGCTGATGCTGTTGAAAGCCTCATGTCCTGGCTGGAGGCCAACCACACAACCATTACAGCAACTCACGAAACAACCCTGCCTGAAGAAAGGAGAAAATATCAGATAACTGCACAGCCTGTAACATTCTGGCTAACCAGAGGTCCTGAATCTGTCCATGTGACTTTACTGCCAGCACAACCAGCATTTTAAAAAACCAATACACTAAACAAAACTACAATCAAGGTCCCACATAGAGTCCACCTCATTCCCCTACTACCTCCACCAGAGCAGGTCCTGGTATTCATGACTGACAGACCTGAACACAGATCACATCACAGGACCCTTTGCAGACACTCCCCAGTACCAGCCCAGAGCCTAAGAGCTCCCGTAGGTGGCTAGACTCAAAAGAGAAATAACAGTCACTGAAGTCTGGCTCTCAGCAAGTCCCATCCCTAGGAGAAAAGGGAGAGGGCCACTTCAAGGGATCACCCCATGGGACAAAAGAATCTGAACAGCAGCCCTTGAGCCCCAGAGCTTCCCTCTGACATAGTCTACCCAAATGAGAAGGAACCAGAAAAACAATTCTGATATGACAAAACAAGGTTCTTTCACACCCTCCAAAAATCACACTAGCTCACCAGCAATGGATCCAAACCAAGAAAAGATCTCTGAATTGCCACAAAAAAAGAATTCAGAAGGTCGATTATTAAGCTACTCAAGGAGGCACCAGAGACAGGTGAATACCAACTCAAAGAAATATTTTAAATGTTACAGGATATGGGCAGAAAAAATTCCCCAGAGAAATAGACAGCATAAATTTAAAAAATTACAGCTTCTGAAAATGAAGGACATAGAGAAATGCAAAATACACTGGAAAATCTGAATAGAATCAAACAAGCAGAAGAAAGAACTTCAGAGTTGGAAAACAAGGCTTTCAAATTAACCCAATATGACAAAGGCAAATAAAAAATAACTTAAAAAAATTAACAAATCCTCCAAGAAATTTGGGATGTTAAATGACCAAATCTAAGAATAATTGGAGTTCCCAATATGTTAAACGACCAAACGTAAGACTAATTGGTGTTCCTGAGGAAGAAGAAAAATCTAAAAGTTGGGAAAACATATTTGAGGGAATAATCAAGGAAAATTTCTCTGGCCTTGCTAGAGATCTGGACACCCAAATACAAGAAGCTCAAAAAACATCCCATAAAATTCATCACAGAAAGACCACCACCTAGGCACACAGTCATCACGTTATAGAAAGTCAAGATGAAGGAAAGAACCTTAAGAGTGGTGAGGCAAAAGCACAAGGTAATCTATAAAGGAAAACATATCAAATTAACAGCAGATTTCTCAGCAGAAACCCTACAAGCTAGAAGGGATTGGGGCCCCATCTTTAGCCTCCTTAAACAAAACCATTACCAGGCAAGAATATTGTATCCAATGAAACTAAGCTCCATAAATGAAGGAAAGATGCAGTCTTTTTTAGACAAACAAATGCTGAGAGATTTCCCCACTACCAAACCAGCACTACACGAACTACTGAAAGGAGCTCTAAATCTTCAAATAAAACCTTGAAATACACCAAAATAGAACCTTGTCAGAGATTAAATCTCACAGGACCTATAAAACAGCAACACGATGAAAAAAATAAGGTATTCAGACAACTAGCATTATGAATAGAATAACACCTCACATCTCAATGCTAACACTGTAAAGGGGTGGGAAAAGTCCACTCAAATGGACACTAAACGTGAGCAGGAGGAGCTATTCTTATATCTTATATTCTTATTCTTATATCAGAAAAAACAGACTTTAAAGCAACAACAGTTAAAGACAAAGACAGATATTATGTTGTGGCTGACTGCCACAACCACTACTTGAGACGGTCACTACGACAGTTACTACTGTTACTACTTGAGACCGTCATTACGGCAGTTGCTATTACTACTTGAGATCATCATTACAGCAGTTACTACTGTTACTGCTTGAGACCGTCCTTATGACTGAACGAAGGGACAAATGTAGAAATGATAACAACAACAACAAAAAACTTTTAGGGAAAGGCAACACGGAGAGAAGAGAAGATCTCCCTACTCCTAGTGAGCAAAGGCCACCACCCAAGCTTCTCAGAGCTTCATATTTATTGGGTAACAAGAGCAAGGAGGAGGTAACGATTGTTCAGCTGCTTAATTGATCACAGGTTCATATTACTACTAATAGGCTTCAATTGTGCCTAATCATAAGAAATACTTGTGCAGCCTCCAACATCTCCTTTTTGTTTTTAAATTAATTGAGCAAGGCAATTGCAGGCTGTGCAGCCCTTAATTGCCAGTTGGTGATCCAGCTTAATTTTTCTTAGCCCTTATTCAAAATGGAGTCACTCTGGTTTGAATGCTTCTTTCATATTTCCCCCTTCCCTTTCACAAGAAGACCCTTAATCCTAAGAGTTGCAGAAGGATGAAGGTCCATCTTCTGCAACTTCTTCTTGCTGAATAGAGACTGATATTCCTGCTTAACTCTTAGGGTCTCTTGTATTCAGGGTAGAGAGGAGCCCAGTCAGAAAGCATTGGTCCGTTAAGCATTGATTGTACATCTGAGTTCCAGCAAAAGGTGAAACCTTGGTGCTCCAGCAGTTTCTCAGCTTCCTGTGTGGTTTTCTTGATCTGTCCCCATATTATGGTGGTTGATGTCAACGTGACTCTGGTCGGTCCTCCTTCTGTCTTCGCGTCCGAATTCAACTGGCTTATGGCTCGTACTGGGGGAACCAGGCCTGTAGTTGGAATTCATGGGTCCCTCCAGTCTCCCATTCCGTGGTCACACACATCTTGAGGGCACCCGCATGGCTTGTTCATCTCCTGCAAAAACACAAGCATACCCTCATCCCCACCCTAGTAAAGCTACTGAAACAGAAGCAAAAGTTTTGTGGCTGTAGCCAGGAGGTATGCTGTTGCTGAAGCATTTGTTTTACAGACAGTAACTCAGCTTCTGCCTCTTTGGTTAATTACCGTGGGGTAAAACTTTCCCTTCATAATGAGAGACAGGCTCTTTCTGATTAAAGAAGACACAGAAAAAGCAAATTGAGGCTTATCCTTCTTGTAAACAATCCTCAAGATCTATTACCATGAGAGACCAGTCTCTTCCTCCCACATCCATAAGCCCACAAAACTTAACTGCACAAGTGGGTCTATGAGAAGCTATGGATTGTGTAAGGTAAATCTCTCTCCTAGTTGCACTTCCAAATCCCTGACCTCCTTGCTTCTTCTTATGTAGAGAAGGGTACAACTTAAAGGGAACAAGCAACAGTTGAGCAACATATTCTCCTGGTTCAAAAACCCAAAGATCTTGTGACATTACCATTACCTGAATTTCTCCTTCACAATAAAAATCAACAACTCCTGGGCCTGTAAGTTAAGACAACTTTTACCAAAATCAATCCCAAGTATTTTGTTGGCAAAGATCCCCAAATATCAATGTGAATCTTACTGAGTTTGTTCTATCAATTAATATAATTTGTTCTGGAGGGGATCTAATCCTGCATTTCCAGATGTTCCTGGGGAAAGGGAATCAGTGTGCCTCCAGAAACCCATCCCTGAGACAGAGTTAGGGCCTGGATGGGGAAATGCCTTCATAGTTTGAGGTGCCCAGGTCCAGGCCCCCTTCTCGCTTCCCAACAGGGGGGTGCCATTTTGATGAAATTTTGAGTGACACTGATTAGCCCAATGATTTATTTTGTTGCGACGAGGGCAAAGTCCTGGCATTTTTTTCTGTTGAGAGGGGAACTGTGTTACAAGATCCCTTTTGCCCAGTGGTCTGGTAGTGTTCTTTTTTGAAACATTCAATTTTTCTACACTTATAACACTTTCCCACTTGAGGGCTTGACCCTTGGCTTCCTTTATATCTGTCAGCTACCAAATTAGCCATTGCCTGAGTCAATACTGCAGAGCAATGAAGCTCAATTCCCACATCTTGACAGGCTCCGAAAAAGCCTCCCAAGTCCTCTGCACATCTCACAGGTGCCAATGCATGTTGCAATCCATGAAAGCGAAAGCTAAAGTCAGCCTTTCAGTAGCCACAAAAGAAGACGGTACAACCCAATTTTCATCCTCCCTCTCCTGATCATCCTACAGCACTTTGGATAGGTACTGTAGGTGTAGCAAAAAATTCTCAAACCCTGAAATAACAAAAAGGTGGTACATACCAAACTCCAAACAAAAAAGAAAATAAACAGAAACAACCAAATTCTTCCTCATGTTACTCTGATTCAAAAACTTCCCGTTGTTTGTACCTCTAGGGCACTGACCAGTACCTTTATAGAGCACAGCTCCCGGCAGACTTGTGATGGGGTTTCTCATTTGCCTACTTGGTTTTAGATTTTTCTGGGCTTTAGTTTTTTCTGTTCCAGCAGACCTTCCTCATTCAAGTCCCTATAGGACCCTATCTATCCCTATCTGTCCATGTCTGTCCCTGCAAATCTCTGCTAGTCTTTGCTTGTCTCTACTTGTGTACCTCTTTAGGGCATTGACCTTATATTGCTAGTCTTTGCTAGTCTATCTATCCCTATCTGTCCCTATGGTACCTGTTAGTTCCTGCAAGTTCCTGCAAGTCCCTGTCTTTCCCTACCTATCTCTACTTACTTATCTCTATTCGTTTCTATTTATCTCTATTTCTGTTTATCTCTATTTATCCCTGCAGGCCTCTTCAGATCCCTTCAGGTCTCTTCAGGTCTCTTTGTCCCTGATATTCCTTGTTAGTGTGCCACTTGTGGCTGACTGCCACAACTACTACTTGAGACGGTCACTACAGCAGTTACTACTGTTATGGCTTGAGACCATCATTCAGCAATTACTCTTACTGCTTGAGACCGTCATTATGACTGAACGAAGGGACAAATGCAGAAATGATAACCAAAAAAAAAAAAAGAAACTGTTTTAAGGAAAGGCAACATGAGGAGAAGAGAGGAGAGAAAAAGAAAAGAGCTCCCTGCTTCTAGTGAGCAAAGGCCACTGCCCGAGCTTCTCAGCCCTTCATATTTATTGGGTAACAAGAGCAAGGAGGAGGAGGTAACAATTGGTCAGCTGCTTAATTGATCACAGGTTCATATTGTTACAGACAGGCTTCAATTTTGCCTAATCATAAGAAACATTTATGCAGCCTCCAACATTACATAATGATAAAAGGTCTAGTCCAACAGGAAAATATTAGAATCCTAAATATATATGCACCTAACACTGGAGCTCCCAAGTTTACAAAAATAGTTGCCACTAGACTTAAGAAATGAGATAGATGGTAACACAATAATAGTGTGGGACCTCAATACTCCACTGACAGCACTAGACAGGTCATCAAGACAAAAAGCCAGAAAAGAAACAATGGATTTAAACTATACCCTAGGACAAATTAACAGATATTTACAGAACATTCTACCCAACGACTGCAGAATGTACATTCTATTCATCAGCACATGGAATATTCTCCAAGACAGACCGTATGATAGGCCGCAAAACAATTCTCAAATTTAAGAAAATCAGAATTATAGCAAGTACTCTCTCAGACTGCAGTGGAATAAAATTGGAAATCAACTCCAAAAGGAACATTCAAAACCATGCAAATACATGGAAATTAAATAAACTGCTCCTGAACGATCACTGGATCAATAATTAAATCAAGATGGAAATTAAGAAATTCTATGAACTGAACCATAATAGTGACAAAATCTATTAAAACCTCTGGGATACAGCAAAAGAGATGCTAAAGGGAAAGTTTATAGCATTAAATGCACATATCAAAATGTCTGAAAAAGCACAAATAGACAATCTAAGGTCACACCTCAAGGAGCCAGAGAAGCAAGACCAAACTAAACCCAAACCCAGCAGAAGAAAAGAAATAACAAAGATCAGAGCAGAATTAAATGATACTGAAACAAACAAACAAACAAAAGATAAGTGAAACAGAAAGCTGGTTCTTTGAAAACATAAACAAAATTGACAGACCATTGATGAGTGTAGCCAATAAAAGAACAGAGAGGGTCCAACTAAGCTCAATTAGAAATGAAACAGGAGATATTACAACCAATACCACAGAAATACAAAAGATCATTCAAGGCTATTGTGAACACCTTTACATACACAAACCGGAAAACCTAGAGGATATTCATAAATTCCTGGAAATATACAAACCTCCTAGATTAATCCAAGAAGAAATAGAAACTCTGAACAGACCAATAAAAAAGCAGTGAGATTGAAATAAAAATTTAAAAAATTGCCAACCAAAAAAGTACAGGACCAGATGGATCCACAGCTGAATTCTATCAGACATTCAAAGAAGAATTGGTACCAATGTTACTGAAACTATTCCAAAATATAGAGAAACAGAGAATTCTGCCAAAAGCATTCTATGAAGCCAGTGTCAACCTAATACAAAAAACAGGAAAGGATGTAACAAATAAAGAAAACTACAGACCAGTACCCCTGATGAATGTGGATGCAAAAATCCCCAACAAAATACTAGCTAACCCAATCCAACAGCATATCAAAAAGATAATCCACCATTATCAAGTGGGTTTCATACCAGGGATGCAGGGATGGGTTAACATACACAAGTCAATAAATGTGACACATTGGATAAACAGAATTAAAAACAAAAATTTCATGATCATCTCAATAGACACTGAAAAAGCATTTGACAAAATCTAGCATCCGTGTATGATTAAAACCTTCAGCAAAATCGGCATAGAAGGGACATATCTTAACATAGTAAAAGCCACCGATGACAAACCTATAGCCAACATTATACTAAATGGGGAAAAGTTGAAAACATTCTCCCAGAGTTGAAAACATTCTCCCAAGACAAAGATGCCCACTTTCACCATTTCTGTTCAACATAGTAGTGGAAGTTTTATCCAGAGCAATCAGACAAGAGAAAGAAATCAAGGGCATCCAAATCAGTAAAGAGGAAGTCAAACTGTCCCTGTTCACCAATGATATGAATGTATACCTAGAAAACCCTAAAGACTCATCCAGAAAGCTCCTAGAATTGATACATAAATTCAGTAAAGTTTCAGGGTACAAATTAAGTGCACAAATCAGTAGCACTGCTATACACCAATAGTGATCAAGCTGAGAATCAAATCAAGAACTCAAACCCTTTTACAATAGTTGCAAAAAAAAAAAAAAAAAAAAAACAACTTAGGAATATACCTACCCAGGGAGGTGAAAGACCTCTACAAGAAAACTATGAAACTGCTGAAATCATAGATGACACAAACAAATGGAAATCCACCCCATGCTCATGGATGGGTAAAATCAATATTGTGAAAATGACCATACTGCCAAAAACAATCTACAAATTCAATGCAATTCCCACAAAAATATCATCATCATTCTTCACAAAACTAGAAAAAACAATTCTAAAATTAATACAAAAAAAAAAAAAACCTGCATAGCCAAAGCAACACTAAGCAAAAAGAACAAATCTGGAGGCACCACATTACCTGTCTTCAAACTATACCACAAAGCTAAAGTCACCAAAACAGCATGGCAGAGACATAAAATTAGGCACATAGACCAATGGAAAAGAATAGAGAATCCAGAAATGAAGCCAAATACTTACAGCTGACTGATTTTTGACAAAGCAAACAAAAACATAAAGTGGGGAAAGGACACCCTATTTAACAAATAGTGCCGAGATCATTGGCAAGCCACATGTAGAAGAATGAAACTGGATCCTCATCTCTCACCTCATACAAAAATCAACTCAAGATGGATCAAAGACTTAAATATAAGACCTAAAAGCATAAAAATTCTAGAAGATAACACCAGAAAAACCCTTCTAGACATCCGCTTAGGCAAAGACTTCACGACCAAGAACCCAAAGATAAATGCAACAAAAACAAAAATAAATAGATGGGACTTAATTAAACTAAAAAGCTTTTGCACAGCAAAGGAAATCATCAGCAGAACAAAGAGATAACCCACTGAGTGGGAGATAATCTTCACAAACTATGCATCTGACAAAGGACAAATATCCAGAATCTACAAGGAACTCAAACAAATTAGCAAGAAGAAAACAGTCACATCAAAAAGTGGGCTAAGGGCATGAATAGACAATTCTCAAAAGAAGATATACAAATGGCCAACAAACATAAGAAAAAATGCTTAACACCAGTAATCATCAGGGAAACACAAATCAAAACCATAATGCAATGCCACCTTACACCTGCGAGAATGGCCATAATTTAAAAATCTAAAAATAATAGATGTCGGCAGGGATGTGGTGAAAAAGATACACTTTTACACTGCTGGTGGGAATGTAAACTAGCACAACCACTATGGAAAACAGTGTGGAAATTCCTTAAAGAACTAGAAGTAGATCTACAATTTGATCCAGTAATCCCACTCCTGGGTATCTACCCAGAGGAAAAGAAGTCATTTTACGAAAAAGACACTTGCACTTGCATGTTTATAGCAGCACAATTGCAATTACAAAAATATGGAACCAGCTCAAATGCCCATCAATCACCAAGTGGATAAAGAAAATTATATATATATAGTGTGTGTATGTATATGTGTATGTATATATATGTATATGTGTCTGTATATATTTATATATATATATATATACACACACACACACACATATACCATGGAATACTACTCAGTAATAAAAAGGAATGAAATAATAGCATTCTCAGCAACCTAGATGGAATTGGAGACCATTATTCTAAGTGAAGTAACTCAGGAATGGAAAACCAAACATCATATGTTCTCACTTATAAGTGGGAGCTAAGCTGTGAGGACACAAAGGCATAGAATAATACAATGAACTTTGAGGACTTGGGGGGATGAATGAAAGAGAGATGAGAGATAAAAGACTACACATTGGGTACAGTATACACTGCTTGGGTGATGGGTGCACCAAAATCTCAGAAATCACCACTAAAGAACTTATACATGTAACCAAACACCACCTGTTCCCCAAAAACCCATTGAAATACAAATAATAATAAATGATTTGATTTCACAGAACTTAAAAAAAGTTAGCTGTTCAGAGTTGATAAAAGAAGTAAAAATGAACAGTGTAGCAAGTGGTAGCCTCTAGACAATGGGATTCTAGACTTTCACTTTGCATACACTTCTCTAGCATTTGGAAAGAAAGTATACACATGAATATATTACCACTATAATAAAGAAAACACCAAAAAAAATGGTGTCAGGACATTGTCAGCCTTGAATGATCCTATGATCCACTTTTTTCATTATTTATAAAGCCTCATAATGATAGTTCACATTACTTGATGTGATACCTAGGCCCATAATTGATTTTTAAAATCAGGACAGCAATTACTTACAGGAAGGTGAACAACATGGGACGTGATGAGAGAGGCTTATATGTACTGGATATGGGACAGAGGCCAAGAATCATCTCAGTTGGGATTTGTGTCTCGAACTTCTCTGGCCTCTGATTTGTCCACAGTCCTCATGCAGGAAATAACAAGTCTGTCCAGCATCTTCATAAGCCTGAGTTGCTAACCAGTGTTCACTCTAGCTCCCGTAGGCATCCCCTGAATTAAGAAACACAAAAGGGTCCTCTGAAGTTACTGAATCCCAGAAAGGCCCTCCACCTTTACCACAAGGGAGATCTTCACCTCTGGACAAAAGAAAAAGGAAAGACAAGGGTAAGTACCAAGAACTGTCTTCTTTTATAGTCAGTTATGGTTTTAGCTACAAGATCACTTTCCTGTGTTTCCACCTCCGTGCTACATGCAGGGGATCATGATCTTGTTTCATGAAAAGACAGGAGACATGGAGCTTCCTTCTGGAAACCGATTGCTACCAGCCCAGTCTGTGTGAGTTCCAAATAGGGTCCCCGCTTCTGATTTATCTCCCCATATCACTTCCTTTATTCCAATCATTCAATCTGCCCTCATGGAGAGAATGCTACCTCTAACATTCATTTAATGAGCAAGGGGACATGCAGGCCTTGCTTCCTAGAGCTGAACTGCTGTAGAAGCCAGTTTTGCTGTTTTACTTACTTTTCAAAATTTTTCTTCCTTGCCTATCTGGAAAGTTTCAAGGAAGACATGGATGGTCCAAACTGAAATGATTGAGGAGTGTTTCATGAGGGAAGTATTTACAAAGACATGCAGGGTTAAGGAAAGAGAAAATGCATGGGTCAGCACCCTAAGCAGCAATACCTAGGGGAGCACTAAGTCCTCCCCTAGACTGAAAGGGACAGGGAAGGAGCAGTTATTATTGTCACCATAGCCATAGCCATAGCTGTATCCATAGGGGTGGGAGAACAAGAGCGGGCAGGTGGAGAAGCCCTGTATGGCCAACACACAGCCACACAGGCTGATATGCTTTGGATCTGTGTCTCCACCCAAATCTCATGTTGATTGTAATTCCCGATGTTGGAAGGAGGGCCTGGTGGGAGATGATTGTTAGATCACGGGGATGTTTTCATATGAATGTTTTAACACCATCCCCCTTTGGTATTGTTGTTGTGACACTGATGAGTTCTCATGATATCTAGTTGTTTAAAAGTGTGTAGCACCTCCTCCCTCTCTCTCTTGCTCCTGCTTTCACCATGTGAGATGCCTCTCTCCCCCTTGGCCTTTCACCATGAATGGAAGCCTCCTGAGGCCTCCTTAGAAGCAGAAGCTGCTATGCTTCCTGTATAGCCTGCAGAGCCATGAACCAATTAAACCTGTTTTCTTCATAAATTTCCCAGTCTCAGGTATTTCTTTGTAGCAATTCAAGAATGAACTAATACACTGGCAGAGAGCCAGGAGGTGGAAATCCCAAGTGGCTCTCCTGCTGTCTTCCAGTCTCCCCCTGGTGTCTCCCAGTATCTCAATTCCACCAGAAACAAGAATTTAAAAGAATCCCACTGATGTGGTACATAGAAGCCACTCTCTTGGGATGTCAACAGGATAGAGAAGAATGGAAAGCAAATCCTCCTGGCAACTAAGACTATCCCTCACACCTTCTTATATCCTCCTACTTCCTGTGGTTTTTTCTGTCTAAAGGTGATTGATTCTGGTCTCATTTCAACTCTATCAGACTAATGTTTGGCATGTCCTTCTCTACTGTCACTTCTATGCAGACATGTTTGCGTTCATCAAAAATGCGTAGAAAATTAAATGTAATTTTTTAAAGAGAGGACATATTTCTTTTGTTTAGAATATAAGTTTGGTTGCTCTCATAAAGACACGAAGTAGAAATATCTTAACAAGAAAGTACAGTTGTGCCTCTGGGTCACTACATTCTGAATCTGCAGATTCAACAAACCACAGGTGGAAACTATTTTAAAAATAAGAGTATGGCGGAGTTGTGTATATACTGAGCAGGTATAAACTTGTTTTTTCTTGTCATTACTTCTGAATTGATAGAGTAAAAAAAAGAATTTACATAGCAATTACATTTTGTCAGTTATTCTAAGTAACTTAGAAATTATTTAATGTATCTAGGAGAAAGTGCATAGGTTGTATACAAATATCACATCGTTTTGTATAAAGAAATGAGCATCTGCATATTTTGGTGTGTGCTGAGGTTGCGGAAGCAAGCCCCAATGAATACCCAGAGATGACCATCTTCTAGATCCCAGCTGGAAGCTCCAAGGCATCATAAATCAGAATTCCAAAATTGAAACTCCCCAGTGCCTAGAGAGTTGCCCTCATTTTTGTGATCCTGCATGATTCCCAGCCACATCGGCATTCCAGCATCATGGAAAAGGATGAAAGGAAGGAGAGGCCTTGCTTGTTCTATTGATCCCATGAGCCAGGGATCACTTTTGTGCATCTTACATTGAAGAGCTCCTGCTCATATGATGGCACCATCATCAAGGAACACTGGGATGTGGGTCCTTGTGCTGCTTTTACACTCTCAGAACTGTTATGTGACCAAAGAGGAAAATGATTATTGGGGCAACCTAGCAGTCTCTTCAGCCCCGCACTGTCTCTGATTCTGTGCTCACATCAAGATTTTTCAAGAACTCCTCAGAAATAATAAATGATGGGACAGAGAACAGTTCAGAAGTCTCAAACAGGGCTCCAGGGACCAGGGACTGGTATTGGACCTGCTTTCCATGTTATGATCTCAGGAAAACCCTTTAATTCTATAGGCCTCGGCTTCATCTTATGTCATATGAGGATAATACCATAGATGGTCTTTAAGAAAGACATGCTAAATGTTGATGATACTACAGTGAAAAAGACAGCTTATGGAGCTTCAGGTTTCATGAGGAAGATAAATATATCATACCCTAAATATAGATGGACAAAGTGTTTAGTGCCCTGAATGTGGATAACAGATGTTCTCCTTTTCCTCCCATTGCCTTTTCGGGCCAATCATGGATATGGCAGCTTGTCTTTCTACTAAAGGTCAGGATGGATACATTAATTCTTGATGTTTCTCTGTACTCCCACCAGAGGGTGAATCTTCTTTCCACATGGAAGCCTCCTGCCCATGTGCATTCTTGGGATTCCAGAGCAAAGGTGGCCTCAGGTAGGCAAAAAGGAACTCCTGAATTTGTTCCTAAATGGTTTTCACTCTCCTCTATATTGTTCCCTATTTGATTAGCTTCTCATTCTCTATCTGGAGTTTGTTTAGGTTAGTTTTTTCTTTCAGCCCACAATTTTGACTGCCAACTTGGATTTCACTTGAGAATCACTCTGTTGCTTTACTCCCTCTAACATGTATAATCGACACAGAGTCGTGCTGGTTCGAAAGGGCTAGTCAAAGACTGGATCATGAGTCAGCCCTGCTGGGCTCAACTTCATACTATATAAGTCCCAGGACAAATAATTCATTCTTTTTGTGCTCCAGTGCATTATTGGCCATATGGGAATAATACTCATTCTTACCTCCTAGGCTCTTCAGATAATTAAAAGAGACAATACCTAATAAACTCTCAATCAGCTGCTGTTATTCTCCCAGATTAGACCCAGTCCTCATTCTCCAGCTGAAATCTGCATGAATCTCTCTCTTTATACTCCAAGCCCTATACTAGCCCTATTTCCCTCATTGACTCTGCTAATACAAATATTTTCATCAACAGAGAAATAAACCACAGATCTACTGAAAGAGAGACAGAAATTGGGTTACATTTTGTATACGGAGCAGAACACTTATTAGTCCCCCATAGATATTCCAACACTTCAGTTACTTCCTTCAGTTGCACTCAGGCTCACCCACACTTACTCTTTCCTCTGCTCTACTGCTTAACAGTTCAGCTCAGACCCACACCCTACACAAACGCTGTGTACAAAAATGCTTCTAGGTGTTCAGCAAAGCTACACTGAGACCTCATGTCAAAGGCTCATCAGTGGTCATTTTCTGGTGTTGGGCACACATCAATCATTCTTTTCAACACAGATAGAGCTGTCCACAAATAGATTTCTGATTGTTGAAATTCTCTTCATATAATTACAAATGTGTGTTCTAATGCCTTACATTGTGCTTTCATCTTTATTTTCCATTTCACCAAAATCTACCAGTACCATTAGGCTCCTCATGCATGCATTCATTCATTGAATGAATATTTATGAAGAGCACAGTGTGCTGCTCATGGAAATAGGCACTGGGAGTATAAAATGTAAAATGCAGTCCTGTCTGCAATAACTGACACACTGAGTTATTTCTCACCCACCAGGCCCAGCCATTTCCACACTTATCCTAGCAAAGGTCTCATTTTCCTCTGCTTCATAATGCATGGTCTTCTTTCCTATCCATGGATGACCAGTCCTAGTCATGAGGGTGTCACAACCACCTCTTTGTGTATCTGAATTCCTCCACCTGAGAGAAATTTCAGGCCCAGGATAGAGTAATCATCGGGTCCACAGCCCTGGCCACTTGAATGGGGGTGTTTTGATCCTAATGTTATCCCCATGTCAGTACAGAACTTGTGTGGCAATAAAGAGAGGTCAGGCTTCAGAGTCAGCAGGAACTGGATTTCAAATGGATTTGAGGACCCCCACCTTTTGATAGGTGACTTATTCTCTGTGAGCCTCTGTTTCTCTCCTCTTTAAAATGAGAACAGTAAATCCCACATGGCAGGGTAGTGGGGAGAATCAGAGATCAAACAGCTGGTGATCACATCTGGTTTGTGTTCCCAGGGACACCAGACTACCGTTTCTGAGCGTGGATCCAAGCAACCCAGCCTTGGATGCAGAACTGACACCAATTAACAGAACTGAGGAGACTCCTTGCTACAAGCAGACCCTGAGCCTCATGGGGCTGACGTGCATCATTTCCCTTGTCACGCTGACAGGAAACGCGGTTGTGCTCTGGCTCCTGGGCTTCCGCATGCGCAGGAACGCCGTCTCCATCTACATCCTCAACCTGGCTGCGGCAGACTTCCTCTTCCTCAGCGGCCACGTTATACATTCCGCCTCACTCCTCATCAATATCTGTCATCCCATCTCCAAAATCCTCATTCCTGTGATGACCTTTCTATACTTTACAGGCCTGAGCTTTCTGAGTGCCATGAGCACCGAGCGCTGCCTGTGCGTCCTGTGGCCCATCTGGTACCGCTGCCTCCTCCCCCCACACACCTGTCAGCGGTCGTGTGTGTCTTGCTTTGGGCCCTGTCCCTACTGCGGAGCATCCTGGAGTGAATGTTCTGTGACTTCCTGTTTAGTGATGCTGATTCTATTTGGTGTCAACCATCAGATTTCATCACAGTCGTGTGGCTGATTTTTTTATGTGTGGTTCTCTGTGGGTCCAGCCTGGTCCTGCTGATTAGGATTCTCTGTGGATCCTGGAAGATGCCTCTGACCGGGCTGTACGTGACGATCCTGCTCACAGTGCTAGTCTTCCTACTCCGCAGCCTGCCCTTCGGCATTCGGTGGGCTCTGTCTACTGGGATCCACCTGGATTTGGAAGTCATTTTCTGTCATGTCCATCTAGTTTCCATTTTCCTGTCCCCTCTAAACGGTAGTGCCAACCCCGTCATTTACTTCTTCGTGGGCTCCTTTAGGCAGCGTCAAAATAGGCAGAACCTGAAGCTGGTTCTCCAGAGGGCTCTGCAGGACATGCCTGAGGTGAAGGTGGAGGGCGGCTTCCTGAGGGAACCCTGGAGCTGTCGGGAAGCAGATTCGGGCAGTGAGGAAGAACCTCTGCCCTGTCAGTCAGACGGGACTTTGAGAGCAATACTGCCCTGCCACGCTTGACAATTACATGCGTTTTCTTAGTGTTGTGCCTCAGAAATGTCTCAGCGGTAACTCAAGGTCGTCGAATAGATGTTTATCTATACTGACAGTTCCAGTTTTCATCCACAGAAAGCATTAGTCTGACAGTACAATGTTTAGATTCTCCTTGATATTACCAACACATTTTTCCTGTTATCTTACACTGAAAACTTTTTCTGCAATTTTCATTGTAATAAAAGGAGTTCCTCTCCACAACCCTAAACTCATCTTTATACGTTTCCTACCTGATTGTATCAAAAAGGAAGTTTCCTTATTGATCTCTCAGACTATGTTCCCCTGAAACCATATTCCCTTCTATGACTGGAAGCATTACTGAAGTTGGGAGCTCGATTCTGAATAAGTGAGTTCTGTTATCTCTACATTCCACTGAATTCTCAGATATAAAGCAAAATAATGTCCTTAGAGACAGACTCTTTCTTCATAAAAACACTCTCACAAATTGGTTTTATGAAAAGTCCTCTCCTGTCATTTGTCCACAGCATGGTGACACACTGGCCTTGATTTCTAGTAAAGACAACCATGGCCGCTTCCCCTTGAGAACTGGTAAGTTCTTATTTAGCTCTTCCTGGACTAATAGACCAGTGAGGAGCCTGTAAATATGCCCCACCAGTTCCATTTTGCCCATTGGAAATGGCAGTATTGATTATAAAGTGGAAACTATCTTGAAAAATCATTATTCACTTACAGATTCTTTCAGTTGTAGGAGAATTCTTCTTACTTCCAGGTTTTGCACAAATTTTTCTGGCTGTAACTTTCAGTTAGTTTTATGGTCGTTCACGTGAGAAGCAAAACTGAAAATATCTGACCTTTCCATGCTAATGTCAATTATAGTATCTGGATAATAACTTACAGTTGGTATAGAATTCTAATACATGCTGTGACATAGATGAACCTGAAAACATTGTGCTAAGGAAAATAAGCCAAACCAAAGAACAATATTGTAAGTTCAAATTTTATGAGATATTGAAACTAGGAAATTTGTGAACACAGAAAATAAGTTAGGAGGAGCCTGGTGCTGGATGATGGAGGGAATGTGTAGCCATTAGTTAATGAGCAAAGACTTTCTGTGTGGAATAATGCAAAGTTCTTAAAGGGGACAGTGGTAATGGTTACAACTTATTGGAATATACTTAATGAAACAGAATTTTACAACTAAAATAGTTGAAGTTGTAAAATGTATGTTATGTAAATTTTACAATTAAAAACATTTAATTATAAACACAGGATCAGTACAAAATTCAGAACTATTCTCCACCAGTGATTATCCCTTCCACAGATAACTCAAGCAGACAGAAGAGACCACCAAGAGATGTGACATCACAGTAGGCTCTGTGCTGCTCTTAGACAGTGAGGCTGCCCCTCAGATTGACCCTCACTAAGGGGAGCTGACACATGCAATTTGAGTATGCAGGAGACAGTGTAAAGTAGCTATGAAAACAATAAAGAGGTATATAGTTTTCAATTTGTCCAACCAAATTTATTAGCGGCTCTTATCACACTGTTAACAATGTTGAACTCAGGTCCCCTCAGTCCAGATCCATTGCTTTTCCAGGCCCAGACTCCATTGATGCTGAATCCTATCTGTCCACCCTCAATTTCCAAATGCTGTAGTAGGACATGGCTGTTAGTGAGGGTTTCCTACAGGTCGGAGAAAACAGGAAGCCAGTGCTTGCAGCCAATGCTCCCGGCAAGGAGCTTTGATGTCATGTCGTCAGTTCAGACTGAGGGTTATTGGGAGAGTCCACTCTGGAAGTCTCTGATATCAACTGTACAGTTTTGGCCTAAGATGTTGTCTACATGAGGAATTTTGTAGAGAATATTCACCTGACAATTGAAACAAATAATGTTGGTCCTCACCTGGGAATTGCTTGGTTTGATGTTAGAAACATTCTTTTTCTTTTGGCAGAAGAAAACTTCAACTTCATGAAGCTTAGATTCAGTCCATGAAGCCCATTCTGAACTTACTTGGCCTCACAGATTGCTCTACGATAAAACTTATAACAGCATAGTTGAAATACTTTTCCTCACATCTTTCTCTTCAACTGCATTCTGAAGTCTTTAAGACGCAAAGAACATGTCCTTGAATTTCTAGTGCAACAGACTAGGTGTGGAATTTAGAAGATGCTTGGTAAATATTTTTCTCAAGTAGCTCCCACCTGAAAATCACAGGGTTGTCCAGCATCTTGCAAAGGCTGGCTCAGTCACCAGGTCTCACTGGATCTCCTATAGGCACTTTCCACTTAACAGAGTGTCCTCTGCAGTTGGTCTTTCTGAGAACAGCTGTTCCCTTTTATTGCAGGTCTGCTCACTGCCTCTGGGAAGAAGAATAGAGGGGATGCAGGAGTCTGCTCATGAGCTGCCTTCTTTCCAAGGTCAATGATATCATTTCCTCTCAGTTCTATGTCAAGGAAGAGCATGCAGTACATCCAGGAGTGTTCTCCAGAAAATGAGAAATGATAAGAAAATCTCTCATGGCACTTTTTGGGAGCTGCCATTCATGACTATATTTTAGGCATGAATTCAACTAACATTCAAACATAATTCACTAAGCACTGTGCTAATTCTACATAAAAGCAAACACCTTTCAAATAAGTCTCTCACTAATACATTCTGTATCTATAACCAATCCTTTCCACTTCATGAAGAAAATATACTGATGGATGCGGAGCAAATGCTGAGCCTTCGTGGCCATTCACTGATGCTCTAGTACACCTGGGCTCAAGGGCACTGGGCCATCACACTCACAAGAACCAACTGGATCTGTTTCTTGTCCTGCTTTTGCCAATTAGGCTTGTCAATATAATTACCTAATTTTTCAAAATACAGCACAAGTCAATGAAATACGAATATGAAAGAATTGTGGTTTCCATAAAAACTAATGTGAATGTGTAAATGGACAATAAAAGCAGGTTCCAAAATTATTGTTAGTTTACTAGGTGTGAGTCTGCCAACTCTACAAGATTAAACAAAAATGAACAATATTGAACAATATCCTCAGACAGAATGCTATGCATCTGATGCTAAGATCTACACTTAAACTAATCCACACTGCAAATTATAGACAATGATTGATAGATATGCTTTCAGACAGAGTAGAATTCTATATGCCGAACCCTACACAAAGGATTGTTCTACAGCCTAGTTCTATTGTAGTGAATTAATTCTAGGTAAAATTGAAATACTCATGTTACAAATGTATCCTTTTTTATGCATACTGATTAACAGATATTTTCAATTAATCTATCTACTTACACTCCTGAATATATCATTAAGTGGGCTTTACATAGCAATATCTCTCACTTTTTCTACTGTTTGTTGTATAAATATATACTGAGCATCTTTTATTCTCTAGCTTGCATGCTAGACACTTGGGAGTCAAAGTAAACATACCCACATTCACAGAGCTCCTAGCCTGTGAAGGAAGGACACTAGTGCAGGAAAGGCTGCCTCCCAATGTGACACATGCTATCCAAGCGTTGTGTTTGTGGCTTAAGTGTGCTCAGAGGAGAGGGTGTCTAAAAATTCCCAGTTATCTTGCTGCCATCCTCAAGAGGAATGCCACATCCAAGCACCCAGCTGAAGCAGGACAATATGATTCCAACAAATGAGAGAATGAATGTGCACCAGGTGACTGCTCATGCAAGACAACAATCTCAGCAACAGTTCTATAATTGATGACATTACAAGACTAATAGGCTAAATCTTACAATAGCGCTCAGTCTATAGTCTAACATCACACCAATGCACAATTCCTGAAAGCATTTTCTAGAGACCCTGCAGATGCTTAGGTCACAGGCATTGCAGAACTACCTACTACCACTACCTTGCATTCCTGCAGAAGAAGCCCTTGCCTCCAGGCAAACCCAATTCAGCATCTACAAATCCCAGGATATGGAGGGAAGAAGAATGTGCAAGCGCTAGAATGGGAAGAACACCTGACCTGGTTTCAGGGATTTGGGATTCTCAAGCTGACTGCATGGCCAACGTGGATCACATGCTCATTCCAGGCAAACTAAGCAGAAGTGAGGTTATGGGATTGCCCCAGTCATTTGTGCATTTGTGCTCAGGTATCTCTTTTCAGAACATGTGGGTAAAGTGTGACTTTACCATAACCATGGACTGAAGATTACTAGTGTTGTGATCCAGGTTGCCTGAGAAATTCATGTCACTACACAGCGACCAGTAAGCATATGTTCTTCCCACCTATGTGGAAGCGACCTAGAATCCAAAGAGACTGCTCTGATGCTTGTTCTGTATGACGGTGTGGTATCATTTGGGCACAATTAGTGTCAATGTATCAATGCTGGCTATAGATATAGACGACATTTGTTTGCTGTTATCTAGCAGTTACAGCAGAGTATAGAAGAAGAAATCTCAATGCTCATGCCCATCATATTGGTCCAAATTTTTCTGAAACCTTGCAGGATGAAAACACAAGGAAGGAGAGCAGAGACAGAGCAGATCTCATTCCTGAGTGTGTATGTAGCAGTGAGTGGATCATGGAAGGCTTTGTGTAATAGGTAGAATTTTAACTGATGACTACAATTGACCCAGCATTATTATTATGATTGTACCCTCTGTAGATTTTGCCAGTCACTTAAATGTTTGTATTGGGCAAGGATTGGTAAATAGGATCTGGACTAATGGAAATGGCAGAAGAGATAATTTACAGTGGCTCTGTTAATAAAAGCACAGAGTTTTTTTAGGGAATGGTGAATAATTCACACCAGAGTTTTATTCCTTGTGTCACCCTGTGTATTTGGTCATGATGGCAAGATCCCTCTTAAATAGAATCACAAGACTGGAGTGCTCTGAATAATGAGCATCATCTTTCGTGACCTTGAAGTGATAGAGCTTGATGTTAGTTTTGTGATATTCATAGGAGTGAACTCTATAATAATGTAAAGTCCAGAGAGGGCCAGGCAAGTCAGGCCAACAGGACATGCCACAAAGTCAATGCCATGCTCTCCTTACCCTCCTCACTGGGATATGTCCAGCCCTCCAGGGTCAGAAGGCATAGATTAAAAAATTAAAAAATTAAAATAATAATAATAATAATAATAAAACACGTGGGGGTTAGAGGAGAAGAGAGAAGCAATGGAATGCAGCCCCTTTTCAGGAGCAGCATTTTTACCTGCAAAAGGCCCATATTGGGAGTAGGGGAGATAGTTAATCTTTGAATTAAATTCAACATTTTATTTGTCACATAAAAATTCAAATCTAAACTCTGCATAGCCTTGATATGGATGTCCAAAAATTCCTAATCAAATTCTGTGTCACTTTGCAACTCTTTTGTAATGTAATATTTATAGTGACTTGAAATTTAATATTCCTGTTTCAACATGCTGCTACACATGTGACAGAATAATACATACCAAACTCAGACATTCTGAAGTTGAAGAAAATTGTCATTCCCATTCCAGGTGTGCAGGCGCCCTTGCCTTCTTATCAAAGACATGTGTAATCATTGGTGAGAGTAAAGATGTAAGATTCAGCCTTAAATTGTATCTGTAAAATGTATGTATTTATTTTTAAGAGTTATTAGAAACAAATATGATAAAAATTTAATATGTGCTTAATTTTGTGTTGGGTGTATGAATGCTAATTATATTACCTTCTAGCCTATGTGCCTGGTTTGCAAGCTTCCTTCCAGCATACCCAATTTTCTCATTCTTGGTGACTTCAACATCCATAAAGATAGTCCATACAATGAAGAGGCATTTCAGTTGTTTTTAAGTTTTCATTCAGAATTAATTGTAGACTATGAAGAAGTTACTAAAACAGTACAGAGATTTCCTGTATGCCCATCACCCAACCTACAGCAATACTGACATGTTAAGTAAATGTAGCACCAAAACCAGAAAATTGACATTGGTACCATCTAATTATCTACACTACAAATCTTATGAGATTTCACCAAATATCTACAATACGATGTTATCAAATTTTACCAGTGTTTGCATGCACTTATTTTTGGAGTGAGGTATTCCTTCTACGTTTCATTCCACAATATTTCATCACAGGTGTAGATTCATAAACACAATCACATTGAATATAGAAGTGTTTCTTCACCACAGAAGAATTCCCTTGGGCTCCTCCTGCTGTCACACCCAAATTATGTTTCTTCCCAAACCCCTCTAATCACTGATCTATTCTTCATCTCTATAATTTTGTCATTTCAAAAGTGTTACATAAATGGAATCATACAGTATCTAATCTCTTGACTTTTTAAAATTCAGCATAATGTCCTCAAGATCCACCCAACTTTTTGCAGGTATAAATACCTTATAGCTGATTCATTTTTGAACTACTGAGTAGTGTTCCATTGTATGGATGTACTATGCTTTGTTTCACTAATCATGAGTGAAAGGACATTGCTGTTTCTTCTATTGTGGCATTTATAAATAAAACAACTATAAACATATATGTACAGATACTTAAGTGAACAAAGTTTTCCAGTTTATTGGATAAATTTAATGGCTGAATTGCTGGATTGTATGAAAATGCAAAAGGATTTTCCAGAGTACCTATACTATTTTGCTTTCTCACTGGCAGTGTATGAGACCTCCAATTCCTTCAAATCTCAGCCAGTATTTGAAACTATCAGTATTTTATATTTTAGCTATATTAAGAGGGTAGAATGGTATCTCATTGTAGTTTTTATTTATTGCCCTAAACATTAGTGATGTTGAGCATCTTTTTACGTGTTTATTTGTCATGCATATATGTCTTTGCTGAAGCATCTGTTCGTCTTTTGCCCTGGTTGAATCCAGCTCTCCACTAACTTCATGCCTGTTCCCATAGAACTGAGTGTGGCTGGAGCTCAACACACAACCATGCCCAGCGGTTTCACTGTACATTTATGACCTTGAACCTGAAATGTTCACTTATATCTCCTGAACAGTCATGTAACATTTCCGTAATTGCCTCTCACTCTCCAAAGGAAAATCTTCATGCCATCTCTCTCTTGAAACCTCCTACTTTTTATTTTTTTTAAATCTCTGTCAGGTGATGCTCTTCTGAGAATTACTCAATCTCCCCAGAGGGAACCTACCTGCCCATCTGCCTCTGAGCGCATCTCTCTGCATTTTCTCTCATGCCAGGAAATGGGCTCTGCAAATTCCTGTTTGAAACCACCCTTTCCATTTGTGAAGTTTCCCCTTTTGCCTCCCCAGAAACATTTTATAGCATTATTGCTTCTCCCTCCTGCATCTTCAATGTTTCCTTCTCTAATGGATCCTTCCACTGCAATTGAAACATCCCATCTTATTCTTGTTTACAACACCATCCAAGCCCCCATTCCCCTCTATCCACAGCCTGATTTGTCCTCTTTCCTTTAGAAAAAAAAATTTTTCCAAAGAGTTTTCTGCACTCATGTCTTCATTTTTTCATCCTTCCTCATATCTTCTCATATCTCTATCTCCCTCTCTTAGCTAGATCATTAAATTTATGTTTTTTGCTTGAAAATTTATTTGTGACATAGTAATAAAGTCAAAGCTTTCAAAAACAATCTTTAAATGCATGCGCTGAAAACTGTCATTCCCATTTGAGGTCCTCAGGCATCTTTGCCTTGTTAACAAAGACATATCCTGTTATACTTATTAATACGTTTATATTAATTCACAAATATTTAATAATAAAACAATATATATTTTTTGTCATACAATATATACATTGGCATGCATACTTTTTAAAAGAGCTAACAAATTCTGGAGGGCCTTTTATATCAGGTTTGTTGCTCTTTCTGTGCAGCTACAGAGTATTCTACTGCACAGATAGACAATAATTTATACAGTATTGATGGCCATTTTGGCTGTCACCAGTCTTTTACTGTAAATAACACTGCATTCATTAACTTAGTACATAGATCTTTTGAACATGCACAAATATATCTCTAAGATAAATTCCTAGATGAGGAATTACAGAGAGAAAAGGATGATACTTTATACCTGCTTACATATGTTGAAAATAGCCTTCACTGGAAGTTGTATCCATCTGCATCCTCAGCAGAAATGAGTGAGGAGGGTACCTGATCCCACTCCATCCCCACATGATAATCTATCAAACTTTATGGCCTTTTACATTTTGGTAAGTAAAATGTAACTCTCTAATTTTAATTGGCATGTCTTTTATTATGAGTTGCATTTCTCCTCTTTCCATATCTTTAGGAGCCATTTTTATTTTCTAGAAATTGTGAATCATGACTTAAAGTTATTTTCCTATTAGCTTTTTGGATTTTGAATTATTAATATCATTTTAGAAAATTTTTATCAATAGAGAAAATTTATACTTTGGCTATAACATACATTACCAAAAAATCTCCCAGTTTATTTATTTAATTTTATTAATTTATTAATTTATCTTTTGGGATGGAGTCTCGCTCTGTCACCCAGGCTGGAGTGCAGAGAGGCGCAATCTTAGCTTACTGCAACTTTCGCCTATCAGGTTCAATCCATTCTCTTGCTCAGCCTCTCGAGTAGCTGGGATTACAGGCATGCGCCACCACACTCGGCTAATTTTTGTATTTTTAGTAGAGACTAGGTTTCACCATGTTGGCCAGGTTGGTTTCATACTCCTGTCCTCAGGTGATCTGACCACCTCAGCCTTCCAAAGTGCTGGGATTACAGGGGTGTGCCACCATGACTGGCCACAGTTTATTTATATTTTGATTATGATGGTTCGTGTCATGCTAAAAATAGCTTTTGGTTTTTTGGGTATTTTTTGTTGTTGTCGTTGTTGTTTTGTTTGTCTTGTGAAAAGGTCTGGTCTTGTGACACTTGTGCTATCAACTGCACTCCAGTGCAGTGATGTGATGTCAGCTCACTGTGACCTCTGCAGCCTGGGCTCAAGCCGTCCTCCCACCACAATGTCCCGAGTAGCTGGGACTACAGACATGCACCACCACACCTGGCTAGTTTCTGTATTTTTTGTAGAGACAGGTTTTCACCATGTTGCCCAGGATGGTCTCAAACTTGTGAGCTCAAGCAATCCACTCACCTCGGCCTCCCAAAGTGCTGGGATTATAGAAGTGGGCCATCAGCTGGCATTCTTTTTGTCTTTTTTAATATTTTATTTAATGTCTTCTGAATTGTATCCTATAATTGAAAGTCTTTTTCCACTTTGATTTAAAAACTATTTGGCTATGGCTCCTCCAGGTAATTGTATTTTCTTTATAAAATTATAAGTAGTGTATTTGGATTTATCCTCAAATCATATATAAAGTATGTTTCCACCTTTATTTTATTTCTCATGGCAACTCAGTTGTCCTAATAGCATTCATTGAATAGTGCCTGTTTTACACACTACGTTGATATACAACCTTTATCATAATAAGCATACATTGAAGATATTGCAAGTCTTCTTCCATCACTGTAATACAGCAAATATTACAGTAAAGTGAATCACATGAATTTTTGGTGTCCCAGTACATGTAAAAGTTATGCTTATACTATATTGTAGTCTATTGAGTGCGCAATGACATTATGTCTAAAGCAATCTACATGCATTACTTAAAAAATCCTTTTTTACTAGGAAATGGTAACCATCATCAGAACCTTTATCAAGCCAAACGCTTTGCTGCTGGAGGGTCTTGCTTGATATTGATGGCTGCTGAAGTGGCTGCTGAAGGTAAGACAGGCTGTGCCAATATCTTAAAACAAGACAACAGTGAAGTTTGCCACGTCGATTGACTCATCCTTTTATGAAAGATTTTAATGTAGCATGCAATGCTGTTTGATAGCATTTTATACACAGTAGAACTTCTTTTAAAATGGAAGTCAGTTCTCTCAAACCTTGCCACTGTTTTTATCAAGCAAGTTGAATAAGATGGAATGTGATGGGAGAGGCTTATATATATTGGATATGGGACAGAGGCCAAGAATCATCTCAGGTAGGGTTTGTGTCTCCAATATCTCTGGCTGCTGATTTGTCCATAGTCCTCATACAAGAAATAACAAGTCTGTCCAGCATCTTCATAAGCCTGGATTGACCACCAGCTTTGACTCCAGCTCCTGTAGGCATCTCCTGAATTAAGCAACACAGAAGAGTCCTCTGAAGTCACTGAATCCCAGAAAGGCCCTCCACCTTTAGCACAAGGGAAGTCTTCACCTCTGGACAAAAGAGAAAAAGATAAGGGTAAGTACCAAGAACTGTCCTCTTCCATAGTCAGTTATGGCTTTTGCTATAAGATCGTTTCTGTGTTTCCACCTAGGTGCTACAAGCAGGGGATCATGAGCTTGTTTCAGGAAAAGACAAGAGACATGATGTTTCCTTCTGGAAACTGAGTGCTGCCAACTCAGACTGTGTTGAGCTTCAACTGGGATCCCGGCTTCTGATTTGTCTCCCCATATCACCTCCTTTATTCCAATCACTGAACCTATCCTCATGGAGAGAATGCTTCCTCTGACATTCATTTAAGGAGTTAGAGGACATGCAGGCATTGCTTCGCAGAGGTGAAATGCTGTAGAAGCAGGTTTTGTTGTTTTGCTTACTTTTCTAAATTTTTCTTCCTTGCCTGCCTGGAAAGGTTCAAGGAAGAAACAGACCGTCCCAACTGAAATGATTGAGGAGTGTTTCATGAGGGAAGTATTTATAAAGATGTGCAGGGTTAAGGGAAAGAGACAATGCATGGGTCAGCACTCTAAGCAGCAATACATAGCGGAGCACTAAGTCCTCCCCTAGGCTGAAAGGGACAGGGAAGGAGCAATTACCATTGTCGCCATAGCCATAGCTGTAGCAATAGGGGTGGGAGAGCACCAGCAGGCAGGTGGAGAAGCCTTGCATGGCCAACACACAGCCACACAGCCTGATAAGATTTGGATCTGTGTCCCCACCCAAATCTCATATTGATTGTAACTCCCAATATTGGAGGGAGGGCCTGGTGGGAGCTGATTAGATTTTGGGGACAGTTTCACATGAATGGTATAAACACCATCCCCCTTTGGTATCGCTGTAGTGATAGTGAGTGAGTTCTCATGAAATCTAGTTGTTTAAAAGTGTGTAGTGCCTCCCTCTCTCTCTGTATTTCTCTTGCTCTCACCGTGTGAGATGCCTCTCTCTCCCTTGGCCTTTCACCATGATTGGAAGCTTCCTGTGGCCTCCCCAGAAGCAGAAGCTGCTATGCTTCCTGCATAGCCTATACAGCAATGAGCCAATTAAACCTAGTTTCTTCATAAACTTGCCAGTCTCAGGTATTTCTTTATAGCAATGTGAGAATGAACTAATACCCAGGCAGAGAGCCAGGAGATGGAAATCTGAAGTTGCTCTCCTGCTGTCCTCCAGTCTCCTGCTGGTGTGGCGCAGTGTCACAATTCCACCAGAAGCTAGAATTAAAATGAATCCCACTGATGTGGGACATAAAAGCCACTCTCTTAGGATGTCAAACAGGATAGAGAAGAATGGAAAGCAAAACCTCATAGCAAATGAGACTATCACTCTCACCTTCTTCTATCCTCCTAATTACTGGGCATTCTCTGTCTAAAGGTGATTGATTTCTTTCTCATTTCAGCTCTATCAGACCACTTCAATGTTTGGCATATCTTTCTCTACTGTCACTTCTATGCAGAAATGTTTGCATTCATCAAAAATGCATAGAAAATAAAATGTAATCTAAAAAAGAGAGAACATATTTCTTTGGTTTAGAATATAATTTTGGTGGCTGTAATAAAGAATGAAGTAGAAATATCTTTAAAAAGAAGGTATAGTTGTGCCTCTAGGTCTCTAGATTCTGAATCTGCAGAGTCAACAAATCACAGGTGGAAACTATTTTAAAAATAAGGGTATGGCAGACGTGTGTATGTAGTGAACAGGTAGAAACTTGTTTTTCCTTGTCATTACTTCCAAAAAAAAGTATAGTAAAACAAGAATTAACATGGCAGTTGTATTTTGTCAGTTATTCTAAATAACTTAGAAATGATTTAATGTATCTGGGAGAAAGAGCATAGGGTGTGCACAAATATCGCATCTTTTTATGTAAGGAAATTGAGCATCTGCATATTTTGGTGTGTGCTGGGGTTCCGGAGCAAGAACCAGGGAATGCCCAGAGATGACTATCTGTGAGATCTGAGCTGGAAACTCCAAGACATCATATATCAGAATTCCAAAACTGCAACTCCCCAGTCCCCAGGGAGCTTCCCTCATCCTTGTGATCCTACATGGTTCACAGCCACATCAGCATTCCAGCGTGATGGAAAAGGATGAAGAAAAGGAGGTGCTTTGCTCTTTTGATTGATTCTATGAGCCAGGACTTGCTTACTTCACTTTTGTGCACCTTTCACTGAACAGCACCTGGTCATACAATGGCACCCAGCATCAAGGAAAACTGGAATGTGGGTCCTTGTGCTGCCTTTAGACTCGGTCGTGACCAAAGAGGAAAATCAACATTGGAGCAACCTAGCAGTTCCTTCAGCCCCTCACTGTCTCTGATTCTGTGCTCACATCAAGATTTTTTTCAGGAGCTCCTCTGAAATAATGAATGATGGGGCAGAGAACAGTACAGAAGTTTCATGCAGGGCTCCAGGGACCAGGGGCGGGTACTGGACCTACTCTTCTTGTTGTGATCACAGGAAAACACTTTACTAGTCTAGGCCACAGCTTCATCTTATGTTATATGAGGATAATACCACAGATGGTCTTTAAGGAACACAGGCTAAATGTTGGTGATACCACAGTGAAAAAGACAGGCACGACTTACTCCTTAATGGAGCTTCAAGTTTCATAAGGAAGACAAACATATCAAACCATAAATATAGATGGACAAAGTGTTTAGTGCCCTGAGTGTGGATAACAGAGGCTCTCCTTTTCCTCTCATTTCCTTTTCGGGTCAATCAGGGTGGTGGCAGCTTGTCTCTCTAAGAGAGCTCATGATGGATGCATTCACTCCTGATGCTCCTCTGTATTCCTAGAGGAGGGTGTGTCTCCTTTCCACCTGAAGAGTTCCTGCCCATGTGCATTCTTGGGATTCCAGAGCAAAGGTGGCCTCTGATAGGCAAAAAGGAACTCCTGAATTCATTCCTAAATGCCTTCACTCTCCTCTATATTGTTCCCTATTTGATTTGCTTCTCATTCTCTATCTGAAATTTGTTTAGGTTAGTTTTTTTTTTTCAACCCACAATTTTGCCTGCCAACTTGGATTTAATCTTAAGAATCACTCCTCTGCTTTACCCCCTCTAACATGTATAATCAACACAGAGTGGCACTGGGTGTAAAGGGCTGCTCCAAGACTGGATCATGAGTCAGCCCTGCTGGCCTCAAATCATACTATATAAGTCCCAGAACAAATAATTCACTCTTTTTGTGTACCAATGTATTATTGTCCATATGGGAATAACACTCATTCTTACCTGCTAGGCTCTTCAGATAATGAAAAGAGACAATATCTTAAACACTCTCAATCAGCTGCTGTTATTCTCCCAGATTAGACCCAGTCCTCATTCTCCAGTTGAAATCTGCATGAATATCTCTCTTTATACTCCAAGCCCTACATATCTCCTATTTCCCCTCATGGACTCCTCTCACACAAATGTTTACATCAACAAAGAAACAAACCAAAGATCTCCTGAAAGAGAGAATGAAACAGGTTTACATTGTGTATACCCAGCAGAACACTTAGTAGTCCCCCCATACATATTCCCACACTTCAGTTACCTGCTTCAGTGGCACTCAGACCTCACCCTCACTTACTCTTTCCTCTGCTCTATTGCTGAGCATTTCAGCTCAGACCCACAACCTACACAAATATTCTGTACAAAAATGCTTCTAGGTGTTCAGCAAAGCCACACTGAGTCCTCATTTCAAAGGCACATCAGTGGTCAATTTCAGGTTTGGGGCACACATCAGTAATTCTTTTTTAACACAGATAGAGCTGCCACAAATAGAATTCTGATGAATGAAATTTTCTGTACCTAATTAAACATGGGTGTTCTAATGCCTTACATTGTGCTTTAATTTTTATTTTCCATTTCACCCAAATCTACCATTATCATTAAGTTCCTCATGCATGCATTCATTCATTGAATGAATATTTATGAAGAGCACAGTGTGCTGCTCATGGAAATAGGTACTGGGAGTACAAAATGTAAAATGTGGTCCTGTCTGCAATGACTGACACACTGAGTTATTTCTCAACCACCAGGCCCAGCCATTTTCACACTTGTCCTAGTGAAGGTCACATTTTCCTCTGGTTCATAATGCATGGTCTTCTTTCTTGTCCATAGATGACCAGTCCTAGTCACGAGTGTGTCACAACCACTTCTTTGTGTATCTGAATTCCTCCACCTGAGAGAAAATTTCAGGCCCAGGATAAAGCAATGATCAGGTCCACAGCCCTGGCCACTTGAGTGGGGGTGTTTTGACCATAATGTTATTCCCATGTCAGCATAGAACTTGTGTGGCAATAGAGAGAGGTCAGGCTTTAGAGTCAGCAAGAACTGGATTTCAAACTGGATTTCAGGACCCCCACCTTTTGATAGGTAACTTATTCTCTGCACGTCTCTGATATCTCCTCTTAAAATGACGACAGTAAATCCCACGTGGCAGGGTGGTGCAGAGAATCAGAGATGATACAGCTGTTGATCACCTCTGGTTTGTGTTCCCAGGGACACCAGACTAGGGTTCCTGAGCGTGGATCCAACCATCCCAGCCTTGGGTACAGAACTGACACCAATCAATGGACGTGAGGAGACTCCTTGCTACAAGCAAACCCTGAGCCTCACAGGGCTGACGTGCATCGTTTCCCTTGTCGGGATGACAGGAAATGCAGTCGTGCTCTGGCTCCTGGGCTTCCGCATGCGCAGGAACGCCTTCTCCATCTACATCTTCAACCTGTCCATGGCCGACTTCCTCTTTCTCAGAAGCCACATTATACGTTTTCCGTTAAGCCTCATCAATATCCTCCATCCCATCTTCAAAATCCTCAGCCCTGTGATGATGTTTTCCTACCTTGCAAGCCTGAGCTTTCTAAGCGCCATGAGCACCGAGCGCTGCCTGTACGTCCTGTGGCCCATCTGGTAGCGCTGCCGCCCCCGCCCCTACACCTGTCAGCGGTCGTGTGTGTCATGCTCTGGGCCCTGTCTCTGCTGCGGAGCGTCCTGGAGTGGAGTTTCTGTGACTTCCTGTTTAGTGGTGCTGATTCTGTTTGGTGTTAAACATCAGATTTCATCATAGTAGGGGGGCTGATTTTTTTATGTGTGGCTCTCTGTGGTTCCAGCCTGGTCCTGCTGGTCAGGATCCTTTGTGGGTCCCGGAAGATGCCACTGACCAGGCTGTACGTGACCATCCTGCTCATAGCGCTGGTCTTCCTCCTCTGTGGCCTGCCCTTTGGCATTCGGTTTTTCCTATTTTCATGGAACCACGTGGATTTGGAAGTCTTATATTGTCACGTTCATCTAGTTTCCATTTTCCTTTCCTCTCTTAACGGCCAACCCCAACATTTACTTCTTCGTGGGCTCCTTTAGGCAGTGTCAAAATAGGCAGAACCTGAAGCTGGTTCTCCAGAGGGCTCTGCAGGACACGACTGAGGTGAATGAAGGTGGACGATGGCTTCCTGAGGAAACCCTGGAGCTGTCAGGAAGCAGATTTGGGCAGTGAGGAAGAGCCTCTGTCCTGTCAGATGGGACTTTGAGAGCAACACTGCCCTGCCATCCTTGACAATTGCATGTGTTTTTCTTAGCGTTGCACCTCAGGAATGTCTCAGTGGTTCCTCAGGGTCTTCAAATGGATTTTTATCTATCCTGACGGTTGCAGTTGTCAACCATAGAAAGCATTAGTCTGATAATACAATGTTTAGATTCTCCTTGATATTGCCAATCTATTTTTCCTGTTATCTTACATTGAATCTTTCTTGCTGAACACTTTTTCTGCAATTACCTGGTATTGAAAGGAATTCCTGTCCAAAACCTTAAAACTCTTCTTTATACTTTTTTCCTACCTGATTATATCAAAAGGGAGGATTCCTTATTAATCTCTCAGACTATGTTCCCCTGAAAATCATGTTCCCTTCAATGACTGGAGGCATTACCACAGTTGGAAGCTCGATTCTGAATAAATGAGTTCTGCTATCTCTATGTTCCATTGTATTTTCAGATATAGAGCAAAATAATGTACTTAGAGACAAACTCTCTCTTCATAAAAACAGTCTAGAAAATTGGTTTTATGAAAAGTTCTCTGCTGTAATTGTCCACAGCATGGTGACACGTGGCCTTGGTTTCTAGTAAAAACAACCATGGCCCCTTCCCTTTAAGACTTTGAGAACTGGTAAGTTTTTATTTAGCTCTTCCTGGACTAATAGACCAGTGAGGAGCTAATAAATATGCCCCACCAGTTCCATTTAGGCCACTGAAAACCTCAATATTGGTTTCAAAGTGGAAATTATCTTGAAAGCCATTTATTATTTACTTACAGATACTTTCAATTGTAGAATTCTTCATTCTTCCAGGTTTTGTACAAATTGTTCTGGGTGTAACTTTCAGGTAGTTTTACAGCTGTTAACAAGAGAAGCAAAACTGAACGTATCTGACCTTTCCATGCTAATGTCAATTATAGTATCTGGATAATAACTTACAGTTGGTATAGAATTCTAATACATGTTGTGACATAGATGAACCCGGAAACATTGTGCTAAGGGAAATAAGCCAGACCAAACAACAATATTGTAAGTTCAAATTTTATGAGGTATCGAAACTAGGAAATTTGTGAATACAGAAAGTAAATTAGAAGGATCCTGGTGCTGGATGACGGAGAGAATGTGTAGCCATTATTGAATGAGCACAGACTTTCTGTGTGGAATAATGCAAAGTTCTTAAAACCGACAGTGGTAACGGTTACAACTTATTTTGAATGTACTTAATGACACTGAATTGTACACTTTAAATCATTATAGTTAGAAAGTGTATGTTATGTATATTTTAACACAATTAAAAACAGTTAATTATAGAAATGGGATCAGTACAAAATTCAGGACTGTTCTCCACCAGTGGTTATCCCTTCTACAGATAACTCGAGCAGACAGAAGAGACCACCAAGAGAAGAAGAGACATCACAGCAGGCTCTGTGCTGCTCACAGACAGTGAGGCTGCCCCTCAGATTGGCCCTCACTGAGGGGAGCTGACAAGTGCAATTTGAGTATGCAGGAGACAGTACTAAGTAGCTATGAAAGCAATAAAGAGGTATATAGTTTTCAATTTGTCCAAACAAATTTATTGGTGGCTCCTATCACACTGTTCACAATGTTGAACTCAGGTCCCCTCAGTCCAGATCCATTGCTCTTCCAGGCCCAGCACTCTGCTGATGCTGAATCCCATCTGTCCACCCTCAATTTCCAAATGTTGTAGGAGGACATGGCTGTAGGTGAGGGTTTCCTACAGGTCGGAGGAAGCAGGAAACTGGTGTTTGCAGCCAATGCTCCAGGCCAAGAGCTTTGATTGGATGTCTTTAGTTCAGACCAAGGGTTATTGGGAGAGTCCACTCTGGGAGTCTGTGATATCAATTGTACAGTATTCGCTAAAGATGTTGTCTATCATTAGGAATTCTGTAGAGAATTTTCACCTGGCAATTGAATCAAAGAATGTTGTTTCTCATTTGGAAACCTGCTTATTTTGATGTTAGTGACATTCTTTTTCTTTTGACAGAAGAAAACTTCAGCTTCATGAAAGCTTAGATTCTGTCCCTGAAGCCCAATCCAAACTCACTTGACCTCAACATTGCTCAACTGCAGGACTTATAATAGTGTACTTGAATTATCTGTCCTCACTTCTTTCTCTTCAACTGCACTCTGAGGTCTTTTAAAGCAGGGATAGTCTTTGATTTTCTAGTGCAACAGATTAGGTGTGGAATTTAGAAGATGCTTGGTAAATATTTTTCTCAAGTAGCTCCCGCCTGTAAATCACAGGTTTATCCAACATCTTGCAAAGGCTAGCTGAGTCTCTAGTTCTCACTGGAACTCCTATAGGCACCTCCAACTTCATAGAGTGTCCTCTGCAGTTGGTTGTTCTGAGAACAGCTGTTCCCTTTCATTGCAGGTCTGTTCACTGCCTTTGGGAAGAAGAATGGAGGGGATGTGGGAGTCTGCTCATGAGCTGCCTTCTTTCCAAGGTCAATGATATCACTTCCTCTTGGTTTCATATCAAGGAGGAGCATGCAGGACATCCAGGAGTGTTCTCCAGAAAGTAAGAAAATACATGAAAGTCTGTTGGCACTTTTGGGAGCTGCCATTTATAACTATATTTTAGGCATGAATTCAACAAACATTGAATTCTAATTCATCAGGCACTGTGCTAGTTCTACATAAAAGCAACAGCTTTTAAATAACTCTCTCACTAATACACTTCTATGTCTATAACCAATCCTTTCCACTTCATGAAGAAAATATATTGATTGATGCCGAGCAAATGCTGAGCCTTCGTGGCCATTCACTGATGCTGTAGTACACCTGGGCACAAGAGCACTGAGTCATCACACTCGCAAGAACCAACTGGATCTGCTTCCTGTCCTGCTTTTGCCAATTAAACTTCTCAGTATAGTTACCTAATTTATCAAAATACAGCACAGATCAATGAAAAAAGAGTATGAAAGAAGAACTGCAGTTTCCATAAAAACTAATGTGAATGCTCAAATGGAAAATAAGAGCAGATTCCAAAATTATTGTTAGTTTAGTAGGTGTGAGTCTTTCAACTCTACAAGATTAAACAAAAATGAGAAATACAGAATGATTTGCTAGGACAGAATGCTATGTATCTGATGCTAAGATCTACACATAAACTAATCCAAACTGCAAATCATAGACGATGATTGATAGATATGCTTTCAGCCAGAGTAGAATTCTATTTTCTGAAATCTACACAAACAAATGTTCCACAGTCTAGTTCTATTATAGTGAATGAATTCTGGTAAAATTGAAATGTTCATATTACAAATGTATCATTTTTGTTAATACTGATTAACAGTCATTTTCAATTAATCTACGCACTTGCATTCCTGAATATATCATTAAGTGGGTTTTTCATAGCAATATCTCTCACTTTTTCTACTGTTTATTGTATAAATACACACTGAGCATCATCTATTTTCTAGCTTTCATGCCAGACACTTGGGAGTCAAAGTAAACATACCCACGTTCACAGAGTTCACAGCCTGTGAAGGAAGGACACTAGTGCAGGAAAGACTGCCTCCCAATGTGACACATGCTATCCAAGCATTGTGTTTGTGGCTCAAGGGTGTTCAGAGGAGAGGGTATCTAAAAATTCCAAGTTATCTTGCTGCCATCCTGAAGAGGAATGCCACACCCAAGCACCCAGCTGAAGCAGGACAATATAATTCCAACAAATAAGAGAATGTGCACCAGGTGACTGCTCATGCAAGACAACAATCTCAGCAACAGTTCTATAATTGATGACATTATAAGATTAACAGGCTAAATGTTACAACAGCGCTTGGTCTATAGTCTAACATCGCACAAATGCACAATTCCTGAAAGCATTTTCTAGAGACCCTGCAGGTGCTTAGGTCACAGGCGTTGCAGGACTACCTACTACCATTACCCTGTGTTTCAGCAGAAGAAGCCCTTGCCTCCAGGCAAACCCAACTAATATCTAGAAATCCTAAGATATATAGGGAAGCAGGATATGCAAGTGCCAGAATGGGAAGAACACTGGACCTGGTTTCAGGAATTTGGGATTCTCAAGCTGACTGCATGGCCAACATGGGTCAGATGCTCCTTCGCGGCAAATCAAGCAGAAGTGAGGTTATGGGATTGCCCCAGCCTGAAACTGTGTCATTTGTGCATTTGTGCTTATATATCTCTTTTCAGAATATGTGGGTAAGGTGTGATTTTACCGTAACCATGGACTGAAGATAACTACTGTTATGATCCTGACAGCCTGAGAAATTTACGTCTCTACACAGTGACTGTAATCACAGTAAGTGAATGTTCTTCTCAACTATGGGGCAGTGACCTAGAGTCTGAAAAGTCTGCTGAAATGCTTGCTCTGTATGACTGTCTGGTATCAGTTGGGCACCATTATTGTCAATGTATCAATGCTGGATATAGATATAGATGGCGTGTGTTTTCTATTATCTAGCAGTGACAGCAGAGTATAGAAAAAGAAATCTCAATGCTCATGCCCATCATATTGGTCCAATTGTTCTGGAGCTTTGCAGGATGCAAACACAAGGAAGGAGAGCAGAGACAGGGCAGACCTCATTCCTGAGTGTGTAGGTAGAAGTGAGTGGATCATGGAAGGCTTCGTGTAATAGGTAGAATTTTAACTGATGACTACAATTGACTCAGCATTATTATTATAATTATACCCTCTGTAAATTTTGCCAGTCACGTAGATTTTTGTATTGGGCAAAGAGAGGTAAATAGGATCTAACAGATGGAAATGGAAGAAGAGATAATTTACAGTGGCACTGTTAATAAAAGCATAGAGTTTTTTAGGGAATGGTGAATAATTCATATATGAGTTTTACTCCTTGTGCCACCTCATGTATTTGGTCATGGCGGCAAGATTCCTCTTAAATAGAATCACAAGGCTGGAGTGCTCTAAATAATGAGCATTATCTTTTGTGGCCTTGAAGTGATAGGGCTTGCTGTTAGTTTTGTGACATTCGTAGGAGTGAGCTCTATAATAATGTAAGCCCAGAGAGGACCAGGCATGTCAGGCCAACAGGACAAACCAAAATCAATGCCCTGCTCTCCTTACCCTCCTCACAGTGATATATCCAGACCTCCAGGGCCAGAAGGCATGGATTAAAAAACAAAAAAAATGTGTGGGGGTTAGGGGAGAAGAGAGAAGCAATGGAATGCAGGCCCTTCTCTGGAGCAGCATTTTTACCTGCAAAAGGCCCACATTGGGAGTAAGGGAGACAGTTAATCTGTGAATTAAATCAACATTGTAATTGTCACATAAAAATTCAGACCTAAATTCTGCATAGCTTGATATGGGTAATCAAAAATTCCTATTCAAATTCTGTGTCACCTAGCACCTCTTTGTAACATAATATCTATAGTGTCTTGACATTTGGTTTAATACTGCTGTTTTAACATCTTGGTACACATGTGAGAGAATAATACATATCAACCGCAGACGTTCTGAAATTGAAGAAAATTGTCATTTCCATTCCAGGTATGCAGGCACCCTTGCCTTATTATCAAAGACATGTACGATTATTGCTGAGAGTACAGATGCATGAATCAGCCTTAAGTTGTATCTGTAACAGTGTATGTATTCATTTTAAGAGTTATTGGAAACAAATATGATAACAATTTAATATGTGCTTAATTTTGTGGAAGATGTCTGTTAATGCTTACTACATTATCTTCTAGCGTATGTGCCTGGTTTACAAACTTCCTTCCAGCATAACCCATGTCCTCATTTTTGGTGACTTCAATATCCATGGAGATAAGTCCATACAATGAACTGGCCTTTCAGTTGGTTTTTAAGTTTTTACTGTGAATTAATTGTAGACTACGAAGAAGTTGTGAAAGCAGTACAGAGAGTTCCTGTATGCCCATCACCCGACCTACAGCAATACTTACAAGTTAAATAAATGTATTGTCAAAACCAGGAAATCGACATTGATCCCATCTAATTATCTACACTGTAAATCTTATCAGATTTCACCAAATAACTACAGCACAATCTTACCAAATTTTACCAGTGTTTGCATGCACTCATTTTTGGAGTGAGATATTCCTCTATGTTTCATTCCATAATATTTTGTCACAGGTGTAGATTCATAAACACAATCACATTGAATATAGAAGTGTTTCTTTACCACAGAAGAATTCCCTTGGGCTTCTCCTACTGTCACACACACAGTGTGCTTCTTCCCAAATCCCTCTAATCACTGATCTATTCTTCATGTCTGTAATTTCATCATTTTGAAAGGGTTACATAAATGGAATCATACAGTATCTAATCTTTTGACTTTGGCTTTTTTTATTCAGCATAATGTCCTCAAAATCCACCCAACATTTTCCAGCTATCAATAGCTTATTGCTGACTTTCTTATACTACCGAGTAGTGTTCAATTGTATAGATGTACTATGCTTTGTTTCACTATTCACAAGTGGAAAGACATTGCTGTTTTTTCTAACGTGGCATTTATAAATAAAGCAGCTATACACGTATGTGTACAGACTTTTTTATTTTATTTTAAGTTCTGGGATACATGTGCATAATCTGCAGGTTTCTAACATAGGTATACATCTGCCATGGTGGTTTGCTGCACCTATCAACCCATCATCTAGGTTTTAAGCCCTGCATGCATTAGGTATATGTCATAATGATCTCCCTCCCCTTGATCCCCACCACCCAACAGGATGTGTTCTGTAATGTTCCCCTCCCTGTGTTCAACAGTTCTCATTTTTCAACTCCCAATTATGAGTGAGAACGTGCGTTGTTTGGTTTTCTGTTCCTGTGTTAATTTGCTGAAAATAATGGCCTCCAGCTTCATCCGTGTCCCTGCTAAGGACGTGAACTCATTCTTTCTTATGACTGCATAGTATTCCATAGTGTATATGTGCTACATTTTCTTCATCCAGTCTATCATTGATGGGCATTTGGGTTGGTTCCAAGTCTTTGCTATTGTAAATAGTGCTGCAATAAACATACATGTGCATGTGTCTTTATACTAGAATGATTTATAATCCTGTGGATATATATCCAGTAATGGGATTGCTGGGCCAAATGGTATTTCTGGTTCTACCTCCTTGAGAAATCTTCTCACTGTCTTGCACAATGGTTGAACTAATTTACACTCCTACCTACAGTATAAAAGCTTTCCTGTTTCTCCACAGCCTCATCAGCATCTGTTCTTTCCTAACTTTTTTTTTTTTTTTTTTTGGCGAATTTTTTGTACTTTTAGTAGAGACAGGGTTTCACCATGTTAGCCAGGATGGTCTCGATCTCCTGACCTCATGATCCGCCCACCTCGGCCTCCCAAAGTGCTAGGATTATAGGCATGAGCCACCACGCCCGGCCTCCTAACTTTTTAATAATTACCATTCTGACTGTTGTGAGATGGTATCTCATTGTGGTTTTTATTTGCATTTCTCTAATGACCAGTGATGATGAGCTTTTTTTCATATGTTTGTTGGCCACATAAGTGTCTTCTTTTAAGAGGTGTCTGTTCACATTCTTTGCCCACTTTTTGATGGGCAAAGAGGAACTTTGTCCTCTTTTAAATTTATTTAACTCCCTTTAAGATACTGGATATTAGGCCTTTGTGAGATGGTGAGATTGCAAAAATTTTCTACCATTCTGTAGGTTGCCTGTTCCCTCTGATGATAGTTTCTTTTGCTGTGCAGAAGCTCTTTAGGTTACTTAGATCACATTTGTCAATTTTGGCTTTTTTTGCAATTGCTCTTGGTGTTTTCATCATGAAGTCATTGCCTATGCCTATGTCCTGAATGCGATTGCCTGGATTTTCTTCTGGGGTTTTTTTATGGTTTTGGGTTTTACATTTAAGTGTTTAATCCATCTTGAGTTTATTTTTGTACACAATGTAAGGAAGGGGTCCAATTTTTGTTTTCTGCCCATGGCTAGCCAGTTATCCCAGCACCACTTATTAAATAGGGAATCCTTTCACCATTGCTTATTTTTGTCAGGTTTGTTGAAGATCAGATGGTTGTAGATGTGTGGTGTTATTTCTGAGGTCTCTGTTCTGTTTCACTGGTCTATGTATCTGTTTTGGTAGCAGTACCATGCTGTTTTGGTTACTGTATCCTTGTAGTATAGTTTGAAGTCAAGTAGCGTGATGCCTCCAGCTTTGTTCCTTTTCCTTAGGATTGTCTTGGTAATATGGGCTCTTTTTGGTTTTAAATGAAATGTAAAGTAGTTTTTTCTAATTCTGTGTAGAAAGTCAAGGGTAGCTTGATGGGAATAGCACTGAAACTATAAATTACTTTGGGTAGTATGGCCATTTTCATGATACTGATTCTTCATATCCATGAGAATGGAATTTTTTTCCATTTGTTTGTATCCTCTTTTATTTCCTTGAATAGTGGTTTGCAATTTTCCTTGAAGAGGTCATTCACATCCCTTGTATGCTGTATTCCTAGGTCTTTTATTCTCTTTGCAACAATTGTGAGAGGGAGTTCACTCATGATTTGGCGCTTTGCTTTTCTATTATCGGTGTATAGGAATGCTTGTAATTTTTGTACATTGATTTTGTATCCTGAGATTTTGCTGAATTTCCTTATCAGCTCAAGGAGTTCTGGGGCTGAGATGATGGAGTTTTCCAAATATACAATCATGTCATCTGCAAAGAGAGACAGTTTGACTTCCTGTCTTCCTATTTGAATACCCTTCATTTATCTCTCTTACCTGATTTCCCTGGCCAGAACTTTCAATACTGTGTTGAATAGGAGTGGTGAGAGGGCATTTCTGTCTTGTTTCCAGTTTTTAAAGGAAGTGTTTCCAGTTTTTGCCCAGTCAGTATCATATTGGCTATGGGTTTATCATAATTAACTCTCATTATTTTGAGATATGTTCCATCAATACCTAGTTGATTGAGAGTTTTTAACATGAAGGGATGTTGAATTTTATCAAAGGCTTTTTCTGCATCTATTGAGATAATCACATGGTGTTTGTTATTGGTTCTGTTTATGTGATGGATTACACTTATTGATTTGCATATGTTGAACCAGCCTTGCATCCCAGGGATGAAGCTGACTTGATCGTGGTGGATAAGCTTTTTGATGTGCTGCTGGATTCGGTTTGCCATTATTTTATTGAGGATTTTTACATCGATGTTCCTCAGGGTTATTGGCCTGAAATTTTCTTTTTTTGTTGTGTCTCTGCCAGGTTTTGGTATCAGGATGAAGCTGGCCTCATGAGTTAGGGAGGAGATCTTTTTTTTCTGTTGTTTGGAATCCTTTCAGAAGGAGTGGTAACAGCTCCTCTTTGTGCCTCTGGTAGAATTTGTCTGTCAATCCATCTGGTCTTGAACTTTTTTTCATTGATAGGCTATTAATTATTGCTTCAATTTCAGAACTTGTTATTGGTCTATTCAGGGATTTGGCTTCTTCCTGGTTTCATCGGAGGAGGGTGTATGTGTCCAGGAATTTATCCATTTCTTCTAGATTTTCTAGTTGATTTGCTTAGAGATGTTTATAGTATTCTCTGATGGTAGTTGTATTTCTGTGGGATCAGTGGTGATATCCCCTCTATCATTGTTTATTGTGTCTATTTGATTCTTCTCTCTTCTTCTTTACTAGTCTAGCTAGTGGTCTATCTATCTTGTTAATGTTTTGAAAAAGCCAGCTTCTGGATTCATTGATTTTTTTGAAGGGTTTTTCGTGTTTCTAGCTCCTTCAGTTCTGCTCTGATCTTAGTTATTTCTTGTCTTCTGCTAGCTTTTGAAGTTGCTTGCTCTTGCTTCTCTAGTTTTTTAAATTGTGATGTTAGGGTGTTGATTTCAAGCCTTTTCAGCTTTCTGATATGGGCATTTGGTATATAAATTTCTCTCTTAACACTGCTTTAGCTGTGTCCCATAGATTCTGGTACATTGTCTCTTTGTTCTCATTGATTTCAAAGAACGTCTTTATTTCTGCCTTAATTTTGTTATTTACCCAGTAGTCATTCAGGAGCAGGTTGTTCAATTTCCATGTAGTTGTGTGGTTTTGAGTGAGTTTCTTAATCCTGAGTTCTAATTTGATTGTACTGCAGTCAGAGAGATTGTTTGTTATTGTTTCCAATCTTTTGTATTTGCTGAGGAGTATTTTACTTCCAGTTATGTGGTCGATTTTTAGAATAAGTGCTATGTGGCACTGAGAAGACTGTATATTCTGTTGATTTGGGGTGGAGAGTTCTGTCGATGTCTATTAGGTTCACTTGGTCCAGAGCTGAGTTCAAGTCCTGAATATCCTTGTTTTCTGTCTCTTTGATCTAATATTGACAGTGGGGTGTAAAAGTCTCCTGCTATTATTATGTGGGAGTCTAAGTCTCTTTGTAGGTCTGTAAGAACTTGTTTTATGAATGTGGGTGCTCCTGTATTGGGTGCATATATATTTAGGATAGTTAGTTCTTCTTGTTGCCTTGATCCCTTTACCATTATGTAATGCCCTCCTTTGTCTTTTTTGATCTTCATTAGTTAAAGACTGTTTTATCAGAGACTAAGATTGCAACCGCTGCTTTTTTTTGCTTTCCATTTGCTTGGCAAATATTTTTCCATCCCTTTATCTTGAGCCTATGTGTGTCTTTGCACGTGAGATGAGTCTCCTGAATATAGCACACCTATGGGTCTTCACTGTTTATCCAATTTGCCTGATGCTAGCTGGGTATTTTGCACATTAGTTAATGCAGTTTCTTCATAGTGTCATTGGTCTTTATATTTTAGCGTGTTTTTGCAGTGGCTGGTACCAGTTTTTCCTTTCTATATTTAGTGCTTCCTTCAGGAGCTCCTGTAAGGCAGGCCTGGTGATGACAAAATCCCTTACAATTTGCCTGTCGGGAAAGGATTTTTTTTCTTCTTTCCTTATGGAGCTTAGATTGGCTGGATATGAAACTCACGGTTGAAAATTCTTTTCTTTAAGAATGTTGAATATTGGCCCCCACTCTCTTCTGCCTTGTGGAGTTCCTGCAAAGAGATCCGCTGTTATTCTGATGGGCTTCCCTTTTAGGTAGCCTGACCTTTCTCTCTTGCTGCCTTTAACATTTTTTCCTTTATTTCAACTTTGGAGAATCTAACAATTATGTGTCTTGGGGTTGCTCTTCCCGAGGAATATCTTAGTGTTGTTCTCTCTGTTTCCTAAATTTGAATGCTGGCCTGTCTTGCTAGGATGGTGAAGTTCTCCTGGATAATATCCTGAAGTGTATTTTTGAACTTGGTTCCATTCTCCCCATCACCTTCAGTTGCACCAATCAATTGTAGGTTTGTCTATTCACATAGTCCCATATTTCTTGGAGGTTTTGTTCATTCATTTTCATTCTTTTTTCTCTAATCTAGTCTTCATGCCTTATTTCAGTAAGTTGATCTCCAACCTCTGATATTCTTTCTTCTGCTTGATTGATTCAGCTATTGATACTTGTGTATACTTCACAAAGTCCTTGTGCTGTGTTTTTCAGCTCCATCAGGTCACTTATGTTCCTCTCTGTACTGGTTATTCTAGTTAGCAGTTCCTGTAACCTTTTATCAAGGTTCTTAGCTTTCTTGCATTGGGTTAGAATATGCTCCTTTAGCTCAGAGGAGTTTGTTATTACCCACCTTTTGAAGCCTACTTCTGTCAATTCATCAGTCTCATTCTCCATGCAGTTTTGCGCTGTTGCTTGAGAGGAGTTGCGATAGTTTGGAGGAGAAGAGGCTTTCTGGTTTTTGGAATTTTCAGTATTTTTGCACTGCTTTCCTCATATTTCTGGATTTATCTACATTTGATCTTTTAGGCCGATAACCTTTGGGTGGGGTTTTTGTGTGGGGGTCTTTTTAGTTGATGTTGATGTTATTGCTTTCTGTTTGCTAGTTGGTCTTCTAACAGTCAGGCCTCTCTTCTGCAGGTCGGCTGCAGTTTGCTGGAGGTCCAATCCAGACCCTGTTCACCTGGGTATCACCAGTGGAGGCTGCAGAACAGCAAAAGATGGCTGCCTGATCCTTTCTCTGGAAGCTTCATTCCAGAGGGGCACTGGCCTGATGCCAACTAGAGCTCTCCTGTATGAGGTGTCTGTCCACCCCTGTTAGGAGGTCTCTCCCAGTTGGGAGGCACGGGGGTCAGGGACCCACTTGAGGAGGCAATCTGTCCCTTAGCAGAGCTGGTGCACTGTGCTGGGAGAACCCCCCTTGTCAGGATCAGCTGCTATCTTCAGAGGCAGCAGGCAGGAAAGATTAAATCTGCTGCGGTTGCGCCCACAGCCTCCCCTTCCCCCACGTGCTCCATCCCAGGGAGATAGGAATTTTATCTGTAAACCCCTGACTGCGCCTGCTGTCTGTCCTTCAGAGATGTCCTGCCCAGTGAGGAGGAATCTAGAGAAGTAGTCTGGCCATAGCTGCTTAGCCGCGCTGTGGTGAATTCCGCCCAGTCCAAACCTCCCAGCCTTCTTAGCACTGTCAGGGGAAAACCGCCTACTAAAGCCTCAGGAATGGCGGATACCCCTCTCTCCACAAAGCTCAATCGCCCCAGGTCGACTTCAGACTGCTGCGCCGGCAGTGAGAATTTCAAGCCAGTGGTTCTTTGCTTGCTGGGCTCTGTGGGAGTGGGACCCATTGAGGCAGGGGACCACTTGTCTCCCTGGCTTCAGCCCCCTTTCCAGGGGAGTGAACGGATCTGTCTCACTGGAGTTCCAGGCACCACTGGGGTATGAAAAAAACTCCTGCATCTAGGTCGGTCTCTGCCCAAACAGCTGCCCAATATTGTGCTTGAAACCCAGAGCCCTGGTGGTGTAGGCACACGAGGGAATCTCCTGATCTGCGGATCGCAAAAACCATTTCAAAAGCGTAGTACTGGGCTGGTAGCAGGGTTCCTCACAGCTTCCCTTGATTGGGGGACAGGTGTCCCCTGGCTCCTTGTACTTCGCAGATGAAGCGATGCCCCACCCTGCTTCTCCTTGCTCTCCGTGGGTTGTACACACTGCCTAACCAGTCTCAATGAGATGAACTGGGTACCTGAGTTGGAAATGCAGAAATCACCAGTCTTCTGCGTTGGTCCCGCTGGGAGCTGCAGACCAGAACTGTTTTTATTTGGCCATCTTGGCCCCCCTCCTGTACAGATTTTTAAGTGAACACAGTTTCCCAGTTTCTAGGATACATTTTCCAGGTTCTAGGATACGCTGGATTGCTGGATTATATGAAAATGCAAGAAGATTTCCCAGAGTAGCTCTACTATTTTACTTTCTCATTGGCAGTGTATGAGACCTCCAATTCCTTCAAATCTCAGCCAATATTTGAAACTATCAGTATTTTATATTTTAGCCATATTGAGAGGGTAGAGTGGTATCTCGTGACTTTTATTTGTTGTCCTAAACATTAGTGATGTTGAGCATCTTTTTATGTGTTTATTTGTCATGCATATATGTCCTTGCTGAAGTATCAGTTCGTCTTTTACCCTGCTTGAATCCAGCTCTCCACTAACTCCATGCCTGTTCCCATAGAACAGAGTGTGGCTGCAGCACAACACACAACCATGCCCAGCGGTTTCACTGTACATTTATAACCTTGAACCTGAAAGGTCCATTTATATCTCCTGAACACTCACGTAACATTTCCATAATTGCCTCTCACTCTCCAAAGGAAAATCTTCACGACATTTTCTCTCTCCTGAAACCGCCTACTCTTTATTTATTTTTTTAATCACTGTCAGGTGATGCTCTTCTGAGAATTACTCAATCTCCCCAGAGGGAACCTACCTCCCCATGTGCCTCTGAGCACACCTCTCTGCATTTTCTCTCATGCCAGGAAATGGGCTCTGCAAATTCCTGTTTGAAACCACCCTTTCCATTTGTGCAGTTTCCCCTTTTGCCTCCCCAGAAACATTTTATAGCATTATTGCCTCTCCCTTCTACATCTTCAATGTTTCCTTCTCTAATGGATCCTTCCATTGCAACTGAAACACCCCATCCTATTTGTGGCATAAAACACCATCTAAGCAACCATTCGTCTCTATCCACAGCCTGATTTATCTTCTTTATTTTAGAAAAAAATATCTTCCAAAGAGATTTCTGTACTCATTATCTTCATTTCCTCACCCTTCCTTGTATCTTCTCATATCTCTAACTCCCTCTCTTAGCTAGATCATTAAATTTATGTTTTTTGTTTGAAAATTTATTTGTGACATGGTAATAAAGTCAAAGCTTTCAAAAATAATCTTTAAATACACTCACTGAAAACTGTCATTCCCATTTTAGGTCCTCAGGCATCCTTGCCTTGTTAACAAAGACATATCCTATTATACTTACTAATAAGTGTATATTAATTCACAAATATTTAATAATAAAACAATATATATATTTTTCATACAATATATACATTGGTCTGCATTCTTTTTAAAAAATCTAACAAATTCTGCAGGGCCTTTTATATCAGGTTTGTTGCTCTTTCTGGGTAGCTACAGAGTATTCTATTGCATAGATAGACAGTAATTTATACAGTATTGATGGCCATTTTGGCTGTTACCAGTTTTTGACTGTAAATAACACTGCATTTATTAACTCAGAACATAGATCTTTTGAACATGCACAAATATATCTCTAAGATAAATTCTTAGATGAGGAATTACAGAGAGAAAAGGATGGTGCTTTATACATGCTTCCATATGTTGAAAACAGCCTTCACTGGAAGTTGTATCCATCTGCATCCCCAGCAGAAATGAGTGAGGGTACCTGATCCCACTCCATCCCCACACTGTATGCTATAAAACTTAATGGTTTTTTAGATTTTGGTAAATAAAATATAACTCTGTAATTTCAATTGGCATGTCTTTCATTATGAGTTGAATTTCTCCTCTTTCCATATGTTTAGGAGCCATTTTTATTTTTTAGAAATTGTGAATCATGACTTAAAGTTATTTTCTTATTACCTTTTTCAATTTTGAATTATTAACATCATTTAGAAAAATTTGTATCAATAGAGAAAATTTATACTTTGGCTATAACATACATTACCAAACATCTCCCAGTTTATTTATTTAATTTTATTAATTTACTAATTTATTTCTTGAGATGGAGTCTCGTTCTGTCACCCAAGCTGGAGTGCAGAGGCACAGTCTTGGCTCACTGCAAATTTCGTCTACTAGGTTCAATCCATTCTCTTGCTCAGCCTCTCGAGCAGCTGGGATTACAAGCGTGTCCCACCACAACGAATTAATTTTTGTATTTTTAGTAGAGACCAGGTTTCACCATGGTGGCCAGGCTGGTCTCATACTCCTGACCTCAGGTGATCTGCCTGCCTTGGCCTCCCAAAGTGCTGGGATTACAGGGGTGAACCACCATGCCTGGCCACAGTTTATTTATATCTTGATTATGATGGTTAATGTTATGCTAAAAAAAATAACTTTTTTTTTTTTTGAGACAAAGTCTGGCTCTATCAGCCAGGGGAGTGCAATGGTGTGATGTCAGCTCACTGTAACCTCCACGGCCTGGGCTCAAGCCATCCTGCCACCACAACGTCCCAGGTAGCTGGGACTACAGACATGCACCACCACACCAGGCTAGTTTTTGTATTTTTTGTAGAAACGGGTTTTCACTATGTTGCCCAGAATGGTCTCAAACTTGTAAGCTCAAGCAATCCACCCACGCAGCCTCCCAAAGTGCTGGGATTACAGGAATGGGCCATCACAGCTAGCCTTTTTGTCTTTATAAATATTTTCTTTAATATCTTCTGAATTGTATCCTATAATTGAAAGTCTTTTTCCACTTTGATTTAAAAACTATTTGGCTATGGCTTCTCCAGGTAATTGTATTTTCATTATAAAATTTTAAGTAGTGTATTTGCATGTATCCTCAAATCATATGTAAAGTATGTTTCCACCTTTACTTATTTCACACAGAAACTCAGTTGTCCCAATCCCATTCATTCAATTGTGCCTGTTTTACACACTACTTTGATATACAACCTTTATCATAATAGGCATACATTGAAGATATTAGAAGTCCACTTCCACTACTGCAATAAAGCAAATATTACAATAAAGTGAATCACATGAATTTTTGGTGTCCCGGTACATGTAAAATTTATGCTTACACTATACTGTACTCTATTGAGTCTCAATGGCATTATGTCTAAAGCAATGTGCATGCATTACTTAAAAAAATACTTTTTCACTAAGAAATGGTAACCAGCATCAGAAACTTTATCAAGCCAAACGTTTTGCTGCTGGAGGGTCTTGCTTGATATTGATGGCTGCTGAAGTGGCTGCTGAAGGTAAGACAGGCTGTGCCAATATCTTAAAACAAGACAACAGTGAAGTCTGCCACATCAACTGACTCATCCTTTTATGAAAGATTTTAATGTAGCATGCAATGCTATTTGCATAGCATTTTATACACAATAGAACTTCTTTTAAAATGGGAGTCCATTCTCTCAAACTGCGCCACTGTTTTTATCAAGCAAGTTGAACAAGATGGAATGTGATGGGAGAGGCTTATCTCTATTGGATATGGGACAGAGGCCAAGAATCATCTCAGGTAGGGTTTGTGTCTCCAATACCTCTGGCCACTGATTTGTCCATAGTCCTCATACAGGAAATAACAAGTCTGTCCAGCATCTTCATAAGCCTGGATTGCTCACCAGCTTTGACTCCAGCTCCTGTATGCATCTCCTGAATTAAGCAACACAGAAGGGTTCTCTGAAGTCACTGAATCCCAGAAAGGCCCTCCACCTTTAGCACAAGGGACGTCTTCACCACTGGACAAAGGAGAAAAAGATAAGGGTAAGTACCAAGATTTGTCTTCTTCCATAGTCAGTCATGGTTTTTGCTATAAGATCGTTTCTGTTTCCACCTAGGTGCTACAGGCAGGGGATCATGAGCTTGTTTCAGGAAAAGACAGGGGACATGAAGTTTCCTTCTGGAAACTGAGTGCTGCCAACCCAGACTGTGTGAGTTTCAACTGGAGTCCCCCCATTTGATTTATCTGTCCATATCACCTCCCTTATTCCAATCACTGAACCTGTCCTCTTAGAGAAAATGCTGCCTCTCACATTCATTTAAGGAGCTAGAGGACATGCAAGCATTGCTTCACAGAGTTGAACTGCTGTAGAAGCAGGTTTTGTTGTTTTACTTACTTTTCTAAATTATTATTCCTTGCCTGTCTGGAAAGGTTCAAGGAAGAAATAGGTGGTCCAAACTGAAATGACTGAGGAGTGTTTCGTGAGGGAAGTATTTACAAAGATGTGCAAGGTTAAGGGAAAGAGACAATGCATGGGTCAGCACCCTAAGCAACAATACATAGGGGAGGACTAAGTCCTCCCCTAGGCTGAAAGGGAGAAGGAAGGAGCAGTTACCATTGTCGCCATAGCCATAGCTGTAGCCATAGGGGTGGTAGAGCTCCAGCAGGCAGGTGGAGAAGCCTTGCACGGCCAACACACAGCCACACAGGCTGATATGCTTTGGATCTGTGTCCCCAACCAAATCTCAGGTTGATTGTAATTCCCAGTGTTGGAGGGAGGGCCTGGTGGGAGGTGATTAAATAGTGGGGATGGTTTCTCATAAATGGCTTAACACTATCCCCCTTCGGTATTGCCTTAGTGATAGTGAGTTCTCATGCAATCTAGTTGTTTAAAAGTGTGTAGCACCTCTTCCCTGTCTCTCTTGCTCCTGCTCTCACCATGTGAGATGACTTGCTCCCCCTTTGCCTTTCACCATGATTGGAAGCTTCCTGAGGCCTTCTTAGAAGCAGAAGCTGCTATGCTTCTTGCATAGCCCGCAGAGCCATAAGCCAATTAAACCTGTTTTCTTCATAAATTTCCCAGTCTCAGGTATTTCTTTGTAGCAATTCAAGAATGAACTAATACACAGGCAGAGAGCCAGGAGGTGGAAATCCCAAGTGGCTCTCCTGCTGTCTTCCAGTCTCATCCAGGTGTCTCCCAGTGTCTCAATTCCACCAGAAACTGGAATTAAAAAGAATCCCACTGATGTGGTGCATAGAAGCCACTCTCTTGGGGTGTCAAACAGGATAGAGAAGAATGGAAAGCAAATCATCATAGCAAATGAGACTATCCCTCTCTCCTTCTTATATCCTCCTAATTCCTGGGACAGTCTCTGTCTACAGGTGATTGATTCCTGTCTCATTTCAGCTCTTTCAGACTACTTTAATGTTCGGCATGTCTTTCTCTACTGTCACTTCTATGCAGAAATGTTTGCATTCATCCAAAATGCATAGAAAATAAAATGTAATTTTAAAAAGAGAACATATTTCTTTTGTTTAGAATACAAGTTTGACCCCTCTCATAAAGACACAAAGTAGAAATATCTTAAATAAGAAAGTACAGTGGTGCCTCTGGGTCACTAGGTCCTGAATCTGCAGATTCAACAACCCACAGGTGGAAACTGTTCCAAAAATAAGGGTATGGCGGAGGTGTGCATGTACTGAACAGGTACAAACTTGTTTTTCCTTGTCATTACTTCTGAAATAACACAGTAAAACAAGAACTTACATGGCATTTGCATTTTGTCAGTTATTCTAAGTAACTTAGAAGTGATTTAATGTATCTGGGAGAAAGTGCATAGGTTTTGTACAACTATCACATCATTTTATATAAGGAAATTGAGCATCTGCAGATTTTGGTGTGTGCTGGGGTAGCAGCACACACATCTGCCATATGCGAAAGCCCCTGTGAATATCCAGAAATGACACTCTTTGAGATCAGTGCGGGAAGCTCCAAGGCATCGTACATCAGAATTCCAAAAACTGCTACTCTCGAGTCCCTAGAGAGTTGCCCTCATACCTGTGATCCTATATGGTTCCCAGCCACACCAGCATTTCAGCATGATGGAAAAAAAATAAGGAAAGGAGATGCGTTGCTCCTGCTATTGGTCCTGTGAGCCAGGACTTGCTTACATCACTTTTGTGCATCTTTCACTGAACAGCACCTGGTCATAAAATGGCACCCAGCATCAAGGAAAACTGGAATGTAGGTCCTTGTGCCGCTTTTAAACTCTCAGAATTTTTATGTGACCAAACAGGAAAATGAACACTGGGGCAACCTAGCAGTCTCTTCTGCCTCTGTCTCTGATTCTGTACTCACATCAAGATTTTTCAGGAACTCCTCTGAAATAATGAATCATGCGGCAGAGAACCATACAGAAGTCTCATGCAGGGCTCCAGGGACCAGGGGCTGGCATTGGGCCTGCTCTTCGTGTTGTGAACTCATGAAAACACTTTAATTCTCTAGGCCTCGGCTTCATCTTATGTTATATTAAGATAATACCATAGATGATCTTTAAAGAACACATGCTAAATGTTGGTGATACCACAGTGGAAAAGACAGGCATGACTAGCCGTTATGAAGCTTCAGGTTTCATGAGGAAGACAAACACACCATTACCCTAAATATAGAGGGACAATGTGTTTAGTGCCCTGCCTGTGGATAACAGAGGTTCTCCTTTTCCTCCCATTTCCTTTTTGGGCCAAGCAAGGCTGTGGCAGCTTGTCTCTCTAAGAGAGCTCATGATGGATGCACTCACTCCTGATGCTCCTCTGTAATCCCAGAGGAGGGTGAGTCTTCTTTCCACCTGGAGGCCTCCTGTCCCTGTGCATTCTCGGGATTCCAGAGCAAAGGTGGCCTCTGATAGGCAAAAAGGAACTCCTGAATTTGTTACTAAATGGCTTTCACTCTTCTCTATTTTGTTCCCTATTTGACCTGCTTCTCTTTCTCTATCTGAAGTTGGTTTAGGTTAGTTTTTTTTTTTTTCAACCCACAATTTTGCCGCCAACTTGGATTTAATCTTGAGAATCCCTCCTCTCCTTTACCCGCTCTAACATGTATAATCGACACAGAGTCGTGCTGGGTGTAAAGGGCTGCTCAAAGACTGGATCATGAGTCAGCCCTGCTGGGCTCAAATTCATACTATATAAGTCCCAGAATGAATAATTCACTCTTTTTGTGTTCCAATGCATTATCTGACATATGGGAATAATACTCATTCTTAACTCCTAGGCTCTTCAGATAATTAAAACAGACAATACCTAATAAACTCTCCATCAGCTGCTCTTATTCTCCCAGATTAGACCCAGTCCTCATTCTCCAGTTGAAATCTACATGAATATCTCTCTTTATACTCCAAGCCCTACATATCTCCTATTTCGCCTCATGGACTCCTCACATACAAATGTTTGCATCAACAAAGAAACGAACCAAAGATCTCCTGAAAGAAAGAATGAAATAGGTTTATATTGTGTATACTCAGCAGAATACTCAGTAGTGCCCCACAGATATTCCCACACTTTAATTACCTGCTGCAGTGGCACTCAGGCTCACCCTCACTTACTCTTTCCTCTGTTCTATTGCTGAGCAATTCAGCTCAGACCCACACCCTACCCAAAACACTGTGTACAAAATGCTTCTAGGGGTTCGGCAAAGCCACACTGAGTCCTTATTTTAAAGGCACATCAGTGGTCAATTTCAGGTTTTGGGCACTCATCAATCATTCTTCTCAACACAGATAGAGCTGTCCACAAATAGAATTCTGATGAATGAAATTTTCTGTACCTAATTAAACATGGGTGTTCTAATAACTTACATTGTGCTTTCATTTTTGTTTTCCATTTCACCCAAATCTACCATTACCATTAGGCTTCTCATGCATGCATTCATTCATTGAATGAATGTATATGAAAAGCACAGTGTGCTGCTTATGGAATAGGCACTAGGAGTATAAAATGTAAAATGTGGTCCTGTCTGCAATGACTGACATGCTGAGTTATTTCTCACCCACCAGGCCCAGCCATTTTCACACTTATCCTAGCGAAGGTCACATTTTCCTCTGGTTCATAATGCATGGTCTCCTTTCCTGTCCATGGATGATCAGTCCTGGTCATGAGGGTGTCACAACCACCTCTTTGCATACCTGAATTCCTCCCCCTGAGAGAAAATTTCAGGCCCAGGATAGAGTAATCATCGGGTCCACAGCCCTGGCTAGATGAGTGGGGGTGTTTTGATCCTAATGTTATTCCCATGTTAGCACAGAACTTGTGTGGCAGTAGAGAGAGGTCAGGCTTCAGAGTCAGCAAGAACTGGATTTCAAACTGGATTTGAGGACCCCCACCTTTTGATAGGTGACTTATTCTCTGTGAGTCTCTGATCTGCCCTCTTTAAATGAGGAAGTAAATCCCACATGGCAGGGTGGTGGGGAGAATCAGAGATCATACAGCTGGTGATCACAACTGGTTTCTGTTTCCAGGGTCACCAGACTAGGGTTTCTGAGCATGGATCCAACCATCTCAACCTTGGACACAGAACTGACACCAATCAACGGAACTGAGGAGACTCTTTGCTACAAGCAGACCTTGAGCCTCACGGTGCTGACGTGCATCGTTTCCCTTGTCGGGCTGACAGGAAACGCAGTTGTGCTCTGGCTCCTGGGCTGCCGCATGCGCAGGAACGCCTTCTCCATCTACATCCTCAACTTGGCCGCAGCAGACTTCCTCTTCCTCAGCGGCCGCCTTATATATTCCCTGTTAAGCTTCATCAGTATCCCCCATACCATCTCTAAAATCCTCTATCCTGTGATGATGTTTTCCTACTTTGCAGGCCTGAGCTTTCTGAGTGCCGTGAGCACCGAGCGCTGCCTGTCCGTCCTGTGGCCCATCTGGTACCGCTGCCACCGCCCCACACACCTGTCAGCGGTGGTGTGTGTCCTGCTCTGGGCCCTGTCCCTGCTGCGGAGCATCCTGGAGTGGATGTTATGTGGCTTCCTGTTCAGTGGTGCTGATTCTGCTTGGTGTCAAACATCAGATTTCATCACAGTCGCGTGGCTGATTTTTTTATGTGTGGTTCTCTGTGGGTCCAGCCTGGTCCTGCTGATCAGGATTCTCTGTGGATCCCGGAAGATACCGCTGACCAGGCTGTACGTGACCATCCTGCTCACAGTACTGGTCTTCCTCCTCTGTGGCCTGCCCTTTGGCATTCAGTTTTTCCTATTTTTATGGATCCACGTGGACAGGGAAGTCTTATTTTGTCATGTTCATCTAGTTTCTATTTTCCTGTCCGCTCTTAACAGCAGTGCCAACCCCATCATTTACTTCTTCGTGGGCTCCTTTAGGCAGCGTCAAAATAGGCAGAACCTGAAGCTGGTTCTCCAGAGGGCTCTGCAGGACGCGTCTGAGGTGGATGAAGGTGGAGGGCAGCTTCCTGAGGAAATCCTGGAGCTGTCGGGAAGCAGATTGGAGCAGTGAGGAAGAGCCTCTGCCCTGTCAGACAGGACTTTGAGAGCAACACTGCCCTGCCACCCTTGACAATTATATGCGTTTTTCTTAGCCTTCTGCCTCAGAAATGTCTCAGTGGTTCCTCAAGGTCTTCAAATAGATGTTTATCTAACCTGACAGTTGCGGTTTTCACCCATGGAAAGCATTAGTCTGACAGTACAATGTTTAGATTCTCCTTGATATTACCAACACATTTTCCCTGTTATCTCACACTGAATCTTTCCTACAGAACACTTTTTCTGCAATTTTCTTTGTAATAAAAGGAGTTCCTGTACAAAACCCTAAAACACTCTTTATACTTCTTTCCTACCTGATAGCATCAAAAAGGAAGATTCCTTATTAATCTCTCAGACTATGTTCCCCTGAAAATCATGTTCCCTTCTATGACTGGAGGCATTACTGCAGTTAGAAGCTCGATTCTTAATAAGTGAGTTCTGCTATCTCTACATTCCATTGAATTCTCAGATACAGAGCAAAATAATGTCCTTAGAGACAGACTCTCTCTTCATAAAAACACTCTCACCTATTGGTTTTATAAAAAGTCTTCCCCTGTCATTTGTTCACAGCATGGTGATATGTTGGCCTTGGTTTCTAGTAAAGACAACTGTGGCCCCTTCCCCTTGAGAACTTTTAAGTGCTTATTTAGCTCTTCCTGGACTAATGGACCAGTGAGGAGCCCATAAATGTGCCCCAGTTCTATTTTGGCCATTGGAAACCTCAATATTGGTTTCAAAGTGGAAATTATCTTGAAAACCATTTATTATTTGCTTACAGACTCTTTCAGTTGTAGAAGAATTCTTCATACTTCCAGGTTTTGTACAAATTGTTCTGGCTGTAACTTTCAGTTAGTTAAATGGCCATTAACATGAGAGGCAAGACTGATAACATCTGACTTTTCCATGCTAATGTCAATTATGGTATCTTGATAATAACTTACAGTTGGTATAGAATTCTGATACATGCTTGACATAGATGAACCTGGAAACATTCTGCTAAGGAAAATAAGCCAGATACCAAAGAACAGTAAGTTCAAATTCTACCAGGTATCCAAACTAGGAAATTCGTGAACACAGAAATTAAATTAGGAGGATCCTGGTGCTAGATGATGGGGAGAATATGTAGCCATTATTAAATGAGCACAGAATTTCTGTGTGGAATAATGAAAAATTCTTAAAAGGGACAGTAGTAACAGTTACAACTTATTGTGAATGTACTTACTGACACTGATTGTACACTTAAAATGGTTAAAGATGTAAAATGTATGTTATGTAAATTTTACCACAATTAAAAACAGTTAATTATAGAAATGGGATCAGTACAAAATTCAGGACTATTCCCCACCAGTGGTTATAATTTCCACAGATAACTCAAGCAGGCAGAAGAGATTATCAAGAGAAAATGTGACATCACAGCAATTAACCCTCACTGAGGGGAGCTGACAACTGCAATTTGAGTACGCAGGAGACTGTACAAAGTAGCTGTGAAACCAATAAAGAGGTATATAGTTTTCAATTTGTCCAACCAAATTTATTGGTGGCACTTATAACACTGTTCACAATGTTGAACTCAGGTCCCCTCAGTCCTCCAGATCCATTGCTCTTCCAGGCCCAGCCCTCTGCTGATGCTGAATCCCATCTGTCCACCCTCAATTTCCAAATGCTGTAGTAGGACATGGCTGTTGGCGAGGGTTTCCTACAGGTCGGAGGAAGCAGGAAGCCAGTGTTTGCAGCCAATGCTCCAGGCAAGGAGCTTTGATGTGATGTCTTCAGTTCAGGCTGAGGGTTATTGGGAGAGTCCACTCTGGGAGTCTGTGATATCAATTGTACAGTTTTGGCTAAAGATGATGTCTATCATGAGGAATTCTGTAGAAAATTTTCACCTGGCAATTGAATCAAATAAAGTTTGTCCTCACCTGGGAAACTGCTTATCTTGATGTCAGTGACATTTCTTTTCTTTTGACGGAAGAAAACTTCAACTTCGAGAAGGCTTAGATTATATCGCTGAAGCCCATTCTGAACTCACCTGACCTCACACATTGCTCTACTACAGCACTTATAACAGTGCATTGAATTATTTGTCCTCACCTCTTTCTCTTCTACCACACCCTCAGTTCTTTAAGAGCAGAGAACATGTCTTTGAATTTCTAGTGCAACAGACTAGGTGTGGAATTTAGAAGAAGCTCAGAACTATTTTTCTCAAGCAGCTCACACCTGGGAGTCACAGGGTTGTCCAGCATCTTGCAAAGGCTAGCTCAGTCACCAAGTCTCACTGGAACTCCTATAAGCACCTCCCACTTAACAGAGTGTCCTCTGCAGTTGGTCATTCTGAGAACAGCTGTTGCCTTTTATCGCAGGTCTGCTCACTGCCTCTGGGAAGAAGAATGGAGGGGATGTGGGAGTCTGCTCATGAGCTGCCTTCTTTCCAAGGTCAATGATATCATTTCCTCTCAGGTACATGTCAAGGAAGAGCATGCAGGACATTCAGGAGTGTTCTCCAGAAAGTAAGAAATGATATGAAAATCTCTCACGGCACCTTTTGGGAGCTGCCATTCATGACTATTTTTTAGGCATGAATTCAACAAACATTCAAACCTAATTCATCAGGCACTGTGATAATTCTACATAAAAGCAAACGCCTTTCAAATAAGCCTCTCACTAATATATTCTATGTCTATAACCAAACCTTTCACCTTCATGAAGAAAATATATTGATTGATTCCGAGCAAATGCTGAGCCTTCATGGCAATTCACTGATGGTCTAGTAGTACACCTGGGCTCAAGGACACTGAGTCATCAGCCTCAGAAGAACCAATTGGATCTGTTTCTCGTCCTGCTTTTGCCAATTAGGCTTGTCAATATAATTTCCTAATTTATCAAAATACAGCACAAGTTAATGAAACAAGAGTATGAAAGAAGAATTGCAGTTTCCATAAAGCTAATGTGAATGCTTAAATGGAAAATAAAAGCAGGTTCCAAAATTGTTAGTTTAGTAGCTGTGAGTCTTCCAACTCTACAAGATTAAACAAAAATGAAAAATATTGAACAACATTTTTAGACAGAATGCTATGCATCTGATGCTAAATTCTACTCTTAAACTAATCCAAACTGCAAATCACAGAGAATGATTGATAGCTATGCTTTCAGCAAGACAGAGTAGAATTCTATTTGCTGAAACCTACACAAAGAAATGTTCTTTAGTCTATTTCTATTATACTGAACAAATTACAGGTAAAAATGAAATATTCATGTTACAAATGTATCATTTTTTATAAATACTGATTAACAGACATTTCCAATTAACCTATCCACTTCCATTCCTGAATATATTATGACTGGGCTTTTCATAGCAATATCTCCACTTATTCCACTATTTATTGTTTAAATACATACTGAGCATCTTCTACTCTCTGGCTTGCATGCCAGACACTTGGGAGTCAAAGTAAACATACCCACATTCCCAGAGCGCACAGCCTGTGAAGGACACTAGTGCAGGAAAGACTGCCTCCCAATGTGACACATGCTATCCCAGCATTGTGTTTGTGGCTCAAGGGTGCTCAGAAGAGAGGGTATCTATAAATCCCAAGTTATCTTGCTGCCATCCTGAAGATGAATGTCACACCCAAGCACCCAGCTGAAGCAGGACAACACGATTTTAATAAATTAGAGAATATTCACCAGGTGACTGCTCATGCAAGACAACAATCTCTGCAACAGTTTTGTAATTAATGACATCACAAAACGAATAGGCTGAATCTTACAACAGCCCTCGGTCTATAATCTAACATCATACCAATGTACAATTCCTGAAAAGATTTTCAAGAGGCCTTGCAGTTGCTTAGGCAACAGGCATTGCAGAACTACCTACTACCATTACCTGTGTTCCAGCAGAAGAAGCCCTTGCCTCCAGGCAAACCCAATTCAGCATCTGGAAATCCCAGGATATGTAGGGAAGTAGGATGTACAAGTGCTAGAATGGGAAGAACACTCCCCTAGTTTAAGGGATTTGGGATTCTCAAGCTGACTGCATGGCCAACATGGATCACATGCTCATTCCAGGCAAGCCAAGCAGATAGTGAGGTTATGGGATTGCCCCTGTCTGAAACTGTGCCATTTGTGCATTTGTGCTCAGGTATCTCTTTTCAGAATATGTGGGTAAAGTGTGACTTTACCATAACCATGGACTGAAGATAAATAGTGTTGTGATCCAGACCACCTGAGAAATTTACGTCTCTACACAGTGACTATAATCACAGTAAGCATATGTTCTTCTCACCCATGTGGAAGCGACCTAGAATCCAAAGAGACTGCTCTGATGCTTGTTCTGTATGACGGTGTGGTATCAGCTGGGCACCATTTTTGTCAATGTACCAATGCTCACTATAGATACAGATGGCATTTGTTTGCTGTTATCTAGCAGTTACAGTAGAGTATAAAAAAAGAAATCTCAATGCTCATGCCCATCATATTGGTCCAATTGTTCTGAAACCTTGCAGGATGCAAACACAAGGAAGGAGGGCAGAGACAGAGCAGACCTCATTCCTGAGCGTGTATGTAGAAGTGAGTGGATCATGGAAGACTTCGTGTAATAGGTAGAATTTTAACCGATGACTACAATTAACCCAGCATTACTATTGTAATTATACCCTAGTAAATTTTGCCAGTCACCTAAATTTTTGTATTGGGCAAGGAGAGATAAATAGAATCTGGACAGATGGAAATTGGACGAGAGATAATTTACAGTGGCACCGTTAATAAAAGCATAGAGTTTTTTGGGGAATGGTGAATAATTCATACATGTGTTTTATTCCTTGTGTCACCCCATGTATTTGGTCATGGTGGCAAGATCCATCTTAAATAGAATCACAAGACTGGAGTACTCGGAATAATGAGCATTAACTTTTGTGGCCTTGAAGTGATAGGGGTTGGTGTTCGTTTTGTGATATTCACAGGGGTGAGCTCTATATTAATGTAAAGTCCAGAGAGGGCCAGGCAGGGCAGCCCAACAGGACAAATCACAAAGGCAATGCCCTGCTCTCCTTACCCTCCTCACGGTGATATGTCTAGCCCTCCAGGGTCAGAAGGCATCGATTAAAAAAAAACAAGAAAAAGTCTGGGGTTTAAGGGAGAAGAGAAAAGCAATGGAATGCAGCCCCTTCTCTGGAAATCCAACATTGTAACTGTCACATAAAAATTCAGACCCAAACTCTGCATAGCTTTGATATGGATGCCCAAAAATTTCTATTAAAATTATGTGTCACCTAGCACCTCTTTGTAACGTAATATCTGTAGTGACTTGACATTGAGTTTAATACTCCTGTTTTAACATCCTGGTACACATGTGAGAGAATAATACATATTAACCGCAGACATTCTGAAGAAAATTGTTATTCCCACTCCAGGTGTGCAGGCACACTTGCCTTCTTATCAAAGACATGTACAATTATTGCTGAGAGTAGAGATGCATGATTCAGACTTAAGTTGTGTCTGTAAAAGTGTATGTATTCATTTTAAGAGTTATTGGAAACAAATATGATAAAAATTTAATATGTGCTTAATTTTGTGGAAGGTGTCTGTTAGTGCTTACTATGTTATCTTCTAGCCTATGTGCCTGGTTTACAAACTTCCTTCCAGCAAACCCCATGTCTTCATTCTTGGTGACTTCAATATCCATGGAGGTAAGTCCATAGAACGAACAGGTCTTTGTTTTTTAAGTTTTCGTTGTAAATTAATTGTAGACTATGAAGAAGTTATGAAAACAGTACAAAGAGTTCCTGTATGCCCATCACCCAATCTACAGCAATATTTACATGTTAAATAAATGTATTATCAAAACCAGGAAATTGACATTGATACCATCTAATTATCTACACTACAAAACTTATCAAATTTCACCAAATATCTATGGTACCATCTTACCAAATTTTACCACTGTTTGCATGCACTCATTTTTGGAGTGAGATATTCCTCTATGTTTCATTCCATAACATTTTGTCACAGGTGTAGATTCATAACCACAATCGCATTACATACAGAAGTGTTTCTTCACCACAAAGATTTCCCTTGGGCTCCTCCTACTGTCATACCCACAGTATGTTTCTTCCCAAATTCCTCTAGTGATTGATCTATTCTTCATCTCTATAATTTCATCATTTCAAAAGTGTTATATAAATGGAATCATATAGTATCTAATCTTTTGACTTTGGCTTTTTTCATTCAGCATAATGTCCTCAGGATCCACCCAACTTTTTGCAGGTATCCATAGCTTATTGCTGACTTTTTTTTATACTACTGAGTAGTGTTCCATTGTATGGATGTACTATGCTTTGTTTCACTATTCACAAGTGGAAAGACATTGCTGTTTTTTCTAACGTGGCATTTATAAATAAAGCAGCTATACACGTATGTGTACAGACTTTTTTATTTTACTTTAAGTTCTGGGATACATGTGTATAATCTGCAGGTTTCTAACATAGGTATACATCTGCCATGGTGGTTTGCTGCAACTATCAACCCATCATCTAGGTTTTTAGCCCCACGTGCATTAGGTATTTGTCATAATGCTCTCCCTCCCCTTCCTGCCCACCTCCTGACAGGCCCCTGTGTGTAATGTTCCCCTCCCTGTGTTCAACGGTTCTCATTTTTCTACTCCCAATTATGATTGAGAACATATGTTGTTTGGTTTTCTATTCTTGTGTTAGTTTGCTGAGAATTATGGCCTCCAGCTTCATCCATGTCCCTGCTAAGGACACGAACTCATTCTTTTTTATGACTGCATAGTATTCCATAGTGTATATGTACTACATTTTCTTCATCCAGTCTATCATTGATGGGCATTTGGGTTGGTTCCAACCTAACCCACTATTGTAAATAGTGCTGCAATAAACATACGTATGCAAGTGTCTTTATATTAGAATGATTTATAATCCTTTGGATGTATACCCAGTAATCGGATTGCTGGGTCAAATGGTATCTCTGGTTCTACATCCTTGAGAAATCTCCTCACTGTCTTCCACAATGGTTGAACTAATTTACACACCTACCAACAGTGTGAAAGCGTTCCTATTTCTCCACAGCCTCAGCAGTATCTCTTGTTTCCTAATTTAAATTACCATTCTGACTGACACGAGATGGTGTCCCACTGTGGTTTTGATTTGCATTTCTCTAATGACCAGTGATGATGAGCTTGTTTTCATACATTTGTTGGCTGCATAAATGTCTTCTTTTGAGAAGTGTCTGTTCATATCCTTCGCCCACTTTTTGATGGGGTTGATTGTTTTCCTCTTTTAAGTGCTTCTAACTTCCTTGTAAATTCTGGATATTAGACCTTTGTCAAATGATGAGATTGCAAAAATTTTCTACCATTCTTTAGGTTGCCTGTTCACTCCGATGATAGTTTCTTTTGCTGTGCAGAAGCTCTTTAGTTTAATTAGATCCCATTTGTCAATTTTGGCTTTTGTTGCAATTGCTCTTGGCATTTTCATCATGAAGTCATTGCCCATGCCTATGTCCTGAATGGTATTGCCTAGATTTTCTTCTAGGGTTTTTATGGTTTTGGCCTTTACATTTAAGTGTTTAATCCATCTTCAGTTAATTTTTGTATATGGTGTAAGGAAGGGGTCCAGTTTCTGTTTTCTGCATATAGCTAGCCAGTTATCCCAGCACCACTTATTAAATAGGGAATCCTTTCACCATTGCTTATTTTTGTCAGGTTTGTCGAAGATCAGATGGTTGTAGATGTGTGGTGTTATTTCTGAGGTCTCTGTTCTGTTCCACTGGTCTATATATATCTGTTTTGGTAACAGTACCATCCTGTTTTGGTTACTGTAGCCTTGTGATATAGTTTGAAGTCAGGTAGCATGATGCCTCCAGCTTTGTTCCTTTTGCTTAGGATTGTCTTGGCTATACGGGCTCTTTTTTGGTTTTAAAATTTAAAGTAGTTTTTTCTAATTCTGTGTAGAAAGTCAAGGGTAGCTTGATGGGAATAGCACTGAAACTATAAATTACTTTGGGTAGTATGGCCATTTTCACGATACTGATTCTTCATACCCATGAGAATGGAATTTTTTTCCATTTGTTTGTGTCCTCTCTTACTTCCTTGAGCAGTGGTTTGTGGTTCTCCTTGAAGAGGTCTTTCACAACCCTTGTACATTGTATTCCTAGGCCTTTTATTCTCTTTGTAGCAATTGTGAGTGGGAGTTTACTCATGACTTGGCTCTCTGCTTGTCTATTATTGGTGTATAGAAATGCTTGTGATTTTTACAAATTGATTTTGTATCCTGAGACTGCTGAAGTTGCTTACCAGCTTAAGGAGTTTGGGGCTGAGACGATGGGGTTTTCTAAATATAGAATCATGTCATCTGCAAACAGAGACAATTTGACTTCCTCTCTTCCTATTTGAATACCCTTCATTTGTTTTTCTTGCCTGATTTCCCTGGCCAGAACTTCCAATGCTATGTTGAATATGAGCGGTGAGACAGGGTATTTTTGTCTTGTTTCCGGTTTTTAAAGGAAGTGCTTCCAGTTTTTGCCCATTCAGTATCATATTGGCTATGTGTTTGTCATAAATACTTCTTATTAATTTGAGTATATTCCATCAATACCTAGTTGATTGAGAGTTTTTAACATGAAGGGATGTTGAATTTTATCAAAGGCCTTTTCTGCATCTATCGAGATAATCACGTGGTGTTTGTTATCGGTTCTGTTTATGTGATGGAGTACACTTGTTGATTTGTGTATGTTGAACCAGTCTTGCATCACAGGGATGAAGCCGACTTGGTCATGATGGATAAGTTTTTTGACGTGCTGCTGGATTCGGTTTGCCATTACTTTATTGAGGATTTTTGCACTGATGTTCCTCAAGGATATTGGCCTGCAATTTTTTTTGTTGTTGTTGTGTCTCTGCCAGGTTTTGGTATCAGGATGAGGCTGGCCTTATAAAATGAATTAGGGAGGAGTCCCTCATTTTCTATTGTTTGGAATAGTTTCAGAAGGAAGAGTACCAGCTCCTTTTGTACCTCTGGTAGAATTTGTCTGTCAATCTATCGGGTCTTGGGCTTTTGTTCATTGGTATGCTATTAATTACTGCCTCAATTTCCAAACTTGTTATTGGTCTATTCAGGCATTCAACTTCTTCCTGGTTTAGTCTTGGGAGGGTGTATGTGTCCAAGAATTTTTCCATTTCTTCTAGATTTTCTAGTTTATTTGCTTTGAGGTGTTTATAGTATTCTGTGATGGTAGTTTGTATTTCTGTGGGATCAGTGGTGATATCCCCTCTATCATTTTATTGTGTCTATTTGATTCTTCTCTCTTTTTTTCTTTACTAGTCTAGCTAGTGGTCTATCTATCTTGTTAATGTTTTCAAAAAAACAGTATGGCTATGGCTAGCTCCTAGATTCACTGATTTTTTGGAAGGGTTTTTGGTGTCTCTATCTCCTTCAGTTCTGCTCTGATCTTAGTTATTTCTTGTCTTCCATTAGCTTTTGAATTTGCTTGCTTTTGCTTCTGTAGTTTTTTTAATTGTGATGTTAGGGTGTTGATTTCAAGCCTTTTCAGCGTTCTGATGTGGACATTTGGTGCTATTAATTTCCCTCTTAACAGTGCTTTAGCTGTGTCCCAGAGATTCTGGTACATTGTCTCTTTGTTCTTATCAGTTTCAAAGAACTTCTTTATTAGCTGTGTCCCAGATACTGGTATGTTGTCTCTTTGTTCTCATTAGTTTCAAAGAACTTCTTTATTTGTGCCTTCATTTTTTTATTTACCCAGTAGTCATTCAGGAGTAGCTTGTTCAACTTCCATGTAGTTGTGTGGTTTTGAGTGAGTTTCTTAATCCTGAGTTCTCATTTGAATGCACTGTGGTCAGAGAGATTGTTTCTTATAATTTCCAATATTTTGCATTTGCTGAGAAGTGTTTTACTTCCAATTATGTGGTCAATTTTAGAAGAAGTGCTACGTGGCACTGAGAAGAATGTGTATTCTCTAATTTGGAGTGGAGAGTTCTTTTGATGTCTATTAGGTTCACTTGGTCCAGAGCTCAGTTCAAGTCCTGAATATCCTTGTTAATTTTCTGTCTTGTTGATCTATCTGACAGTGGGGTGTAAAAGTCTCCTGCTATTATTATGCTGGAGTCTAAGTCTATTTGTAGGTCTGTAACAACTTGTTTTATGAATATGTGTGCTCCTGTATTGGGTGCAAATATATTTAGGATAGTTAGCTCTTCTTGTTGCATTGATCCCTTTACCACTATGTAATGCCCTCCTTTGCTTTTTTTTCTGTGTTGGTTTATAGCCTGTTTTATTAGAGAGTAGGATTGCAACCACTGGTTTTTTTTGTTTTGTTTTTGTTTTGTTTTTTCTTTGCTTTCCATTTGCTTGGTAAATATTGCTCCATCCCTTTATTTTGAGCCCAAGTGCCTTTGCACGTGAGGTGGGTCTCCTGAATACAGCACACCTACGGGTCTGGACCCTTTACCTAATTTGCCCATCCTTGTCTTTTAATTGGGGGCATTTAGCCCATTTACATTTAAGGTTAATATTGTTATGTGTGAATTTGATCCTGTCCTTATGATGCTAGCTGGTTATTTTGCACATTAGTTGACTCAGTTTCTTCATAGTGTCATTGGTCTTTATATTTTGGTGTGTTTTTGTAGAGGCTGGTACTGGTTTTTTGTTTCCATATTTAGTGCTTCCTTTAGGAGCTCTTGTAAGGCAGGCCTGGGGGTGACAAAATCCCTCAGCATTTGCCTGTCAGGAAAGGATTTTATTTCTCCTTTGTTTGTTGAGCTTAGTTTGGCTGGATATGAAACTCTGGGTTGAAAATACTTTTTTTTTTTTGACTGTTGAATATTGGCCCCCATTCTCTTCTGACTTGTAGGGTTTCTATAGAGAGATCTACTGTTATTCTGATGAGCTTCTCTTTTTAGATAGCCTAACGTTTCTCTCTGGCTGCTCTTAATATTTTTTACTTCAACTTAACTTTGAAGAATCTGACAATTCTGTGTCTTAGGGTTGCTCTTCTTGAGGGGTATCTTAGTGGTGTTCTCTCTATTTCCTAAATTTGAATGTTGGCCTGTCCTGCTAGGATGGTGAAGTTCTCCTGGATAATATCCTGAAGTGTATTTTCGAACTTGGTTCCATTCTCCCCATCACTTTCAGTTGCACCAATCAATTGTAGGTTTGGTCTTTTCACATAGTCCCATATTTCTTGGAAGTTTTGTTCATTCCTTTTCATTCTTTTTTCTCTAATCTAGTCTTCATGCCTTATTTCAGTAAGTTGATCTCCAACCTCTGATATTCTTTCTTCTGCTTGATTGATTCAGCTATTGATACTTGTGTATACTTCACAAAGTCCTTGTGCTGTGTTTTTCAGCTCCATCAGGTCACTTATGTTCCTCTCTGTACTGGTTATTCTAGTTAGCAGTTCCTGTAACCTTTTATCAAGGTTCTTAGCTTTCTTGCATTGGGTTAGAATATGCTCCTTTAGCTCAGAGGAGTTTGTTATTACCCATCTTTTGAAGCCTACTTCTGTCAATTCATCAGTCTCATTCTCCATGCAGTTTTGTGTCTTTGCTGGAGAGGAGCTTCTAACATTTGGAGGAGAAAAGGCATTCTGGTTTTTGGAATTTTCAATATTTTTGCACTGCTTATTCTTCATATTTCTGGATTTATCTACATTTGATCTTTTAGGCCGATAACCTTTGGGTGGGGTTTTTGTGTGGGGGTCTTTTTAGTTGATGTTGATGTTATTGCTTTCTGTTTGCTAGTTGGTCTTCTAACAGTCAGGCCTCTCTTCTGCAGGTCGGCTGCAGTTTGCTGGAGGTCCAATCCAGACCCTGTTCACCTGGGTATCACCAGTGGAGGCTGCAGAACAGCAAAAGATGGCTGCCTGATCCTTTCTCTGGAAGCTTCATTCCAGAGGGGCACTGGCCTGATGCCAACTAGAGCTCTCCTGTATGAGGTGTCTGTCCACCCCTGTTAGGAGGTCTCTCCCAGTTGGGAGGCACGGGGGTCAGGGACCCACTTGAGGAGGCAATCTGTCCCTTAGCAGAGCTGGTGCACTGTGCTGGGAGAACCCCCCTTGTCAGGATCAGCTGCTATCTTCAGAGGCAGCAGGCAGGAAAGATTAAATCTGCTGCGGTTGCGCCCACAGCCTCCCCTTCCCCCACGTGCTCCATCCCAGGGAGATAGGAATTTTATCTGTAAACCCCTGACTGCGCCTGCTGTCTGTCCTTCAGAGATGTCCTGCCCAGTGAGGAGGAATCTAGAGAAGTAGTCTGGCCATAGCTGCTTAGCCGCGCTGTGGTGAATTCCGCCCAGTCCAAACCTCCCAGCCTTCTTAGCACTGTCAGGGGAAAACCGCCTACTAAAGCCTCAGGAATGGCGGATACCCCTCTCTCCACAAAGCTCAATCGCCCCAGGTCGACTTCAGACTGCTGCGCCGGCAGTGAGAATTTCAAGCCAGTGGTTCTTTGCTTGCTGGGCTCTGTGGGAGTGGGACCCATTGAGGCAGGGGACCACTTGTCTCCCTGGCTTCAGCCCCCTTTCCAGGGGAGTGAACGGATCTGTCTCACTGGAGTTCCAGGCACCACTGGGGTATGAAAAAAACTCCTGCATCTAGGTCGGTCTCTGCCCAAACAGCTGCCCAATATTGTGCTTGAAACCCAGAGCCCTGGTGGTGTAGGCACACGAGGGAATCTCCTGATCTGCGGATCGCAAAAACCATTTCAAAAGCGTAGTACTGGGCTGGTAGCAGGGTTCCTCACAGCTTCCCTTGATTGGGGGACAGGTGTCCCCTGGCTCCTTGTACTTCGCAGATGAAGCGATGCCCCACCCTGCTTCTCCTTGCTCTCCGTGGGTTGTACACACTGCCTAACCAGTCTCAATGAGATGAACTGGGTACCTGAGTTGGAAATGCAGAAATCACCAGTCTTCTGCGTTGGTCCCGCTGGGAGCTGCAGACCAGAACTGTTTTTATTTGGCCATCTTGGCCCCCCTCCTGTACAGATTTTTAAGTGAACACAGTTTCCCAGTTTCTAGGATACATTTTCCAGGTTCTAGGATACGCTGGATTGCTGGATTATATGAAAATGCAAGAAGATTTCCCAGAGTAGCTCTACTATTTTACTTTCTCATTGGCAGTGTATGAGACCTCCAATTCCTTCAAATCTCAGCCAATATTTGAAACTATCAGTATTTTATATTTTAGCCATATTGAGAGGGTAGAGTGGTATCTCGTGACTTTTATTTGTTGTCCTAAACATTAGTGATGTTGAGCATCTTTTTATGTGTTTATTTGTCATGCATATATGTCCTTGCTGAAGTATCAGTTCGTCTTTTACCCTGCTTGAATCCAGCTCTCCACTAACTCCATGCCTGTTCCCATAGAACTGAGGGTGGCTGCAGCACAACACACAACCATGCCCAGCGGTTTCACTGTACATTTATAACCTTGAACCTGAAAGGTCCATTTATATCTCCTGAACACTCACGTGACATTTCCATAATTGCCTCTCACTCTCCAAAGGAAAATCTTCACGACATTTTCTCTCTCCTGAAACCGCCTACTCTTCATTTTTTTTTAAATCACTGTCAGGTGATGCTCCTCTGAGAATTACTCAATCTCCCCAGAGGGAACCTACCTCCCCATGTGCCTCTGAGCGCATCTCTCTGCATTTTCTCTCATGCCAGGAAATGGGCTCTGCAAATTCCTGTTTGAAACCACCCTTTCAATTTGTGCAGTTTCCCCTTTTCCCTCCCGAGAAACATTTTATAGCATTATTACTTCTCTCTCCTGCATCTTCAATGTTTCCTTCTCTCATGGATCCTTCCATTGCAATTGAAACACACTATCCTATTCTTGGCCTAAAATACCAACCAAGCCCCCATTCCTCTCCATCCACAGCCTGATTTCTCTACAATCCTTTAGAAAAATATACATGTATATATATCTTCCAAAGAGTTTTCTGTACTCATTATCTTCATATTCTCACCCTTCCTCATATCTTCTCATGTGTCTATCTCTGTCTCTTAGCTAGATCATTATATTTATTTTTTTGCTTGATAATTTATTTGTGACATAGTAATAAAGTCAGAACTTTCAAAAATAATCTTTAAATACATGCACTGCAAACTGTCATTCCCATTTTAGATCCTCAGGCATCCTTGCCTTGTTAACAAAGACATATCATATTATACTTATTAATAATTTTGCATTAATTTGCAAATATTTAGTGATAAAGCAACTATATAGCTTCGTCATACAATATATACATTGGTCTGCATTCTTTTTTAAAAATCTAACAAATTCTGGAGGGCCTTTTATATTAGGTTTGTTGCTCTTTCTGTGTAGCTATAGAGTATTCTACTGCACAGATAGACCATAATTTATACAGTATTGATGGCCATTTTGGCTGTTACCAGTCTTTTACTGTAAATAACACTGCATTTATTAACTTAGTACATAGATCTTTTGGCCATGCACAAATACATCTCCAAGATAAATTCCTAGATGAGTAATTACAGAGAAAAAAGAATGATACTTTATACATGCTTACATAAGTTGAAAATTGCCTTCACTGTAAGTTCTAAGCAACTGCATCCTCAGCAGAAATGGGTGAGGGTGCCTGATCCCACGCCATCCCCATGTTGTATGCTATAAAACTTAATGGTTTTTTAGATTTTGGTAAGTAAAATATAACTCTGTAATTTTAATTGGCATGTCTTTTATTAAGAGTTGCATTTCTCCTCTTTCCATATGTTTAGGAGCCATTTTTATTTTCTAGAAGTTGTGAATCGTAACTTAAGGTTATTTTCTTATTAGCTTTTTGAATTTTGAATTATTAATATCATTTTAGAAAAATTTGTATCAGTAGAGAAAATTTATACTTTGGCTATAATATACATTACGAAATATCTCCCAGTTTATTTATTTTATTTATTAATTAATTTTTTGAGACGGAGTCTCCGTCACCCAGGCTGGAGTGCAGAGGTGCATTCTTGGCTCACTGCAACTTTTCTCTACTGGGTTCAATAGATTCTCTTACTCATCCTATCCAGTAGTTGGGATTACAGGCCTGTGCCACCACACCCAACTACTTTTTGTATTTTCAGTAGAGACTAGCTGATCTCATACTCGTGACCTCAGGTAATCTGCCTGCCTCAGCCTCCCAAAGTGCTGGGATTACAGGAGTGAGCCATCATGGCTAGCCACAGTTTATTTATATTTTGATTATGATGGTTCATGTCACGCTAAAAATAGCTTTTTCTTTTTTTTTTCTTTTTCTTTTCTTTCCCTTTTTTTTTTTTTTTTTTTTTTTTTTTCTTTTTGGCAAGGTCTGGCTCTATCACCCAGGCTGGAATGCAGTGCTGTGATGTTGGTTCACTGTAACCTCCGCAGCCTGGGCTCAAGCCGTCTTCCCACCACAATGTCCCGAGTAACTGGGACTACAGACATGCACCACCACACCTGGCTAATTTTTGTATTTTTTGTAGAGACAGGTTTTCACCATGTTGCCCAGGATGGTCTCAAACTCGTGAGCTCAAGTTATCCACTCACCTTGGCCTCCCAAAGTGCTGGAATTATATTAGTGGACCATCACAGCTGGTGTTCTTTTTGTCTTTATTAATATATATGAGTGGGCAATCACAGCTGGCATTCTTTTTGTCTTTACTAATATTTTCTTTAATATCTTCTGTTTTCTATTCTATAATTGAAAGTCATTTCCCACTTCGATTTGAAAACTATTTTGCTATGGCTCCTCCAGGTAATTGTATTTTCATTATAAAATTTTAAGTAGTGTATTTGGATTTATCCTCAAATCATATGTAAAGTATGCTTCCACCTTTACTTATTTCACACAGAAACTCAGTTGTCCCAATCCCATTCATTCAATAGTGCCTGTTTTACACACTACTTTGATATACAAACTTTATCATATATAGGAATATGTTGAAGATATTGGAAGTCTGCTTAAAACACTACAATAAAGCAAATATTACAATAAAGTGAATCACATGAATTTTTGGTGTACCAGTACATGTAAAAGTTATGCTTACACTATACTGTAGTCTATTGAGTTGCAGTGGCCTTATGTCTAAAGCAATATACATGTATTACTTAAGAAATATTTTTACTAGGAAATGGTAACCATCATCAGAACCTTTATCAAGCCAAACATTTTCCTGCTGGAAGGTCTTGCCTGATATTGATGGCTGTTGAGGTGGCTGCTGAAGGCAAGACAGGCTGTCCTTACACCTTATACAAAAATTAATTCAAGATGGATTAAAGACTTAAATGTTAGACCTAAAACCATAAAAACCCTAGAAGAAAACCTAGGCAATACCATTCAGGACATAGGTATGGGCAAGGACTTCATTCATGTCTAAAACACCAAAGCAATGGCAACAAAAGTCAAAATTGACAAATGGGATCTAATTAAACTAAAAGAGCTTCTGCACAGCAACTACCATCAGAGTGAACAGGCAACCTACAGAATGGGAGAAAATTTTCACAACCTACTCATCTGACAAAGGGCTAATATCCAGAATCTACAATGAACTCAAACAAATTTACAAGAAAAAAACAAACAACCCCATCAAAAAGTGGGCGAAGGACATGAACAGACACTTCTCAAAAGAAGACATTTATGCAGCCAAAAAACACATGAAAAAATGCTCACCATCACTGGCCATCAGAGAAATGAAAATCAAAACCACAATGAGATACCATCTCACACCAGTTTGAATGGCGATCATTAAAAAGTCAGGAAACAACAGGTGCTGGAGAGGATGTGGAGAAATAGGAACACTTTTACACTGTTGGTGGGACTGTAAACTAGTTCAACCATTGTGGAAGTCAGTGTGGCAATTCCTCAGCGATCTAGAACTAGAAATACCATTTGACCCAGCCATCCCATTACTGGGTATATACCCAAAGGACTATAAATCATGCTGCTATAAAGACACATGCGCACGTATGTTTATTGCGGCACTATTCACAATAGCAAAGATTTGGAACGAACCCAAATGTCCAACAATGATAGAATGGATTAAGAAAATGTGGCACATATACACCATGGAATACTATGCAGCCATAAAAAATGTTGAGTTCATGTCCTTTTTAGGGACATGGATGAAATTGGAAATCATCATTCTCAGTAAACTATCGCAAGGACAAAAAACCAAACACCGCATGTTCTCACTCATAGGTGGGAATTGAACAATGAGAACACATGGACACAGGAAGGGGAACATCACACTCTGGGGACTGTTGTGGGGTGGGGGGAGAGGGGAGGGATAGCATTAGGAGATATACCTAATGTTAAATGACAAGTTAATGGGTGCAGCACACCAGCATGGCACATGTATACATATGTAACTAACCTGCACATAGTGCACATGTACCCTAAAACTTAAAGTATAATAATAATAAAATAAAATAAAATAAACAAGAAAAAAAACAAGACAACAGTAAAGTTTGCCACGTTGATTGACTCATCCTTTTATGAAAGATTTTAATGTAGCATGGAATGCTATTTGATAGCATTTTATACACAGTAGAACTTCTTTTAAAATGAAAGTCAATTCTCTCAAACCTTGCCACTGTTTTTATCAAGGAAGTTGAACAAGATGGAGTGTGATGGGAGAGGCTTATATGTACTGGATATGAGACAGAGGCCAAGAATCATCTCAGGGTTTGTGTCTTCAATACCTCTGGCCGCTCATTTGTCCATAGTCCTTATACAGGAAATAACAAGGCAATCCTGCATCTTCATAAGTCTGGATTGCTCACCAGCTTTGACTCCAGCTCCTGTAGGCATCTCCTGAATTAAGCAACACAGAAGGGTTCTCTGAAGTCACTGAATCCCAGAAAGGCCCTCCAGCTTTAGCACAAGGGAAGTCTTCACCACTGGACAAAAGAGAAGAATAAGTACCAAGAACTGTCTTCTTCCACAGTCAGTTATGGTTTTTGCTATAAGATCGTTTCTGTGTTTCCACCTAGGTGCTACAGGCAGGGGATCATGAGCTTGTTTCAGGAAAAGACAGGAGACATGATGTTTCCTTCTGGAAACTGAGTGCTGCCAACTCAGAGTGTGTTGACCTTCAACTGGGATCCCCACTTCTGATTTATCTCCCCATATCACCTCCTTTATTCCAATCACTGAATCTGTCCTCATGGAGAGAATGCTGTCTCTCACATTCATTTAAGGAGTTAGAGGACATGCAGGCATTGCTTCGCAGAGTTGAACTGCTGTAGAAGCAAGTTTTGTTGTTTTACTTACTTTTCTAAATTATTCATCCTTGCCTGTCTGTAAAGGTTCATGGAAGAAACAGGAGGTCCCAACTGAAATGACTGAGGAGTGTTTCATGAGGGAAGTATTTACAAAGATGTGCAGTGTTAAGGGATAGCGACAATGCATGGATGAGCACCCTAAGCAGCAATACCTAAGGGAGCACTACTTCCTCCCTTAGGCTGAAAGGGAGAGGGAAGGAGCAGTTACCATTGACACCATAGCCATAGCTGTAGCCATAAGGGTGGGAGAGCATGAGCAGGCAGGTAGAGAAGCCTTGCACGACCAACACACAGCCACACAGGCTGATATGCTTTGGATCTGTGTCCCCACCCAAATCTCATGTTGATTGTAATTCCCGGTGTTGGAAGGAGGGCCTGGTGGGTGGTGATTAGATGGTGGGGATGGTTTCTCATGAATGGCTTAACACCATCCCCCTTTGGTATTGCTGTAGTGATAGCGAGTGAGTTCTCATGAAATCTAGTTATTTAAAAGCGTGTAGCACGTCCTCCCTCTCTCTCTTACTCTTGCTCTCACCGTGTGAGATGCCTCACTCCCCCTTTGCCTTTCACCAGGATTGGAAGCTTCCTGAAGCCTCCCCAGAAGCAGAAGCTGCTATGCTTCCTGTATAGCCTTCAGAGCCATGAGCCAATTAAACCTGTTTTCTTCACAAATCTCCCGGTCTCAGGTATTTCTTTATAGCAATTTGAGAATGAACTAATACACAGGCAGAGAGCCAGGAGGTGGAAATCCCAAAGTGCTCTCCTGCTGTCTTCCAGTCTCCTGCTGGTGTGTCCCAGTGTCACAATTCCACCAGAAACTGGAATTAAAAAAGATTCCCACTGATGTGGTACATAGAAGCCACTCTCTTGGGATGTCAAACAAGATAAAGAAGAGTGGAAAGCAAATCGTCATAGCAAATGGGACTATCCTTCTCTCCTTCTTATATCCTCCTAATTCCTGGGGCTTCCTCTGTCTAAAGGTGATTGATACCTGTCTCATTTCAGCTCTATCAGACTACTTTAACATTTGGCATGTCGTTCTCTACTGTCACTTCTATGCAGAAATGTTTGCATTCATCAAAAATGCATAGAAAATAAATTATAATGTTAAAGACAGAACATATTTCTTTTGTTAAGAGTATAAGTTTGGCTACTTTCACAAATACACAAAGTAGAAATATCTTAAACAAGAAAGTACAGTTGTGCCTCTGGGTCGCTAGGTCCTCAATCTGCAGATTCAACAAACCACAGGTGAAAACTATTTTAAAAATAATGGTATGGCGGAGTTGTGTATGTACTGAACAGGCAGAAACTTGTTTTTCCTTGTCATTACTTCCAAAAAATACAGTAAAACAAGAATTTTCATGGCATTTGCATTTTGCCAGTTATTCTAAGTAACTTAAAAATGATTTAATGTGTCTGGGAGAAAGTGCACAGGTTTTGTACAAATATCACCTCATTTTATATAAGGAAATTGAGCGTCTGCAGATTTTGGTGTGTGCTGTGGTTCCAGATACAAGCCTCTGTGAATACCCAGAAATGACTATCTTTGAGATCTGTGCTGGATGCTCCAAGGTATTGTATATCAGAATTCCGAAAATTACTACTCTGCAGTCCCTAGAGAGTTGCACTCATCCTTGTGATCTTACATGGTTTCCAGCCACACTAGCATTCCAGCATGATAGGAAAAAATGAAGAAAAGGAGAGGCTTTGCTTCTTTGATTGATCCTCTGAGCCAGGACTTGCTTATATCACTTTTGTGCATCTTTCATTGAACAGCACCTGGTCATATGATGGCTCCCTGCATCAAGGAAAACTGGAATGTGGGTCCTTGTGCTGCTTTTAAACTCTGAGAATTGTTATGTGACCAAAGAGGAAAATGAATATTAGGGCAACATAGCAGTCTTCTCTGCCTCTGACTGTCTCTGATTCTGTGCTCCCATCAAGGTTTATCAGGAACTCCTCTGAAATAATGAATGATGGGGCAGAGAAGTCTCATGAGGGCTCCAGGAACCAGGGACTGGTACTGGACCTGCTGTTTGTGTTGTGATCTCAGGAAAACGCTTTAATTCTCTAGGTCTTGGCTTCATCTTACGTTATAAGAAAATAATACCATAGATGATCTTTAAGGAACACATGCCAAATGTTGGTCATACCACAGTGAAAAAGACAGTCATGACTTAGTTGTTATGAAGCTTCAGGTTTCATGAGGAAGACAAGTACACCATTACCCTAAATATAAATGGACAAAGTATTTAGTGCTCTGAGTGTGGATAACAGAGGTTCTCCTTTTCCTCCCATTTCCTTTTCGGGCCAATCAGAGCTGTGGCAGCTTGTCTCTTTAAGAGAGCTCATGATGGATGCACTCACTCCAGATGCTCCTCTATACTCCCAGAGGAGGATGCATCTTCTTTCCACCTGGAGAGCTCCTGCCCATGTGCATTCTCGGGATTCCAGAGCAAAGGTGGCCTCTGATAGCAAAAAGGAGCTCCTGAATTTGTTCCTAAATGGCTTTCACTCTCCTCTATTTTGTTCCCTTTTTGATTTGCTTCTCTTTCTCTATCTGAAATTTGTTTAGGTTAGTTTTTTTTTCAACCCACAATTTTACCTGCCAACTTGGATTTAACTTGAGAATCCCTCCTCTGCTTTACCCCCCTCTAACATGTATAATTGACAGAGTGGTGCGGGTCTAAAGGGCTGCTCCAAGACTGGATCGTGAGTCAGCCCTACTGGGCTCAAATTCACACTATATGAGTCCCAGAATGAATAGTTCACTTTTTTTGTGTGTTCCAATGCATTATCTGCCATATGGGAATAATACTCATTCTTACCTCCTAGGCTCTTCAGATGATTAAAAGAGACAATACCTTAAAACTCTCAATCAGCAGCTGTTATTCTCCCAGATTAGACCTAATCCTCATTCTCCAGTTGAAATCTGCATGAACATCTCTCTATACTCCAAGCCCTAACATCTCCTATTTCCCATCATGGACTTCTCTCATACAAATGTTTACAGCAACAAAGAAATGCTAACAAAGATCTCCTGAAAGAAAAAATGAAATTGGTTTACATTGTATATACCCAGCAGAACACTTAACACTCCCCCATAGATATTCCAACACTTCAATTACCTTTTTCAGTGGCACTCAGACCTCGCCCTCACTTACTCTTTCCTCTGCTATATGGCTGAGCAATTCAGCTCAGACCCACACCCTACACAAACATTGTATACAAAATGCTTCTAGGTGTTCAGCATAACCACATCAAGTCCTCATTTTAAAGGCACATCAGTGGACAATTTCAGGTTTTGGGCACTCATCAATAATTCTTCTCAACACAGATAGAGCTGTCCACAAATAGAATTCTGATGGATGAAATTTTCTTCATCTAATTACACTTATGTGTTCTAATGATGTACATAGTGCTTTCATTTTTATTTTCCATTTCACCAAAATCTACCAGTACCATTAGGCTCCTCATGCATGCATTCATTCATTGAATGAATATTTATGAAGAGCACAGTATGCTGCTCATGGAAATAGGCACTGGAAGTATAAAATGTAAAATGTGTTCCTGTCTGCAATGACTGACACACTGAGTTATTTCTCACCCACCAGGCCCAGCCATTTCCACACGTATCCTAGTGAAAGTCACATTTTCCTCTGGTTCATAATGCATGGTCTTCTTTCCTGTCCATGGATGATCAGTCCTAGTCATGAGGGTGTCACAACCACCTCTTTGTGGATCTGAATTCCTCCACCTGAGAGAAAATGTCAGGCCCAGGATAGAGTAATCATCGGGTCCACAGCCCTGGCTGGATGAGTGAGGGTGTTTTGATCATAAGTTACTCCCATGTCCGTACAGAACTTGTGTGGCAGCAGAGTGAGGTCAGACTTCAGAATCAATAAGAACTGGATTTCAAACTCTATTTGAGGACCCCCACCTTTTGATAGGTGATTTATTCTCTGCGAGCCTCTTTTTCTCTCTCCTTAAAGTAAGGACAGTAAATCCCACATGGCAGGGTGGTGGGGAGAATCAGAGATGATACAGCTGGTGATCACATCTGGTTTGTGTTCCCAGGGGCACCAGACTGGGGTTTCTGAGCATGGATCCAACCATCCCAGTCTTGGGTACAGAACTGACACCAATCAACGGAACTGAGGAGACTCCTTGCTACAATCAGACCCTGAGCTTCACGGTGCTGACGTGCATCGTTTCCCTTGTCGCGCTGACAGGAAACGCGGTTGTGCTCTGGCTCCTGGGCTTCCGCATGTGCAGGAACGCTGTCTCCATCTACATCCTCAACCTGGTCGCGGCCAACTTCCTCCTCCTCAGCAGCCACATTATACATCCCTGTTACACCTCATCAATAACGTCCATCCCATCTCTCTAATCCTCTAGCCTGTGATGACCTTTCCCTACTTGGCAGGCCTGAATATTCTGAGTGCCATGAGCACCAAGCGCTGCCTGTCAATCCTGTGGCCCATCTGGTAACGCTGCCGCCACCCCACACACCTGTCAACGGTCGTGTGTGTCCTGCTCTGGGCCCTGTCCCTGCTGTAGAGCATCCTGGAGTGGATGTTCTGTGACTCCCTGTTTAGTGATGCTGATTCTGTTTGGTGTCAAACATCAGATTCATCACAGTTACGTGGCTGATTTTTTTATTTGTGGTTCTCTGTGTGTCCAGCCTGGTCCTAGTGGTCAGGATCCTCTGTGGATCCCAGAAGATGCCGCTGACCAGGCTGTACATGACCATCTGCTCACAGTGCTGGTCTTCCTCCTCTGCGGCCTGCCCATTGGCATTCAGTGGGCCCTGTTTTCCAGGATCCACATGGACTGGGAAGTCTTATATTCTCATGTTCATCTGCCTTCCATTTTCCTGTCGTCTCTTAACAGCAGTGCCAACCCCATCATTTACTTCTTCATGGGTTTCGTTAGGCAGCATCAAAATTGGCAGAACCTGAAGCTGGTTCTCCAGAGGGATCTGCAGGACACGCCTGAGGTGGATGAAGGTGGATGGTGCCTTCCTCAGGAAACCCTGGAGCTGTCGGGAAGCAGATTCAGGCAGTGAGGAAGAGCCTCTACCCTGTCAGTCAGATGGGACTTTGAGAGCAACACTGCCCTGCCACCCTTGACAATTATATGCATTTTTCTTAGCCTTCCGCCTCAGAAATGTCTCAGTGGTTCCTCAAGGTCTTCGAATAGATGTTTATCTAACCTGACAATTGCGGTTTTCACCTGTGGAAAGCATTAGTCTGACAGTACAATATTTAGATTCTCCTGATATTACCAACACATTTTCTCTGTTGTCTTACACTGAATCTTTCCTACAGAACACTTTTTCTGTAATTTTCATTGTAATGCATGGAGTTTCTGTCCGAAACCTTAAAACTCTTCTTTATGCTTGTTTGAACCTGATTGTATCAAAAAGGAAGATTCCTTTTTAATCTCTCAGATTATGTTCCCCTAAAAATCATGTTCCCTTTTATGACTGGAGGCATTACTGCAGCTGGTAACTAGATTCTGAATAAGTGAGTTCTGCTGTCTCTAAGTTCCATTGAATTCTCATATATAGAGCAAAATAACGTACTTCGATACATTATTTTATACATTATGTATACATTAGATACAATGTCTCTTCATAAAAACAGTCTAGGGAATTGGTTTTATGGAAAGTCCTCCGCTGTCATTTGTCTACAGAATGGTGACATGTTGGCCTTGGTTTCTAGCAAAGATAACCATGGCCCCTTCCCCTTAAGAACCGGTAAGTTCTTATTTAGCTCTTCCTGGACTAATGAACCAGTGAGGAGCTCATAAATATGCTCCATCAGTTCAATTTGGCCATTGGAAGCCTCAGTATTGGTTTCAAAGTGGAAATTATCTCAAAAATCATGTATTTGCTTACACATTGTTTCAGTTACAGGAGAATTCTCCATACTTCCAGGGTTTGTATAAATTGTTCTGGCTTAACTTTCAGTTAGTTTTATGGCTGTTAACATGAGAAGCAACACTGAAAACATCTGACCTTTCCTTGCTCATGTCAATTATAGTATCTGGATAATAACTTCCAGTTCGTACAAAATTCTAATACATGCTGTGACATAGATGAACCTGGAAACATCATGCTCAGCATTATAAGCCAGACACCAAAGAACAATATTGTAAGTTCAAATTTTATGAAGTATTGAAACTAGGAAATTCATGAATACAGAAAATAAATTAGGAGGAGCCTGGTGCTGGATAATGGAGAGAATGAGTAGCCATTATTTAAAGAGCACAGAATTTCTGTGTGGAATAATTAAAAGTTCTTAAAGGGCACAGTCGTAACAGTTACAATTTATTTTGAATGTACTTACTGACACTGAATTGTACACTTTAAATGGTTATAGTTGTAAAATGTATGTTATGTAAATTTTACCACAATTAAAAACGTAATTTTAGAAATGGAATCAGTACAAAACTCAGAACTATTTTCTACCAGTGGTAATTTCTTCCCCAGATAACTCAAGCAGACAGAAGAGACATCAAGAGAAGATGTGACATCACAGCTGGCTCTGTGCTTCTCACCAACAGTGAGGCTGCCCCTCAGATTGACCCTCACTGAGGGGAGCTGACACATGCCATTTGAATGCAGGAGAGACATTACAAAGGAGCTATGAAAGCAATAAAGAGGTATATAGTTTTCAATTTGTCCAAACAAATTTATTGGTGGCTCCTATCACACTGTTCACAATGTTGAACTCAGGTCCCCTCAGTCCAGATCCATTCCTCTTCCAGGCCCAGCACTCTGCTGATGCTGAATCCTATCTATCCACTCTCAATTTTCAAATGCTGTATTAGAATGTGGCTGTAGGGGAGGGTTTCCTAAAGGTCGGAGGAAGCAGGAAGGCAATGTTTGCAGCCAATTCTCCAAGCAAGGAGCTTTTCAGACTGAGGGTTATTGGGAGAGTCCACTCTGGAATTCTGTGATATCAATTGTACAGTTTTGGCTAAAGATGTTGTCTATCATGAGGAATTCTGTAGAGAATTTTCACCTAGCAATTGACTCAAATAATTTTGTTCCTCACATGAAAAACTGCTTATTTTGATGTTAGTGACATTCTTTTTCTTTGACAGAAGAAAACTTTAGCTTCATGAAAGCTTAGATACTGTCCCTGAAGCCCGTTCTGAATTCACTTGGCCTCACACGTTGCTCTACTACAACACTTATAACAGTGTACTTGAATTATTTGTCCACACATCTTTCTCTCCTACCACACTCTGAGGTCTTTAAGAGCAGGGATTCATGTCTTTGAATTTCTAGTGCAACAGCCTAGGTGTGAAATTTAGAAAATACTCGGTATTTTTCTCAAGCAGCTCCCACCTGATAATCACAGGGTCATCCAGCATCTTGCAAAGGCTGGCTCAGTCACCAGGTCTCACTGGAACTCTTATAGGCACCTTCCACTTAACAGTGTCCTCTGCAGTTGGTCATTCTGAGAACAGCTGTTTCCTTTCATTGGAGGTTTGCTCACTGCCTCTGGGAAGAAGAATGGAGGGGATGCGGGAGTCGGCTTATGAGCTGCCTTCTTTACCAGGCCAATGATATCATTTCCTCTTGGTTTCATATGGAGGAGAAGCATGCAGTACATCCAGGAGTTTTCTCCAGAAAGTGAGAAAATACATGAAAGTCTCTCTTGGCACTTTTTGGGAGCTGCCATTCATGACTATATTTTAGGCATGAATTCAACAAACATTGAATCGTAATTAATCAAGCGCTGTGCTAATTCTACATAAAAGCAAACATCTTTCAAATAAGTCTCTCACTAATACATTCTATCTGTATAATTAATCCTTTCCACTTCATGAAGCAAATACAGTGACTGATGCCAAGCAAATGCTGAGTCTTCATGGCCATTCACTGACGCTCTAGTACACTGGGCACAAGGGCACTGAGTCATCAGCCTCACAAGAACCAATTGAATCTGTTTCTTGCCCTGCTTTTGCCAATTAGGCTAGTGAATATAATTTCCTAATTTATCAAAATACAGCACAGATCAATGAAAAAATAGTATGAAAGAAGAATTGCAATTTCCATAAAAACTAACATGAATGATCAAATGGAAAATAAAAGCAGGTTCCAAAATTATTGTTAGTTTAGTAGGTGTGAGTCTTCCAACTCTACAAGATTAAACAAAAATGAGCAATATTGAACAATTTCCTAAGACAGAATGCTATGCATCTGATGCTAAGATCTACACTTAAACTAATTCAAACTGCAAATTATAGACAGTGATTGATAGATACGCTTTCAGCCAGACAGAGCAGAATTCTATTTGCTGAACCCTACAAAAGGATTGTTCTACAGTCTAGTTCTATTACAGTGAATGAATTCTAGGTAAAATTGAAATATTCATGTTACAAATGTATCCTTTTGTTTAAATGCTGATTAACAGACATTTTCAATTAATCTATCTACTTACACTCCTGAATATATCATTAAGTGGGCTTTTCATAGCAATATCTATCACTTTTTCTACTGTTTGTTGTATAAATATATACTGAGCATCTTCCATTCTCTAGCTTGCATGCCAGACACTTGGGAGTCAAAGTAAACATACCCACATTCCCAGAGCGCACAGCCTGTGAAGGAAGGACACTAGTACAGGAAAGACTGCCTCCCAGTGTGACACATGCTATCCAAGGATTGTGTTTGTGGCTCAAGGGTGTTCAGAGGAGAGGGTATCTAAAAATTCCAAGTTATCTTGCTGCCATCCTGAAGAGCAATGCCACACCCAAGCACCCAGCTGAAGCAGGACAACATGATTTTAATAAATTAGAGAATATTCACGCCAGGCGCGGTGGCTCACGCCTATAATCCCAACACTTTGGGAGGCCGAGGGGGGCAGATCACGAGGTCAGGAGATCGAGACCATCCTGGCTAACACGATGAAACCCTGTCTCTACTAAAAATACAAAAAATTAGCTGGGTGTGGTGGTGGGTGTCTGTAGTCCCAGCTACTTGGGAGGCTGAGGCAGGAGAATGGCATGAACCCAGGAGGCGGAGCTTGCAGTGAGCAGAGATCGCACCACTGCACTCCAGCCTGGGCGACAGAGTGAGACTCTATCTCAAAACACACACACACACACAAAAGAATATTCACCAGGTGGCTACTCACGCAAGAAAACAATATCAGCAATGGTTTTATAATTGATGACTGAATTGGCTGAACATTACAACAGCCCTCATTCTATAGTACAACAGCACACCAATGCAAAGTTCCTGAAAGTATTTTCAAGAGACCCTGCAGGTGCTTATTACCCTAGGTTCCAGCAGAAGAAGCCCTTGTCTTCAGGCAAACCCAATTCAGCACCTAGAAATCCCAGGATAGGTAGGGAAGCAGAATGTGTAAGTGCTAGAATGGGAAGAACACTGGACTTGGTTTCAGGGATTTGGGATTCTCAAGCTGACTGCATGGCCAACATGAGTCACGTGCTCATTCCAGGCAAGCCAAGCAGATAGTGAGGTTATGGGATTGCCCCAGTCTGAAACTGTGCCATTTGTGCATTTGTGCTCAGGTATCTCTTTTCAGAATATGTGGGTAAAGCATGACTTTACCATAACCATAGGCTGAAGATAACTAGTGTTGTGATCCAGGCCACAGGCCACCTGAGAAATTCACATCACTACACCGTGACAATAATCACAGTAAGCATATATTCTTCTCACCTATGTGGCAGCGCTCTAGAATCCAGAGACTGCTATGATGCTTGTTCTATATGATGGTGTGGTATCATTTGGGCACCACTATTGTCAATGTATCAATGCTGGCTATAGATATAGGCGGAACTGGTTTGCTGTTTCTAGCAGTGACAGCAGAGTATAGAAGAAGAAATCTCAATGCTCATGCCCATCATATTGGTCCAATTGTTCTGAAACCTTGCAGGATGCAAACACAAGGAAGGAGAGAAAAGACACAGTGGATCTCATTTCTAAGTGTCTACGTAGAAGTGAGTGGATCATGGAAGGCTTTGTGTAATACGTAGAATTTTAACTGATGACTATAATTGACCCAGCATTATTATTATTATTATAATTGCACCTGCTGTAAATTTTGCCAGTCTGTAAATTTGCTGTAAATTTGCTGTAAAATTTGCTGTAAATTTGGACAGATAGAAATCGGGAAAGAAATAATTTACAGTGGCACTGTTAATAATAGCAGAGAGTTTTTTAGGGAATGGTGAAGAATTCATACATGAGTTTTATTCCTTGTGTCTCCCACTCCATGTATTTTGGTCATGGTGGCAATATTCCTCTTATATAGAATCATAAGGCTGGAGTGCTCTGAATAATGAGCATCATCTTCTGTGGCCTTGAAGTGATAGGGCTTGCTGTTAGTTTTGTGATATTCATAGGAGTGAGCTCTATAATAATATAAAGTCCAGAGAGGGCCAGGCAGGTCAGGCCAACAGGACAAGCCACAAAGTCAATTCCCTTCTCTCCTCACCCTCCTCACAGGGATATGTCCAGCCCTCCAGGGTCAGAAGGCATGGATAAAAATACAAAAAAAAGTGTGGGGGTTAGGGGAGAAGAGAGAAGCAATGGAATGCAGCCCCTTCTCTGGAGCAGCATTTTTACCTGCAAAAGGCCCACATTGGGAGTAGGGGAGATAGTTAATCTTTGAATTAAATTCACCATTGTAATTGTCACATCAAAATTTAAATCTAAACTCTGCATAGCCTTGATATGGATGTCCCAAAATTCCTATTCAAATTCTGTGTTGTCTAGAACCTCTTTGTAACGTAATTTCTATAGTGACTTGACATTTTTAAATCCTGGTAAACATGTGAGAGAATAACACATATCAACCTCAGACTTTCTGAAGTTGAAGAAAGTTGTCATTCCCATTCCAGGTGTGCAGGCACCCTTGCCTTCTTATCAAAGATATGTACAATTATTGGTGAGAGTAGAGATGCATGATTCAGCCTTGTGTCTGTAAAAGTGTATGTACTCATTTTAAGAGTTATTGGAAATAAATATGATAAAAATTTAATATGTGCTTAATTTCGTGTTGGGTTGGTGAATGCAAATTATATTACCTTCTACCTATGTACTCGGTTAACAAACTCCCTTCCAGCATACCCCATGTCCTCATTCTTGGTGACTTCAATATTCTTGGAGTGAGTCCACACAACAAACCAGTCTCTCAGTTGTTTTTAAGTTTTCATTCAGAATTAATTGTAGACTATTAAGAAGTTACTAAAATAGTACAGAGAGTTCCTGTATGCCCATCAACCAACCCACAGTAATACTGACTTTTTAATTGAATGTATTATCAAAACCAGGAAAATGACATTGGTACCATCCAATTATCTACACTACAAATCTTATGAGACTTCACCAAATATCTACAGTACGATCTTACCAAATTTTACCAGTGTTTGCATGCACTCATTTTTGGAGTGAGATATTTCTCTATGTTTCATTCCATAACATTTTGTCACATGTGTAGATCATATAACCAGAACGACATTGAATATAGAAGTGTTTCTTCACCACAGAAGATTTCCCCTGGGTTCCCCCTACTGCCACACCCACACTATTCTTCTTCCCAAACCCCTCTAATCACTGTTCTATTCTTCATCTCTATAATTTTGTCATTTCAAAAGTGTTACATAAATAGAATCATACAGTATCTAATCATTTGACTTTGGCTTTTTTCATTCAGCATAATGTCCTCAAGATCCATGCAAGTTTTTGCAAGTATCAATAACTTATTGCTAATTTTTTATACTACTGAGTAGTGTTCCATTGTATGGATGTACTATGCTTTGTTTCATTATTGGTAAGTGGAAGGATATTGCTGTTTTTTCTAATGTAACATTTAAAAATAAAGCAGCTATAAACATATGTGTACATTTTTTTAATTTTTACTTTAAGTTTTGGGATACATGTGCAGAACGTACAGGTTTCTTACATAGGTATACATGTGCCATGGTGATTTTCTGCACCTATCAACTCATCATCTATGTTTTAAGCCTCACATGCATTAGGTATTTGTCATAATGCTCTCTTTCCCCTTGCCCCCCACCCCCGACAGGCCCTCATGTGTGATGTTCCTCTCCCTGTTGCATGTTTTCTCATTGTTCAACTCCCACTTATGAGTGAGAACATGCAGTGTTTGGTTTTCTATTCCTGTGTTAGTTTGCTGAGAATGATGGCTTCCAGCTTCATCCATGTCCCTCCAAAGGACTGAACTCGTTCTCTTTTATGGCTGCATAGTATTCCATAGTGTATATGTGTCACATTTTCTTTATCCAGTCTATCATTGATGGGCATTTGGGTTGGTTCCAAGTCTTTGCTATTGTAAATACTGCTGCAATAAACATGTGTGTGCATGTGTCTTTATAGTAGAATGATTTATAATCCTTTGGGTATATACCCAGTAATGGGATTGCTGGGTCAAATGATATTTCCGGTTCTAGATCCTTGAGAAATCTCCACACTGTCTTCCACAATGGTTGAACTAATTTACACTCCCACCAACAGTGTAAAAGCGTTCCCATTTCTCCACAGTCTCACCAGCATCTGTTGGTCCCTGACTTTTTAATAATCTTCACTGTGGCTGGTGTGAGATGGTGTCTCATTGTTTTTATATGTATTTCTAATGATCAGTGATGATGAGCTTTTTTTCATATTTTTTTGCTACAAAAAATGTCTTCTTTTGAGAAGTGTCTGTTTATATATATCCTTTGCCCACTTTTTGATGAGGTTGTTTGTTTTTTTCTTATAAATTTGTTTAACTTTGGCCAGGTGTGTTGGCTCATGCTTGTAATCCCAGTACTTTGGGAGGCCGAGGCGGGTGGATCACCTGAGGTCAGAAGTTTGAGACCAGCCTGGCCAACATGGTGAAACCCCATCTCTACTAAAAATAAAAAAATTAGCCAGGCATGGTGATAGGCGCCTGTAATCCCAGCTACTCAGGAGGCTGAGGCAGGAGAATTGCTTGAACCCAGGAGGCGGAGGTTCAAGTGACCTAAGATTGTGCCACTGCACTCCAGTCTGGGCAAGAGAGTGAGACTCCATCTCAAATTAAAAAAAAAAAAAAAATTTGTTTAACTTCCTTGTAGATTCTGGATATTAGACCTTTGTTAGATGAGATCGCAAAAATTTTCTGCTATCCCGTAGGACATCTGTTCAATCTGATGATAGTTTCCTTTGCTGTGCAGAAGCTCTTTAGTTTAATTAGATCTCATTTGTCAATTTTGGCTTTTGTTGCCATTGCTTTTGCTGTTCCAGTCATGAAGTCATTGCCCATGCCTATGTCCTAAATGGTATTGCCTAGGTTTTCTTCCAGGGTTTTTATCGTTTTCAGTTTTACATTTAAGTCTTTAATCATTCTCGAGTTAATTTTTGTATAAGGTGTGAGGAAGGGGTCCAGTTTCTGTTTTCTGCATTTGGCTAGCCAGTTTCCCAGCACCATTCACTAAATAGGGAATTCTTTCCCCATTGCTTGTTTTTGTCAGGTTTCTCAAAGATCAGATGATTGTACCTGTGTGGTGTTATTTCTGAGGACTCTGTTCTGTTTCATTGGTCTATACCTGGTGCTGTTATTTCTGAGGACTCTGTTCTGTTTCATTGGTCTACATATCACTTTTGTTACCACTACCATGCTGTTTTGGTTACTGTAGCCTCGTAGTATAGTTTGAAGTCAGGCAGGGTGATCCCTCAAGCTTTGTCCTCTTTGCTTAGGATTGCCTTGGCTATATGGGCTCTTTTTGGGTTCTACATGAAATTTAAAGTAGTTTTTTTTTTTTAAATTCTGTGAAGAAAGTCAATGGTAGCTTTATGGGAATAGCATTGAGTCTATAAATTACTTTGGGCAGTATGGCCATTTTCACGATATTGATTCTTCCTATCCATGAGCATGAAACTTTTTTCTTTTGTTTGTGTCGTTTTTTATTTCCTTGATGTTGTATTCCTAGGAATTTTATTCTCTTTGTAGAAATTGTGAACAGTAGTTCATCATGATTCGTCTCTCTGCTTAACTATTATTGATGCATAGGAATGCTGGTGATTATTGCACATTGATTTTCTATGCTGAGACTTTGCTGAAGTTGCTTATCAGCTTAAGGAATTTTGAGACTGAGAGGATGGGATTTTCTAAATATACAATATTGTCATCTGCAAATAGAGACAATTTGACTTCCTCTCTTCCTATTTGAATACTCTTAATTGTTTTGTATTGGCTGATTTCCCTGGCCAGAACTTTCAATACTGTGATGAATAGCAGTGGCAGAAGAGGACATCCTTGTCTTGTGCCACTGTTCAAAGGGAGTGCTTCCAGCTTTCACCCATTCAGTATGATATTGGCTATGGGTTTGTCATGAATAGCTCTTATTATTTTGAGATACGTTCCATCAATATCTAGTTTATTGAGAGTTTTGAAGGGGGCCAGCCCCTCCACACCTGTGGGAGTTTCTCTCAGGTGGGACGAGGGACTGAGAAAAGAAATAAGACACAGAGACAAAGTATAGAGAAAGAACAGTGGGCCCAGGGGACAGGCACTCAGCATACAGAGGACCCGTGCCGGCACTGATCTCTGAGTTCCCTCAGTATTTATTGATCACTATCTCTACTACCTCGGTGAGGGGGATGTGGCAAGACAATAGGGTAATAGTGGGGAGAGGGTCAGCAGGAAAACATGTGAGCAAAGGTCACTGTGTCATAAATAAGTTTAAGGAAAGGTCCTGTGCTTTGCTGTGCACGTACACAAACATCTCGGTGCATTAAAGAGCAGTATTGCCACCAGCATGTCTCACCACCAGCCTTAAGGTGGTTTTCTCCTATCTCAGTAAATAGAACATACAATCAGCTTTTACACTGAGACATTCCATTCCCAGGGACGAGCAGGAGACAGATGCCTTCCTCTTATCTCAATTGCAAAGAGGGCTTTCTCTTTCACTAATCCTCCTCAGCACAGACCCTTTATGGGTGTCGGCTGGGGGATGGTCAGGTCTTTCCCTTCCCACGAGGCCATATCTCAGGCTATCACTTGGGGAGAAACCTTGGACAATACCTGGCTTTCCTGGGCAGAGGTCCTTGCGGACTTCCACAGTGTATTGTGTCCCTGGGTACTTGAGATTAGAGAGTGGCGATGACTTTTACCAAGCATACTGCCTTCAAGCACTTTTTTAACAAAGCACATCCTGCACAGCCCTAAATCCATTAAACCTTGAGTCAACACAGGACATGTCTCTGCAAGCACAGGGTTGGGGCTAGGGTTACAGATTAACAGCATCTCAAGGCAGAAGAATTTCTCTTAGTACAGAACAAAATGGAGTTTCTTATGTCTACTTCTTTCTACATAGACACAGTAACAGTCTGATCTCTCTTTTCCCCACAAGTTTTTAGCATGAAGGGATGTTGAATTTTACCGAAGGCCTTTTCTGGATCTATTGAGATAATCGGGTGGTTTTTGTCATCAGTTCTGTTTATGTGATGGGTTACATTTACTGATTTGCGTATGTTGAGCCAGCCTTGCATCCCAGGGATGAAGCCGACTTGATCGTGGTGGATAAGACTTCCATGTGCTGCTGGATTCAGTTTGCCAGTATTTTATTGAGGATTTTTGCATTGATGTTCATCAGGGATATTGGCCTGAAGTTTTCTTTTTTTGTTTTGTCTCTGCTTGGTTTGGTATCAGAATGATGCTGGCCTCATGAAATGAGTTAGGGAGAAGTCCCTCCTTTTCAGTGGTTTGAAATGGTTTCAGAAGGAATGGTACCAGCTCCTCTTTGTACCTCTGGTAGAATTTGGCTGTGAATCCGTCTGGTCCTGGGCTTTTTTTGGTAGGCTATGAATTACTGCCTCAATTTCAGAACTTGTTATTGGTCTACCCAGGGATTTGACTTCTTCCTGGTTTAGTCTTGGGAATGTATATGTGTTCAGGAATTTATCCATTTCTTCTAGATTTTCTAGTTTATTTGCGTAGAGGTGTTTATAGTATTCTCTGGTGGTAGTTTGCATTTCTGTAGGTTCCCTGGTGATATCCCCTTTATCATTTTTCATTTTATCTATTTGATTCTTCTTCCTTTTTTTCTTTATTAGTCTAGCTAGTGGTCTATCTGTTCTGTTAATCTTTCCAAAAAGCCAGCTCCTGAATTCATTGATTTTCTGAAGAGTTTTTCATGTCTCTATCTTTTTCAGTTCTGTTCTGATCTTAGTTATTTCTTATCTTCTCCTAGATTTTGAACTTGAATTAAAAGACAAAGTCTGTGTCTTTTAATTGGTCTTGCTTCTCTAGTTCTTTAATTGTGATGTCAGGGTGTTGATATTAGATCTTTCCTGCTTTCTCCTGTGGGCATTTAGTACTATACATTTCCCTCTAAACATTGCTTAACTGTGTCCCAGAGATTCTGGTAAATTGTCTGTTTGTTCTCATTGGTTTCAAAGAACTTTTTTATTACTGCCTTAATTTCATTATTTATCCAGTAGTCATTCAGGAGCAGGTTGTTTAGTTTCCTTGTGGTTGTGTAGTTTTGAGTGAGTTTCTTAATCCTGAGTTCTAATTTGATTGCACTGTGGTCTGAGAGACTGCTTGTTATGATTTCCATTATTTTGCATTTGCTGAGGAGTGTTTTACTTCCAATTATGTGGCTGATTTTAGAATAAGTGCTATGTGGCACTAAGAAGAAAGTATATGCTGTTGATTTGGGGTGGAGAGTTCTGTCAGTTTCTATTAGGTCCACTTGGTCCAGAGCTGAGTTCAAATCCTGAATATTCTTGTTAATTTTCTTTCTTGTTGATCTAATATTGACAGTGGGGTGTAAAATTCTCCTGCTATTATTGTGTGGGAGTCTAAGTCTCTTTGTAGGTCTCTAAGAACTTGCTTTATGAATCTGGGTGCTCCTGTATTGGGTGCATATATATTTAGGATAGTTAGCCCCTTCTTGTTTCATTGATCCCTTTACCACTATGTAATGCCCTTCTTTGTCTTTTTTGATCTTTGTTGGTTGAAAGTCTGTTTTATCAGAGACTAGAATTGCAACCCCTGCTTTTTTTTTTCTTTCCATTTGATTGGTAAATCTTCCTTTATCCCTTTATTTTGAGCCTATGTGTGTCTTTGCATATGAGATGGGTCTCCTGAATACAGCACACCTATGGGTCTTGACACTTTATTCAATTTGCCAGTCTGTGTCTTTTAATTGGGGCATTTAGCCCATTCACATTTAAAGTTAATATTGTTATGTGTGAATTTGATCCTGTCCTTATGATGCTAGCTGGTTATTTTGCACATTAGTTGATTCAGTTTCTTCATAGTGTCATAGGTCTTTATATTTTGGTGTGTTTTTGCAGTGGGTGGTACCGGTTTTTTGTTTCCATATTTAGTGCTTCCTTCAGGAGCTCTTGTAAAGCAGGCCTAGTGGTGACAAAATCCCTCAGCATTTGCCTGTCAGGGAATTATTTTATTTCTCCTTTGCTTATGGAGCTTAGTTTGGCTGAATATGAAATTATGGTTGGGGTGGCTGGCAAGATGGACAAATAGGAACAGCTCCAGTCTGCAGTTCCCAGCAAGATCAATGCAGAAGGCAAGCGATTTCTGCCTTTCCAACTGAGGTACCTGGATCATCTCACTGGCACTTGTTAGACAGCGGGTGCAGGTCATGGAGGACAAGCCAAAGCAGGGTGGGGTGTCACCACACCCTGGAAGCACAAGGGGTGAGGGAAATCCCTCCCCTAGCCAAGGGAAGCCGTGAGGGACCATGCCATGAGGAACAGTGCTCTCAGCCCAGATACTATGCTTTTCCCACAGTCTTTGCAACCTGCAGACCAGGAGATTCACTTGGGTGCCTACACCACCGGGTCCCTGGGTTTCGAGCACAAAACTGGGCGGCCATTTAGGCAGAAACTGAGCTAGCTTCAGGAGGTTTTTTTTGTACCCTAGTGGCGTCTGGAATGCTAGTGAGGCAGAAGCATTCACTCCCCTGAGAAGGGGGCTGAAGCCAGGGAGCCAGGTGGTCTAGCTCAGTGGATACCACCCCCATGGAGCCCAGCAAGCTAAGATCCACTAGCATCCACCATTACTGGGTCTTGAGTAGGTGGTTTTCCCTTCACAGTGTAAACAAAGCCACCTGGAAGTTCTGACTGGGTAGAGCCCACCACAGCTCAGCACACCCACTGTAGCAAAACTGCCTCTCTAGATTCCTCCTCTCTCAGAAGGGCATCTCTGAAAGAAAGGCAGCAGCCACAGTCAGGGGCTTATAGATAAAATTCCCATCTCCCTGGGACAGAGCACCTGTGGAAAGGGGTGGCTGTGGGCATTGCTTCAGTAGACTTAAACGCTCCTGCCTGCCGGCTCTGAAGAGATCAGCAGATCTCACTGCACAGCACTCGAGCTCTGCTAAGGGACAGACTGCCTCCTCAAGTGGACCCCTGACTCCTGTGCCTCCTGACTGAGAGACACCTCCCAGCAGCGGTAGACAGACACCTCATAAAGAGAGTTCTGGATGGCATCTAGTGGGTACTTTTTTGGGAAGAAGCTTCCAGAGGAAGGAACAGACAGCAATCTTTTCTATTCTGCAGCCTCCACTGGTGATACCCAGGAAAACAGGCTCTGGAGTGGACCTCCAGCAAACTACAGCAGACCTGCAGTAGAGGGGCCTGACTGTTAGAAGAAAAACTAAACTACAGAAATAAATCACATCAACATCAACAAAAAGGATGTCCACACAGAAACCCCATCTGAAGATCACCAACATCAAAGACCAAAGGTAGATCAATCCATGAAGATGAGGAAAAACCAGTGCAAAAACGCTGAAAATTCCAAAATCCAGAACACGTCTTTGCCTCCAAAGGATCACAACTCCTCGCCAGCAAGGGAACAAAACTGGACAATGAGTTTGACGAATTGGCAGAAGTAGGCTTCAGAAGGTGGGTAATAAACTCCTCTGAGCTAAAGGAGCATGTTCTAACCCAATGCAAGGAAGCTAAGAACTTTGAAAGAAAAAAAAAGTTAGAGGAATTGCTAACTAGAATAACCAGTTTAGAGAAGAACATAAATGAACTGATGGAGCTGAAAAACACAGCAGGAGAACTTCGTGAAGCATACACAAGTATCAATAGCTGAATTGATCAAGCAAAAGAAAGGATATCAGAGATTGAAGATCAATTTTATGAAATAAAGCATGAAGACAAGATTAGAGAAAAAAGGATAAAAAGGAATGAACAAAGCCTCCAAGAAATATAGGACTATGTGAAAAGACCAAACCGACATTTGATTGGTGTACCTGAAAGTGACAGGGAGAATGGAACCAAGTTGGAAAACACTCTTCAGGATATTATCCAGGAGAACTTCCCCAACCTAGCAAGACAGGCCAACATTCAAATTCAGGAAATACAGAGAACACCACAAAGATACTCCTCGAGAAGAGCAACTCCAAGACACATAATTGTCAGATTCACCAAGGTTGAAATGAAGGAAAAAATGTTAAGGGCAGCCAGAGACAAAGGTAGGGTTATCCACAAAGGGAAGTCCATCAGACTAACAGTAGATCTCTCTGCAGAAACCCTACAAGCCAGAAGAGAGTGGGGGCCAATATTCAACATTCTTAAGAAAAGAATTTTCAATCCAGAATTTCATATCCAGCCAAACTAAGCTTCATAAGCGAAAAAGAAATAAAATCCTTTACAGACAAGCAAATGCTTGCTGAGAGATTTTGTTACAACCAGGCCTGCCTTACAAGAGCTCCTAAAGGAAGCACTAAATATGGAAAGGAACGACTGGTACCAGCCACCGCAAAAACATAACAAATTGTAAAGACCATTGACACTATGAAGAAACTGCATCAACTATGGGCAAAATAACCAGCCAGCATCATAATAACAGGATCAAATTCACACATAACAATATTAACCTTAAATGTAAATGGGCTAAATACCCCAACTAAAAGACACAGACTGGCAAGTTAGCTAAAGAACCCAGACCCATAGGTGTACTGTGTTCAGGAGACCCATCTCACGTGCAAAGACACACATAGGCTCAAAATAAAGGGATAAAGAAAGATTTACCAAGCAAATGGAAAAAAAAAAAAAAAAAAAAGCAGGGGTTGCAATTCTAGTCTCTGATAAAACAGACTTTCAACCAACAAAGATCAAAAAAGACAAAGAAGGGCAATACCTAATGGTAAAAGGATGAGTGCAACAAAAAGAGATAACTATCCTAAATATATATGCACCCAACACAGGAGCACCCAGATTCATAAAGCAAGTTCTTAGAGACCTACAAAGAGACTTAGATTTCCACACAATAATAGTGGGAGACTTTAACACCCCACTGTCAATATTAGACAGATCAACGAGAAAGAAAATTAACAAGAATATTCAGGACTTGAACTCACCTCTGTCCCAAGTGGACCTAATAGACATCTGCAGAACTCTCCATTACAAATCAACAGAATATACATTCTTCCCAGCACCAAAACACACTTGTTCTAAAATTAACCAAATAATTGGAAGTAAAACAATCCTTAGCAAATGCAAAAGAACAGAAATAATAACAGTCTCTCAGACCACAGTGCAATCAAATTAGAACTCAGGATTAAAAAACTCACTCAAAACCCCACAACTACATGGAAACTGAACAACCTGCTCCTGAATGACTACTGGGTAAATAACAAAATTAAGGCACATATAAATAAGTTCTTTGAAAACAATGAGAACAAAGACACAATGTACCAGAATCTCTGGGTCACAGCTAAAGCCGTGTTTAGAGGAAAATGTATACCACTAAATGCCCACAGGAGAAAGCAGGAAAGATCTAAAATCAACACCCTAACATCACAGTTAAAAGAACTAGAGAAGCAAGATCAAACAAATTCAAAAGCTGGCAGAAGACAAAAAAAAAAATAAGATCAGAGCAGAACTGAAGGAGATCGAGACACAAAAAACCCTTCAGAAAATCAATGAATCCAGGAGGTGTTTTTTTGAAATGATTACCAAAATAGACAGACCACTAGTTGGACTAATAAAGAAGAAAAAAGAGAAGAATCAAATAGACAAAATAAAAAATGAAAAAGGGGTATTACCACCGATCCCACAGAAATACAAACTACCATCAGATAATACTAAAAACACCACTATGAAAATAGACTAGAAAATCTAAAAGAAATTGATAAATTCTTGGACACATACACCCTCCCAAGACTAAACCAGGAAGAAGTCAAATCTCTGAATAGACCAATGACAAGTTCTGAAATTCAGGCAGTAATTAACAGCCTACCAACCAAAAAAGCTCAGGACCAGACAGATTCACAGCTGAATTCTACCAGAGGTACAAAGAGGAGTTGGTACCATTCCTTCTGAAACTATTCCAAACAAGAGAAAAAGAGGGAATCCTCCCTAACTCATTTCATGAGGCCAGCATCATCCTGATACCAAAACCTGGCAGAGACACAACAAAAAAAGAACATTTCAGGCCAATATCCCAGATGAACATCAGTGCGAAAATCCTCAAGAAAATACTGGCAAATCGAATCCAGCAGCACATGAAAAACCTTATCCACCACAATCAAGTCAGCTTCATCCCTGGGATGCAATGCTGACTCAACATTCCCAAATCAATAAACGTAATCCATCACATAAATATAACCAATGACAAAAACTACATGATTATCTCAACAGATGGAGAGAATGTCTTCGATAAAATTCAACACCCCTTCATGCTAGCAACTCTCAATAAACTAGGTATTGATGGAATGTATCAAAAAATAATAAGAGCTATTTATGACAAACCCACAGCCAATATCATACTGAATGGGCAAAAGATGGAAGCATTCTTTCTGAAAACCAGCACGAGACACAGATGTCCTGTCTCACCTCTCCTATTCAGCATAGCATTGGAAGTTCTGTCCAGGGCAATAAGGCAAAAAGTGTATTCAAATAGGAAGAAGAAAAGTCAAATTGTCTTTGTTTGCAGATGACATGATTGTATACTTAAAAAATCCCATTGTCTTAGCTCAAAATCTCCTTAAGCTGATAAGCAACTTCAGCAAAATCTCAGGATACAAGATCAATGTGCAAAAATCACAAGCATTCCTATACATCAATAATAGACAAACAGAGAGCCAATTCATGAGTGAACTCCCATTCACAATTTCCACAAAGAGAATAAAATATCTAGGAATACAACGTACAAGGGAGAATTTGTACATTCTCCCTTCAAGGAGAACTCTTCAAAGAGAACTGCAAACCACTGCTTAAGGAAATAAGAGAGGACACAAACAAATGGAAAAGCATTCCATGCTCATGGATAGGAAGAATCAATATTGTGAAAATGGCCATACTGCCCAAAGTAATTTACAGATGCAATGCTATCCCCATCAAGCTACCATTGACTTTCTTCACTGAATTAGAAAAAAACTCCTTTAAATTTCATTTGGAAACAAAAAAGAACCTGTATAGCCAAGACAATCCTAAGCAAAAAGAACAAAGCTGGAGACATCACACCACCTGACTTCAAACTATACTATAAGGCTACAGTAACCAAAACAACATGGTACTGGTACCAAAACAGATATATAGACCAATGGAACAGAACAGAGGCCTCAGAAATAATGCCACACATCTACTACCATCTGATCTTTGACAAACCTGACAAAAACAAGCAATGAAGAAAGGATTCCCTATTTAATAAATGATGTTGGGAAAACTGGCTATCCATATGCAGAAAACAGAAACTGGACCCCTTCCTTACATCTTATACAAAAATTAACTCAAGATGGATTAAAGACTTAAACATAAGTCTTTTTACATTAAAACTGTAAAAACCCTGGAAGAAAACCTAGACAATACCATTTAGGACATAGGCATGGGCAAAGACTTCATGACTGAAACACCAAACGCAATGGCAACAAAAGCCAACATTGACAAACGGGATCTAATTACACTAAAGAACTTCTGCACAGTAAAAGAAACTATCATCAGAGTGAACAGTCAACCTACAGAATGGGAGAAAATTTTTGCAATCTATACATCTGAGAAAGGACAAATATCCAGAATCTACAAGGAACTTCAACAAATTTACAAGAAAAAACAAACAACCCCATCAAAAAGTGGGTGAAGGATATGAACAGACACCTCTCAAAAGACATTTATGCAGCCAACAAACATATGAAATAAAGCTCATCATCACTGGTCATTAGAGAAACACAAATCAAAACCACAATGAGATACCATCTCATGCCAGTTAAGATGACAATCATTAAAAAGGAAACAACAAACACTGGAGAGGATGTGGAGAAATAGGTATGCTTTTACACTGTTGGGAGTGTAAATTAGTTCAACCATTGTGGAAGACAGATTCCTCAAGGATCTAGAACCAGAAATACCATTTGACCCATCAATCCCATTACTGGATATATACCCAAAGGATTATAAATCATTCTACTATAAGGACACATGCACACATATGTTTATTGCAGCACTGTTCACAATAGCAAAGACTTGGAACCAACCCAAAAGCCCATCAATGATAGATTGGATAAAGAAAATATCACACATATACACCATGGAATACTATGCAGCCGTAAAAAAGGATGAGTACCTACAATGCCTCGCAGCACAAGTTCACATTGCCTGATATTGATACTTAGGCCTATAATTGATTATAAAGATTCAAAACAACAATTAATTACAAAGAGTTGAACAAGATGGGATGAGATTGGAGTGGCTGAGATGTATTTAAAATGGGACAGAGGCCAAGAAACATCTCAGATAGGGATTTTAGCTCAAACAGCTCTGGCCTCTGATTTGTCTGCATTCTTCATACAGGAAATCACAAGGCTGCCCGGTATCTTCATAAGCCTGGATTGGTCACCAGCTCTCATTCTAGCTCCTCTAGATATCTCCTAAATTACACAACACAAAAGGGTCCTCTGAAGTCACTGAATCCCAGAAAGGCTCTACCTCTTTAGCAAGAGGCAGCACTTCTTCAACTCTGGACAGAAGAAGGAGGAAAGGTAAGGGTATGTACCAAGAACTCTCTTCTTTCCACAGTAAGTTATGTTTTTTGCTATAAGTTCACATCCCTGTGTTTCCACCTTAAGGAGCTACATGCAGGGGGTCATGAGCCTGTTTCAGGAAAAGGCGGGTGACATGAAGCTTCCTTCTGGAAACTGAGTGCTGGCAGCCTAGACTGTGTGAATTCCAAATGGAGCCAGGCAGAACTTTCTCCCTTCTGATCCACCTTTCCACATCACTCCCTTTATTCCACTTATTCAATCTGCTGTCATGGAGACAATATTGTCTCTTACATTCATTTAAGGAGCAAGGGGACTTGCAGGCATGACTTCTAACAGCTGAACTGCTGTAAAAGGAGGTTTACTCTTTTTACTTAGTTTTTAACATTATTCTTTGCCTATCAGGAAAGGTCTAAGGAAGGAATAGGTGGTCTGAAATATAATTGAGGAGTGTTTCATGAGGAGACTATTTACAAAGATGGGCAGCATTAAAGGAAAGTGACAATGCCTGGGGATGCACCCTAAGTAGCAATAGTGGAGCATGACTTTCTTCCCTAGGCTTAAAAGAACAGGAAAGGAGCAGGTACCATTGAAAGCATAACGATAGCTGTAGCTGTAGGGTTGGGAGAGGATGACCAGGCAAGTGGAGAAGCCCTGCATCACAAACACACAGCCACACAGGCAGACAGCCAGCAGGTGGAGATCTCAAATGACTCCCCTCCTGCTTTCCAGTCTCCTGCTGGTGTCTCCCAGTGTCTCAGTTCAACCAGACACCAGAATGAAAAGAATCTCACTGATGAGGTACATAGAAGCCACCCTCTTGGGTTGTCAAACAGGGTAGAGAAGATTGGAAAGCAAATCCTCATAATAAATGGGACTGTCCTTCCACCTTTCTATATCCTCCTCCTTCCTAAGGTTTTCTTTATTTAAACGTCATTAAATCATGTCTCATCTCAGCTCTATTACAGTTATTTTTCTGTTTAAAAATTCTTGTTCAAGTTTCAGTATTATGGAGAAATATATGCATTCATCAAAAATGCCTAGGAAATGAAGTGTAATTTTCAAAAAGAGAAAACATTTCTTTTGGTTAGAGTGTAAGTTTGGTTTCTCTAATAGAGACCCAAAGTAGAAATATCTTAGACAAGAAAACAAAGTTGTCCCTCCATGTCAGTAGGTCCTGAATCTGCAAATTTAACAAACCAGAGATAGAAAACATTCCAAAAGAGCAGCATATGGCAGGAATTGTATAGGTACTGAACAGGTACAGACTTATTTTTTCCTTTTTATTATTTCCTAAATGAGCAGTATAACAATTATTTACATAGCATTTATATTTTATTAGGTATTATAAGTGATCTACTAATGATTTAAAGTATAAAGGAGAAAGTGCATATGTTATATCCAAATACTATGTCATTTTATATAAGAAAATTGAGCATCTGCAGATTTTTGTGTGTGCAGGGGTTCTAGAACCAATCCCCTGTTGATACGCAGGAGTGACTGTATTTAAGACCTGAGTTGGAGGCTCCAAGGCATCAGGCATTAGGACTCCAAAAATTGCTGCTCCCCAATGTCTAGAGAGGTGCCCTCATCCTTGTGGTATTACATGGTTGTCAGTTACATCAGCATTCCAGCCTTATGGAGAAGAACTTAGATTTAGAGGGGAAGGGGAGGCTATGCTCCTTCTATTGATCCTGTGAGCCAGGACTTTCTTACATCACATTGGCTCACCTCCCATTGACCAGAACCTGATCATACGATGTCATCCAGCATCAAAGAAAACTGGGATGTGGGTCCTTGTGCTGCTTTTCGAGTCCAGAATAGTGATATGACTGAAAAGGAGAATAGATATTGGGGCAATCTAGTAGATTCTAAAGCCCCTGATTATCTAGCAGATTCTGTTCTCACCCAAAGATTTTTCAGAAACTCCTCAGAAATAATGAATGATGGGGTAGAGAGCAATAGAGAATGCTCATGCAGGGCTCCAGGGATGAGGGGCTGTGCTGGATCTGCTCTTCGTGGTGCAATCTCAGGAAAATCCTTTGATTCTTTAAGCCTCAGCTACTTGGCGTATTATATGAGGGTATTACAATAGATGGTCTTTGAGGAATACAAGCTGAATGTTGGTGATACTACAGTGAACAAGAACAGGCATGGCTTAGTCTTTATGGGGCTTCAAGTTTCATGAGGAAGACGAACATATTATACCCTAAATTTAGATGGTCAAACTGTTAAGTACCCTGAGTGTGGATAACAGAGGTTCTAGTTTTCCTCCCATTTCCTTTTCAGGCCAACCAACACTGTGGCAGCTTTTCTCTCCAAGAGAGCTCATGATGGATGCATTCACTCCTGATGCTCCTCTGTACTCCCAGTGGAGGATGTGTCTTCTTTCCACTTAGAGGCCTCCAGCTCCTTTGCATCTTAACCAAGATATAAGCTAGCCCCCTTTCACCAGTTGACATCTACATCAACATCTGTCTTTACGCTCCAAGCCCTGAACTCCTATTTCCCCTTGTGGACTCCTCTCAAACATTGTTTCTATCAACAAAAAAACTCTACCAAAAATCTTCTGTGTGACAAAATCGAGTGGGTCTGCATTGTGTATACCCAGCAGAACACTTAGAAGTCCCCCTTCGGTGGCACTCCGATCTCACCCTCACTTATTCTTTCCTCTTCTATATTGCTGAGAAATTCAGTTCAGATCCACACCCTACCCCGACACTGCATACAAAAATTTTCTAGATGCTCAGCAAAGCCACATTGAGCCTCATTTCAAAGGCACATTAGTGGTCAACCTCAGGTACTTGGTCACATATCAGTAATTCCTTTTGACAGAGCTGTCCACAAAATTCTGATGAATGAGATTTTCATTATCTCATTATATGTGTGTGTTCTAATGTCTTGAATTGTGTTTTCATTTTTATTCTCCATTTTACTTAAAGCTAAACTACCATTCGGCTGTTCATTCATGCATTCATTCACTGAATGAATATTTCTGAAGAACACAGTGTGCTGCACAGGGAGCCAGGCACTGGGGATATAAAAAGGTTTCTATCGTCAATGACTGACACACTGCGCCATTTCTAGCTCACCAGGCCCAGCCATCATCACACTTGTACTAGCAAGATGTCACATTTTCCTCATGTCCACAATGCATGATCTTCATTTTCATCCATGGAGGACCACTCTAAATCATGAGGGTGTCACAGCCACCTCTTTGTCTATCCGAATTCCTGCACCTTAGAGAAAGTTTCCGGCCCAGGACAGAGTAATGCTTCAGTCCACAGTCCACGCTGGTTGAATGGAGGTGTTTCAATCATAATGTTATTCCCATGTCAGTAGAAAACTGTTTTGCAATAGACAGAGCCCAGGCTTTAAAGCCAGCAAGAACTGGGTTTAAATCTGGAGTTGAGGACTCCTCAACTTTTAATAGGTTACTTATTCTCTGTGAGCTTGTTTCTCTCCTCTGTAAAATGGGGACAGTACTTCCCAAGTAGCAGGGTGGTGGTGAGAATCAGAGATCATACAGCTGCTGATCACATCTTGTTTGTGTTCCCAGGGGCACCAGACTAGGGTTTCTGAGCATGAATCCAACCATCCCAGCCTTGGATACAGAAATTGCACCAATTAGTGATACAGAGGAGACCCATCCTCATCGTTGTGGCATGGAGGTCCTGGTCCTCATAGTGCTGATCCTCATCATTGACCTGGTCGGGCTGGCAGGAAATGCAGTCATGCTCTGGCTCCTGGGCTTCTGCATGCACAGTAACACCTTCTCTCTCTACATCCTCAACCTGGCCAGGGCTGACTTCCTCTGCACCTGCTTCCAGATTATAACATTCATTAATTTCTTCAGTGACTTTGTTAGTTCTCTCTCCATCCATTTCTCTAGATTTGTCACCACGGTGTTGTTCTCCGCCTGTATTACAGGCCTGAGCATGCTGAGCACCATCAGCACCGAGCACCGCCTGTCCGTCCTGTGGCCCATCTGGTACTGCTGCCACTGCCCCACACACCTGTCAGCGGTCATGTGTGTCCTGCTCTGGGCCCTGTCCCTGTTGCAGAGCATCCTGGAGTGGATGTTCTGTAGCTTCCTGTTTAGTGATGTTGACTCTGATAATTGGTGTCAAATATTAGATTTCCTCACTGCTGTGTGGCTGATTTTTTTAATCTGTGGTTCTCTGTGGGTTCACCCTGGTCCTGCTTGTCAGGATCATATGTGGATCCCAGAAGATGCCGCTGACCAGGCTGTATGTGACCATCCTGCTCACAGGGCTGGTCTTCCTCTTCTGCAGCCTGCCCCTCAGCATTCAGTGATTCCTATTATACTGGATCGAGAAGGATTTGGATGACTTACCTTGTGTTGTTCGTTTAATTTCCATTTTCCTGTCTGCTCTTAACAGCAGTGCCAACCCCATCATTTACTTCTTCATGGGCTCCTTTAGGCAGCTTCAAAACAGGAAGACCCTCAAGCTGGTTCTCCAGAGGGCTCTGCAGGACATGCTTGAGGTGGATGAAGGTGGAGGGCAGCTTCCTGAGGAAACCCTGAAGCTGTCGGGAAGCAGATTGGGGCCATGAGGAAGAGCCTCTGCCCTGTTAGTCAGATGGGACTTTGAGAGCAACACTACCCTGCCACTCTTGACAATTATATGCGTTTTTCTCATCTTTGTGCCTCTGAAATGCCCCAGTGACACCCCAGTATCTTCAAATAGTTTTATTTTTAATCTCACATTTCTAGTTTTACTCAGAGAAAGCATTAATTTTAAGGTACAATGTTTAAATTCTTCTTCACATTAGCAATCAATTTATCCTGTTTTCTTCCACTGAATTTTTTTTACTGAAAACATTTTTTTTTGCAATTTTCATTAGAATGGAAAGAATTCCTGCACAAAACTGCAAAATTCTGCTTCATAATTTTTATTTACCTAACAGTGTCAAAAAGGAAGATTCCTTATTTATCTCTCAGACTATGTTCCGTGGAAAATCATGTTCCCTTCCATGATTGGAGGCATTGCTGCAGGTAGGAAGCTCAACTCTTGATAAGTAAGTTCTGTTGCCTCTAAATTTCATTGAATTCTCAGATATAAGGGAAAATAATGTCAAGAGACAAACTCTCTGTCTTCATAAAAACAGTCCAGGAAACTGGTTTTATGAAAAGTCCTGCGCTGTCATTTGTCCACAGCATGGTGACAGGTTGGCCTAGGTTTCCAGTGAAGATAACCATGGCCCCTTCCCCTTGAGAACTAGTATGTGCTTATTTAGCTATCCCTGGACCAAGGAACAAGTGTAGAGTATATAAATATGCCCTATCAGTTCTAATTTGGCCATTTGCAACCTCAGTATTGGTTTCAATGTGAAAATTATCTTGAAATCATTTATTATTTGCTGACAGATTCCTTCAGTTGTAGAGGAATTCTGGGTACTTCCCGTTTTTGTATAAGTTGTTCTGGTTGTAACTTTTAGTTAGCTTCATGGCTAGTCACCATGAGAAGCAAGATTGAAGATATCTGACCTTTCCATGATAATGTCAATTACAGTATCTTGATAATAGCTTAGCATTGTTAGAGAATTCTAATACATGCTGTGACACAGATGAACATTGAGAACACTGTGCTAAGTGAAATAAGCCAGACACTAAAGAACAATATTGTAAGTTCAAATTTTTGAAGTATCCAAACTAGGAAAACTGATGAACACAGAAAATAGATTAGGAACCTGATGGTGAGGAATGGGGAGAATGTGTAAACAGGATTTAATCAGCATAAAATTTTTGTTTGTGATAATGAAAAGTTCTTAAAAGAGGGAGTGGTAATAGTTATAGCTCATTGTCAACGTACTCAATGCCACTGGATTGTACACTGAAAATGGTTAAATTAGTAAAATGTATGTTATATAAACTTTACCACAAATAAAAACATTTAATTATGAGAACTTAGGATCAGTACAAATCAGGACTAGTCTCTGCCAGTGGTTAACCCTTCCACAGGTAACTCAAGCAGACAGAAGAGACCACCAAGAGAAGATGGGACATCACAGTGGGCTCTGAGCTGCTCACAGCAGTGAGGATGTCCCTCAGATTGACCCTCACACAGGAGAGCTGACAAATGCAATTTGAGTACTCAGGAGACAGTATAAAGTAGCTTAAAAAGTGGCAAAAAAGCCCATTATTTTCCACTTTTCAAAAAAAATATTTTTGATGGCTCTTACAACACTGTTCAACCTATAGAACTCAGGCCTCTTGAATCCAGATCCATTCCTCTTCCAGGCCTCGCTCTTTGCTGATTCTGTATCCTATATGTCCATGCTTGATTTACAAATACCATAGTAGGACTTGGCTATATGTGAGGGTTCCTATAGGTACAAGGAGGCAGGAAGACAGTGTTTACAGTCAATTCTCCAGGCATGGGGTTTTGATGTGATGTCATTAGTTCAGACTGGGGGTTATCAGGAGAGTCCACCTTGAGTCTGTGGTATCATCAATTGTATAGCTTCAGCTAACAATTTTGTCCATAATGAGGAGCCATGGAGAGAAATTTCACCTAACAATTGAACCAAAGACTGTTGGCCCTCTCTGGGAAACTGGTTATTTTGTTGACAGTGACATTCCTTTTTCTTTTAACTATAAGAATACTTTAAGCTCCTGAAAGCTTATATTCAGCCCCTGAAGGCCATTCTGGACTCATTTGGCCCCACACATTGCTCTACTATAGCACTTATAAGAGTGTACTTGAATGATTTGTCCTCATGTCTTGCTCTTCAACCACACTGTAAGGTCTTTAAGAGCAGAAAACACTTCCTTGAATTTCTAGCGCAACAGACTAGGCGTGGAATTTACAAGATGCTCGGCAACTATTTTTCTCAAGCAGCTCCCACCTGAAAATCACAGGGTTGTCTAGCATCTTGCAAAGGATGTGTTAGTCACCAGGTCTCACTGGAGCTCCTACAGGAACCTTCCACTCAAGAGAAGAGAGTGTCCTCTGGAGTTGGTTGTTTTGAGAACAGCTCTTCCCTTTCATTGCAGGTCTGCTCACTGACTCCGGAGAGAAGAAAGTGGGGACAGGAGATGCAGGAGTCTGCTCAGGAGCTGCCTTCTTTCCAAGGCCAATGATATCATTTCCTCTAATTTACGTGTTGAAGAAGAGCATGCAGGACATCCAAGAGTTTCCTCCAAGAAGAGAGAAATGATATGAAAGTCCCTCATGGCACATTTTGGGAGCTGCCATTCATGATTATTTTTTATGTATGCATTCAACAAACATTTAAACCTAATTCATCAGGCACTGTGTTAATTCTACATACATGTAAAAACCTTTCCAATACATCTCTGGCTAACAGACTCTATCTGTATAACCAATCCTATCCATTCCATCTAGAAAATGTATTGGTTGATGCGGAGTAAATACTGAGCCCTCATGGTCATTCACTGATGCTCCTGTACACCTGGGCTCAAGAGCACTGAGACATCAGCTTCACAAGAACCAATTGGATCTGTTTCCTGTCCTGCTTATGCCAATTAGACTTGCCAATGTAATTACCTAATTTATCTAAACACAACATATCAATGAAATATGAGTATTAAAGAACAATTGTGGTTTCAATAAAAAGTAATGTGGATGCTTAAAGGAAGAGAAAAGCAAGTCCCAAAATTACTGTTAGTGCATTAGTTGTAAGCCTCCCTACTAAACAAGACTGAACATAGATGAACACAATTGAAACATATTCTCAGACAGAATGCAATATATCTGATATTAAGATCTACACTTAATTTGCATTTCTCTGATGATCAGTGATGTTGAGCTTTTTTTCATATGTTTATTGGCCATGTAAATGTCTTCTTTTGAGAAGTGTCTGTTCATATCCTTCACCCACTTTTTGATGGGGTTGTTTTTCTCCTGTAAATATGTTCAAGTTCCTTGTAAATTCTGGATATTAGCCCTTTGTCAGATGGATAGATTGCAAAAATGTTCTCCCATTCTGTAGGCTGACTGTTCACTCTGATGATAGTTTCTTTTGCTGTGCAGAAGCTCTTTAGTTTAATTAGATCCCATTTATCAATTTTGGCTTTTGCTGCCATTGCTTTTTGTGTTTTAGTCATGAAGTCTTTGCCTGTGCCTATGTCCTGAATGGTATCGACTAGGTTTTCTTCTAGAGTTTTTATGGTTTTGGATTTTACATTTAAGTCTTAATCCATCTTGAGTTAATCTTTTGTGTAAGGTGTAAGGAAGGAGTCCAGTTTCAGTTTTCTGCATAAGGCTAGCCAGTTTTCCCAGCACCACTTACTGAATAGGAGAACATTTCCCCATTGCTTGTTTTTGTCAGGTTTGTAGAAGATCAGATGGCTGTGGATGTGTGGTATTATTTCTGAGGTCTCTGTTCTGCTCCATTGGTCTATATGTCTGTTTTGGTACCAGTACCATGCTGTTTTGGTTACTATAGCCTTGTAGTATTGAAGTCAGATAGTGTGATGCCTCCAGCTTTGTTCTTTTTGCTTAGGATTGTCTTGGCTATACAGGGTCTTCTTCGATTTCATATGAAATTTAAAATAGTTTTTTCTAATTCTGTGAAGAATGTGAATGGTAGTTTGATGGGAATAGCATTGAATATATAAGTTACTTTGGACAGTATGGCCATTTTCATGAGATATCATCTCATGCCAGTCAGAATGGTGATTATTAAAAAGTCAGGAAACAATAGATGCTGGTAAGGCTGTGGAGAAATAGGAACACTTCTACACTGTTGTTGGAAATGTAAATTAGTTCGACCATTGTGGAGGACAGTGTGGTGATTCCTCAAGAATCTAGAACCAGAAATACCATTTGACCCAGCAATCCCATTACTGGGCATATACCTAAAGGAATATAAATCATTCTACTATAAAGACACATGTACATGTATATTTATTGCAGCACTATTCACAATAGCAAAGACACAGAACCAACCCAAATGCCCATCAATGATAGCTTGGATAAAGAAAATGTGGTACATATACACCATGGAATACTATGCAGCCATAAAAAGGAATGAGATCATGTCCTTTGCAGGATGTGAAGCTGGAAGCCATCATCCTCAGAAAACTAACACAGGAAAAGAAACGCAAACACCGCATGTTCTCACTCGTAAGTGGGAACTGAACAATGAGAATGCATGGACACAGGCAGGGGAAAAACACATTACCAGGGCCTGTTGGGGGATGTGGGTTAGGAGAGGGAACTTAGAGAATGGGTAAATAGGTGCAGCAAACCACCATGGCACCTGTGTACCTATGTAACAAACCTGCACATTCTACACATTATCCCCCTTTTTCTAGAATAAAGAAAAATAAATAAATAGAAGTTTCAAAGATAAAAAATCTACACTTACACAAATTTAAACTGGAAATCCTAAAAAGTGATTGATAGCTATGCCTTCTGTAAGACAGACAGAGTGGAATTCTATTTGCTGAAACCTGCAGAATGGAAAGCCCTTCAGTCTAGTCCTTTTCTAGTGAATTAATTCTAGGTAAAAATGAAATTTTTTTCTTACAAATGTAATCTTTTTATAATTGCTGGTTAACAGATATTTTTAATTAACCTATCCACCTTAACAGTCCTCAATGTATCATTAAGTAAACTTTTTATAGCAATATCACTCACTCACTCACTCACTCATTCTCTGTTCACTGTATAAAAACATACTGAGCATGTATTTGTGGAACCTGGAATTCAAAGAGATTGCTGTGATGCTCCTTCTTTATGATTGTGTGGAATGGACTGGACAGAAATATTGTCAATGCACAAATGCTGGCTATAGATGCAGAAGGGATTTGCTTGTTGTTATCTAGCAGTAACAACAGAGTACAGAAGAAGAGATCTCCATACTCATGCCCATAATATTGGTACAATTGTCCTGAATCCTTGCAGGATGCAAACACAGGGATGGACAGAAGACAGCAGAAGAGTCCCTGCAGGTGCTTAGGGCATGGATGGGTGTTGCAAGACTAACTATTCCCACTACCACGTGTCCAGCATATAAAGCCCTTGCCTACAGCCAAGCCCAGCTCAGCATCAAGAAATCCTAGCATTTGAAGGGATGCAGAATCTTCAAGTGCTAGAATGAAAAGAACACTGTGAACCTGAATTCGTGGAACTGGGATTCTCAAGCCGACTGCATGATCAACATGGGGCACATGCTCATTCCAGGCAATCCAAGCAGATAGTGAGGTTATGAGATTGCCCCAGACTGACATTATGCCATTTGTGCTCAAGTCTCTGCTTTAAAAATACAGTGGTAAGGTTTGACATTATCAGATCTGTGAACTGAAAATAACTACTCTTGTGATCCAGGCATCCTGAACAGTTCATGTCTCTATATAGTGACTGTGATCATAATAAGCACATGTTCTTCTCACCTACATGGCAGTTACCCAGAATTCGAAGAGATTGCTGGGATGCTCCTCCTTTATGATTGTGTGGAATGGACTGGGCAGGGATATTGCCAATGCACCAATGCTGGCCATAGATACAGATGGGATTTGCTTGTTATTTAGCAGTGACATAGAGTATAGAAGAGAGCCCCATACTCATGCCCAACATATTGGTAAAACTATCCTGAATCCTTGCAGGATGCAAACACAAAGGAGGGAGAGAAGAGATGGAGAAGATATCATTAGTAAGTGTGTGTGCGATCAGGGAGGGCTTCTTGAAATATTTAGAATTTGAACTGATGACTCTACAATTTACCCAGTATGTATCCTCTGTCACTTCTGCCAGTCACATAAATTTTTCTGTTGGTCAAGGAGACGTGAGTAAGATTTGGTCAGATGGAAATGAAAGAAGAGGACATTTATGATGGCACTGTTAATAAAAGCATGGAGTTTTTTAAGGAATGGTGATTAGTATGTCATGCGTTTTATTCTTTGCGCCACCCCAAGTGTTTGGTTGTGCTTACAAGATCCCGTGTAAGAAGGATCATAAGGCAGAGTACTCTGAACATTGAGTAATGTCTGTTGTGGACTTCATGTGACAGGGCTTGGAATTAGTTTTACTATATTACCTTGAGAGAACTCTACAATGTTGTAAATTCCAGAGAGGGCCAGCCAGGTCAGCCCAGCAAGACAAGCCAAAAAGGCAATGTCCTGCTCTCCTGACCCTCCTCACAGGGATACAGCCAACACTTAAGGGTCAGAAGGCAATGATAAAAAACTACAAGTGTGGAAGTTAAGGTAGGAGTGAGAAACACTGAAATGTACACACTCCTCTTATATAATATTTTTGCCGCAAAAGGTCCAAATTGACAGTGTGGAAGATAGGTCACCTTTAAATTAAGTTCAATATTTTATTTGTCACATAAAAATTCAACTCTAAACTTTTTCATAGCCTTGATATGGATGATTGCTTACAAGTTGGTAACCTATTATCAGAAAATTTGTACCGAAATTCAACATGTCACATTGCACCTCCATTATAATACATATTTATTGTATCTTGATATTTCAATTAAAATTCCTGTTTTAACATGTTATTACACGTGAGAGAATAATGCATATTAGCTTCAGAAGTTTCGAAAAGATCAGTGAGAGATGCAGGTTTGAGCCTTTAGTTGTATCAGTACATTTTTATGTATTCATTTTTAGGAGAGATTGGAAGCAAATATGACAAAATGTTGATATATACATCATTTTAGTGGTGGGTGTGTGAATGTTTATTATATTATCTTATGGCTTGTGTGTCTAGTTTACAAGTTTCTCTCGAGCATAACTCTGGTCCTCATTCTTGATGACTTCAATATCCACGTAGTCAACCCAACTAACTGAACTTTTAGTTCTTTATCTTCCCATTCTGAATTATTTGTAATCTAACAAAAAGTTACAAAAATAGTACTGAGAGTTCCTGTGTACCCATCACCTAATATATACCAATGGTGACGTGCTACATAGATAGAGTTTATTATCAAAACCAGGAAATTGATGTTGGTACAAAACAATTTTCTATAATATACATCTTATGGGATTTCACCAGTGATTGCATGCACTCATTTTTTTACGAGTGGGATATGTCTTTGCAAGTAATTCTATAACATTTTGTCACACATATAGATTCATTTAACCACCACCACATTGAAGATATGGGAGTGTTTCTTCACCACAAAAGAATTCCCTTGGGTGACCCATATTATCACACCCACCCCATGTCTCTTCCCAAACCCTTCTAACCACTAATCTATTCTTCACCTCTATAATTTTGTCATTTCAAAACTGTTACAAACATGAAATCATACAACAATTAATCTTTTGAGTCTGGCTTTTTCACTCAGCATAATGTCCTCAACCGACCCAAGTTGGTGCAGGTATTAGTAATTTGTTGTTGATTTTTTTCATGGTTGAGTAGTATTTCTTTGTTCTGATGCTTTGTTTCACTATTCATAAGTGGAAGGCCATTGCATTTTTGTCTAATATGTCTTTTATATATAAAGCTGCTATAAACATATGTGTATAGATTTTTTAATGAATATAGTTTTCTAGTCTCTAGGATAAATTTCATAATTGAATTGCTGAGTTGTATGTCAAATATTCTATGTTTAATTTTTTTTAATGCAAGAGTTTTTCAGAGTAGCTCTACCATTTTACTCTCTCACTGGCAGGGTATAAAACATCCAATTTCTCCAAATCGTGACCAATATTTGAAACTATCAATATTTTGTATTTTAGCCATATTAAAAGGTGTGTAGTAGTATCTCTTTGTGTTATTAATTTGTATTTTCCTAAAGGTTACTGATGTTGAACATCATTTTATGCCTTTATTTGCCATGCATATATCTCCTTGGTGAAGCATCTGTCTTTTGCCTTCGTTGAATCCAGCTCTCCTATTAACTCCATATCTCTTCTCACAGATCTGAGTGTGGCTGGAGAACAACACACTACCATGCCTAATGGTTTCACTTCACATTTATGACCTTGAGCCTCAAATATTCACTTGTATCTCCTGAACAATCATGTAACATTTCCATAATTGCTTCCCACTCTCCAAGGAAACTCTTCACACCACCTCCTCTCTCCTGAAACCACCTCCTCACTCTTTTATCGCTCTCTTGTGATGCTCTGCCGAGAATTACCCCATCTCCCCCACAACAAACCTACCTGTCAGTTCGCCTCTGAGCTCATTTCTCTGAGCTCATTTCTCTGTCTTCCCTCCCAAGTCAGGCAATGGGCTCTGCACGCTCCTGTCCTTAACCGTCCTTTCCCCTTGTGTGCTGGTTCCCCTTCCTGCCCTGAAACACTGTGTATAATGACCACCTCTCCCTCCAGCTTCTTCAATGCTTCCTCTTCTATTGGGTCATTCAGCACAGTATAAATAAGCTATCCTATCTCCTTAAAACACCACTCAAGTCAACATTTCCCTCCATCCACAATCTGATTTCTCTTTTTTCCTTTAGAGAAAATCACTTCAGAAGAGTTTTCTACACTCCTTATCTTCATTTTCTCACCTCCAATTAACTCTCTCTCTCCCCCTCCCTTTCCCACCTAATTAACCTTTTCATTATCTCTTTATGTGTGTTCTTCTCATATTCCTATTTCACTTTCTTAGCTAAATCATTGCATTTATCACTGTACATTTATTTCCTTTATTTTAAAATTTATTTTTAAAATAAAATTTGAAATATTTTTTTAAAAATTTCTTTTTAAAATAGTAATATAGTCACAGGTTTCAAAAAATTTTTTCACGCATACGTTGAAAATGGTCATTCTCATTCCAAGTACTCGGGCTTCTTTACCGTATTATCAAAGACATATACATTTTTATAGTTTTTAATTTTTAATCTATCTAAAGACACTTAATGCTAAAACAACTATATACTTGTTTATATATTTATATGTATATATATTATATATATATATATATATATATATATATATATATATATAGTCTATCTCATACAAAATACACATTGGCCTGCATTCTTTTTTCTTTATTTGATGTATCATGAAGCCCCTTTCATATCAGGTTTCTTGTTTTTTTATTTTATTTCATTTACTCAGACAGCATCTCACTCTGTCACCCTAGCTAGAGTGCAGTAGCCCAATAACGGCTCACTGCAGCCTCAAACTCCTGGGCTTAAGCAATCCTCCTGCGTCAGCCTATCAAGTAGCTGAAACTACAGGTGCAAGCCACCATGCCTAGCTAATATTTTCATTTTTGTAGAGAAGGGTTCTCTCTATGATGCCCAGGCTAGTCTCGAACTCCTGGGTGCAAATGATCCTCCCACCTCGGCCTCCCAAAGTGCTGGAATTACAGGTGTGAAACAACATGCCCAGCCTGTTGTTCTTTTGATACTGTCGCAGAGTATTCTACTATACGAATAGACCATAATTTATACAGTATTGATGGCCATTTTGGCTGTTACCATTTTTTATTGCAAAAATGCTGCATTTATTAACTTTGTGTGTGTATATATACACACAAAGTTATATAAATATATATATATATATATATATCTTCAACATGCACAAGTATATCTCTAGGATAAATTCCTAGATGAAGAATTATAGGGAGAAAAATATGATACTTTATATATATTTCTATATGTTGAAAATCATCTTCCCTGGAGGTTATTTTATCCATTTGCACCCCCGGCAGAAATGAGGGAGAGTGCCTGGTCTCATAACATCCACATGCTATACACTATCCAAACATTTGGCTTTTTACATTTTGGTAAGTAAAATAAAACTCTGTATCAATTCAGTTTGCATATCTTTTATTAAGAGTTGGTATTCTCATCTTTCCATGTCTTTAAGACCCCTTTTTACTTTCTAGAAATTGTAAATCATGACCTATAGTCATTTTCTTATTAGCTTTTTGGATATTGAACTGACATTTTACAGAAACATTTTATAAATTGGGAAATTTAGCAGTTAAGCTATGATATACATTATCAATATTTTCCCAGCTTAATTTTCATTATGATGATTCATGCCATGCCAATGAAGTCTTTGTTTTTGTCTTTATTAATATTTTCTTTAATGTCTTCTAAAGTTTGTCCTGTAATTTGAAAGTTATTCCCCACTGGGAGCTTAAAAAAAACATCTTCCTATGTTTCTTTAGGTTCTTATATTTTCATTATAAAAGTATTTCATGTATCTGTATTTATCCCAAAATCATACGTAAAGTATATTTTCAACTTAATTTTATTTTAGATGACCACTCAGTATCCCAGTCCCATTCATTGAATAGTCCATGTTTTACACAGTTATTCAGTATATCGCCTTTATTATACTAAATTTCAATGCGTATTCATGTCTAATCTTGTGATGTTTTTATTGATCTACTTTTCCATATATGAATCAATATTGGAATGTTGTTCTTATTCAAAACTTACACTAGATTTTAAGCATTCTCATTACCCTTCTTTTTCAGAAGATGTAATTGAGGTTCATTTTCTTTTATTTCTTCCTACTGCCTGTTTTGTATATAGAAACGCTGCTGGTTGTTTATACAGTAACATGGCATGCAGCTACCTGCCTTCACTGTCTCCTTCTCTACAGTGTTTCAGCTGGAGTCTGTGGTGTCCAGGAGTCCCATCACACCACCTGCCATTCTCTTGTACACCTTCTCCAGTTAGTGTTTGGGCCATTCTTCCTCTGCAACCACATTGACATCAGCAATGACTCCCATGCTTCTCACCAAGGGTCAATTTTATAACTGCTCAGCCGCTACTGACACTATTACCAACCAATAACTCCATGGCTTAAAATTATCAAACACTGTACTTCCTAGCTTTCTTCCCTCCCCCACAATTGCTTCTTTACATGTTTTCCTCAAAATTTTGACATGCAACCTTTATCATATACCACATTCTCATATGTATTTCTGTCTAATTCTAAGACTTTTTCTCCATTGGTAAGTTTCTCTATGGATGGTTTGCTGGATCCAGCTTCTCCAGATGTTTCATGGATGAAGACACTTCAGACCTCTTCTCTTTTCAGTCTGTATTTACTTTCTGAGGGCATTCATTCAGCCCTTTGGAAATAAACTCCAGAAGCCCATGGTATAGTTTTATTCACAACTGCAACTCAAGTGCCTGAAAAAAATCCTAAGACATGGTACATCTCTATTAGTTTTCTATGACTGCCACAACAAGGTACCACAAACTGGGTGGCTTAAACCACACAACTTCATTTTCTCACAACTTTGGAGGCTAGAAGTCTGAGATTAAGGTGTGGGCAGGGTTGGATGGCATCTTCTCTTCCCTGTCTCTTCACATGGTCTTACCTCTGTGTGTCTGTGTCCTAATCTCCTATTATAGGACCACCAGTTCTGTTGAATTAAGGCCCAAGCTAACAGCCTCTTTTTAACTTACTTACATCCTTGAAGTGCCTGTTTTCAAATATTATACAGCAGCATTCTGACTTAGGTGTTAGAACATTAGCATATGAACATTGTAGAGACAAAATACTGCCTGTAACAAAGTCCTTATTACATATTTGCTGAAATAATCCATTAAGGAACTTTTCTCAGTTTTTGAAATAGAATCTAATTCAAATTGTATTATTTAAAATGCAAGTGGCTTGATTTGGCTGTAGCATGAGGCAGAAGAATGCAAGCATAAGAGGAAAGACATAAAATTATGAAAATTCACAACTAACAAATATAAAGAACAAATGACATTAAATAGACAGAGAAAGAAAATAAGAGTGCTGAACTCTTTACATTGTGTAAAAGAAATCAATTGGTCCACTTGTTCATACTGACAAATTAAAATGAAATATAAGTGTATTATTCAGAGCTGATAATAATAAAAAAAAAGTAAACTATGGCAAGTGGTGGCCTCTGGAGAATAGGATTCAAGGACACTTTGACCTTGAATTCACTTCTCTGCCATTTGTAAAGAAAATATACACCTGAATGCATTATTACCTTGATAAAGAAAACACCAGCTGCTAAAATACCACCACTTTGATAAAGAAAACACCCCTCTCTGCACTGAAACACTGTGCATAATGACCACGTCTCCCTTTGCTTCTTTCTATTGGATCATTCCGGTGCAGCACAAACAGGCTATCCCATCCCCTGGCTTAAATCACCACCTTAGTCCACATTCTCCTCCATCCATGCATCCATGACCTGGTTTCTCTTATTTCCTTTACAGAAAATCTCTTCAGAAGAGTTTTCTATACTCATTTTCTTAAGTTTCTCACCACCAATTAACTTTCTCTTTCTGTCATATCTTTTCAAATTTTTACCTTTCTTTTAGCTACATCATTAAATTTATTTTTTGTGTTTGAAAATTTATTTTGAAAATAGTACACTCACACATATCAAACAAATTCTTTTCCTGCATATATTGAAAGTTGACATCCTATTCCAGATCCTCAAAATTCCATGCACTCTCCTCAAAGACAAATATATTGAAGAAGTTTTCTGAATATCTGAAATAGTTTCTAATTAAAATAACTTAAATGAAGGGAAGTCATATGAAATAAGACTAGAAAATTTTAATATTTATACTAAATAAAAATAAACAACAAATATCATGAAGTAGAGAAAGATATTCTATGTGTGCTACTTACATCTTATAAGAAAAGTAAGTTGATCCACTTGATAATACTAATAAATGCAAAACACAAATATAAGCTGACTATTCACAGCTAATAATCATCATCAAATAAGAATGGAAAGTGTAGCAAGTAGTGGCTTTTCGAGAAAGAGACTCGGGAGACTTTCACTTTTTATGCACTTCTCTGTTGTTGGAATGAAAGTATACATATGAATGCAATAACCACTGTGATTTAAAAATATATGAAAGAAAAAAGTCAATTGTGGTCAGGCCATGGTGAGCCTTGGATGACATTCTGATATACCTTTTTCTTCATTTATAAAGCCCCACAATACACTCTCACATTGCTTGACATTGAACCTAGGCTCACAGTGGACATTTAAAGGTCCACAACAACAATTGATTACAGGGAGGTGGGCCATATGGGATGGGATGGGAGAGGCTGGCAGTCCAGACTGCAGGAGTTCCAAATGGAGTCAAGCAGACCTTTCTACTGATCCATTTACCCATAATGAGTTGGGATTGCTTGCAGATGAAATTAAAATCAATGGCAAAAGTAAAGACAAAGTTTTTGTCTGTGCTAGAAAGGATAAAGGATCAAGCAGATGGAAAATACATCTTAGTCACTGGGATCACGCCCACTCCTCTAGGAGAAGGGAAGAGCACAGTTATGACTGGGCTGTGCAGGCTCTGACCATGCATCTGCATGTCACCTCTTTTGCCTGTATGAGGCAACCTTCCCAAGGACCGACTTTTGGAGTGGAAAGAAGGAGTCATGGGTAGTGGATATGCCCTGGTCATCCCATGGAAGAGTTCAACCTTCACTTGACTGGAGATATCCATGCCATCACAGTTGCCAATAATTCACCAGCTGCTGTCATCGACCCAAGGATTCTGCATGAAAATGCACAGACAAGGCTCTGTATAATCAGCTGATTCATTTAATGAATGGTGTCACAGAATTTTCAGAAATTCTCTGATTACTTGACTAAAAAAAAACTGGGAATAAATAAGACAGATCCAAGCACACTGACAGAAGAGGAAATGAGTAAATTTGCCTGCCTCGACGCCGACCCTTCCACCATCGCATGGCAGAGAGTATTGAATAAAAATGACCGATTTCTACAAAAAAAATAGATGTTGGCATGGATACAGTGATCTACACTGCCGGTGGGAATGTAAACAAGTACAACTACTATGGAAAACACTGTGGAGATTCCTTAAAGAACTAAAAGTAGAACTACCATTTGATCTGGCAATCCCACTACTGGGTATCTACCCAGAGGAAAAGAGGTCATTTTACAAAAAAGATACTTGCACACACATGTTTATAGCAGCACAATTCACAATTGCAAAAATGTGGAACCAACCAAAAGCCCATCAATCAACAAGTGGGTAAAGAAACTAATATATATATGATGGAATACTACTCGGCCATAAAAAGGAATGAATTAATGGCATTCTCAGCAACCTGGATGAGATTGGAGACTATTATTCAAAGTGAAGTAACTCAGGAATGGAAAACCAAACATCATACGTTCTCACTGATATGTGGAAACTAAGCTATGAGGATGCAAAGGCATAAGAATGACACAATGGACTTTGGGGACTCAGGGAGAAAGGGTGGGAAGGGGATGAGGGATAAAAGACTACAAATTGGGTGCAGAGTATACTGCTCGGGTGATGGGTGCACCAAAATCTCACAGATTTGATTTCATTGCATCTTTCATCAAAACTGTCAAAGCACCAGTCACCCCCAAATCATCAGTGCCACAGGCTGCCCCGTTTTGTCACAGATCACCACTAAAGAACTTACTCATGTAACCAAACACCACTTGTTCCCCAATAACCTATGGAAATAAAAAAATTTAATTAAAAAAATACAAACAACTGATTTCTACAAAAAATAACCATCAGGCAGGCAAACACAGAGAAAGGCTCCTCTTGGCAAACGCTGTTTGATATCGTGGTGGCCAGCGAGATCATGGTGGTGCTGGCCCTTATGAACAGCCTCTCAGACATGAAGACATGGCTGGGAAGGATGGTGGTGGCCATCTGATGCAGACCCTGGAATGGACACCTGTATTCATGCACGTGGGCCCTTTTGCTAACATCACCCATGGCAATTCTTCAGTGTTGGCTGACAAAATTGCCCTGAAACTGGTTGGTGAAGAAGGATTTGTAGTGACTGAAGCTGGCTTTGGTGCTGACATTGAAATGGAGAAATTTTTCAACAAGTGTCAAGCTTCCAGCTTGGTGCCCAGTGTGGTTGTGTTGGTGGCAACGGTGCAAGCTCTGAAGATGCACAGTGGCGGGCCAAGTGTAACTGCTGGTGTTCCTCTGAAGAAAGAACATAAAGAAAAGAACATCCAGTTGGTGGCAGATGGCTGCCGTAACCTCTAGCAGCAAATTCAGATTGCTCAGCTCTTTGGGGTTCCCATTATGGTGACTCTGAAGGTCTTCAAGATCCACACCGGTGCTGAGATTGACTTGGTGTGTGAGCTCACAAAACGGGCTGGTGCCTTTGATGCAGTCCCTTGCTATCACTGGTCAGTTGGTAGAAAACGGTTGCGGACTTGGCTTGGGCTTTGAGAGAAGCTGCAAGTAAAAGAAGTTGATTCCATTTCCCGTATGATGTTCAGCTTCCAATTGTGGAAAAGATAAGAACCATGGCCCTGGCTGTCTATGGAGCCAACGATATCCAGCTCTCTCCTGAGGCACAAACCAAAATAGATTGTTAACACTCAACAGGGTTTCAGAAATTTGCCCATCTGCATGGCAAGGACCCACCTTTCTCTGTCTCACCAACCTGCCAAAAAATTGTGCCAAGGGACTTCATTGTACCTCTCAGTGATGTCAAGGCCAGCATAGGTGCTGGGTTCATTGGCCCTTTGGTTAGAACAATGAGCATCGTGCCAGGACTGCCACTTGGCCCTGCTTTCATGACATAGACCTTGATATGGAAACAGAACAAATTAAAGCCTTGTTCTAAGTGAACAAGGCTTTCATAGGAATTGATTCAGGTTCCTGAAACAGACTCCTCCTTGCCTTTTTGCTGCAGTTAGAGAAGAAACTGAATTTTAAAAATGTCCTTTATGCAATGTTGGAGAAATGGTGAAATAGGTCAAGGATTTCTTCCTCATTGAAGGTGTATCCTATTCACAACAGAGTATAGTGTTCAGCAAAAGGACCTCCACCAAGTCTGAAAAAAAATAATTTACTTAAGTTTCAATAGAGTTTACATTATTTCTACTGCTTACACTTTAGAATGTTAATTTTATGGGACTAAGGGATTAAAAGAGTGTGAACTACAAGGTAACATTTTCCACTCTTGAGTTTTCTTTTTTTTTTTCCTTTTTTTTAAATTATACTTTAAGTTTTAGGGTACATGTGCACAATGTGCAGGTTAGTTACATATGTATACATGCGCCACGTTGGTGTGCTGCACCCAGTAACTCACCATTTAACAGTAGGTATATCTCCGAACGCTATCCCACCCCCCTTCCCCCACCCCACAACAGTCCCCAGAGTGTGATGTTCCCCTTCCTGTGCCCATGTGTTCTCATTGTTCAATTCCCACCTATGAGTGAGAACATGCTGTGTTTGGTTTTTGGTCCTTGCAATCGTTTGCTGAGAATGATGGTTTCCAGCTTCATCCATGTCCCTACAAAGGACATGAACTCATCATTTTTTATGGCTGCATAGTATTCCATGGTGTACATGTGCCACATTTTCTTAATCCATTCTATTATTGTTGGACATTTGGGTTGGTTCCAAGTCTTTGCTATTGTGAATAGTGCTACAATAAACGTACGTGTGCATGTGTCTTTATAGCAGCATGATTTATAATCCTTTGGGTATATACCCAGTAATGGGATGGCTGGGTCAAATGGTATTTCTAGTTCTAGATCCCTGAGGAATCGCCACACTGACTTCCACAATGGTTGAACTAGTTTACAGTCCCACCAACAGTGTAAAAGTGTTCCTATTTCTCCACATCCTCTCCAGCACCTGTTGTTTCCTGACTTTTTAATGATCGCCATTCTAACTGGTGTGAGATGGTATCTCATTGTGGTTTTGATTTGCATTTCTCTGATGGCCAGTGATGATGAGCATTTTTTCATGTGTCTTTTGGCTGCATAAATGTCTTCTTTTGAGAAGTGTCTGTTCATATCCTTCACCTCCTTTTTGACGGGGTTGTTTTTTTCTTGTAAATTTGTTGGAGTTCATTGTAGATTCTGGATATTAGCCCTTTGTCAGATGAGTAGATTGCAAAAATTTTCTCCCATTCTGTAGGTTGCCTGCTCACTCTGATGGTAGTCTCTTTTGCTGTGCAGAAGCTCTTTAGTTTAATTAGAACCCATTTGTCAATTTTGGCTTTTGTTGCCATTGCTTTTGGTGTTTTAGACATGAAGTCCTTGCCCATGCCTATGTCCTGAATGGTATTGCCTAGGTTTTCTTCTAGGGTTTTTATGGTTTTAGGTCTAACATTTAAGTCTTTAATCCATCTTGAATTAATTTTTGTGTAAGGTGTAAGGAAGGGATTCAGTTTCAGCTTTCTACATATGGCTAGCCAGTTTTCCCAGCACCATTTATTTAAAAGGGAATCATTTCCCCATTTCTTGTTTTTGTCATGTTTGTCAAAGATCAGACAGTTGTAGATATGTGGCATTATTTCTGAGGGCTCTGCTCTGTTCCATTGGTCTATATCTCTGTTTTGGTAGTAGTACCATGCTGTTTTGGTTACTGTAGCCTTGTAGTATACTTTAAAGTCAGGTAGCGTGATGCCTCCAGCTTTGTTCTTTTGGCTTAGGATTGACTTGGCAATGCAGGCTCTTTTTTGGTTCCACATGAACTTTAAACTCTTGAGTTTTCTACTTTGTCTTTGAACAGAAAATAATCATGGACTTAGAAAACCAAACCCACACACAGAGTGGGATCAAGCCATTGCAAGCCCTGAAAGACCCTATGATCTACTTTAGTTTTTAGTTATAAAGCCTCACAAAACAAGCTCACGTTGCTTGACATTGATACCTAGGCCCATAATAAATTGTAAAAGTTCAAAACAGCAATTACTTACAGGAAGTTGAATGAGATGGGATATGATGAGAGAGGCAGATATGTATTAATAATGGGACAGAGGCCAAGAAACATCTCAGTTAGGGATCGTGGCTCAAACAGCTCTGGCTTCTGATTTGCCTGCAATCCTCATACAGGAAATCACATGCTGTCTGTATCTTCATAAACCTGGGTTGGTTGCCAGTTCTCATTCCAGCTCTTGTAGGCATCTCCTAAATGACACAACACAGAATAGTGCTCTGAAGTCACGGAATCCCAGAAAGGCTCTACCCCTTTAGCAAGGGGCAGCTCTTTATCTTTGGACTTGAAGAAGGAGGAAAGGTAAGGGTATGTACCAAGAACTCTCTTCTTTCCACAGCAAGTTATTGTTTCTGCTATAAGTTCACAAACCTGTGTTTCCACCTTGGGGTTCTGCATACAGAAGTTCATAAGTTTCCTTCAAGAAAAGGCAGGAGACATGAAGCTTCCTTCTAGAAACTGAGTGCTGGCAGCCCAGACTGCGGGAGTTTCAAATGGGGTCAGCAGAGCTTTCTCCCTCTGATCCATCTCTCCATATCACCCCCTTTATTCCAACTATTCAATCTGCTTTCATGGAGATAATGATGCTTTTTAAATTCATTTAAGGAGCAAGGGGATATGCAGGCATTCCTTCCTACAGCTGAGCTGTGGTTAAGGGGTCTTATTATTTTACTTACTTTTCAAAGTTATTCTTCTTTGCCTATCTGGAAAGGTCTAAGGAAGAAACAGATGGTCCAAAATGAAATAAATGAGGAGTGTTTCATGAGGGGACTATGTACAAAGATGGACAGGGTTAAGGGGAAAAGACAATGCCTAGGGAAGCACCCTAAATGGCAATGGTGTAGCACTACTTCCTCCCCTAAGCTTAAAGGGACAGGGAAGGAGCAGTTACCATTGAGAGCACAGCCATAGCCATAGCTGTAGCTGTAGGGTTGGGAGAGGATGAGCAGGCAGGTGGAGAAGCCCTGCATCACCAACACACAGTCACAAAGGCAGAGGCCCAGGAGGTGAAAATTCCAAATCACTCCCCTCCTGCCTTCCAGTCTCCTACCAGTGTCTCTCAGTGTCTCAGTTCAACCAGAAACCAAAAGGAAAAGAATATCACTGATGAGGTACAGAGAAGCCACCCTCTTGGGATGTCAAACAGGGTAGAGAAGATTGGGAAGCAAATCCTCAAGGCAAATGAAACTATCCCACTCACCTTTTTATATCTTCCTCCTACCTCCTGGGGTTTTCTCTCTCTAAATCTCATTGAATCATGTCTCATTTAATCTCTATCAGAGTTTTTTTTATGTTTGGAAATTCTTTCTCTATTGTCGATTTTATGGAGAAATACCTGCATTTATCAAAAATGCCTAGGAAGTGAAATGTAATTTTAAAAAGAGAAAACATATTCCTTTTTGTTAGAATGTAAGTTTGGCTGCTCTAAAAGAAACACGAAGTAGGAATATCTTAAACAAGAAAGTACAGTTGTCCCTCCATGTCAGTTGGTTCTGAATCCCTAGATTCAACAAACCACAGGTAGAATATATTCCAAAAAAAGGAGGACAGGAGTAGCTCTATAGGTACTGAACAGGTACAGACTTTTCTTTCTTGTCATTATTTCCTAAACAATACCATATAACAATTATTTACATAGCACTTACATTTTAATAGGTATTATAAGTGATCTAGAAATAATTTAAAGTATAAAGGAGAAAGTTCATAAGTTATATTCAAATACTACATCATTTTCTATAAGGAAATTGAGCATGGGCAGATTTTGGTGTGTGCAGGGGTTCTAGAACCAATCCCCTGTGGATACTCAGGAGTGACTGTATTTAAGACCTGAGCTGGAGGCTCCAAGGCATCAGACATTAGGACTCCAAAAATTGCTGCTCCCTAATGTCTAGAGAGTTGCCCTCATTCTTGTGGTCCTACTGCCTGCCAACCACCTCAGCATTCCAGCCTGATGGAGAAGGAAGAGGGGAAGGGAAGGCTGTGCTCCTTCTATTGATCCCATGAGCCAGGACTTGCTTACATCACATCTTCTTACTTCCCATTGACCAGAACCTGGTCATACAATGTCATCCAGCATCCAGGAAAACTGGAATGTGTGTCCTTGTGCTGCTTTTAAATGCTCAGAATTGTTGTTTGACTGAAAAGGAAAATGGATATGGGGCAATGGAGTAGGCTCTAAAGCTCCTGATTATCTCAGATTCTATGCTCACATCAAGATTTTTCAGGAGGTCCTCAAAAATAATGATTGATGAAGCAGAAAACAGTAGAGAAGTCTCATGCAGGGCTCCATGGACCAGGAGCTTATACTGGATCTGCTCTTCATAGTGTGATCTCAGGAAGATCCTTTGATTCTTTAAGCCTCAGCAGCTTCTTGTGTCATAGGAGGATATTACAATAGATGGTCTTTGAGGAACACAGGCTAAATGCTGGCAATACTACAGTGAACCAGAACAGGCATAGCTTAGTTTTTATGGAGCTTCAGGTTTTGTAAGGAAGACAAATATATCATATCCTAAAAATAAGCGGACAAACTCTTAATCTTAAGTGTCCTCAATGTGGTTAACAGAGGTTCTGGTTTTCCGTTAATTTCCTTTTCAGGACAACGAAGGCTGTGGCAGCTTGTATCTCTAAGAGAGCTCAGGATGGATGCATCCACTCCTGATGCTCCTTTGTACTCCCAGAGGAGGGTGTGTCTTCTTTCCACCTGGAGGCCTCCAGCCCCTGTGCATCCTTGGCATTCCAGAACAAAGGCAGCCTTTGTGATGCAGAAAGGAGCTCCTCAATTTGTTCCTAATTGGTTTTCACTCAACTCTATTTGGTTCCCTATTTGATTTGCTTCTCATTCTCTATCTGGAGTTTGTTTAGGTTAGCTTTTTTTTTTTCAGTCCAAACTTTTGACTGCCAACTTGGGTTAAATTTGAGAGTCATTCCTCTGCCTTCCCCCTCTATCATGTATAATAGACATAGAGTGGTGCTGGGTCCAAAGGGCTGGTGAAAAGGGTAGACCTTGAGGCAGCTCTGCTGGGTCCAAATCCGCACTGTGTAAGACCAGGGACAAATAACTCACTCTTTTTGTGCTCTAATTGCATTCTCTGCCATATAGGAATAATACTAACTCTTACCTCCTAGGCTCTTGAGAGCATTAAGACAATCCCTAATAAACTCTCAATCAGCTGCTGTTTTTCAGCCAGATATGAGCTAGTCCTGTTTCACCAGTTGAAATCTACATGAACATCTCTTTTTTCATTCCAAGCGCTGAACTCCTATTTCCTCTCATGGACTCCTCTCATACAAATGTTTGCATCAACAGAGAAAGTCTACCAAAGATCTCCTGTGAGACAGAATCAAGTTGTTTTGCACTGTGTACACCCAGCAGAACACTTAGGAGTCCTCCAAAGATATTGCTACATTTCAATTACCTCTTTCAGCGGCACTCAGACCTCACCCACGCTTACTCTTTCTTTTTCTATATTGCTGAGCAGTTCAGCTCAGACCACACCCTACCCCAACACTGTGTACAAAAGAGATTCTAGGGGCTCAGCAAAGCCACACTGAGTCCTCATTTCAAAGGCACATCAGTAGTCAACTTCAGGTATTTGGGCACATATCAGTAATGCCTTTTAACACAGACGGAACAAATAAAATTCTGATGAATGAAATTTTTACATCTCATTATATGTGGGTGTTCCAACACCTTTAATTGTGTTTTTATTTTTATTTTCCTTTTAATCCAAAGCTATCACTACCATTAGGCTCTTCATTCATGCATTTATTCACTGAATGAATATTTACACAAAACACAGTGTGTTCCACATGGAGCTAGGCACTGGGGATATAAAAGTGCTCCTCTCTGTAATGACGGACACACACTGAGCCATTCCTAGCTCACCAGGCCCAGTCATCATCACACTTGTCCTAGCAAGACGTCACATTTTCCTCATGTAAATAATGCCTAACCTTCATTTTCATCCATGATGACCACTTTTATCATGAAGGTGTCCACCTCTTTATCCAAACTCCTACACTCGAGAGAAAATTTCTGACCAGGACCGAGTAATGCTTGGATCCACAGCCCTGGCCAGTTGAGTGGGGATGTTTTCATCATAATGTTATTCCCATGTCAGTAGAGAAATTGTGTTGCAATAGAGAGAGCCCAGGCTTTAGAGTCACCAAGAACTGGATTTGAAACTGGAGTTCAGCACTCCTCACCTTTTGACAGGTGGCTTATTCTCTGCAAGCCTGTTTCTCTCCTCTGTAAAATGGGGACAATAATTCTCATATAATAGAATGTATGTGAAATCAGAGATCACACAGCTGCTGATCACATCTTTTTTGTGTTCCCAGGGGCACCAGACTAGGGTTTCTGTGCATGGATCCAACCATCCCAGCCTTGGGTACAGAACTGACATCAATCAATAGGACCGAGGAGACCCATCTTCAACATTGTGGCATGGAGATCATGATCCTCATGTTGCTGCTCCTCATCGTTGACCTGGTCCAGCTGGCAGGAAATGCAGTCATTTCCTCTGGCTCCTGGGATTCCGCCTGCACAGGAACACCTTCTCCCTCTACACCCTCAACCTGGCCGGGGCCGACTTCTTCCTCTGCTCCCAGATTTTAGAAATTGTGAATTTCTACCATGACTTCTTCCTTTCCATCTCCACCTATTTCACCACTGTGATGACCTTTCTCTACTTTACAGGCCTGAGCATGCTGGGCTCCATCAGCACCAAGCACTGCCTGTCCATCCTGTGGCCCATCTAGTACCGCTGCCACCACCCCACACACCTGTCAGCAGTCGTGTGTCCTGCTCTGGGCCCTGTCCCTGCTGCAGAGCATCCTGGAATGGATGTTCTGTGGCTTCCTGTCTAGTGGTGCTGATTCTGTTTGGTGTGAAACATCAGATTTCATCACAGTCACATGGCTGATTTTTTTATGTGTGGTTCTCTGCGGGTCCAGCCCGGTCCTGCTGGTCAGGATCCTTTGTGGATCCCGGAAGATGCCCTTGACCAGGCTGTACATGACCATCCTGCTCAGAGTGCTGGTCTTCCTCCTCTGTGACCTGCCCTTTGGCATTCAGTGATTCCTATTTTTCTGGATCCACGTGGATTTGTCACGTTCGTCTAGTTTCCATTTTCCTGTCCACTCTTAACAGCAGTGCCAACCCCATTATTTACTTCTTCATGGGCTCCTTTAGGCAGCTTCAAAACAGGAAGACTCTCTAGCTGGTTCTCCAGAGGGCTCTGCAGGACACGCCTGAGGTGGAAGAAGGCAGATGGCGGCTTTCTGAGGAAACCCTGGAGCTGTCATGAAGCAGATTGGGGCCATGAGGAAGAGCCTCTGCCCTGTCAGTCAGACGGCACTTTGAGAGAAACACTGCCCTGCCACCTTGACAATTATATGTGTTTTTCTCATCTTTCTGCCTCAGAAATGCCTGTGATTCCCTCAATATCTTCAAATAGTTTTATTTTTAATCTCACATTTCTAGTTTTACTCAGAGAAATCATTAATTTGAAAGTACACTGTTTAGATCCTTCTTCCTATTACCAACAAATTTCCCCTGTTATCTTCCATTAAATTTTTCTTACTGAAAACTTTCACGTTCAACTTTTATGGGAATGGAAAGAATTCCTGTCTAAAACTGGAAAACCTTTTTTTTATAACTATTTCCTACCGGACAGTATCCAAGGGAAAATTCCTTATCTTTCTCTCGGACTATGTTCACCTAAAAACCATGTTCCCTTCTATGATTAGGGGTATTGCTGCAGGGAGGAAGCTCATTCTGGATAAGTGAGTTCTGCTGCCTCTGAATTTCATTGAATTCTCAGATACAGGGGAAAATAATGTCCTTAGAGACAGATTCTCTGTATTCATAAAAACAGTCTAGGAAATTGGTTTTATGGAAAGTCCTGTGCTGTCATTTGTCCATGGCACAGTGACATGTTGGCCTTGGTTTCAAGTTAAGATAACCACAGCTCCTTCCCCTTCAGAACTAGTAAGTGCTTATTTAGCTTTCCTGGACAAAGGGACGAGTGTAGAGTCTACAAATATGCCCCATGAGTTCTAATTTGGCCATTTGCAACCTCAGTATTGGTTTCAATGTAGAAATTATCTTAAAACCATTTATTATTTGCTGACAGATTCCTTCAATTATACAGGAATTCTGGATACTTCCCATTTTTGTACAAGTTGTTCTGGCTGTAACTTTCAGTTAGTTTCATGGCCAGTCACTATCAGAAGCAAGATTGAAGGTATTTGACATTTCCATGATAATGTCAATTACAGTATCTAGATAATAGCTTAGCATTGCAACATAATTCTGATACATGCTGCAATACAGATGAACCTTGAGAACATTGTGCCAGACACAAAAGAACAATATTGTAAGTTCAAATTTTTCCAGTATCTAATCTAGGAAAATTGATGAACACAAAAAATAGATTAGGAGGAACCTGATGGTGATGGATGGGGAGAATATGAAATCATTATTTAATGAGCACAAAAATTTTTGTTTGGTAACAGTTACATCTCATTGGCAATGTACTTAATGCTACTGAGTTATACACTAAAAAATCGTTAACGTAGTAAAATGTATGTTACATAAATTTTACCACAATTAAAACCATTTCATTATGAAAACTTAGGATCAGTACAAACTCAGGACTCTTCTCTGCCATTGGTTATTCTTTCCACAGGTAACTCAAGCAGACAGAAGAGACCACCAAGAGAAGACGGGACATCACAGTGGGCTCTGTGCTGCTCACAGGCAGTGAGGATGCCCCTCAGATTGACCCTCACAGAAGGGAGCTGACAAATGCAATTTGAGTACTCAGGAGACAGTATAAAGTAGCTATGAAAGTGGTAAAGAAGTCTATTGTTTTCCATTTTTCCAAAAAAAAAAATGCATCAATGGCTCTTATAACACTGTTCAGCATATAGAACTCAGGCCTTCTGAATCCAGATTGATTGCTCTTCCAGGCCGAGCTCTTTGCTGATTCTGTATCCTATATGTGCACGCTTGATTTATAAACACCATAGTAGGACTTGGCTGTATGTGAGGGTTCTTGCAGGTCAGAGGAAGCAGGAAGACAGTGCTTGCAGCCAATGCTCCAGGCATGGGGTTTAGATGTGATGTCATCAGTTCAGAATGGGGGTTACTAGGAGAGTCCACCCTGAGAGTTTGTGGTATCATCAATTGCACAGCTTCAGCTAACAATTTTGTCCATAATGAGGAGCCCTGGAGCGAAATTTCACCTGAAAATTGAACCAAAGACTGTTGGCTCTCTCTGGGCAACTGGTTATTTTGATTTCAGTAATATTCCTTTTCCTATTCACTGTAAGAATACTTTAAGTTCATATAAGATATCATATTATCTTCTAACCTATATGCCAAATTTACAAACTTCTTTCAGGCATACCCCATGTTCTCATTCTTGGTGACTTCAGTATCCATGGAGGTAGTTCATACAATGAACTGACCTTTTGGTTGTTTTTTAACTTTTCATTCTCAATGAATTGTAGACTAACAAGAAGTTACAAAAAAATGGAGAGTTCCTGTATACCCATCAACCAACCTACAGCAGTAATGACATGTTACATAAATGTATTATCAAAACAATGAAATTAATATTGGTACAATACAGTTATCTACAATACAAATCTTATCAGATTTCACCAGTATTTACATGCACTCATTTTTTTAGGAGTGAGATACACCTTTGCGTATAATTCTATAACATTTTGATCCCTCTCTCCACCTCCACAGGAGGAAGGGTCCTCTGTACACTTGGAGGCCTCCTGCACCTGTGAGTTCTCTGGATTCCAGAGCAATGGCTGCCTTTCAGGCAGAAGAGGGCCCTTAGATTCTGCTATCTATTCCTAATTGGCTTCGACCCAGTTCTCTCTTGTTCCTTATTTAATTGGCTTCTTTTCTCTGTTCCTGGAATTTGCTCATGCTTTTTTTTCATGCACAATTTTGACTGTCGTCTCGGATTTAACTGGGAATTACTTTGCTACCCACTCCAATTCATGTGTAAGTGATACACAGTGGTGCTGGGTCCAAAGCACTCGTCAAAAACATGGACCCTGAGGCAGTCTTGCTGGGTTCAAATCCATACTATGTAAGACTAGGAACAAATAACTCATCTGTTTTGTACTCCAATTCCATTCTCTCCAAAATGAGAACAACACTGATTCTTACCTCACAGGCCTCTGAAAGGATTAAAAAACAGTACCCAGTAAAATCTCAATCTGCTGCTGTTATTCACCCGGATGGGAGTTATATCCTCTCTCTAGTGGAAAGCTGTAGGAGTACCTCTCTCTGCATTCCAAGCCCTGCACTTTTTCAACTTCCCCTTATAGACTCCTCTCACAGAAAAGCTTTCATCAGCAAAGAAAACTCTGCTCAAGATCTCCTGGGAGAAGGAATGGAGTAGGTTTATATTATACACACCACAGCACATCACTTAGTAGTCCTTCATAGATTCTCCCATAACTCAAATACCTCTTTTCAGTGGCACTCAGATCTCACCCTCATCCTCTTCCTCCTCTATTTTGCTGTGCTGCCATATTAAAGGTTCCCTGGTAAAATTCTTCATCTCCTTCCATTCCAATTCCATTTTCATTTCCACTGTAAGGATCTTTTCCTGCATCACAGGCCAATATGCCCAGTGCCATTAGCACCAAGTGTTGCCTGTCCATCCTGTGGCCTACCATCTGGTATTACTGCAGCCATGCAGGATCCCTGTCAATGATCATGTGTGCTCTTCTCTGGGCCCTATCCCTGCTGCTGAAATTCCTGGAGGGTTACTACTGTGCTGTATGTGTGCCACATTTTCTTTATCCAATTAACTATGGATAGGCACATTGATTTCATGTCTTTGCTATTGTGAATAGAATTGCAATGAACATACAAGTGCAGGTGTCCTTTTAGTAGAACGATTTATTTTCTTTTGGATATATACCCAGTAGTGAGATTACTGAATCAAATAGTAGTTCTAAGTTATTTGGGAAATCTCCGAACTGCTTTCCACAGTGGTTGAACTAATTTACATATCCTCCAACGACTTATAAGCATTCTCTTTTCTCTGCAGCCTCACCAGCATCTGTTGTTTTTTGCTGGAGGGCAGCAGCATGATCTCGGCTCACTGCAATCTCCGCCTCCCAAGTTCAAGCGATTCTCTACCTCAGCTTCCTGAGTAGCTAGGATTACAGGCACCCGCCACCATGCCCGGCTAATTTTTGTATTTTTAGTAGAGACGGGGTTTCATCATCTTGGCCAGGCTGGTCTTGAACTCCTGATCTCATAATCCACCCACCTCGACCTCCCAAAGTGTTGGGATTACAGGCGTGAGCTACCGCACCCTGCCAGTTTTTTGACTTTTTAATAACAGCCATTCTGACTGGTGTGAGATGGTATCTCATTGTGGGTTTGATTTATAATTCCGATGATTAGTGATGTGGAGCATTGTTTTATACTTTTGTTGGCTGCTTGTACGTCTTCTTATGAGAAGTGTCTGTTCATGTCTTTTGCCCATTTTTTCACACAGCTATTTGGTTTTTGCTTGTTGAATTGCTTAAGTTCCTTATAGATTCTGGATATTAAACCTTTGTCAGATGTGCAGTTTGTGAATATTTTCTCCCATTCTGTAGGTTGGCTGTTTAATCTGTTGCTAGTTTCTTTTGCTGTGCAGAAGCTCTTTAGTTTAATTAGGTTCCACTTGTCCATTTTTGTTTTTGTTGCAATTGCTTTTGACAACTTACTAATCAATTATTTCCCAAGGCTGATGTCCAGAATTATGTGTTTCTTAGGTTTTCTTCTATGATTATTACAGTCTGAGGTTTTACATTTAAATATTTAATCCATCTTGAGTTAATTTCTGTATGTGGTAACAGGTAAGGATCCAGTTTCATTCCTCTGCGTATGGCTAGCCAGCTATCTCAGCACCATTTATTGAATAAGGAGTCCTTTTTCCATTGCTTATTTCTGACAATACTGTGGAAGATCTGAGGGTGATAGGTGTGCAGCTTTGTTTCTGCATTCTATATTCTGTTCCATTGGTCTGTGTGTCTGTTTTTATACCAGTTCCATGCTGTTTTGGTTACTCTAGGCTTATAGTATAGTTTTTAGTCAGGTAATGTAATGCATGCAGCTTTGTTCTTTTTGCTTAGGATTTCTTTGGCCATTTGGACTCTTTTTTGATTCTTTATGAATTTTAGAATAGCTTTTTATAAATTCTTTTTATTTTCTGTGAAAAATAATGTTGGTAGTTTGATAAGAATAGTGTTAAACTTGTAGATTATTTTGGCAGTATTGTCATTTTAACACTATTGATTCTTCCAATCCGTGAGAATGAAAGTACTTTCCACTTGTTTGTGTCACCTATGATTTCTTTTAGCAGTGTTTTGTAGATCTCCTCATAGATAGCTCTCATATCTTTGATTAGATGTATTCCTAGGTTTAATTTAATTTTTCATGGCTATTGTAAAGGGGACTGCATTCTTGATTTAGCTCTCAGCTTGAACATTGTTGATGTATAGAAATGCTACTAATTTTTGTAAATTGATTATGTGTCTTGAAACTTTACTGAAGTCATTTATCAGTTCTAGGAGCCTTTTGGCAGAGTTTTTAGGGTCATCTAGATATAGAATTATATCATCTTCAAAGAGAGATCGTTTGACTTCTTCTTTTCCTATTTGGATGCTCTTTATTTCTTTCTTCTGCCTAATTGCTCTGGCTAGCACTTCCATTACTATGTTGTCTTGTTCTTGTCTTGTTCTGGTTCTCAAGGGGAATGCAACCAGTTTTTGCCCATTCAGTATGATGTTGGCTGTGGGTTTGTAATACATGGTTCTTATTATTTTGAGGTATATTCCCTCAATGCCTAGTTTCTTGAGGGTTTTTATCATGAAGGGATGTTGAATTTTATCAAAACCTTACCCACATCTATTGAAATGATCATATAGTTTTTGTTTTGAATTATGCTTATGTGGTGAATCACATGTGTTGATTTCTGTATATTGAAACAACCCTGCATCCCAGGAATGAAGCCTACTTGATCATGGTAAATTAACTTTTGATGTGCTGCTGGATTTAGTTTGCTAGTATTTTGTTGAGGATTTTTGTTTGCTAGTATTTCGTTGAGGATTTTTGTGTCTATGTTCTTCAGGATGTTGGCATGTAGTTTTCCTTTTTCATTTTGTCTCTGCCAGGTTTGAGTATTGGTTTGATACTGACCTCATAGAATAAGTTGAGGAGGAGTCTCCTCAATGTTTTTGGAATAGTTTCAGTACTATTCGTACCCACTCTTTTTGTACATCTAGTATAATTCAGCTGTAAATCATTAGACAGATGATCAAGGCAGAAAACTAACAAAGAAATTCTGGACTTAAACTGGACACTTGACCAAGTGGACCTAATAGAGATCTACAGAATACCCCCCCATCAACCATGGCATATACATTCTTCTTGTCCACACATAGAACATACTTTAGGATTAACCACATGCTTGGCCATAAAGAAAGTCTCCAGGGCTTTTTTGGTTGGTAGGCTTTTTTATTACCACTTCAGTTGTGGAACTCAAATTGGTCTGTTCAGGATTTCAATTTCTTCACGATTCAATCTTTGGAAAGAGTGTGTTTCCAGGAATTTACTCATTTCCTCTAGATTTTCTAGTTGTTGTGCATAGAGGTATTCATAATAATCTCTGTGGATATTTTGTTTTTCTGTGGGATCAGTTGTACTGTCACTGTTGTAGTTTCCAATTATGAACATTTGGATCTTCTCTCTTTTCTTTGTTAATCAAGCTTGTGGTCTATTGATCTTGTTAGTCCTTTCAAACAACAAACTTTTTTTATTACACTTTAAGTTTTAGGGTACATGTGCACAACGTGCAGGTTTGTTACATATGTATACACGTGCCATGTTGGTGTGCTGCACCCATTAACTCATCATTTAACATTAGGTATATCTCCTAATGCTATCCCTCCCCCCTCCCCCCACCCCACAACAGGCCCCAGTGTGTGACGTTCCCCTTCCTGTGTCCATGTGTTCTCATTGTTCAATTCCCACCTATGAGTGAGAACATGCGGTGTTTGGTTTTCTGTCCTTGCAATAGTTTGCTGAGAATGATGGTTTCCAGCTTCATCCATGTCCCTGCAAAGGACATGAACTCATCGTTTTTTATGGCTGCATAGTGTATATGCCATGGTGTATATGTGCCACATTTTCTTAATCCAGTCTATCGTTGTTGGACATTTGGGTTGGTTCCAAGTCTTTGCTATTGTGAATAGTGCCGCAATAAACATACATGTGCATGTGTCTTTATAGCAGCATGATTTATAATCCTTTGGGTATATACCCAGTAATGGGATGGCTGGGTCAAATGGTATTTCTAGTTCTAGATCCCTGAGGAATCGCCACACTGACTTCCACAATGGTTGAACTAGTTTACAGTCCCACCAACAGTGTAAAAGTGTTCCTATTTCTCCACATCCTCTCCAGCACCTGTTGTTTCCTGACTTTTTAATGATCACCATTCTAACTGGTGTGAGATGGTATCTCATTGCGGTTTTGATTTGCATTTCTCTGATGGCCAGTGATGATGAGCATTTTTTCATGTGTCTTTTGGCTGCATAAATGTCTTCTTTTGAGAAGCGTCTGTTCATATCCTTCGCTCGTGTTTTGATGGGGTTGTTTGTTTTTTCTTGTAAATTTGTCAAACAACGAACTTTCTTTTTGTTGTTGATGCTTTGTATGGATTTTTGGGTCTCAATTTTGTTCAGTTCTGCTTTTATTTTAGATATTTCTTTTCTTCTACTGGCTTTAGGATTAGTTTGTTCTGGTTTTCCTAGGTCTTTTAGGTGTGATATTGGATTGTTAATTTTAGATCTTTCTAACTTTCAAGGTAGGGGTTTAGCACTACACTTTCCTCTTAATGCTGCTTTTTTTCCATCCCAAAGATTTTGGTATGTTGTGTCTCTGTTTTCATTTATTTCAAAGAAATTTTTGATATCTGCCTTAATTTCATTGTTTACCCAAAGGTCATTCGAGAGCAAGTTGTTTAATTTCCATGTAATCATGTAGTTTTGAGAGATCTTCTAGGTATTAATTTCTATTTTTATTCCACTGTGGTCTGAGAGTATCGCTGGTATTTCAATTTGTTTGAATTTATGGAAACTTTCTTTATGGCCAAGCATGTGGTTAATCCTAAAGTATGTTCTATGTGTAGATTAGAAGAATGTATATTCCATGGTTGATAGGTGGAGTGTTCTGTAGATCTCGATTAGGTTCAATTGGTCAAATGTCCAGTTTAAATCCGTAATTTCTTTGTTAGTTTTCTGACTCAGTGATCTGTCTAATGATGACAGTGGAGTGTTGAAGTTCCCCACTGTTATTGTGTGGCTGTCTAAATCTTTTTGTAGATCCAGAAGTACTTGTTTTATGAATCTGGATATTCCAATGTTGGGTACACACATATTTAGGATAGTTAAGTCCTCTTATTGAATTGAACCCTTCGTTATTTTGTAATGCCCTTCTTTGTCCTTTCTTACTGTTGGTGATTTAAAGTCTGTTTTATCTGATACTAGAGTAGTTACCACTGTTGTTTTTTGTTTTTCATCTACATGGTAGACCTTTCTCAAACCCTTTACTTTGAGGATATGGGTGTCATTATGTGTGAGATGGCTCACTTGAAGACAGCAAATGAATGGGTCTTTTTTAATCTAACTTGCCACTCTGTTTCTTTAAAGTGGGACACTTAGACCATTGTTAATTTAAGACCTTTCTAACTTTTGAGGTAGTTGTTCAGCACTATAAATTTTCCTCTTAATGCTGCTTTTGCTGCATCCCAGAGATTTTGGTATGTTGTGTCTTTGTGTTCATTTATTTCAAATAATTTTTTGATATCTGCCTTAATTTCATTGTTTACCCAAAGGTCATTCAGGAGCAAGTTGTGGGCATTTCGATCATTTGCATACAAGTGTACTGGGGGCATTTAGACCATTTACATATAAGGTTAGTATTGATGTGTGATATTTTGATCTTGTCATTAAGTTGTTAGCTGGTTGCTTTGTAGTTTCTATTGCGTGGTTGCTTTACACAGTCTGTGGGCTATGTGCTTAAGCGCGTTTTTGGTGGTAACATGTATCATTTTTTTGTTTCCATATTTAGAACTCCCTTAAGGATCTCTTGTAAGGCTAGTCTAATGGCAAAAAAATTCCCCTAGCACTTGCCTATATGGAAATTATTTTCTTTCTCCCTTGCTTATGAAGCTTAGCTTGGTGGGATATGAAATTCTTGGTTGAAATTTCTTTTCTTTAAGAATGTTGAAAAAAGACCCCCAATCTCTCCTAGCTTATAATATTTCTGCTGAGAAGGCCACAGTTATCCTGATTGGGTTCCCTTTGCATGTGACCTGACCTTTTCTTTTTGCTGCCTTTAAGATTTTTTTCTTTGGCATTGATATTTGGACAATCTGGTGACTATATGCCTTGATGATGTTTGTTTTATATAGTATCTTGCAAGTGTTCTCTGGATTTCTTATATCTGGCTGTCTACCTCTCTAGCCAGATTAGGGAAATTTTCTTAAATTATTTTCTCAAATATTTTTCCAGGTTCTTTACTTTTTCTCCTTCTCTGTCAGGAAGGCCTATAATTTATAGGTTTGGTCACTTTCCATAATCTCACATTTCTTGAAGACTTTGTTCACTTTATAAAATTCTTTTTTCTTTATTTTTGTCTAACAGGTTAGTTGAAAAGAGCAGTCTTCAAGCTCTGAAATCCTTTTATCTGCTTAGTCTAGTCTATAGATAAAGCTTTCAATTATATTTTGAAAATCCTTAAGTGAGATTTTCAATTCCAGAAGTTCTGATTGATTTATTCTTAGGATGTTTATCTCTTCCTTCATTTTCTGGATTGCTTTAGAAGTATCTTTGTGTTGATTTTCAACCTTGTCTTGGATCTCACTGAGCTTCCCTGTGATCAATGCTTTGAATTCTTTATCTGTCATTTCTGAGTTTCCATTTTGGTTAGAGACCATTGCTAGAGATCTAGTGTGATCCTTTGGTAGTGTCACAGCATTCAGATTTTTCATGGTGCCAGAATTCTTATGCAGCCTCCTTCTTATCTGGGGTTGCTGGCATTTCTAATTTTGGTAATTATTTTGATTTTTTTCCGTCTTCATATGTAATATTATTGGGGTTTTTTTTTTTCTTTCCCTTTCCCTTTCCCTTTCCTCTCTCACTAGGGGATGGGACTGCAGAGAATGCTGAGTAGGATTTTTGGCTTTGCTTCTATAGCACTATGCACATCTGTTGGCAGGTTTTATATTAGGTTGTGCAGTTCAACCTACAAGCCAGTAGATGGCACTTACAGGTAAGAGATGGCTGTGGCCAACAATGCTAGGTATGTACTTGATTCTTTCTTACTGAGAGAAATTCCCTATCGCCTCACGCTGTGGGCTGCTTCCTAAAGTGCACAGTGGTTTGAGCTCCCTGTTCAGCCCCAGGAAGGCAGAGACTAAGATGGGTGGGAGCCGAGATGGATGGAGACCAAGATGGGCAGAGCCCAATCATGCAGTTCCACCTACGGGTCACCCAGTAGGAGACACACACACCAGCATCCAGTGGGCAGCCACCAAGTGCCCTGAGGTGTGCCTAGGTGTGGAGCTGGGAAACCTCCTTGGCCCCAAGTTCTCTGCATAGGGATGGGGGTGGCCTAAACTGCTAATCCAGAAGAGTAGGTGTCCCAGATGCCTGGAGGTCTACCTGGGCATAAAGTAGAGAGGGCCTCACTGTATCATAATCTATGTCCAGGAAGGGTGGGATAGCTCAGCCTGCTGAAACAGAAGAGCAAGTGCTCCAGATGCCTGGAGGTATACCTGGATGTGATGCAGTGAGGGCCTCCACGAACCAGGATCTCTGCACAGGAAGGGTGGGGCTGCTCAGGTTGCTAATCCAGATGAGCGGGTGCTCTGAATCCCTGGAGATCTACCTGGGCATGGAGCAAAGAGGGCCTTGCTGTACCTTGATCTATGCCCATGAAGGGTAGGGTAGCTCAGGCTGCTGGTCCAGGAAAATGGGTATTCTAAATACCTGGATTTCTGCCTGGATATTGGGCAGAGTGGGCCCTGCTACACCACAGTCTCAGGGGAGCAGGCTGGAGTACCCAGAAATGACACATGCAGACTGGTTCCAGATCACCAAGCTGGCGCTGGCCCTAGTCTCACCACCTAGGAGAAACTGCAGCTGTATCAGCTCTCTTGCCACCCCAGGCTTGTGATGGGGGAAAGCACAATTCTAGCACCTACTGCTGAGGCATTTTCCACAGTTCTGGCCATAGAGGCTCCTAACCTGCTCCAGAGTAAGGACTCCAATCTCTGGCCTGAGACTAAAATGCCTGTGTGGCCCCACTGCCAGATCGCTGAAGAATGGCCTTCAACATAGTACCTGGGTATTGTTGATGGTTATTCAGGGCCCAAGGGCTCTTCAGTTAGCAGGTGATGAATGGTGCCAGGACTAGGTTTTTCCCTTCAAGGCAATGGGTTTCCTCCTGGCCCCAGGGCATATCTAGAAAAATCACCCAGTAGCCAGGGCCTGGTAAGAGGGCCTGATGACTCTGACCAGTACCCTATCCTGCTGTTGGCTGAGCTGGTTTTCAAGATGCAAGACAAAGTCCTCCCCAGTCTTCCCTCTCCTCTCTTCAAGTGGAAGGAGGAGTTCTCTTTTGGAGCTATGGACCGTACAGCCTGGAGTTAGGGGAGGAGTGATACTAGCACTCCCTTTGCTGCCCTTGCTGGTGTCTCAGTAGGTCGCATGCTCCCCTAGTCTACTTGTTCTGGGCCCAGTTCAGCACTAGTACTTGCCTAGAAGTTGCAGTCCTTATGGCCTAGACTGCCTTTCAAGTTTATTTACAGCCCCAGAGCACTTTAGGCCATGGTAGTAAGGTTTGCAGAAACTCAAATTCCAACAGCTGGGATCAGTGATTCCCCTCTGGCTAGGGCTGGTTTAAATGCTCCCTCCATGGGCAAGTGTCAGCTGAGTTTGGTCCGGTTTTCTTTTCTGCTCTAACAAGACAGCAATGACTTTGATGCCTCATAATTGCTGTACTCTCCCTCTGCTAGCACACACCCCACAGTGGGAGGGGAGGGGTGACCTCAGCAATTCAAGACAGATTTTTCTACCTCTTCAGTGATACAAAGTTAAAACCAGGTGCTGTGCTCACCTGATTTTTGGTTCTTATGAAGGTGCTTTTTTGTGTAGATAGTTGTTAAAATGGTGTCCTTCATGGGGAGATGATCGGTGGAGGCTTCTAGTCCACCATCTTGCTCTACCTCCCCAGTTACTGATTTTCAACCTTTCTCTTTTTTAATATAAGCATTAAAGGCTATAAATTTCACCATAAGTAATGTGTTAGCTGCCTGCTACAATTTTGATGTTTAGTAGTATTATTTCTTATAAATATTTAATTTATTCTATAATGAATAGAGTGTGCTGAATCATTTTTCAAACATCTCAAAGGCTTCTATTTACCTTTCTATTATTGAATAGAATGAAGTTTGCATCTATTGTGGTCAGGGAAGCTACTTATAATGATTTCAATCCTTTAAAATGTTTTGAGAATTGCTTTGTGGCCATAATATGGTCTACAAGAGAAATAATCCACATTCACTTGAAAATAATGTATATTTTGAATATATTGTTCCATATATATCATTAAGTCATATAGCTAATTATGTTGTTCAAGTCTCCTATATCTTTACAGAATTTTTTTGTCTTCTTTTTCTCTTTTATTAGAAGTGTTGAGTTCAAATCACCAACTATGATTCTGGGTTTGTATGTTATTTTTAGTTGTGTCAACTCTTACTTTGCATGTTTTAACTCTGCTGGTGAATACATGTTTAAGTTTGTAATGTATTCTTGATGAATTGACATTTTTGCTATTATGAAATATTTCTTCTTTTCACTAGTAATACTCGTTACCTTAAATTATAATTTATATTATATCATCTTAACCATGCCAGCTTTATTTTATTTAAGATTTTCATAGTTTATCTCTTTTGTTTTTGTTTTTTGTTTTTTTTGAGATGGAGTCTCACTCTGTCACCCAGGCTGGAGTGCAGTGGCGCTATCTTGGCTCACTGCAACTTCCACCTCCCAGGTTTAAGCAATTCTCCCTGCCTCAGCCTCCTGAGTAGCTTGGATTACAGGCAACCACCACCACGCCTGGCTAATTTTGGTATTATTTAGTAGAGACAGGGTTTTGCCATGTTGGCCAGGCTGGTCTAGAACTCCTGACCTCAGGTGATCTGCCTGCCTCAGCCTCCCAAGGTGCTGGGATTATAGGCATGAGCCACCGCGCCCGGCCTAGTTTATCTCTTTCTATCCTTTTTTTATCCAAACTATGTGGGTCCTTATATTTGAAGTGTGTATCTTGTAAATATAACACAATTGGGTCTTCTTCAAGATTTAGTCTGGCAATCTTGTACTTTTAACTGAATCGTTTGGTCCATTTGTCTGCAATTTAATTACAGTTAGTTTTAAGTCTACCATCTTGCTATTTGTTTTCTATATGTCCTATCTATTATATTATCTTTAATCCATTTTATTTTTATGAATTGTTTGTTTAATCTTTTCTCTTGTATTAGCTTTTTAATGATACATTTTTTAAATTTTTGTAGTTACTCTAAAATAGCACTAACAGAAATAAAATGTGAGCCACCTTGTAATTTTATATTTTATAGGCTATATCCAGAATATTATCATTTTGTTATGTGACCAATATAAAAAATTAATGAGATATTTTATATTCTATTTTTTGTATTAAGTCTTTATAATCTAGTATATATTTTACACTTAACAGCACCAGGAAACAACAACTGCAGAAAGCATGAGCTTACAAGGCAAGACACCTAAGGACTTGGGCCCCTTAGGAATAAAGATCTGGATGCCAGGCAGGCACTTGAATGCTGGTAGATCCAGGGAGCCAGAGAACAAGGGCATAGCTGGCATCTGGGCTAGTAATAACAGCTAACAATGATTGAACACCTAATATGTGCCAGGAAATAGGTACATTTTTCTCATTTAATGTTCACAATAACCCAAAGAGGTGGGTGCTAACATTATTTCCTCATTTTAGACAAATAACTGAGGTACACTGCACCCTGGTGCCACCTGTGCAGTGACCGGAAGCTTCCATTTGCCTAACACTAGGTTCCAGTATCAGGAATCTCCCTGATGATATGTCTCAGTCATGTTATTCAATAACTCTATGAGCAATTGAGATAACAATTTGCCCTCCCACTAACTTGCCACTTGTCAACTTCATAACTGGTTCAGAGGTTAAGTGGAGAAAGAAAGGGCTATTTACTAACTCTCTAAAACCCCAGCATCCTAGACTCTGTCCAGGCTCTTCTCATCTTCCTACACTGCCCTCTCTCACTTTACTTGTAAACAGTGCTCAAAAAAGCTGTTCACAGGACAGAGTCTGAGAGAGAAGGAAACCATCTCCCCATCTATCACACATTCCATTTCCATATATTCACCCTTGGACAAGAAGAAAGTATCAGAGAAAAACTTGGAGGGACTTCAGAGAAGGGGATAATTTGGAGGTTAAAAAAAAAGAGAGAGAGAGAGAAGAAAGTTTGTGAGGACTGGCTGAGAATCCTCTTTAAATTATTATGTGGGCATGAAGGATGTGATGGGGCAAAAATGGAGCAGAGAGAGAACAGAAGAAACAGTGAGAGGAACAGAGACAAACACACCCAGAGAGACACAGCTATAGAAAGAAAGAAAATCAGAGAGAGAGACAGGTACAGAAAGGCAAAGACATAGACTCATGGCTGGTGCAGAAGCAGCAAGGCAGAAAGAGGTGGTTCTGCCTGTGTTTCCCTGATTGTTCTTTTGTCCATTTTCCAGACATCTCAGCAAAATGAGTCAGTTTGGACAGTTCTACCACTTCCCGCAGACCTGCCTCAATGTCAGACATGCCCCTAGAATTATTTTCCATTGCATTTTCTATTTCTGGAAGGGCGAATTATCCATGTTGGTCCTACCCCAGTAATATCACCCAAATAGAGAAAGAGGCCAAGAGAGGTGTAGGGTCCCCCAATGCCTTGACCACTCTATGACCCAGCCAGCTACAGGTTTTTCCTAGCATGTTTGCACCCAAACTGGGGCCTTATAAACATTCTCAGGCACTGATAAAGGTATCTAGGTTGTTGCCCAAAACACTGAAAGAAGCTGTCCCTGGCATCTTAGCAAAATTCCTTAAACCCTCATAAAATCTCCACACCCTGACCCCTTCACTGTGGTTATACTGGTTATACCTAGGTACAACACCTCTTTCCTCTAGTGTTTAGTACTTCTTGGAAGTACTAAATGAGATGGAATCCCCCATCTCAGGATTGTTTGGGGCATTCCCTTGTGGCCCTGCTGCCACTTTGGGGGCAATTCCAGCCACGAGTTAAGTGAAATGAAACAAGAGGTAATGACAGAGGGGAAGAACCAGAGGAAAAAGTAAGGCAGGAAGAGCCTAAAATCTCAGACTGAGATCCTGAGGCCCAAACTCTCTGTGTGGCCTTGGAGAAGTCACTTCCACCCTCTGGGACTCAGTTCCTTCATCTGTAAAGATACGAATCTAAAGAGACCCTGGGGTCCTTCCCAGTTCTGTGAGTTTGACGGACTCAGAGAGGAGCTGTCTGAGTGAAAGAGAAATGAAGATCAAGCAAGTTACTAATAGGAGCTCCAGTGAAAATCAAACAGAGAAATGGCCTAGAAATTTGTTTCACAGAAGAGACAATCATGGAACAGAAGTCATTGAACAGGAGAGAATATTCAGAGCTACATCAAATCCAATGAACAAATAGTGGGTATCAGGTACATGCAACACTTACAAGCACTGAAGAGTTTGCAAACAAACTCCATCCTCCAGAGCTCTCAGGCTCCTAAAAAGAATGCCAGGTGCCCTAATAATCATGTGCTTTTAGATTAGAATAAGAATAAGAGGGGTTGTTCTAATCTGGGTGGTCTGGAAGTTCAAGTAAAGGAACAGCTAACTGCTTGAAAAACTGTACCAGGAAACTTGATATTTGCATGACCCTGAACCCTGGATGGAAGTAAAGAACCTCTTCAAATCATACAGACCATCCTGACCCTCCCTCCTCATCATATGGTATGGTCCATCTTAGATTTTTTTAATGAGAACAAATTAAATACATGGACAAGTGCCTTTTATACACTCATACTTTTAATAACATAGATGCCTCAAGTATAATAATGTATGACTCAGATTGGTTACTCCCTTTCAATTTCTGAAAGAGTGTGTTAGTCTGTTCTCACACTGCTATGAAGAACTGCCTGAGACTGTATAATTTATAAAGGATAGAGGTTTAATTGATTCACAGTTCAGCATGGCCGGGGAGGCCTCAGGAAACTTACAATCATGGCAGAAGGTGAAGGAAAAGCAAGGCACCTTCTTCACAAAGCAGCAGGGAGAAGAGTGGCAGAGTGAAGGGGGAAGAGCCCCCTATAAAACTATCAGATCTTGTGAGACTCACTCACTATCATGAGAACAGCATGGGGGAAACTGCCCCCATGATTCAATTACCCCCACCTGGTCTCTCCCTTGACATGTGGGGATTATGGGGATTACAATTCAAGATGAGATTTTGGGTGGGGACACAGCCAAACCATAACAAGGAGTATTTCAGTTATTTTTCTGCACCTCATGTAGTGGTATCAGGCCTTTCTTCCCTGTCTCCTCTTTCATTTAAGTACTGACCACAGGTGGACTTCCTCTCTTTACAGGGTCTCTCCTCAGTCAGTTCCACCACATGCTGCCCAACAGGGTGTGCATTGCACAAATCCAGGGGCAGGACTCACATAGGCCACAATGTAGGTGACATCCCCTGGAGTTGTACAACACTAGGACTTAGCTTGCTTTCCCCACACAGGGATCTTATGGAGACTGCAAGTTCGACGGCCTAGGGCAAATGCCCCTCAAGCACTGGCCAGTTTTGTTGGCACAACCCAAATTCCAAAAGGACCACCATCTTCTCCCCTTTATTCTACCCCCATGCATCTTTGGAGTGCATCTTCAGCAACCTCAACCATCAGGTGTCACGTTCCAAAAACATGAGCAGAAAACTGTCAGGTTTTAACCACCCTGCCTTCTACCTTGAAGGATTTCTGGAAGCTTAAACATATTCATTAAATGTGGCAAGGATAGTAACTACTTAAAGAAGAAAGCGAAGCCCTGGAGACATAGATGTCAAGAAGAACCCAAACTAGATAGTTTGGTGGTTCCATCCAAGTTCAGTGATGGATGGACTCCAAAGATGGATGAGGGTAGAATAAAGGGGAGAAAATGCAAATAATTAGGTTTTGCTTCTGAAAAAAGAGAAAGAAGAGAGAATAAGGGAAGAGACACAAAAGAACCTGGTAGGATGATGTTAGGCTGGAAGCTACATGGAGCAAAATCAGGTTGCCAGAATCAGGATGGTTGGCAGAAAAAAAAAAAAAAGAACATCTAACAGGCGATGCTAGTTTGCCACCTTGGACAAGTTTCTTAACCTCTATGTATTTCTGTGTCTTTATTTGTTAAATGGACTCTATTCCATGCTTACCCCTTCTGATATTTGCAGCATATTAAACCAAATGTGAAATTAAAGTCCATCAAATCTCACACACAAACAAGCACTCAAATGCACTACACAAAACCTTGGTGAATGTGATAAACTTTAACAAAGATTTGAAATTCATGGGATAAGTAGGGTCAATTACTAGCAGCAAAAAAAAAAGAAAGAAAAGAAAAAGAGCTGTAGTAAAAATTGTCCCCTGAAAGAATCATTCTGTGCTAGAGATCCATGCCAACTTGCATCTACCACAACATGATTTTATTCAGCCCTATCCTACACTACCTCTCTGTTATTCAGAGTCCACTGTGACTTTAGTCAACATTACATTGAAAATTCCAGAGGATGCACAGCCCCTTTCTCTCCAGTAACCAGTTAATTGAGAATGTAGCAGGTAGCAGTATAGGCAAAACACACTTGCCCAGGCTCTGACATTGGGGAAATAAAGAAGTTGACAAGATATAGCTCTGCCCTCCACCAGCCTACAGCAGTAGGGAAAGAGAGGATGTCTGTGATCAATATCTACTACCTCAGAGCTAGCTGAGAAGAGGAAGAGAAGTTTAGTGATGGATGGAAAAACTTAAAGAAAAGGTTGGAATTTGAGGAGGACAGCCCCTGTCTTAACATAGCATGTCATCTCACTAATGAGGCCATTTCCTGGTAACTATCTTTTTTGATTATTTGATCATCCTAACAATCCCTCAAGGTGGGTAAGTTTAAGACAAGAAGATTTTTAACTAAAAGAGGTGGAAAGAAGAAAATGCAATCGAGTCTCATGGTAATTGTTGGCACAGATGCAGAAACTATTTAGGAAACATTAGACCATGTGGAGATTTCATCTCTTGTGCCAGCCGCATCTGATTGCAAAGTCTACAAAATGCTGCTTTCAGAAGAATTTTATTTTTAAGCCCAAGATAGGCTCAATGAGACAACATCCTGGGATCTATTAACCATGTCTGCCATGGGTGGAGTTTTGGAGGATGATCCCAGAAAATAGGAGAATTGGAATAGTAATAAATGAAGATGGAAAGGTAACTAGGAGCCAGAACGTTAAATGTCAGAGGGTCTGAAAAGGTGACTAGATTTTGTTTTCTCCAGTTGCCAGAGGTGAAAAAAAAACATTTTTATTAATATGGGTTAAGCCAAACTATATGACATGTTGATCCAGGTGGGTGTGACCCCTGAATCTCTAACAATTGAAAATGAAATCTCAGGACCAATTTCATAACCACATTACTGCTTCTTGTGAACCTATGGATTTATTCTCTCAGCTCCCCCTTCTGGACAATCTGAGGTTCAGCATCACAGCAAATGGTATGTGTGAAGAGTGATAGGACTTAGCCCACAATTGGATAAGGGCTGTAGTCACACCATTGGGAGGCCTCTTTCTGTCCCCTGCAGCTCTCTGTAGGTCTCCATAAGCAGAGAGTAAAACAAATCAGAATCTCATCCTCACTAAATTCCCACCAACACAACCCCACTACCTAGTTATGTTCATTTGTGTCAATCATGCTCCCCAGGGAGAAAAACCTCAAAGTTTTTCCAAATTTAGGAACACAACAGTCCTCACAACAGTGCTGATGTGTGTACATTCATCCTAAACTGAAGAACATCTGTGACTGAGTAGCCACCAGCATCCCAGTCCCCGGCAGGGCAAACTTTCATCATTTTATAAATGCAGGTCCAAACTCCTAATGGAAACCCTTACATCCAAATATCATCTATAAATTATCATATGTGCTTCCATTGAATGTTATTTAACCCCCTAGTGGAATCTGAGGCAGCACTGCATAATCAAACACATTAGTATTTCTGCAAAGAAACTTATGAATGTGCCCAATAAGGGAGATTTTAAAAGATAACTTTCTGCCTCTTAGCATTTCAGATCAGTTAGTTTTGGTTCCAAATTTACAAAACAACTTTTAGTTTTTGGAGTTTCAAGGATTTGGAATTTGCAGATAGAAGAATATGGACATGTATCTATGGGCATATTGAATCGGTTCAATGACTGGGGTGGAGAACCCTTTCTACTGTTTCCCTAGGAGTAAATGGGCGGAAATTGTTGTGGTTAATCTTCAGGGAAGGGCCTCTCACCACTCAGTTTCTTTCAGGAAATTTTTTCCACCATGTAGACTGACATCTTTATTATTGTCATCATTATCAATATCATTAGCATCATCACTAACATTTGTTGAGCATTTCTTACGGACATGCTCTGTGTTTCTTTAATTTTATTTTAAGTTCTGGGATACATGTGCTAAACATGCAGGATTGTTACATATGTAAACATGTGTCATGGTGGTTTGCTGCACCTATCAACTCATTACCTAGGTATTAAGCCCCACATGCATTAGCTATTTATCCTGATGCTCCCTCTCCCCCGTCCCACCTACAGGTCCCAATGTGTGTTATTTCCCTCCCTCTGTCCATGTGTTCTCATTGTTCAGCTCCCGTTTATGAGCGAGAACATGCAGTGTTTGGTTTTCTATTCCTGTGTTAGTTTGCTGAGGATGATAGCTTCCAGCTTCATCCATGTCCCTGCAAAGGACATGATCTCATTCATTTTTATGGCTGCATAGTATTCCATGGTGTATATGTACCATATTTTCTTTAACCAGTCTATCATTGATGGGCATTTGGGTTGATTCCATGTCTTTGCTATTGTGAATAGTGCTTCAATAAACATACATGTGCATGTGTTTTTATAGTAGCATGTATCTTTAAAATAGAATGATTTATATTCCTTTGGGCATATACCCAGTAATGGGATTGCTGGGTCAAATGGTATTTCTGGTTCTAGATCCTTGAGGAATTGACACACTGTCTGCCACAATGGTTGAACTAATTTACATTCCCACCAACAGTGTAAAAGCGTTCCTGTTTCTCAACATCCTCGCCAGCATCTGTTGTTTCTTGACTTTTTAATAATCGCCATTCTGACTGGCATGAGATGGTATCTTATTGTGGTTTTCATTTGCATTTATCTAATGATCAATGATGTTGAGCTGTTTTTCATATGTTCGTTGGCCACATGAGTGTCTTCTTTTGAGAAGTGTCTGTTCATGTCCTTTGCCCACTTTTCACTGGGGTTGTTTGTTTTTTCTTGTAAATTTGTTTAAGTTCCTAGTAAATCCTGGATATTAGACCTTTGTCAGATGGGCAGGTTTTAAAAATTTTCTCTCATTTTATAGGTTGCCTGTTCACTCTGATGATAATTTCTTTTGCTATGCAGAAGCTCTTTAATTTAATTAGATCCCATTTGTCAATTTTTGCTTTTGTTGCAATTGCTTTTGGCAATTTCATTATAAAATCGTTGTCTATGCCTATGTCCTGAATGGTATTGCCTAGGTTTTCTTCTAGGGTTTCTATGGTTTTAGGTATTACATCTAAGTCTTTAATCCATCTTGAGTTAATTTTTGTATAACGTGTAAGGAAGGGGCCCAGTTTCAATTTTCTGCATATGGCTAGCCAGTTTTCCAAGCACCATTTATTAAATAGGGAATCCTTTCCCTGTTCTTGTTTTTGTCACGTTTGTTGAAGATCAGATGGTTGTAGATCTGGTTTTTTTTCTGAGATCTCTATTATGTTCCATTTGTCTATGTGTCTGTTTTGGCACCAGTATCACGCTGTTTTGGTTACTGTAGCATTGTAGTATAGTTTGCAGTCAGGTAGCGTGATGCCTTCAGCTTTGTTCTTTTTGCTTAGGATGGTCTTGGCTATATAGGCTCTTTTTTGATTCCATATGAATTTCAAAGTAGTTTTTTATAATTCTGTGAAGAATGTCAATGGTAGTTTGATGGGAATAGCATTAAATCTGTAAATTACTTTGGGCAGTATGGCCATTTTCACAATATTGATTTTTCCTATCTATAAGGATGGAATGTTTTCCCATTTGTTTGTGTCCTCTCTTATTTCCTTGAGCAGTGGTTTGTAGTTCTCCTTGAAGAGGTCTTTCACATCCCTTGTTAGCTGTATTTCTAGGTATTTTATTCTCTTTGTAGCAACTGTGAATGGGTGTTCATTCATGACTTGGCTCTCTGCTTGTCTATTTTTGGTGTATAGGAATGCTTATGACATTTGCACATTGATTTTGTATCCTGAGACTTTCCTGAAGTTGCTTATTAGCTTAAGGAGCTTTTGGGCTGAGATGATGGGGTTTTCTAGATGTAGGATCATGTCGCCCGCAAAGAGAGACAATTTGACTTCCTCCCTTCCTATTTACATACCCTTCTTTCTCTTGCCTAATTGCCCTGGCCATAACTTCCAATACTATGTTGAATAGGAGTGGTGAGAAAAGGCATTCTTCTCTTGTGCTGGTTTTCGAAGGGAATGCTTCCAGTTTTTGCCCATTCCATATGATATTGGATGTGGGTTTATCATAAATGACTCTTATTATTTTGAGATATTTTCCATCAATACCTAGTTGATTGAGAGTTTTTAACATGAAGAGATGTTGAATTTTATCAAAGGTCTTTTCTGCGTCTATTGAGATCATCATGTGGTTTTTTACATTAGTTCTGTTTATGTGATGGCTTACATTTATTGATTTGTGTATGTTGAAGCAGCCCTGCATCCCAGGGGTGAAGCCAACTGGGTCATGGTGCTTAAGCTTTTTAATGTGTTGCTGGATTCAATTTGCCTGTATTTTATTGAGAATTTTTGCATTGATGTTCATCAGGGATATCGGCCTGAAGTTTTCTTTTTTCGTTGTGTCTCTCCCCAGTTTGAGTGTCAGGATGATGCTGGCCTCATAAAATGAATTAAGGAGAAGTCTCTCCTATTCAGTTGTTTAGGATAGTTTCAGAAGGAATGGTACTAACTCCTCTTTGTACCTCTGGTAGACTTTGGCTTTGAATCCATCTGGTCCTGGGCTTTTTTTGGTTGGTAGGCTATTTATTACTGCCTTAATTTCAGAACTTGTTATTGGTCTATTCAAGGATTCAACTTCTTCCTGGTTTAGTCTTGAGAGGGTGTATATGTCCAGGAATTCATTACTCCTAGATTTTCTAGTTTTTTTTACATAGAGGTGTTTATAGTATTCTGTGATTGTTGTTGGTATTTCTGTGGGGTCAGTGGTGATATCCCCTTTATCATTTTTATTGTGTCTCTTTGATTCTTCTCCTTTTCTTCTTCATTAGTCTAGCTAGTGGCCTATTTTATTAATTTTTTCAAAAAACTAGCTACTGGATTCATTGATTTTTTTAAAGGATTTTTCATGTCTCTATCTCCTACAGTTCCACTTTGATCTTAGTTATTTATTGTCTTCTGCTATTTTTTGGATGTGTTTGCTCTTGCTCCTCAGTTCTTTTAGTTGTGATGTTAGCCCACATGTGGGCTGCCTGTATTCCTCAGCGATAGCAGGGGGAAAGACTAAGTCTGCTGGTCTGCAGAGACCACAGCCACCCTTCCCCCTAGGGCCCAACGAGATCAGAGTTCTGTCCCTAAGGCCCTGGCTGGAGTTGCTGGCTTTCCTGCAGAAAGGCCCCTCCCAGTGAGGAGGGATGGGTTAGGGTCTGGCCTAAAGAGTCAGTCTTCCACAGTCTGCCACAGCCAGTGTGCTGCGCTGTGTCAATTTGAGATCTTTCTAACTTTCTGATGTGTGCACTTAGTGCTATAAATTTCCCTCTTAATACTGCTTTAGCTGCATCCCAGAGATTCTGGTACATTGCCTTTTTGTTCTCATTGGTTTCAAAGAACTTCTTGATTTCTGCCTTAATTGTATTATTTACCCAAGAGTCATTCAGGAACAGGTTGTTCAATTTCCATGTAGTTGTGCAGTTTTGAGTGAGCTTCTTAATCTTGAGTTATAATTGTGCTGTGATCTGAGAGACTGTTATGATTTCAGTTCTTTTGCATTTGCTGAGGAGTGATTTACTTCCAGTTGTGATCAATTTTAGTGTAAGTACCATGTGACACTGAGAAGAATGTATATTCTGTTGTTTTTGGGTGGAGAGTCCTATAAATAACTATCAGGCTGACTTGATCCAGAGCTGAGTTCAAGTTCTGAATATTCTTGTTAATTTTCTCACTCAATGACCTGTCTAATATTGACAGTGGGGTATTAAAGTCTCCCATTATTATTGTGCGGGAGTCTAAATCTCTTTGTAGATCTCTAAGAATTTGTTTTATGAATCTGGGTGCTCCTGTATTTGGGGCATATATATTTAGTATAGTTAGCTCTTCTTGTTGAATTGATCCTTTTACCATTATGTAATACCCTTCTTTGTCTTTTTTGATCTTTGTTGGTTTAAAGTTTGTTTTGTCATAAACTAGGTTTGTGACCCCTGCTTTTTTTCTGCTTTCTATTTGCTTGGTAAATTTCCCTCCATCCCTTTATTTTTGGCCTATGTCTGTCTTTGCATGTGAGATGGGTCTCTTGAGTACAGCACACCAACGGGTCTTGACTCTTTTTCCAATTTTCCAGTCTGTGTCTTTTAATTGGGGTATTTAGCCTATTTACATTTAGGATTAATATTATTCTGCATGAATTTGATCCTGTCATCATGATGCTAGCTGGTTATTTTGCACACTAGTTGATGCAGTTTCTTCATAGTGTCATTGGTTTTTGTATTTCAGTGTGTTTTTGCAGTGGCTGGTACTGGTTTTTCCTTTCCATATTTAGTGCTTCCTTCAGGAGCTCTTGCAAGGTAGGCCTGGTTGTGACTGATTTCCTCAGCATTTGTTTCTCTGAAAAAGATTTTATTTCTCCTTCACTTATGAAGCTTTGTTTAGCCGAATATGAAATTCTGGGCTGAAAATTCTTTTCTTTAAGAATGTTGAATATTGGCCCCCACTCTCTTCTGGCTTGTAGGGTTTCTGCTGAAAGGTCTGCTGTTAGTTGATTCACTTCCCTTTGTAGTGACTGGCCTTTCTCTCTGGCTACCCTTAACATTTTTTCCTTCATTTTGACCTTGGAGAATCTGAGAATTATGTGTCTTGGGGTTGATCTTCTTGTGGAGTATCTTACTAGGGTTCTCTGTATTGCCTGAATTTGAATGTTGGCCTGTCTTGCTAGGTTGGGGAAGTTCTTCTGGATGATATCCTAACATGTGCTTTCCAACTTGGTTCCATTCTCCCCGTGTCTTTTAGGTACTCATTTGTACATTTGGTCTTTTTACATAGTCCCATAGTTCTTGGAGGTTTTGTTCTTTCCTTTTCATTCTTTTTTCTCTAAATCTTGTCTGCCTGCCTTATTTCAGCAAGATAGTCTTCCAGCTCTAATATTCTTTCTTCTGCTTGACCAATGTGGCTATTGATACTTGTGTTTGCAACACAAAGTTCTCCTGCTATGTTTTGCAGCTTCATGAGGTCATTTATATTCCTCTCTAAACTGGATATTCTAGTTAGCAGCTCCTGTAACCTTTTATCATAGTTCTTAGCTCCTTTGAATTGGGTTAGAACATGCTCCTTTACCTCAGCAAAGCTTGTTATTACCCACATTCTGAAGCTTATTACTGTCAATTCGTCCATCTCATCCTCTGTCCAGTTCTGTGCCCTTGCTGGAGAGGTGTTGCAATCGTTTGGAGGAGAAGAGGCACTCTGGCCTTTAGAGTTTTCAGCATTTTTTTAATTGATTCTTTCTCATCTTCATGAGTTTGTCTAGTTTTGATTTTTGAGGTTACTGACCTTTGCATGAGGTTTTTGTGGAGACTTTTTCATTGATGCTGTTGTTGTTGCTTTCTGTTTGTTTGTTTTTCCTTCAATGGTCATGTTCCTTTCCTGTAGGGCTGCTGTGGTTTGCTGGAGGTTCATTTCAGGCCCTATTCATCAGGAGCGCTCCTGCACTTGGAGATGTCACTCAAGGAGGCTGGAGAACAGCAAAGGTGGGTACCTGCTCCTTCCTCTGGGATCTCTGACCTCAAGGGGCAACAACCTGACGCCAGTAGAAATGGTCCTATATAGGGTATCTTGGTAACCCCTGTTGGGGGGTTTCACCCAGCTGGGGGGCATGGGAACCAGGATCCATTTAATGAAGCACTTTAGCTATCCCTTGGTGGAGGGGGTGTGCTGTGCTGGGGGGAAACCCATTCATGTGGGCTGCCTGTATTCCTCAGGGCTAGCAGGGGGAAAGACTAAGTCTGCTGGTCTGCAGAGACCACAGCCACCCCTCCCCCTAGGGCCTCAGGCACAAGGAGATCAGAGTTCTGTCCCTAAGCCCCTGGCTGAAGTTCCTGGCTTTCCTGCAGAAAGGCCCCTCCCATTGAGGAGGGATGGGTTAGGGTCTGGCCTAAAGAGTCAGTCTCCCACAGTCTACCACAGCCGGTGTTCTGCATTGTGGAGAATACCTCTTGGAACCAAGCTGTCCAATCTCCCTGGCTCTAGCAAGGGAAAAATGCAGCCTGGAGTTATAGTGATGTCTACTGCCCTTCCTCCCTGGGAGTTCAGTGTCTTAGGCAGCTGGCAACCACAATGATAGCTGCTGTCCCTCCCTCAGGGAGCTCAGTTTTCTTAGGTATCTGGCAGCTGCAGTGATGATGGCCACCCCTCTCCCTGGGAACTCTGTAATCTTAGGCAGATTCCAGCCAAGTGGCTGTTGAGAATCTGTGTAGCCCTGTGACTGGGACCAAGGGCCCTGGTGGCGTGGGCTCAAGAATGGGATCTTCTGATCTGTGAGTTGCACAGATCTGTGGAAAAAGCACAGTTTCCCAGGTTGGGTAGTATGCTCACGCATCACCTTCCTTGGTGGAAGGGTGGTGGCTCCCCTTGTCCCATTTGGCTCTCAGGTGCGCCAACACATGACCCTGCTTTTCCTTGTTCTCTGTGGGTCACACCAACTGCCTAATCAGTCCTGATGGTAGAACCTGGATACCTTGGTTGCCAGTGCAGCACTCACATGTTGTTTTGGTTCTTCTCAGTGGAAGCCCCTGACTGCTGCTGCTTCTAGTCGGCCATCTTGGCCCCGCCCCACTCCCTGTGTTTGTTTCTTTACAAGGATCATCTCATGTGATTATCACCCTTGCCCTATGATATACATAGATCATTATCATCCCAACATTATAAATGAAGACATTAATACTTAGAATTTAAAACTCTACACAGCTAGTAAGTCACAGAGCATGATCTCAAACCCATGTCTTTCTGACTCTGAAATCTACTCTTCACCACTGATTGCACCACCTACTGACACCTTTGTTTCCAAGGGAAGGCTGGCTTCCCTCTGCTTTATCTCTTGCTCATCACACAGGGCCCTCTGGAAAATCAGCTTGAGGGTCTTCACATATCAATGCTGTCTAAAGAAACCAACAAAGAGTAAATGATGGGGTTGGTGTAGCTCTTCAGACAGGACAGAGTTAAACTAATCAGGTAGGGCTTAATGTTCTTGGGATAGACCACTGCCCAGCAAAATAGGAACCAGTGGATACTAATGGGCAGATCATAGAAAAGAAGGCCAGAACCATGAGCAGGATGATCACATAGAGCCTGGGCAGCTGTGTCTGCTGGGAAACACACTGGACACTGACCAGCAGAGTCAGACTGGCCCTAGTGAGAACCACAAACAGAAAGACCACTCAGATGGCAGAGATGAAATCAAAAGCCTGATATAGTCTGTCTTTAAAGACCCTAAACTGTAAGCCACAGGGTTGTCCTTCCAGGATGCTCAGCACCAGGGACAGGGCCCATGACAGCTTACATGTGTCTCAGACATGGCAGCAGTGCCTGCCTGGGGCACAGGACTGGACAGCAGCAGTCAGTGCTAATGGCACTGCGTATACTCAGGCCCACTGCGTAGGAGAAGTACTTCACAATTGATCTGAAGAATGGAGTGCATACAGCAACAATGTGTAAGATAAAAACAAGATCCTCTACAGATTGCACCACTTTGCAGGAGAAGAGGAGCATGTCAGTCCCAGCCAGGTTGGGGATGTAGATGGAGAAGGTGTTCCTGCACATGAGGAAGTCCAGGAGCTAAAGAACAATTACACTCCCCACCAGCCAACTCAGGGCTGTCATGAGGGCAAACAGATCCAGGATCATGAATCTGAATAAGTAATTGACATAAAGCCCACACAATGTAAATTCATCAAAAGTTGCTTATTACCATGTCCTAGAATCCTCTAGTGATGTCCCCAGGAACATAAATATGGGTTGATACCTACTCTGTGATCTGTAATTCCCACAACCAAAAAACGGTAGTTTTTGTAGCAGGATGAAAGTTCAAGACAGGTAATTTGATCCTCTTCTTCACCTCCACCATAATTTACTCTGTTACCTTCTCCTCAAAGATATATGTCTCAGAAAGATTTATTTTTATCAAAAGAGCACAAAGGGGCACAGCAAATAATTAATTTTTGTCTTCCAAAATGGACTACTAAAAACAATTATTTGTTTTTCTTTCCTTAACATGGTGAATTAGAGGCTTTTTCTGTGCCTCGGCCACTCAGCTATTTGGAAATAGTAAGATAGTGCATAAAGATCAATTATGTGGCCAGGCATGCTGGCTCACACCTGTAATCCCAGCACTTTGGGAGGCTGAGGCAGGCAGATCACTTGAGGTCAGGAGTTCGAGACCAGCTTGACCAACATGGTGAAACCCCATCTCTACTAAAAATACATAAATTAACCAGGCGTGGTGGCACACATCTGTAGTCCCAACTACTCAGGAGGCTTAGGTGGGATGGTCGCTTGAGCCCAGGAGGCGGAGGTTGCAGTGAGCCGAGATCACACCACTGCACTCCAGCCTGAGTGATAGAGCGAGACTGTCTCCAAAAAAAAAAAAAAGAATTCTGTGAGCTTTAATTCGAAAAGGAAATGGGGTCCAACAGAATCATGAGGGATCTCCTTATAATCCCAGGGAGGAGAGTGCCAGCCAACTGCCTCTGCAATGGTGTCCAGCTGATAAAAGTAGTGAAGTTCTGATACATAAGAGAGGCAAAAAGCCTCCCTCTGTGACTCAGCTTTCCACTAGGGATCCAAGCAACCCAGAGTGAGGGAGAACACTTTGTTTCTGCCAAGTCCTGGAGTTAACCTAAGGAGAGGCTTGGAGGGGCTGAGAGGAAAAGACACCTGGAAAAGCTGCAGGTGTTTTCCCAGACCTGGGACCAAGAGCAGGACACCATTTTTAATCCAGTCACATATAGTCAATCATTCTTCAGCAACCTGGCAGCGTGGCCACACAGGCTGCTGGAGGCCAGAGGCTGGAGTGCCTTCTCTGGAGCAGGGTAGGAACCTCTACTGCCAGAATTGTGGAAAGCACCTCAGCAGTAGGTGCTGGAATTGTGCTCTTCCCCTATCACAGGTCAGGGGTAGGAGGAGAGCTGCGACAGCTGCAGTTTCTCCTGCGTGATAAGACTTGCAGCCAAGGCCAGCACGGTGACCTGGAACTGGTCAGTGTGTGTCACTGCTAGTTGCCCAAGCCTGCTCCCCTGAGATCATGGTGTAGCAAGGCCCTCTCCACTCCACAGCTAGGCAGAACTCCGGGCATTTGGAGCATACACTCACTGGTTCTGCAGCCTGTGCCATCCCATTCTTCCTGTACAGAGATCTTGGTGCAGGGGGGTCCTTTCTGCTTCATACCCAGGCAGATCTCCAGGCATTCAGAGCACCTGCTCTCCTGGATCAGCAGCCTGAGTCACCTCATCCCTCCTGTGCAGAGGTCCTGCTGTGGGGTAGCAGGGAGGGCTCTCCACTCCATATCCAGGCACATCTCCAGGCATTTGGAGTACCCACTCACCTTAAATAGCAGCCTGAGCCATCCAACCCTTCCCGTGCAGAGATCCTGGTGAAGGGGGGCCCTTACTGCTTTATGCTCAGGCAGTAAGAGCACCCACTCACCTGGACCAGCAGCCTGAGCTGCCTGACACTTCCTGTGCAGAGATTGTGGTAAAGCAGCACCCTCTCTACTCCACACTCAGTCAGATCTCCAGGAATCTAGAGCACCCACACTCCTGGAATATGCAGAGAACTTGGGGCCAAGGAGGTTTCCCAGCTCCACACTTAGGCATACCTCTGAGCACTTGCCAGATGGCCATTGGATTCTCCCTCAGCGCTGTTGCTTGTGCCTTCCACACCGGGACCTGTGGTGGGCCTGCCTGGTCTGGCCCCACCCATTTTGCCCACTGCACCCCCCAAGTCTGGGACTGAGCAGGGAGGTTAGATGACTGTATGCTCCATGAACCAGCTGATCACCTAAGACAACAGAGAGCTTTTCCCAGAAAATGAGAATCAAGCATATGCCCACCCATGTTGGCCACAGCCAGCTCTTACCTATAAGCTTCATCTACTGGCTTGTAGGTTAAACAGCACAACCCAATATAAAACCTGCCAACAGAAGTGCATAGGGCTATAGAAGCAAAGCCAAAAGACCCTACCCAACATTCTGTACAGTCACATCCTTTAAGGAGAGCGGGGGAAAGGAAAGAAAAAAACCAGTATTATATGGAAAGGAAGAAAAAGCAAAAATCTTATCTGCATAAAAATAATTATAAAAATTAAAAGTGCCAGCATCTCCAGATAAGAAAGAACCAGTACAAGAATTCTGGCATTATGAAAAATCTGAATGTAGTGATACCATCAAAAGATCACACTAGCTCTCCAGCAATGAGCCCTACCAAAATAGTGACCCAGAAATGACAGATAAATAATTCAAAGCATGGATTGCAAGGAAGCTCAATGAGACCCAAGATAAGGTGGAAGATCACAATGAAACTTCTAAATTGATCCAAGAAATGAAGGAAGAGATAAACATCATAAAAAGAAACCAATCAGAGCTTCCAGAATTGAAAATCTCACATAAGGATTTTCAAAGTACAATCAAAATCTTTATAAATAGACTGAACCAAACAGAAGAGATAACATCAAGGTTTTGGTACCTGGGTGACAGGATCATTGGTACCCCAAACCTCAGCATCACAAAATATACCAAAGTAATAAACCTGAACATGTACATCTGGAATCTAAAAATAGAATTTAAAAAAGAAAAAGAATTTTAGAGCTTGAAGCCTCATCTTTCTAACTAACCCAGTCAGATAAAAGTAAAAAAAAAAAAAAAAAAAAAAAAAAAAGATTTTTAAATAATTAACAAAACCTTTGAGGAAAAAAAATGGGATTATATAGAAATTACTGGCATTCCTGAAGGATAAGGAGAAAAAAAATAAATGACCTGGAAAACATATTTAAGGGAATAATTCAAGAAAATTTTCCTAATCTTGCTAGAGAGGTAGACATCCAGATACAAGAAATCCAAGGAACAAACTGTGAGATACTGTGCAAAACAAATATCACCAAGGCATATAGTCACCAGACTATACAAGGTTAGTGCTAAAGAAAAACTCTTGAAAGCACCTAAAGGAAAAGATCAGCTCATGTACAAAGGGAGTCCCATAAGATTAACTGTGTACTTCCCAGCAGAAATATTACAACCCAGGAGAGATTGGGGGCCCATTTTCAGCATTCTTAAAGAAAAGAAATTCCAACCAAGAATTTCATATCCTGCAAAACTAAGCTTCATAAGCAAAGGAGAAATAAAAACTTTTCTAGACAAACAAGCACTAGAGAATTCCTTATCACTAGACCAGCCTAATGAGAGATTCTTAAGGGAGTTCTAAACACAGAAACAAAATAACAATACTGCTACCACAAAAGCACACTTAAGTACATAACCCATAGACCCCATAAAGCAACTACACAATAAAAACTGCAAAGCAACCAGCTAACAACTTAATAAGATCAATATCTTACATATAAATATTAACCTTGAATGTAAATAATCTAAATGCCCCCACTTAAAAGGAACAGAGTGGCAAGTTGGACAAAAAAAAAAAAAAGACCCATCTGTCTGTTGTCTTCAAGAAACCCATCTCACATGAAACAACATCCACAAATTCAAAGTAACAAGTTGGAGAAAGATCTATCACAAAAATGGAAAACAAAAAACAGGAGTCACTATTCTTATATCAATAAAACAGACTTTAATCCAACAACAGTAAAAAAGTGGGGGAATGGATACACAATGATAAAGGGTTCAATTCAACAAGAACACTTAACTATCCTAAATATATACATACCCAAAACTTGAGCACCCAGATTTACAAAATAAGTACTTCTAGACCTGCAAACAGATTTGGACAGCCATACAATAATACTGAGAAACTTCAACATCTCCCTGACAGCATTAGGCAGGTACTGAGGCAGAAAACTAACAAAGATATCTGGGACCTGAACTCAACACTTAACCAAATTAACCTAATAGACACCTGCAGAATACACCACCCATCAAACACAAAATATACATTTTTCTGTTTTGCACAATGAACATACTTCATGATCAATCACATGTAATACTTTTTTTATTATTTCAATAGATTTAGGGGGAACAGGTGGTGTTTGGTTACATGAATAAGTTTTTAATGGTGATTTATGAGATTTTGGTGCACCCATCACCTGAGCAGTGTACCCAATACCCAATGTGTAGTCTTTTGTCCCTCACCCGCTCCCACTTTCCCCGAAGTCCCTAAAGTCCGTTGCATCATTCTTATGCCTTTTGATCCTCATAGCTTAGCTCCCACTTATGAGTGAAAACATACAACGTTTCGTTTTCCATTCCTGAGTGTGTGTGTGTGTGTGTGTGTGTGTATTCCATACGTGTATATATATACTTATGTGTGTGTGTTTGTGTGTGTGTGTGTGTGTATATATATATATATATATTTATTTATAAAACATTTTCTTTATCCACTCATTGATTAATTGGCATTTGGGCTGGTTCTATACTTTTGCAATCACAAATTGTGCTGCTATAAACATGCATGCGCAAGTACCTTTTTCATATAATGACTTTAGTTCTTTAAGGAATCTCTACACTGTTTTCCATAGTGGTTGTACTAGTGTGCATTCCCACCATCAGTGTAAAAGTGTTCCTTTTTCACCGCATCCCTGTCAACATTTTTTTTTTAATTTTTTGATTATGGCCATTTTTGCAGGAGTAAGGTGTATCGCATTGAGGTTCTGATTTATGTGCAAAAAAATTTTTTAAATCATACTCTCAGACCACAGTGGAATAAAAACAGAAATCAACACCAAGAAGCTCTCTCAAAATCACAGAATTACATGAAATTAAACAACTTGCTCCTGAATGACTTTTTGGTAAACAGGAAAACTAAGGCAGAAACCAAAAAATTCTTCGAAATAAATGAAAACATCACACCACATATCAAAATCTCTAGGATGCAGCAAGAGCAGTGGTAAGAAGAAAGTTGACTGCACTTAGCACCTACCTCAAAAAGTTAGAAAGATCTCAAATTAATGCTCTAACATCACACCTAGAGGAACTGGAAAAACAAGAACAAATTAACACCAAAGCTAGTAGAAGAAATCAAATAACTAAAATCAGAGCAGAACATTTTGAGACCCAAAAATGTATACAAAAAAATTAATAAAAGCAAAACTTGGTTCTTTCAAAGGATAAACAAGATCAATAGACTGCTAGCTAGATTAATAAAGAAAAAAAGAGAGAACATCCAAATAAGCATAATCAATAACAAGAAAGATGACATTATGACCAATTCCACAGAAATACGAAAGATCCTCAGACACTATTATGAACACCTTCATGCAAACAAACTAGGAAATCTAGAGGAAAGGAATAAATTCCTGGAAACACAACCTCCCAAGATTGAATCAGGAAGAAACTGAATCCCTGAACACACCAATAATGAGCTTTAAATGAGCTAGTCCCAATCCTTCTGAATCTATTCCAATAAATTGAGCAAGAGGGACTCCTCCCAAACTCAACCTATGAGGCTAACATCATTCTGATACCAAAACCTGGCAGGGACACAACAAAAAAAGAAAAATTTTAGGCCACTATCCTTCATGAATATAGATGCAAAAGTCCTTAACAAAATACTAGCAAACCAAAGAGCTAATCCACCATAATCAAGTAGGCTTTATTCCTGGGATGCAAGGTGGGTTCAACATACACAAATTAATAAATATGATTCAGCACATAAGCAGAACTAAAAAAAAAAACACATGATTATCTCAATAGATGCAGAAAAGATTCTCACTGAAATTCAACATCTCTTCATGTTAAAATCCTCAACAACATACCAGGAAAGCCAAAAGAATCCACACAGACCCTTTGAAGGAAGAAAATTGTTCCTGCAGACCCCAGGAGACAGCCCAAAAACCATGCTGCTATCCATGGCTGAGAGACCTGAAGACAGTTCACATCACAGGACTCTGTGCAGACACCCCCTGATACCAGCCCAGAGCTGAGTATCTCCTCTGGGTGGATAGATCCAGAAAAGGAATAACAATCACTACAGTTCAGCTCTCAGGAAACCACATCCCTAGGAAAAGGGGGAGAGCACTACATCAAAGGAGCACTCCATGGGACAAAAGAATCTGAACACCAGCAATATCAGCCCTTGAGCCCCAGAGCTTCCCTTCATGGTAGTCTACCTAAATGAGAAGGAACAGAAAAATGATTCTGGTAATATGACAAAACAAGGTTCTTTAATACCCCCAAAAGATCACACTAGCTCAGTAGCAATGGATCCAAACCGAGAAGAAATCCCTGAATTGCCAGAAAAAGTATTCAGAAGGTTGATTATTAAGCTAATCAAGGGGGCACCAGAGGAAGGTTAAGTCCAACTTAATGAAATAAAAAAAATACAAGATATGAAGGGAAAAATCTTCAGTGAAATAGATAACATAAATAAAAAATAATCACAACTTCTGGAAATAAAGGACACACTTAGAGAAATGCAAAATGCACTGGAAAGTCTTGGCAATAGAATTGTACAAGCAGAAGAAAGACCTTCAGAGCTCAAAGACAAGATTTTTTAAATTAACCCAATCCAACAAAGACAAAGGAAAAAGAATTAAAAAAATGAATGAAGCCTCCAAGAAGGTTGGGATTATGTTAAACAACCAAACCTAAGAATAATTGGTGTTACTGAGGAAGAAGAGAAATCTAAAAGTTTGGAAAACATATTTGAGGGAATAATGGAGGAAAACTTCCCTTGCCTTGCTACAGATCTAGACATCCAAATACAAGAAGCTCAAAGAACACCCAGAAAATTTATTGCAAAAAGATAATCACCTAGGCACATAGCCATCAGGTTATCTAAAGTCATGATGAAGGAAAGAATCTTAAGAGCTGTGAGGCAAAAGCACCCAGTAAACAATAAAGGAAAACCTATCAGATTAACAGCAGATTTCTCAGCAAAGACCCTACAAGCTAGAAGGGATTGGGACCATATCTTCAGCCTCCTTATACAAAGCAATTATCAGCCAAGAATTTTGTATCCAGCCAAACTAAGCTTCATAAATTTGTTTGTGTTTGTTAGACAAACAAATGCTGAGAGAATTTGCCACTACCAAGCCACTACTACAAGAACTGCTAAAAGGAGCTCTAAATCTTGAAATGAATCCTTGAAATACACCAAAATAGAACCTCCTTAAAGCACAAATCTCACAAGATCTTTAAAACAAAAACACAATAAATAAATAAATAAATAAATAGTATTCAGGCAACAAATAGCATGATGAATAGAATAGTACCTCACATCTCAATACTAACACTGAATGTAAACGGCCTAAATGCTCCACTTAAAAAATACAGAATGGGCTGGGTGTGATGGCTCACACCTCTAATCCCAGCACTTTGGGAGGCCAAGGCAGGTGGATCACGAGGTCAAGAGATCAAGACCATCCTGGCCAACATGGTGAAACCCCATCTCTACTAAAAATACAAAAATTAGCTGGACATGGTGGCGCACGCCTGTAATCCCAGCTACTCGGCAGGCTGAGGCAGGAGACTCACTTGAACCCGGGAGGCGGAGGTTGCACTGAGCCAAGATCATGCCACTGCACTCCAGCCTGGCAACAGAGCGAGACTCTGTCAGGAAAAAAAAAAAAAAAAACAGAATGGCAGGATGGATAAGAATTCACCAATCAAGTATCTGCTGCCTTCAAGAGACTCATCTTACACATAAGAACTCACATAAACTTAAAGTAAAGGGATGGAAAAAAAAATTCCATGCAAATGGACACCAAAAGCAAGCAGAAGGAGCTATTCTTATATTCGACTAAAGGAACTTCAAAGCAACAGCAGTTAAAAAAAAGACAAAGAGGGACATTATATAATGATAAAAGGACTTGTCCAATGGGAAAATATCACAATCCTAAATATATATGCACCTAGTACTGGAACTCCCAAATTTATAAAACAATTACTAAAAATTGTTTTATAGACCTAAAAAAATGAGATAGACAGCAACACAATAATAGTGGGGAATTTCAATACCCCACTGACAGCACTAGATAGGTCATCAAGACAGAAAGTCAAAAAAGAAACAATGGATTTAAACTATCACCTCGAACAAATGGACTTAGATATTTACAGAACATTCTACCCAACAACTGCAGAATATACATTCTATTCATCAGTATATGGAACTTTCTCCAAGATAGACCATATGATAGGCCACAAAACAGGTCTCAATACATTTAAGAGAATTGAAATTATATCAAGTACTCTCTGAGACCACAGTGGAATAAAATTGGAAATCAATTTCAAAAGGAACACTCAAAATCATGCAAATACACGGAAATTAAATAACCTGCTCCTAAATGATCATTGGGTCAACAATGAAATCAAGATGGAAATTTAAAAATTCTTTGAACTGAACGATAATAGTGAAACAACCTATCCAAACCTCTGGGACACAGCATAGGTGGTGACAAGAGGAAAGTTCATAGCCTTAAATGCATACATCAAAAAGTCTGAAAGAGCATGAATAGACAATCTAAGGTCATGCCTCAAGGAACTAGAGAAACAAGAACAAACCAAACCCAAATCCAGCAGAAGAAAAGACATAACAAAGATCAGAGCAGAGCTAAATGAAATTGAAACAAAAAAAAATAAAAGATAAATGAACCAAAAAGCTGGTTATTTGAAAAGATAAATAAAATTGATAAACAATTAGCGAGATTAACCGAGAAAAGAAGAAAGAAGATCCAAATAAGCTTAATTGGAAACAAAATGGGAGATATTACAACCAGTACCACAGAAATACAAAAGATTATCCAAGGCTACTATGAACACCTTTACACACATAAACTAGAAAACCTAGAGGAGATGGCTAAATTTCTAGAAATATACATCCCTACTAGATTAAACCAGGAAGAATGAGAAATTCTGAACAGGGCAATAACAAGCAGCGAGATTGAAATGAGTCCAGGACCAGATGTATTCACAGCTGAATTCTATCAGACAGACATTCAAAGAAGGATTGGTACCAACCATTGGCACCATTCCATGAGAGAGAGAAAGAAGGAATCCTCCCTAAATCATTCTATGAAGCCGGTATCACCCTAATACCAGAACCAATAAAGGTCATAACAAAAAAAGAAAACTACAGACCAATATCCTTGAGGAATGCCTAAAAAAATACTAGCTAACTGAATCCAATAGCATATCAAAAAGATAATCCACCGTGATCAAGTAGGTTTCATATCAGGGATACAGGAATGAGTTAATATATGCAAGTCAATAAATATGATACATCACATAAACAGAATTAAAAACAAAAACCACATAATCATCTCAGTAGGTGCAGAAAAAGATTTGACAAAATCTAGTATCGCATTATGATTAAAACCCTCAGCAAAATTGGTATACAAGGGACATACCTTAAGGTAATAAAAGCTATCTATGACAAAGCCTCAGCCAACATAATATTGAACAGGGAAAAATAGAAAGTATTCTCCCTGAGAACTGGAACAAGACAAGAATGCCCACTCTCACCACTTATATTCAACATAGTACTGGAATTCCTAGCCCGAGCAATCAGACAAGAGAAAGAAATATAAGGCATCCAAATCAGTAAAGAGGAAGTCAAACTGCCGCTGTTTGCTGATAATATGATTGTATACCTAGAAATCCCTAAAGACTCATCCAAAAAGTTCCTAGAACTGATAAAAGAATTCAGTAAAGTTTCAGGATACAAAATTAATGTACACAAATGAGTAGTTCTGCTATACACCAACAGCAACCAAGAGGAGAATCAAATCAGGAACTCAACCCCTTCTACAACAGCTGCAAATAAATAAAATACTTAGGAATATACCTAACCAAGGAGGTGAAAGACCTCTACAAGAAAAACTACAAAACACTGCTGAAAGAAATCATATACGACACAAACAAATGGAAACGCATCCCATGCTCATGGATGGGTAGAACCAATACTGTGAAAATGACCATACTGCCAAAAGAAATCTATAAATTCAATGCAATTCCCATCAAAATACCATCATCATTCTTCACAGAATTAGAAAAAACAATTCTAAAATCCATATGGAACCAAAAAAGAGCTCACATGGCCAAAGCAAGACTAAGCAAAATGAACGAATCTGGAGGTATCACATTACCTGACTTCAAACTATACTATAAGGCCATAATCACCAAAACCGCATGATACTGATATAAAAATAGGCAGATAGACCAATGGAACAGAATAGAGAACCCAGAAATAAACCCAAATACTTACAGCCAACTGATCTTTGACAATGCAAACAAAAACATAAAGTGGGAAAGGACACCCTATTCAACAAACGGTCCTGGGATAATTGGCAAGCCACATGTAGAAAAATGAAACTGAAACCTCATCTCTCATTTTATACAAAAATCAACTCAAAATGAATCAAAGACTTTAATACCTGAAACCCTAAAAATTTGAGAAGATAACACCAGAAAAGCCCTTCTAGACATTGGCTTAGGCAAAGAGCAAAAATCCAAAAATAAATGCAACAAAACAAAGAAAAATAGATGTGACTTCATTAAACTAAAAGGCTTCTGCACAGCAAAACAAACCATCAGAACAGTAAAGAGACAACCCACAGAGTGGGGGAAAATCTTCACAATCTACACATCTGACAAACAACTAATATCCAAAATCTACAAGAAACTCAAATAAATTAGCAAGAAAAAACCCTATCAAAAAGTGGGCTAAGGACATGGATAGACAATTCTCAAAAGAAGATATGCAAATGGCCAAAAAACATATGAAAAAATGCTCAACATCACTAATGATCAGGGAAATGCAAACCAAAACCACAATGCAATACCACCTTACTCCCACAAGAATGGCATTGAATGAATGAATAATCAAAAAAATCAAAAAATATTAGATGTTGGTGGGGATGCAGTGAAAAAAAGAACACTTTTACACAGCTGGTGGGAATGTACATTAGTCCAACCACTATGGAAAACAGTGTGGAGATTCCTTAAAGAACTAAAAGTAGATCTACCATTTGATCCAGCAATCCCACTCTTGGGTGGGAAAAGAAGTCATTATATGAAAAAGATATTTGCACACGCATGTTTATAGCAGCACAATTCACAATTGCAAAAATATGGAACCAGCCCAAATGTCCATCAATCAATGAGTAAATAAAGAAATTGTGGTAAATATATACCACGGAATACTATTCAGCCATAAAAAGGATCAAAATGATAGCATTCGCAGCAACCTAGATGGAATTTGAGGCCATTATTCTAAGTGAAGTAACTCAGGAATGGAAAACTAAACAGCGTTATGTTTTCACTCATAAGTGGGTACTAAGCTATGAGGATGGGAAGGCATAAGAATGATACAATGGACTTTGGAAACTCACAGGAATGGGTGGAGGGGAGGGATAAAGGACTACATTGGGTACAATGTATGCTGCTCAGGTGATGGGTGCACCAAAATCTCAGAGATCACCATTAAAGAACTTATCTATGTAACCAACACCACCTGTTCCCCAAAAACCTATGGAAATAAAAAATAAAAATAGAAATATAAAAATAAACAAAAATAAAAATCATCCACAAACTGGGCATTGAAGGAACATACCTCAAAATAATAAGAGCCATCTATGACAAACTCACAGCCAACATCATCATGAATAGGCAAAAGCTGAAAGCATTTTCCTTGTGAATTGGAACAAGGCAAGGATGCCCATTCTTATCACTCCTATTCAACGTAGTACTGGAAGTCTTAGCCAGAGCAATCAGGCAAGAGAAAGAAATAAAAGGCATCCAATAGGAAGAGAGAAAGTCAAACTATCTCTATTTACAGATTATGTGATTCTATACCTAGAAAACCCCATAGTTTCTGCCCCAAAGCTCCTAGATTTGATTAACAACTTCAGCAAAGTTTCAGGATACAAAAATCAATGTACAAAAGTCAGTAGCATTTCCATACACCAACAACATCCAAGCTGAGAGCCAAGTCACGAGCACAATCCCATTCACAAGAGCCACACACAAAAATAAAATACCTAGGAATACAGCTAACCAGGAAGGTAAAAGATCTCTACAATGAGAATTACAAAACATTGCTGAAAGAATTCAGAGATGATACAAGCAAAAGGAAAAAGTCCATGCTCATGGATAGGAAGAATCAATATTGTTAAAATGGCCATACTAGCCAAAACAATTTATAGATTCAATGTTATTCCTATCAAGCTACCAATGACATTCCATAGAATTAGGAAAAACTACTCTAAAATTCATATGAAACCAAAAAAGAGCCTGAATAGCCAAAGCAATCCTAAGCAGAAAGAATAAATCTGGAGGCATAACTTTACCTGACTTCAAACTACACTACAAGGCTACATTAGCCAAAATAGCATGGTACTGGTACAGAAACAGACACATAGACCCATGGAATGGAATAGACAGCCCAGAAATAATGCTGCATGCCTACAACAACCTGATCTTCAACAAAGTCAGCAAAGATAAGCAATGGGGAAAGGACTCCCTATTCAATAGCTCGTTCTAGGACAACTGGCTAGCCATATGCAGAAGATTGAAACTGGACCCCTTCCTTATATCATAAACAAAAATAAACTCAAGATGGATTAAAGACTTAAATGTAAAACCAAAAACTATAAAAACCCTGGAAGATAACTTAGCAAATACCATTCTAGACATAGGCCCTTTCAAAGATTTCATGACAAAGATGCCAAAAGAATTGCAAGAAAAACAAAAATTGATAAATTGGGCCTAATTAAAGAGCTTCTGCACAGCAAAAGAAACTACCAACAGAGTAAACAGGCAACCTACAGAATGGGAGAAAATATTTGCAAACTATGCATCTGACAAAGGTCTAATATCCAGAATCTATAAATAACAAGCAAAAATCAAACAAAAAAATTAAAAAGTGAGCAAAGGAAATGAACACTTTTCAAAAGACGATATACACGTGGCCAATAAGCATGTGAAAAAAAAAAGTGCAGCACCACTAATCATCAGAAAAAAGTAAATCAAAACCACAATGGGGCCCAGGCATGATGGCTCATGCCAGTAATCCCAGCATTTTGGGAGGCCAAAGCAGGCAGATCACATGAGGTCAGGAGTCCAGGACCAGCCTGGCATTTCACATAGTGAAACTCCATCTCTACTAAAAATACAAAAACTAGCGAGGCATGGTGGCACTCACCTGTAATCCCAGCTACTTGAGAGGCTGAGGCAGGAGAATCACTCGAACCCAGGAGGCAGTAGTTGCAGTGAGCCAAGATGGTGCCATTGTACTCAGCCTGGGCAACAAGAGTGAAACTCTGTCTCAGAAAAAAAAAAAAAAAAAAATGGGATATCATCTCATACCAGTCAAAATGGCTATTATAAAAAGTGAAAAAATAACACATGCTGGCAAGGTTGTAAAGAAAAGGGACTGCTTATACACTGCTGGTGGGAATGTAAATTAGTTTAGCCACTGAGGAAAACAGTGTGATGATTTCTCAAAAAACTTAAAACCAGCCAGGCACGGTGGCTCATGCCTGTAATCTCAGCACTTTGGGAGGCTGAGGCGGGCGGATCACGAGGTCAGGAGATCGAGACCATCCTGGCTAACACAGTGAAACCCCGTCTCTACTAAAAATTCAAAAAATTAGCCGGGCGTGGTGGCAGGCGCCTGGGTCCCAGCTACTGGGGAGGCTGAGGCAGGAGAATGACGTGAACCCAGGAGGCGGAGCTTGCAGTGAGCCGAGATTGCACCACTGCAGTCCAGCCTGGGGACAGACCGAGACTCCATCAAAAAAAAAAAAAAAAAGAACTTAAAACCATTCAACCCAACCAACTCATTATTGACTATATACCCAAAGGAATGTAAGTCATTCTACCATAAAGACACATGCAAACATATGTTGGGAAAAAGCTGAGTGTTGGGAGGGAAACCAAGGCAGGGCTTGCATAATGTCCTCTGGAATGTGTCTAGACTTGCTGGCTCCTTGCTTCTAGCCCTCCTAGGCTCCTATTCCCATTATCTCAAGTAGCAGAACATGTTCCTTATAAATGCTAAACCATCATTGCTGTAGATCATGCGCCTGCCCTTTTGACCTCCACATTCTCACCACCTGTTTCTCTGTTGGATTACCAATAAATAGCGTGGGCTCCCAGAACTCAGGCCCTTCGCAGCCTCCGTACACTAGCGATGGCCCCCTGGTGTTTCACACTTCTCTCAAACTGTCTTTTTCTCAATCCTTTGACTCCGCTGGACTTTGTCACCCCCACAACTTGGTTTTGGGTCTGATCACCCCAACATTCCTGGCTGCCCAATGTGGAGCGACAAAAACCCTGGTAAAGGAATGCTAGAGCGTGTGAAAGTGGAGAATGCATTGTCAAAAAGGACACCCAAGGACGTCTAAAAGAAGCTCAGAGGGAAAGCTGAGCACTCGGGAGAACCAGGGTAACAGAGGGACAAAGTGAAAGCAGACATTCTGCTTATTTAAATTTCTTAAGGCATTTATTTCGAAGAAGGGGAGTGAAAGTTAGTACTCAGAATTTACCATCACTCACTCTTTAGTGCAGTAAAGCAGTTTTGTCCATAGTTCCCAGAACAAGGGACTATGGAGTTGGATAAATGGGAGAGAATTGAAATTTTTTAAAAGCGTATAAAGATGGAGCAAAAATTCCAGTTTCGGTTTGCTCAGTGTGGGCACTAATAAAAGCAGCTCTTGAGACATTTCAAACAGATGATGAGGCAGATTCAGATAAGGAAGAGGAGGACCAGTGTAAAAAACTTCAGATTCTGAATGTGAGGAACAGGAAACAGGAAATTAAAGGGAAACTGAAAAAGTATGTTTTATTAGCCCGTCAGCTCCACCTGCTGAATTAAGTGAAAGGCCACCTCCTCTTTCTCCCCTTAATGGGCAAGAAAATGAATTAGCTACAAAACTTACTGCTCCTGCAGTTGCAACATGAAAACCTGGTGGTGCTATACAAAATTCTATTCAAAAGGCTAGAGCTGAAGGACACCTTGAAGCATGGCAATTTCCCGTAACTATAATCCAGCAGGGAGGACAGCAAATATCCTTCCGCTGTGTTTCCAAAATCCATCTACAAAGGAGAGACAAACACAAGTAAAGAAAAAAGTGTACCCTATTCCTTTAAAAGCCAGGGTAACTTTAAAACCTATAATTGATCTTTGAAGGTCTTCTCTGTGCCCCTATAACACTCCAATACTACCTTGTTGTCAGTGTAAACAAGGGCATAGCCCGAAAGCAGTGAGATCAGTGACAACCAGTAGCCTTCCTATCAAAAATCCTTAACCCAGTAACCCGTAGATGGCCCAAATGCATTCAGTCTGTAGCGGCAACTGCTTTGCTAACAGAAGAAAGTAGAAAAATAACCTTTAGAAGAAACCTCACTGGGAGCACACACCACCAGTTCAGAGCAATCCTAAGTTAAAAAAGCAAAAAGGTAGCTTACAAACTCAATCTTAAAGTATGGGGCTATTCTGTTAAAAAAAAAAAAAAGTGATTTAATATTAACCACTGAAAATTCCCTTAACCCAGCAGGTTTCCTAATGAGAGATTTAAAACTTAATTACCATACAAAGGTCTAACCAGACCTAGGAGGAACTCCCTTCAGGACAGGATGATAGATTGTTCCTCCCGGGTGATTGAGGGGAAAACACACACACACACACAATGGGTATTCAGTAATTGATAGGGAGACTTGTAGAAGCAGAGTTAGAAAAGTTGCTTAATAATTGGTCTGCTCAAATGTGAGAGCTGTTTGCACTCAGCCAAGCCTTAAAGTACTCACAGAATCAAACTCTATCTCAATCCTGACTCAAAAGGTTACCTACACCCTCTCTGAAATGAATTTGCATAAGAACTATTTATGGGAATGCATCTTGATGGGGCAGTTGGGTTATTATGAACTAGGAACCCAGCCCAGCTCTAGAACTCACCTCTAAGCACAAAGGCGTGTTGGGCATGCTGGTAAAGGACCACTAGAATCCAGCAGCCCAGAGCCCTTTCTTTGCAGTCAAGAAAGGTGGGAAAACAGGTGCAGGACTGCTACATTGGTGAGCATAACCAATCCAATAAGCAGAGGTCCATGGGTGGTTACGCACCCTGGAAAAGAATAAGCATTAGGACCATAGAGGACGCTGTAGGACTAATGCTCATTGGAAAATGACTAGGGGTGCTGGCATCCCTGTGTTCTTTTTTTCAGATGGGAAACGTTCCCCCCAAAGCAAAAATGCCCTTAAGTTGTATTCTGGAGAATTTGGCCCAGTCAGAGTGTATATACCTTTTTCCCTTTCAGACTTGAAACAAATTAAAATAGACCTAGGTAAATTCTCAGATAACCCTGATGGCTATATTGATGTTTTACAAGAGTTAGGACAATTCTTTGATCTGACATGGAGAGATCCGAATAGAAATAAGCCGCCACCTCGTCCATGCCCCTTATGTCAAGTGAATCACTGGAAGGCCTACTGCCCCAGGGGACGAAGGTCCTCTGAATCAGAAGCCCCTAACCAGATAATCCAGCAGCAGGACTGAGGGTGCCCGGGGCAAGCACCAGCCCATGCCATCACCCTCCCCAGGTACGCTTGACCATTGAGGGCCAGGAGGTTAACTGTCTCCTGGACACTGACGCAGCCTTTTCAGTCTTTTTCTCCTGTCCCGGACAACTGTCCTCCAGATTTGTCACTATCCGAGGGTTCCTAGGACAGGCAGTCACTAGATACTTCTCCCAGCCACTACGTTGTGACTGGGGAACTTTACTCTTTTCACATGCTTTTCTAATTATGCCTGAAAGCCCCACTCCTTTGTTAGGGAGAGACATCCTAGCAAAAGCAGGGGCCATTATACACAGAATTAGGAGAAGGAAAAAGGGTAAATATATATACAGATTCTAAGAATGCTTACCTAGTCCTCCATGCCCACGCAGCAATATGGAGAGAAAGGGAATTCCTAACTTCCGAGAGAACACCTATCAAACATCAGGAAGCCATTAGGCCCCAAAATTCTCCTTACCTCTGAATCTACGTCCTCCAATCCCTGCCTAAAGGTAATTTTATGGGGAAGAGGATTTGCTTGTGTCTGTCCAGGTGACAATCAGGTGCCTGTGTGGGTGCCTACCAAACATCTGAAGCTCTATCATGAGCCACAGCATCTAGTGGACCCACCTGTACTGTGTGAATCAAAGGTTTGAAAAGCCTCAATTTGCTTTCTCTGTGCCTTCTGTTAGAAGGGGCCTGTTTCTCATTATCAGTGGCCTTCCGGCTATAGCCACAAATGTTTTTGCTTCTGTTTCAGTAGATTTACTAACATGGGGGTGAGGGTAGGCTCGTGTTTTGCAGGAGATGAACTAACCGTGTGGATGCCCTCAAAATGTGTACAACCATGGAACAGGAGACTGGAGGGACCCATGGATCCCAACCATGGACTGGGTTCCCCTTGTATGAGCCATGATCCAGTTGAATCTGAATGCGAAGATGGAACGAAGACCAACCAGAGTCATCATGCTTAATGGACCAATGCTTTCTGACTCAGCTCCTCTCTACCCTGAATACAAGAGACGCTAATAGTTAGGCAGCAGTATCATCGCCCCTATTCAGCATGAAGAAGTTACAGAAGACGGACCTTCACTCTTCTGCAACCCCTAGGATTCAGGGTCCTCTTATAAAAGAGAAAGGGGAGATATGTGGGAAGCATTCAAACCAGAGAGACTCCAGTTTGAATAAGGGCTAAGAAAAGTGAAGCTGGATCACCAACCAGCAATTAAGGGCTGCACAGCCTGCAATCGCCTTGCTCAATTAAAAGAGGTCACCTCTCATGCTAGTAATAATGTTACCTTCTCTTTTACAAAAAAGAGAAGTGGGGCATGTTGGGAAAAAGCTGAGTGTTGGGAGGGAAACCAAGGCAGGGCTTGCATAATATCCTCTGGAATGTGACTAGACTTGCTGACTCCTTGCTTCTAGCCCTCCTAGGCTCCTATTCCCATTATCTCAAGCAGCAGAACATGTTCCTTATAAATGCTAAACCATCACAGCTGTAGACCATGCACCTGCCCTTTTGACCTCCCCATTCTCATCACCTGTTTCTCTGTTGGATTACCAATAAATAGCATGGGCTCCCAGAGCTCAGGCCCTTCGCAGCCTCTGTACACTAGCAATGGCCCCCTGGTGTCCCACTTTTCTCTCTCAAACTGTCTTTTTCTCAATCCTTTGACTCCACCGGACTTTGTCACCCCCACAACCTGGTATTGGGTCTGATCACCCCAACAACCGTGTGTTCATTGCAGCACTATTCACAATAGTAAAGACATGGAATCAACCTAAATGCCCATCGATGGTAGACTAGATAAAATGTGCTACATATACACCAAGGAATACTACAGGGCCATACAAAAAAAAAAAAGAATGAGATCATGTCCTTTTGCGGGCCGGGTGCAGTGGCTCATGCCTGTAATCTCAGCACTTTGGGAGGCCAAGGCAGGCGGATCACGAGGTCAGGAGATCGAGACCATCCTGGCTAACACGGTGAAACTCCATCTCTCCTAAAAATACAAAAAAAATTAGCCGGGCGTGGTGGTGGGCACCTGTAGTCCCAGCTACTTGGGAGGCTGAGGCAGGAGAATGGCCGTGAACCTGGGAGGCAGAGCTTGCAGTGAGCTGAGATCGCGCCACTGCACTCCAGCCCGGGCGACAGAGCAAGACTCTGTCTCAAAAGAAAAAAGGTCATGTCCTTTGCAGCAACATGGATGGAGCTGGAGGCCATTATCCTAAGCCAACTAATGCAGGAACAGAAAACCAAATAACACATGTTCTCACTTGTAAGTGGAAGCTAAACATTGTGTACTCATGGACACAAAGAAGGAACAACAGATACCAGGGCGTATTTGAGGGTGTAGTGTGCAGGAGGGTGAGGACTGAAAAATTACCTATCGGGTTCTAGGTTTATTACTTGGGTGACAAAATAATTTGTACATCAAACTCCCATGACACATAACTTACCTACGTAACAAACTTCCACATGTACCCTGAATCTAAAAAAAAAAAGAAAATGTGGCATATATACATCATGAAATACTATCCAGCCATCAAAAAGAGCCAAATCCTGTAATTTGCGGCAACATAGATGAAACTGGATGACATTATGTTATGTAAAATAAGCCAGGCACAGAAAGTTAAACACTGCGTGCTCTCACTCATGCAAAAACTGAAAAAAAAAATTATCATAGAAATAAAAAGTAGAATAGAAGATACTAGAGGCTGGGAAGGGTAGGAAGAATGGGGGATAGGGAAATATTTGTTAAAGGATACAAAATTACAGCTAGATAGAATAAGTTATCGTGTTCTATAGCACTGTAGGATGCCTATAGTTAACAATAACATATAATTTCAAGTAGCTAAAAGGAGGATATTGAATGTTTTTCAATCCTCACCTTACTCCAACCCTCCACCCTCACGTAGGCCCCGGTGTTTGTTGTTCCCTTCTTTGTGTCCATGTGTACTCAATGTTTAACTCCCACTTACAAAGAAATAATATATGAATACAAAGAAATGGTATATATTTGAGATAATAGATATGCTAATTACCCTGATCTGATCACTACACATTGTATATCTTGAAACACCAACATAAACACCAAGACGAGTGGATCACGAGGTCAGGAGATCGAGACCATCCTGGCCAACATGGTGAAACCTCATCTCTACTAAAAAATACAAAAATTAGCTGGGCGTGGTGGTGCGCGCTTGTAGTCCCAGCTACTTGCGAGGCTGAGGCAGGGGAATCACCTGAACCCAGGAGGTGGAAGTTGCGGTGAGCTGAGATAGCACCACTGCACTCCAGCCTGGTGACAGACTGAGACTCCATCTCAAAACAAACAAAAAAAAGAAACGAAAAAAGAAACACCACTATATATCACATAAATATGTACAATTATGTGTCATTTTAAAAAATAAAAAAATAAACATATTTGCTGAAGAGAAATACTAGGAGATCAAATTCAACAGCACATTAAAAAGTTCATTCATCATGGTCAAGTTGTATTTATCCCAGGGATACAAGGATGGTTCAACATATGTAAATTCATAAATGTGATATGCCATATTAACAAAATAAAGGACAAAAACCACATGATCTTCTCAATAAATGCAGAAAAAGTGTTTGACAAAATTCAATATTCATTCATGTTTTTTAAAACTCTCAAAGAAATAGATATACAAGGAATGTACCACAACACAATAAAGGCTATATACAAGTCCACAGTTAACATCAGCCTCAATGGTGAGAAGTTGAAAGTTTCCCTCTAAAATCAGGAATAAGCCAAGGATGCCCACTCTTACCATTTCTATTCAACATAGTACTGGAAGTCCTAAACAGAGCAATTAGACAATAAAAAGAAATAAAAGGCATCCATATAAGAAAAAAAGAAGTAAAATTATCTCTGCTGATGACATGACCTTATATAAAGCAAACTGAAATACTCCACCAAAAATCCACTGGAACTGATAAACAAATTCAGTAAAGCTACACATTATAAAAATCAGTAGTGTTTCTGTACTAACAATAAACTGTCTGTAAAAGGAATTAATAAAACAATCCCATTTGCAATAGCACCTCAAAAAATACTTAGGAGTAAATTTAACCGAGGTGAAACAACTGTACACTAAAAACCATAAAACATTGATGAAATAAATTGAAGAAGACACAAATAAATGAAAAAATATGGCATGTTCGTGGATTTGGAAGAATTAATGTTGTTTAAATGCCCATACTACCCAAAGTGACCTACAGATTCAATGCAATTCCTTTCAAAATTCCAGCATCATTTTTCACAAGAAATAGAAAAAATAATCCTAACATTCATATGGAACCTGAAAAGACCCAAAATAGCCAAAGCAATCTTGAGCAAAAAGAATAAAGCTGGCGGCTTCACACTCTCTGATTTCAAAATATATTGTAAAGATATTGTAATTAAAACAGTGCGGTTCTGGCATAAAAACAGACACATAGAACAATGGAGCCAAATAAGAAGCTCAAAAATAAATTCACATATCTACAGTCAAATAGTCTTTTACAAAGGGGCCAAGAACACACAATAAGAAAATAATGGTCTCTTCAATAAGTTTTTCTGGGAAAACTGAATACCCACATGCAGAAGAATTAAATTGGGCCTTTATCTTGCATAGGACCTGAAACTGTAAAGCTACTAGAAGATAACATAAGAGAAATGCTTCATGACTGGATCATGATTTCTTGGATAGGCTCCTGAAAGCACAGCCAACAAAAGCAAAAATAGGCAAATGAGATAGCATCAAACTAAAAATTTTCTGCACAGCAAAGTAAACAATCAACAAACTGAAGAGACAAGCCACAGATTGGGATAAAATGTTTGCAAACCATACATCTGATAAAAGGCTAATATCCAAAATACACAAGGAGCTCAAACAACTCAAATCATCAAGAAAACAAATAATCTGATTTTTAAAAGGGACAAATTACCTGAACAGATATTTCTTAAAAGAAGAGTTACAAATGGCCAACAGGTATATGAAAAAATGCTCAACATCACTAATCATCAGGGAAATGCAAAATAAAAACACAGTGAGATACACCTCACACCTGTTAGAATAGCTATTACTAAAAAGACAAATGAAAACAAGCGTTGGCGAAGTTATGGAGAAAAGAGAATCTTTGTACACTGTTGGTGGGAATGTAAATTAGTATAACCATTTGGCAAAATAGCATGGAGATTCCTCAAATAACTAAAAATAGAATTACCTTATGATCTGGCAATCCCTCTTCTAGGTATATATCCAAAGGAACTGAAATCAGTATGTCAAAGAATATCTACACAACCATATTTATTGCAGCATTATTCACAATAACCAAGATATGTAATAACCTAAGAGTTCCTCAACAAATGAATGTATAAAGAAAATGTGGTGTATATACACAATGAAATACTATATAGCCATTAAAAAATAAGGAGATTCTGTCATTTTCAACAACACGGATGGAACTGGAGAACATTATATTAAGTAAAATAAGCCAGGCACACTGATCTCACTTATATGTGGAATCTAAAAAAGTTAATCTCAGAGAAACAGAGTAGAAAGGTGATTAGCAGAGGCTGTTGGTTGGACGGGATAGCATGGGGAAAAGGAAGATATTGATCAAAGGGTACAAAGCTTCAGTTGGACTGGAGGCATAAGCTTTTGTGATCTATTGTACTGCATAGTGACCACAGTTAATGATAATTTTATGGTGTATTTCAAAATTACTAAAATAGATGTTTTAGCATTCTCACTACAAAAAATGATAAACTGGTGAGATGATGGAGATGTTAATTAGCTTGTTTGAATCTTTCTATAACATATACATAGATCAAAACACCACTTCATACCCCCATGAATATACACAATTATTGTCAATTATAAATTAATTAATTTTTTTTTTTGAAACGGAGTCTCACTCTGTCACCCAGGCTGGAGTGCAGTGGCGCGATCTCGGCTCACTGCAAGCTCTGCCTCCTGGGTTCACGCCATTCTCCTGCCTCAGCCTCCTGAGTAGCTGGGACTACAGGCGCCCACCACCACGCCAAGCTAATTTTTTGTATTTTTAGTAGAGACGGGGTTTCTCCGTGTTAGTCAGGATGGTCTTGATCTCCTGACTTTGTGATCTGCCCACCTCGGCCTCCCAAAGTGCTGGGATTACAGCCGTGAGCCACTGCGCCCGGCCCTAAATTAATTTTTTAAAAAGATAAAAGTGAGTAGGGAGTTGGAGAGTTGTGAATATAACTAAGATATTCAGGGAAGTCTAACCAATAACAGCAAATATTGAGCAAAGATTTCCATTCAGTGAAGGAAGGAATTGAATCCTGTGGGCATCTGTGGGCACAGCAAATGCCTACTGCATGCTAGGAGCAGCAGGGTGGCCATTGTGACTAGAGTGGACTGAATTAGGACAAAAAGTGTGAAAGGAGTGCTATGAGGTAACAGGACCCAATCACATAAGGAATTTGCCTTTACTCTAAGTGAGATGAAGGCCACCAGAGTGCTAGAAGCAGAGAAGTGACACTTCAACAGAGACACAGTCTACTGTGTTATGAAAATATAAGAGAATGGAAGAAGAGGCCAATAGGGAGTAGCTGCAATGAAGTGGAAAAGAGAGAGAGAAACCAGTTACCATGGTAGTAGCAGTAGAAGTGATCAGACTCTTCTTAGATGTTGAAAGTAGGGCTAAAGATTGGATAAAAGGGATGAGGGAAAGAGAGGAGACAAGATGTATTTGGGATGTGAGGACCAAGCAAGCAGAAGGATGATGTTGCCATTGAATGAGATGGAGAAGTCTGTTGGAGGAGGTGATTTACAAGTAGAGATCAAGATTTCAGTTAGTTTGAGCACGTAAATAAATGTAGGTAACAGGTGACAGGTACAGCAGGCAAAATCCTAAAATGACTCCTCATGATGCACTCCCTTGTATAATCCCCTCCCCTCATATGTGGATGGAATCTTTAAGTTACTTTTAACTAGTAGAATATGACAAAGGTTACGGGATATCACTCCCTTGATTATGTGATGTTATAGGGCAAAGGTTAAGGAATTTCTCTGTTGTAATTAAGTTACAACTAAAGGGAGTGATATGGTTTGGATATTTGACCTCTCCAAATCTCATGTTAAAATATAATCCCCAGTGTTGGAGGAGGTATGGCCTGGTTGGAGGTGGTTGGATCATGGGGGGTAAATTCCTCATGAATGTCTTGGTGCTGTTTTTGTGACAGTGAGTGAGTTCTCATGAGATCTGGTTGTTTAAAAGTGCATGGCACCTCTCCCCCTCTCTCTTTCTCCCATTATTGCAATGTGACACACATGCTCCCACTTCACCTACCACCATAAGTAAAAGCTCCCTGAGGCTCTCACCAGAAGCTGAGCAGATGCCGGTGCCATGCTTATACAGCCTGCAGAACCAAGAGTCAATTAAACCTCTTTTCTTTATAAATTACCCAGTCTCAGGTATTCCTTTATATCAATGCAAGAATGGTCTAATAGTAGGAGATAAAGGGAGCCTATCTTGGGTGAGAATGACCTAATCAGGTGAGACCTTCAAAGACAGTCTAACTGTCAGAGAGGAAACCCCAGAGATGTTCACCTGTTGGCCTTGACAAAGCAAAGTGCTATGTTATGGAGAACACTGGATTCTGTCAACAGCCAGTGAGCTTAAAAGAGAACCCTGAGCCTCAGATGAGACCCACAGCCCCAACCCAAGTGCTCAATTGCAGCCTTGTGGGAGCCTGAACAGAGCACCCAGTGAAGCCATACTCCGACCTCTGACCCATGGAAATGGAGGAACAATAAATATTTGTTGTTTTAAGCCTCTAAATGCATGGTAATTTGTTATGCAGCAGTAGAAAAACTAATACAACAGGCAATTAGATATGTGAGTCTGGAATTAAGAGGTTCTCCTGAAGATGTGAATTTGGAAACCATCACTACAGAACACATTTGTGCTGGTGGTTGTCCTTTTGCATCCACCGCCACCAATTATCTTGCGCTTTTCTCTGTGTCCCAGGAGGCTGTCTTCCACAAACTACACACATGGGCTTTCTTGGTTCTGCAATGGGAGGCACCAGGAGATCAGAAAGCAGGAAAGAGTGGTCAAAATATTTCTTCTCCTGCTCTCACCAATCCCCCAGCAATGCTGTCTGAGTGGGGATCCATCCTCCAGCTGCCCACTCTCCTACTGCATGGAGTTGGTGGTTGACCTTAGTAATAGAAGGGAAGGCAGAGTACATGGTTAATGATGCTGGTAAGTAATAGAAGTGGAGTTTTGAGGAATTTCTCTTCTGATTGTTGCTGTTGAAATAGTCATCAGTCATGGTCATCAACTGACAGTGAGAATAATGGAGAAGGTGTCACAGGTTTAAGGAAAAGGATAGCCATGGAGTAGTCACCTAGGACAACAAGACATGAGTGGACTAGAGAAGTGTACATAATTGCTGGGCAGCATTAAGGATTTACTTGGGTCTGTTTATCATTTATATAGTGATATTATTCAGCAAAATTCCTCCTCCAGCCACGTTCAGCTGTGAGAGTACAGATGCAAGATAAGTACAGAGTTAATGAGGGTTGAAGCTTATCCAGATATAGCAGACACTGTTGGTGACACATCCAGAGCCACTGATTTATTTTATTAATTTGGTACCATCTGTCCATTTATCACCTGGTGCAGGTGCCACTGCTAATAGCTCATACCTGCAACTTTCCCCAGAGAATTGTCCTTAGGCAAGTGGAGCCACCTCACAATTTGTGAGATGCCTGACCTAGGGGAAAGTTACAAAGACCTTCTTTCTTGCCTCAAGATGAGACAGATTCCACATCCCAGTTTATACTCAAAATCAAGATGAGACTTGACTTTACCTGAAACCATTTCCATGCTTAGCTCTGCCTCTTCCCTATTCTGCTTCCCTCACCCTCTTACAGGTTTCTCCTGAGAACAGTCCATTAATTATCACTTGCACAATACACACTTCAGGCTCTGCTCCTCAGAACAGCCCAGGGAAATGAACCATTACCAAGATAATAAGGAATGAACAATGAGGGTGGTGTCAGTATGGCTGAGGAGCTGAGTGGTAGCTGTCCTCTGAAGGCTGGAGTGACAGTAGGAGATGCTGGGATCTTTGGTGTCAGGGGAATAATAGGATTCTGGAGTTGAAGGGGCCAAACAGCAGCATTAATAATCAGAAGAACAGGAAGTCAGTGTGGCGATTCCTCAGGGATATAGAACTAGAAATACCATTTGACCCAGCCATCCCATTACTGGGTATATACCCAAAGGATTATAAATCATGCTGCTATAAAGACACATGCACACGTATGTTTATTGTGGCACTATTCACAATAGCAAAGACTTGGAACCAACCCAAATGTCCAACAATGATAGACTGGATTAAGAAAATATGGCACATATACACCATGGAATACTATGCAGCCATAAAAAATGATGAGTT